>NC_000010.11:119120534-119745617 GCF_000001405.40 Homo sapiens
TTGCACATTTGCTATAAATAGCATGTGGTGAAATACCACCTTTGGTCTGAAGTTTCTGTTTAGCTCTAGTAGTTCAAGGTTACTGATTTGGACTATTTATGACTATTTTAGAGCAGGGGATTAGCAAACTTTTCCTTGCCAGACAGTAAATATTTTAGGTTTGTGAGCCATATGGTCACTGCCCCAACTACTCAACTGCCTAGGTAGCACAAAAGCAACCATGGAGGACACGTACATAAATGACTCAGCATGGCTGTGGTCAATGAAATTTTATTTTCAAGGACAGGCAGCTAGGCTGTGGGCCATAGTTTGCTGACCCGTTTCAGGTAAATTGTTCCTTCTGTTCAGTTTTATCAAAGACTCTTTTTTTTTTCTTGTTTTAATTAAAAAGTTTTAGAGCAGGACAAAGACTCTTACTTTGATAGTACATATAGATTTTTTAAATTTTATTTTCATTTTTAGTAGAGATGGGGTCTTGCTGTGTTGCCCAGGGTGGTCTCAAACTCATAGGCTCCAGTGATCCTCATGCCTTGGCCTCCCAAAGTGCTGGAATTACGGGTGTGAGCCACTGTGCCCGGCCAAAATAAATGTAGATTTTGTTGTTGTTAATAATTTTTTTGCCAGGAGGGTCAGTTCAGGGCCAGGAGGTGCCTGCCAGGCCCTGTCCCCTCTAACAGCTCCCCCACCTGCCATACAGATTTTTAAAGATTTTTTGTTTACTAAATCTAACTTGTTATTAGGTCCTTTTAAATTTTTTTCATTTTTATTTTTTTTATATTTTTTGTCGAGATGGGGTTTCTGGGGTCTCACTATGTTGGCCAGGCTGGTCTCGATGTCCTAGGCTCAAGTGATTCTCCTGCCTCCGTTGAGATGATTACAGACATGAACCACCACACCCAGCCATTAGGTCCTTTTTTTTTTTTTTTTTTTTTTGGAGGCAGAATCTCTCGCTTTGTCACCAGGCTGGAGTGGTACAGTGGCGCGATCTTGGCTCACTGCAACATCCACCTCCCGTGTTCAAGTAATTCTCCTGCCTCAGCCTCCCGAGTAGCTGAGACTACAGGTGCGCACCACCACGCCCAGCTAATTTTTGTATTTTTAGTAGAGATGGGGTTTCACCATGTTGGCCAAGATGGTCTCGATCTCTTGACCTCGTAATCTGCCCGTCTCGGCCTCCTGAAGTGCTGGGATTACAGGCATGAGCCACTGTGCCCGGCCAGGTCCTTCTTTAAAAGCAAGAGGACTTAGCATTCGTGTTGGGTTTACTGTATGTCAGGCATTTTGTAAGATACCTTAAATTATTAAATTTACTCATAACAAGAACCCTGCAAGGAAGTATTTTTACCCTGTTTTATGAATGAGAAAATTAAGGTTGGCAGAGTATAGGTATAAGGTAATGAAAAGAACAAAGGCTTCATAGTCAGAAAGACCTGAGTTAAAATCTTGGGAGGGCAACTTATTAGCTCTGTGAACACATAAAAGATAATGTTGGCCGGGCATGGTGGCTCACACCTGTAATCCCAGCACTTTGGGAGGCTGAGGTTAGCAGATTGCCTGAGACCAGAAGTTCAGGACCAGACTGGGCAACACAGCAAAACCCCATCTCTATAAAAAAATACAAAAATTAGCCAGGCATGGTGGCATGCACCCGTAGCCTGAGCTACACAGGAGGCTGAGGTGGGAGAATCGCTTGAGCCCAGGAGGTGGAGGCTGCAGTGAGCCATGATCACGTCACTGCACCCCAGCCTGGACGACGGAGTGAGGCCCTGTCACAGAAACAAAACAAAAGGTATTGATTGTTTCTGAGCCTGTGTTCCTTTATCTGTAAAATGAAGATCGTAATATCTACTTACAAGTTTGTTAAGACTGGAAATAATTTATGTAAGATGCTTAACATGTACCTAGCCTGTAAGACACACTTTAGAAGTTATTATTGTTATGATCATGATTGCATCAGATTTTAAGTGAGAGAGACAGAACTTTCACCCTGCCCTCTCTGGGTCCAAAAGCCCATATTTTCTATCCCATCACCTTTTCCCCCTCTACGTATGCTCCTTAAACTGGAGCGGTCACAGCTTCTGAGATATTTAGCAGGGCACCAGGGGTTCATGAAGCCACAGATAAATTTGATACATCTTGTTGCAGTCATTATTCTACCATAAGTTTTTTTCAGAGAAATCTATGTCTTAGGGAAACAAACACACTTGGTTTGCGAGTTTTACTAAAATTTTAAATATAAATGGGAGACTTCCAGAAAATTTCTTGCTTGCAGAGGTGACTTTGAATTTTACCCTTAGACTCCCTTTCCATGGCAGTCTCCAGAGTGGGATTTTTCAGAGGAAAACCTTAGAAGCGTCACTCTTTGCTACCACAGGGATCTTTTGAAACTTCACCTTGAGCTTTCTGTAGCTGATCTGATCCCCAAAAGCAGAGTTTAAAACATTGCAGAGAGGCTGGGTGCAGTGGCTCACGCCTGTAATCCCAGCACTTTGGGAGGCCAAGGCAGGTGGGTCACCTGAGGTCAGGAGTTCAAGATCAGCCTGGCCAACATGGTGAACCCCCATCTCTACTAAAAATACAAACATTAACCGGGCCGTGGTGGCAGGCACCTGTAGTCCCAGCTACTTGGGAGACTGAGGCAGGAGAATTACTTGAACCCCAGAGGTGGAGGTTGCAGTGAGCCAAAATCGCGCCATTGCACTCCAGCCTGGGTGACGAGTGAAACTCCATCTCAAAAAAATAAATAGTAAAACATTGCATTGCTTTAATTTGAAGCCCAGAGGTTAGCACATTTGGGGCTTGGTCTCACCTCTGTCCCTGATTAGCTGTAGACTCTACCCTCTTCATTTCCTTCTCAGGAAGAGGAGAAGGGGGCAGGCTGAGTCTTTAAGGTGTGGACCAGCAACAACTTGAGTTCTTGCCTTGATTCCCCAGGACTCTGCCTGCCCTGGTGTGGCACCGACAGGACTGGACCATCCTTCACTCTTACGTGCACCTCAACGCCGATGAGCTGGAAGCCCTGCAGATGTGCACAGGTAGACAAGAGGATCCCAGGGGAGGAACTGTTTCACTTTTTTTTTTTTTTTTTTCCTGAGACGGATTTTCACTCTTGTTGCCCAGGATGGAGTGCAATGGCACGATCTTAGCTCACCGCAACGTCCGCCTTCAATTCTCCTGCCTTAGCCTCCCAAGTAGCTGGGATTACAGGCATGTGCCACCACGCCTGGCTAATTTTATTCCACTTTAAAGAGGGTTTTTTGTTTTTATTTTGTGCATTCCCAAGTGGGATACTGATCCTTTATTATTTCTTTGGCACATGCAATCAATTTTTTGCCCTTAAATTTTTTTTTTTTTTTTAGTTTAAAAAAAAATTGTGGCCGGGAGCGGTAGCTCACACCTGTAATTCCAGCACTTTGGGAGGCCAAGGTGGGCAGATCACCTGAGGTCGGGAGTTCAAGACCAGCCTGACCAACATGGAGAAACCCCGTCTCTACTAAAAATACAAAAAATTAGCTGGGTATGGTGGCACATGCCTGTAATCCCAGCTACTTGGGAGGCTGAGGCAGGAGAAACACTTGAACCTGGGAGGCGGAGGTTGCGGTGAGCCAAGATCACACCACTACACTCCAGCCTGGGCAGCAAGAGCAAAACTCCGTCTCAAAAAAAAAAAAAAATTGTGGTAAAATGCATATAGGATTTACCTTTTTTTGGCCGGGCGCGGTGCCTCATGCCTATAATCCTAGCACTTTAGGAGGCTGAGGCAAGTGGATTGCCTGAGCTCAGGAGTTTGAGACCACCCTGGCCAACATGGGGAAACCGTATCTCTACTAAAATACCAAAAAAAAAAAAAAAAAAAATTAGCCGGGTGTGGTGGTGGGTGCCTGTAGTCCCAGCTACTCGGGAGGCTGAGGCACAAGAATCACTTGAACCCAGCAGGTGGAGGTCGCAGTGAGCTGAGACTGAGCCACTGCACTCCAGCCAGGGCGACAGAGCGAGACTCTGTCTCCAGAAAAAAAGATTTACCTTTTTTTTTGAGACCAGGTCTTCCTGTGTTACTCAGGCTGGTCTTGAACTCCCGAACTCAAGCGATCTGCCCATCTTGGCCTCCCACACTGTTGGGATTACAGGTGTCAGCTGCTACGCACAGCTACATTTACCTTTTTAACCATTGGTAAACATACAGTTCAGTGGCATTAAGTACATTCACGTTGTTGTTCAGCCATCATCAAAATGCAGCCTGTTTTTGGCTGGGCACAGTGGCTCACACCTGTAATCCCAGCACTTTGGGAGGCCGAGGTGGGGTGATCGCCTGAGCCCAGGAGTTCCAGACCAGCCTGGGCAACATAGGAGACCTGTCTTTTAAAATTTTTAAATTATAAAATAAAATTTAAAAAATGCAACCTATATTTAACTATTTAACCTGTAAAGTTTTTTTTTGTTTTTGTTTTTTTCTTGGGACGGAGTTTTGTTCTTGTTGTCCAGGCTGGAGTGCAATAGTGTGATCTCAGCTCACTGCAACCTCTGCCTCCTAGGTTCAAGCAATTCTCCTGCCTTAGCCTCCCTAGTAGCTGCGATTACAGGCACCTGCCACCATGCCCAGCTAATTTTTGTATTTTTAGTAGAGACAGGGTTTCTCCACGTTGGCCAGGCTGGTCTCAAATTCCTTACCTTAGGTGATCCACCCACCTCAGGCTCCCAAAGTGCCTGGATTGCAGGCATGAGCCATTGTGCCTGGCCGAACTTGTAAAGTTCTAGTCTTAAAAGTTTATCAGTGACTTTTTTTTTTCATCTTAACTTTTTAATTGTTATGGGTATATAATAGGTATATGTATTTATGGGGTACATATGATGTTTTGATACAGGCCTACAATGTATAATGATTACATCAGGGTAATTGCAGTATCCATCACCTCAAGCATTTATGATTTCTTTGTGTTAAGAACATTGTGATTCCACTTCTAGTTTTCTTTTTTTTTTTTTTTTTTTTTTTTGAGTTGGAGTCTCACTCTGTTGCCCAGGCTGGAGTGCAGTGGCACGATCTCAGCATACTACGGCCTCCACCTCCCAGGTTCAAGCGATTCTCCTGCCTCAGCTGCCTGAGTAGCTGGGATTACAGGTGTGCACCACCATGCCCAGCTAATTTTTTTGTATTTTTGGTAGAGAGTAGAGATGGGGTTTTACCATGTTGGCCAGGCTGGTCTCAAACTTCTGACCTCAGGTGATCCACCCGCCTCAGCTTCCCAAAGTGTTGGGATTACAGGTGTGAGCCACTGTGCCCAGCCAACTTCTAGTTATTTTTAAATATACAATAAACTATCATTCACTGTAGTCACCCTATTGTGCTATCAAATACTAGGTCTTATTCATTCTAACTATATTTTTGTATCCACTAACCATCCCAAATTTTCCCCCTCTCCCCACTACCCTTCCTAACCTCTGGTACCCACCATTCTACTCTCTATCTCCCTGAGTTCCATTGTTTTAATTTTTAGCTCCCCCAGATTAGTGAGAACATGCAAAATTTGTCTTTCTGTCCGTGGCTTCTTTTACTTAACATGATGCCTCCAGTTCCATCCATGTTGTTGCAAATGACAGGATTTCATTCCTTTTTATAGCTGCATAATATTCCACTGTGTATATGCACCACATTTTCTTTTCCATTCATCTGTTGATGGACACTCAGTTTGATTCCAAATCTTGGTGGTTGTGAACCGTGCTGCAGTGAACATGGGAATGGTGGTATCTCTTTGATACACTGATTTCCTTTTTTGGGGGTAAATACCCAGCAGTGGGATTGCTGGATCATATGGTAGTTCTATTTTTAGTTTTTCGAGGAATTTCCATACTGTTCTCCATAGTGACTGTACTAATTTACATTCCTACCAACAGTGTACGAGAGTTCTTTTTCTCTACATTCTTGCCATCGTTTGTTATTGCCTGTCTTTTTTGAGACAGAGTCTCCCTCTGTTGTCCAGGCCAGAGTGCAGTGGCATGCTCTCAGCTCACTGCAACCTCCACTTCCCTGGTTCAAGCAGTTCTCTTATCTCAGCCTCCTGAGTAGCTGGAACTGCAGGCACCCACCACCATGCCTGGCTAATTTTTGTATTTTTAGTAGAGACAGGGTTTCACCATATTGGTCAGGCTGGTCTCGAACTCCTGACCTCAGATGATCCACCTGCCTTGACCTCCCAAAGTTCTGGGATTACAGGCGTGAGCCACTGCGCCCAGCCGTCTGTATTTTTTTTTAGAGACAAAGTCTTGCTTTATTGCCTGGGCTTGTCTTGAATTCCTGGGCTCTGGGATTATAGGCATGAGCCACTGTGCCTGGCCATTTTCTTATGAAAATTTTTCTTTCTCTTTTTCTTTTCTTTTTTTTTTTTTTGAGACAGGGTCTTGCTCTGTCGCCCAGGCTGGAGTGCAGTGGCTCAGTCTCGGCTCATTGCAACCTCCACTTCCTGGGCTTAAGCCATCCTTCTACCCCAGCCTCCCAAGTAGCTGGGACTACAGGCACGTGCCACCATGCCTGGCTAATTTTTGTATTTTTTTTTTTGGTAGAGATAAGGTTTCACCATGTTGCCCTGGCTGGTCTCGAACTCTTGAGCTCAACAGTCCTCCCGCCTTGGCCTCCCAAAGTGCTGAGATTATAGGTGTGAGCTACTGTGCCTGGCCTAAACATTTTTAATGTTTTTTATTTCCCAGTGAAGTTATTAATTTATCTGGAATAATTTTTTGTGTAGTGTGTGAGTTTGGGATCTGACTGAACTTTTTTACCCTATGGATAACCACTTGGACCAGGACATTTATTGAATAATCTCTTTCTTTTTTCAGTAATGAGTAATATTACTTGTCATCTGTCACATTTTCTCATTCATGGGTGGGCCTGGGTCTGGCTCTCAGTAGTAGGTTTTGTTTTTGTTGTTTTTTAAATTATTTTGTTTTATCTTATTTTATTTTATTTTTTTGAGACAGAGTCTCGCTCTGTTGCCCAGGCTGGAGTGCAGTGGCGTGATCTTGGCTCACTGCAACTTCCATCTCCCAGGTTCAAGCAATTCTTGTGCCTCAGCCTCCCGAGTAACAGGGACTACAGGCATGTGCCACCATGCCCAGCTAATTTTTTTTTTTATTTTATTTTTAGTAGAGATGGGGTTTCGCCATGTTGCCCAGGCAGGCCTCGAACTCCTGAGCTCAAGCAATCCACCCGCCTCAGCCTCCCAAAGGGCTAGGATTACAGGCATGAGCCACTGCGCCTGGCCACCAGCTAATTTTTGTATTTTTAGTAGAGACAGGGTTTCATCATGTTGGCCAGGACAGTCTCAAACTCCTGGCCTCAAGTGATCCTCCCACCTCGGCTTTCCAAAGTGCTGGGATTACAGGCAGGAGCCACTGCCCCCACCTGTTATTTTTTAACTGTCCTTGCTTGGTAAAGTAAAACTCTAGGAATGATAAATTGGTCCTGTATTAGTGTGTTCTTGCACTGCTATAAAGAAATAACTGAAGGCCGGGTGGGATGGCTCATGCCTGTAATCCCAGCACTTTGGGAGGCTAAGGTGGGTGGATCACCTGAGGTCATGAGTTCAAGACCAGCCTGACCAATATGGTGAAACCCTGTCTTTACTAAACATACAAAACTTAGCCAGGTGTGGTGGCATATGCCTGTAGTCCCAGCTACTCAGAAGGCTGAGACAGGAAAATTGCTTGAACCCAGGAGGTGAAGGTTGCAGTAAGCCAAGATCGTGCCACTGCCCTCCAGCCTGGGCAACAGAGCAAGACTCTGTCTCAAAAACAAACAAAAAGGCCAGGCACAGTGGCTCACGCCTGTAATCCCAGCGCTTTGGAAGGCTGAGGCAGGCGGATCACGAGGTCAGGAGTTCGACACCAGTCTAGCCAATATGGTGAAACCCCGTCTCTACTCAAAATACAAAAATTAGCCAGGCGTGGTGGCGCACACCTGTAGTCCCAGCTACTCAGGAGGCTGGGGCAGGAGAATCTCTTGAACCTGGGAGGTGGAGGTTGCGGTGAGCCGAGATCATGCTACTGCACTCTGGCCTGGGTGACAGAGCGAGACTGTCTCAAAAAAAAAAAACAAAAAAACTGAGACTATAATTTATAAAGAAAAGAAGTTGAATTGGCTCACAGTTCTGCAGGCTGTACAGCAAGAATAGTGGCTTCTGCTTCTGTGGAGGCCTCAGGAAACTTACAATCATGGCAGAGGGTGAAGGGGAAGCAGGCACGTCTTACATGGCTGGAGCAGGAGAAAGGTGGGGGAAGGTGCCGTCCACTTTTAAACAACCAGATTTTGTGAGAACTCAATCACGAGAACCACACTAAGAGGATGGTGCTAAACCGCTCATAAGAAATCACCCCCATGATCCAGTCACCTCCGACCCGGCCCCACCTCCAACATTGAGGATTACAGTTCGACATGAGATTTGGGTGGGAACACAGATCCAAACCATATCAGTCTCTCCTCAAATAATTTTTTTTTTTGGTAATTGTATTGCTCTGTGAAATCAAAAAAATCTGGGAATCATTGTTCTAACACCAATCCCAGAGATCTGCTAATTCCTGAGTTGCCCTGAACCCTTAAAGATGATGCCATTTCCACTCTGAGAACCCAGGCATTTGCCATTGATTTCCTGAAGGCAAAGACCTGAAGGGGGAACATCAGTCAAGAGAGTCCTTGCTACCTTCTGCCACAGCTGTCATTCTTGACCCCAAGAGCAATGATTGGAAAGTAAATGCCCTACTTCAGTCTTGTCCTTGACACTGATGGATAATTTTGGAATATCTGGCGTTGTGTGAATATCTTCAGGCAACTGATAGTAATGTAGTCTTACTAACTGCCACAGGGTACAGCTAATGTTCCCGAATGAATAAAGCAGTGAAAGAGAGCAGTCGATGAGCTTTTAGACCCAATTCTTTTGATGGGTTCACCATATTTCTTCCTACTCCAGTAAGGTTGCTCATGTTTGTGATGCAGGTTACGTCGCTGGATTTGTAGACTTGGAGGTGAGCAACAGACCAGACCTCTATGATGTGTTTGTGAATCTGGCAGAGAGTGAGATTACCATTGCTCCCCTTGCAAAAGGTTTGTTCTCTGTTCTGTTCTTGATACAAGATATAAGCCAAACAGTTGTACATTTTTAGGCTGATTCTCTAAAACCAGTATGTGAGGGCTGGCTTACCAACTCTGCTGAAGATGGATATTTCCGTGTCTAGAACACAACATTTATTCCTATAAACATAGACATATTAGCAGAACATCCCGGGTGCTTATGCAGCAGAGTGTATATTAAGAAGTTAAATAGTCTGTTCATCTTGTTTCACTACTTTTGTGTTTAAACAAGGTGTATTATCTACTGCCACATAACAAATCACTTCAGAACTTAGCGGTTTATTTTCTTAATTTTGAAATGTTTCTGAGTCATACAGAACTCAGTGGTTTAAAACAACACATATTCCTTTTTCTTTTCTTCTTCTTTTTTTTTTTGGCAGAGTCTTGCTCTATTTCCCAGGCTGGAGTGCAGTGGCCTGATTTTGGCTCACTGCAGCCTATGCCTCCCGGGTTCAGGTGATTGTCATGTCTCAGCCTCCCGAGTAGTTGGGTTTACAGGCATGCACCACCATGCTCAGCTAATTTTTTTTTTTTTGAGATGGAGTCTTATGCCCAGGCTGGAGTGCAATGGCACGATCTTGGCTCACTGCAACCTCCGCCTCCCAGGTTCAAGTGATTCTCCTGCCTCAGCTTCCCGAGTAGCTGGGATTACAGGCACCCGCCACCGCACCCAGCTAATTTTGTATTTTTAGTTAGTGATGGGGTTTCACCATGTTGGTCAGCTGGTCTTGAACTCCTGACTTCATGATCTGCCTGTCTTGGCCTCTCAAAGTGCTGGGATTACTTACATATGTGAGCCACTGCGCCTGGCCTAATTTTTGTATTTTTACTTGAGACAGGGTTTCACCATGTCGGCCAGGCTGGTCTCGAATTCCTAGCCTCAAGTGATCCACTGGCCTCAGCCTCTCAAAGTGCTGGGGTTACAGGCGTGAGCCATCATGTTCTAAAACAACACATATTTATCTCACAGTTTTGGCGGATCAGGAATGACTTATGTAGAGGTAGTTTGGCTCAGGAAGTTTCAGTCACGATATCCCAGAGCCACAGTCATCTGAAGGCTCCACTGGGGCTGGAACATCCGCTTTCAATGTGCATGGCTGTTGGCAGGAGGCCTCAGTTCCTTCTGCCATGGGCCTCTCCATAGGGTTGCTTGAGTGTTCTTACAATATGACAGCTGGCTCCCCAGGAGTGAGTGACCCGAGAGAGAAAAGGAAGTCACAGTGCGTTTTATAATCTTGCCTTGATAGTCACCATTACTTCCTCCATATGCTATTTGTTAGAAGCAAATCACTAAGTTTAGTCAACACTTGAGAGAGGAATGTCTCCACCTCTTGAAGAAAGGAGTATCAAAAAATATGTAGGCGTTTATCACTACACAGGGTTAAATGTGACTCCAGTATGGAAAATCTTTTTGAAGCATGTCTTAGTAAGCATAAGGGAATGAAGCTGTTCTTAGAGCTAATGATCAGGAAAGGGTGTACTAGTGTTAGAGTGGCATTCTTAGACATTCTAAATTGTTCCAAATTAGGCCGGCCATGGTGGCTCACGCCTGTAATCCCAGCACTTTGGGAGGCCAAGGCGGGTGGATCACGAGGTCAGGAGATCGGGACCAGCCTGGCTAACACGGTGAAACCCCGTCTCTACCAAAAATACAAAAAATTAGCCGGGCGTGGTGGCAGGCGCCTCTAGTCCCAGCTACTCGGGAGGCTGAGGCAGGAGAATCAGTTGAACCCGGGAGGCAGAGCTTGCAGTGAGCCGAGATCGCGCCACTGCACTCCAGCCTGGGTGACAAAGCAAGACTCTGTCTCAAATAAATAAATAAATAAATAAATTGTCCCAAATTACAGCTACATAAAGTAGAAAAGATTGGCTTAAATGCGTGTTGAGCACTACTCAGGTAGTGGTTTTAGATGGGATTACTGATTAACAGCTTTGTTTTGTCACTTATCTTTCTCCTAAAAGTGGGGGCAGCTGAATGCTGACTCATTGGGAATTGTTAGATTCGATTATGTGAGGTTTTATTGAAAAATTCAAATTAATAGAACCATAACTGGCTTTCCTTTAATTCGTTTTAAAATTGCAAACATAATGCATGCTCATGATGAAAAATTCAAACTATGGGGTCAGATCTTTACGAAATAACTGCCTTTTGCAAAGCGAAAGTGAAAGAAAACTGGCTGTGGCTAGGGCCACTTAAGCAGCTGAAGCATTAGGACCAGAAAGGGTGGCCATCTTCCTGCTGCCCTGTGTTGCTCTGTGTCTATAAAAATGGGCTCATCCTAATCCGCACCAGTTGAATGGAGTCTGTCTCTTGAAGTGACAAACAAGTTTCTGTTAACCTCCTCAGTGCAGACAGTAGCAATGTATGTAACCAGGCTAACTTAGGTGGTTTCCTTTGCTCATTTCTAAGAATCTAAACGAATTGAGCGCCCAGCTGGCTTCTGCAGAACTGACAGGAAGCTCCTCTTTCACAATATTCCCGCCAAAAAGATACATTTCTTAACTGTAAAGAGCTGGACTAGAACGTCAGACTCTTGGCTTATAGTCATGACTTAGTTGTAGTCAGAATTGTTCATTATGCTTTGTCTGGGAAGAAAAATAAAAATTTTGGTCAGGTGGGTGTGAAGGGGAAATCTGGTTTGGTGTGATGTGTTTTTATGTTTGCCCAGAAGTATAAATCACGATTATATTATGCCTTTCCTCCCAGCATGTTGTCATATTTGTGTCTAGTGATAAAATGGACATGTGGGAGGTTATCAGCTGCTTTTTGAAAATTCCCTCAGTGTGGTCTTCCAAGTTTTCAGATAGATGGCATGATTATTTTTTATGTCGATTTCTAAATATTCACCTTCTTGATCTCACCAGAGGCCATGGCAATGGGCAAACTGCACAAAGAAATGGGTCAGCTAATTGTTCAGTCTGCAGAAGATCCAGAGAAATCAGAGAGCCACGTTATACAGGTAACTCCCTCACCTTCTGACTTACTGAAAGTCCTGACCCGGTGTCGCTGGGTGGTGTGCGGCAGAGCTGTGCACATAAGCAGAGTGGGGGGCTGTGGTAGAGGCCAGCGGGCAGGTGCTTAGAGAGGGTTTACAGACGGCCACAGTGATGATGGACAAGCAGGTGCAGGCTGGCCTGATCTAGTTAGTTACTGGGCTCGAGGGCAGGTATACACAGGGGCTGGTGCTGACACCGACCGCTGGCAATGAGAAATGTAACTACCAAGTGGTCTGGAAGGCTTTTCTGGGCCAGCCAGTGCATTCTTTCTTCCTAGGAGAATTTCCCTGGAGGAACAAATTATAAAGGGGAGGTTGTTGCTGAGCATGGGGAACTAGATTGTCAAAATTTTGCTTTGCTTGTCTCCAGGACAACAGAAATCATGCAGTCAGACTCCTGTCCCACTTAGTGACTGTTGCCACATGCCGCAGAGCCAGCTCCTTGCTGGTGTCTACCTGGCATGCTGACCAGCGTCCATGTGGCCCAGTGGGCACCTGCTCTGCCCTTGCCAAACTGGGATGGCAAATGGGTTTTATTTCTTGTGCTTTCCACGTGGTGGCCTGCAGCCCGCCCAGCTCCTTGCATTTGGCCTGTTCCCAGCTCCTTGCTCCTCTCCTGAAGGATACACTTCCAGCGTTGCCTTATCTAGATGCCTGACTCATAACCTGGGGCTGGAGGGCCCAGAAGGACTGTCTCCCATCTGCACCTGTCCTACCTGGGGGTACGGGGGCACCTCTGATATGCAGGCTTTACTCATTCGGCCCAACCTGATGCCTTCTTCATTTATCCATTCATTTACTCAGTGTTTCTTGAGCTCTGTTTGTTAGGCATTGCACTGGCAGTGGGGATGCAGTGGTGAGCAAATCCCTGCCCTCATGGAGTCTGTAATTTAGTGGAGTAGATGCACAGAAAATAATAAATGACAAGATAATTACAGCCCATGTTAGGTGCTGTGACAGAAGGGGTTGAGGTGGAGAATATTGGGGGATGGGTAGGCCAGATCTCTAAGGAGGTGACATGTCAGCGGAAAGATGAGAGGGGCCATTTCTCTGCAGTGCTGGTGGCCTGGCCAGCTGTGAGCAGGAAGAGTGGGCTGATCTTGCCCTGAGGACCTGAACACTGGAGACTCTGGGGCCGCTTCTTTCCTACCATGGGAATCCTCACTGCCCACCTACCCCCAACATTAGAGTAAAGACATATTCTTACAATATCAGCAACATATGTGAATCTGAGTTTTGCATTACTGTGTTGTTCACAGACTAAAAGTGCTACCTAGATGACTTAGTATGACGTATGAGACCTTGGGGAGGGCAAGTGAAAGTGCTGGGAATGCTGTAAGGGTTCAAAAATACATGAATGAATTAATGATGTCAGCAAACAAGGAAGAAGACGTGACTTTTTTTTCCCTTTTTTGAGTTTCACTGTCGCCCAGGGTGGAGTGCAGTGGTGCAATCTTGGCTCACTGCAACCTCCACCACGTGGGTTCAAACGATTCTCCTGCCTCAGCCTCCCACGTAGCAGGCACTGGGATTACAGGGGCCTGCCACCACACCTGACTAATCTTGCATTTTTAGTAGAGATGGGGTTTCACCACGCTGACCAGGCTGATCTTGAACTCCTGACCTCAAGTGCTCCGCCTACCTCAGCCTCCCAGAGTGCTGGGGATTACAGGCATGAGCCACCACGCCTGGCCAGAAGACATGATTTTTTTTTTTTTTTTTGGAGACAGAGTCTCGCTCTGTTGCCTAGGCGGGAGTGCAGTGGCGTGATCTTGGCTCACTGCAACCTCTGCCTCCCAGGTTCAAGCGATTCTCCTGCCTCAGCCTCCCGAGTAGCTGGGACCATAGGCATGCACCACCATGCCTGGCTAATTTTTTTGTATTTTTAGTAGAGGCAGGGTTTCACCATGTTGGTCAGGCTGGTCTTGAACTTCTGACCTCAAATGATCCACCTGCCTCGGCCTCCCAAAGTGCTGAGATTACAGGCGTGAGCCACCATGCCTGGCCAGAAGACATGATTTTAATGAGTGCTTTAGTGAGTCCTCAGCCACCCAAAAGGAATAAAGCCTGCGTGGCAGGTGCCGGGTTACTTATCCCAGGCAGAAGAGGACTTTTGGGAAGAGATTCCTTCAAAAAAACAATAGCAGCATTTCTCAAAAAGTTAAACATCAAGTTACCATATGATTTAGCAATGCTGTTTCTGGGTATATACCCAAAATAATTGAAAGCAGGGACTCGGCCAGGCCCGGTGGCTCATGCATGTAATCCCAGCACTTTGGGAGGCCGAGGCGGGCGGATCACCTGAGGTCAGGAGTTCAAGACCAGCCTGGCCAACATGGTGAAACCCATCTCTACTAAAAATACAAAAATTAGCCGGGTGTGGTGGTGGGCGCCTGTTAATCCCAGCGACTTGGGAAGCCGAGGCAGGAGAATCGCTTCAACCCGGGAGGCGGGGGTTGCAGCGAGCCGAGATTGTGCCATTGCACTCCAGCCTGGGCAACAAGAGCAAAACTGTCTCAAAAAAAAAAAAAAAAAAAAAAAAGAAAAAGAAAAGAAACGATACTGTAAAAATATAGCATTATCATCTTATGGGACTACCATTGTAAATGTGGTCCCTGGTTGACCAAAACGTCATTATGTGGTGCATGACTGTACTCGTATGGAAATATCCATAGCAGTGTTACTCACAGTAGCCAAAACGTGGCAGAAGCAACCCAGTGTCCTTCAGCAGATGAATGGGCAAGCAAAATGTAGTCTTTATATACAGTAGAATATTACTCAGCTTAAAAAGGAATGGAATGTTTTGAATGTGGCTTTTGTTGGGGGGGAGAAAAGGAATAGAATTCTGATACATGCTATAGCATGGATGAACCTTGAAACCATGCTAATGAAATAAGCCAGACACTAAAGGGTAAATGTTGTATGATTCCACTTATATGAGCTATCTAGAGCAGACAAATTCACAGAGTTAGACGGCAGAATAGAGGTTCCCAGGGGCTAAGCGAGGGGAAATGGGGTTATTGTGTAATGGGTAGAGTTTCTGTTTGTGATGGTGAAACGTGCTGGAAATAGTGGTGATGGTTGTGCAACGCTGCAAATGTACTTAATGCCACTGAATTATACACTCAGAAAATGACTAAAATTGTAAAAAAAAAAAAAAAAAAAAAAAAACCAAAACCACACACTATGATTTTTCTAAGTTAATTTTGTTTCATTTTTCCTAATTTTTTCTTTAAAAAGAATTATCAGGCCAGATGCAGTGGCTCAGATCTATAATCCCAGCAGTTTGGGAAGCCAAGGTGGGCAGATTGCTTGAGCCCAGGAGTTTGAGACCAGCCTGGGCAACATGGTGAAACCCCATCTCTACAAAAAGTATTTAAAAATTAGCTGGGTGTGGTGGCGCATGCCTGTAGTCCCAGCTACTCAGGAGGCTGAGGTGGGTAGATCACTTGAGCCTGGGAGGTCGAGGCTGCAGTGAGCCATGATTGAACCACTGCACTGCAACCTGGGTAACAGAGCGAGACCCTGTCTCGAAAACAACAACAAAAAAAGGAGTTATCTTTTTTGTTGTTCGTTTTTGAGACAGGGTTGCCCAGGCTGGAGTGCAGTGGTGCAATCATGGCTCACTGCATTCTCTAACTCCTGACTCAAGACATTCTCCTGCCACGGTCTCCCAAAGTGCTGGGATTACAGGCATGAGCCACCACGCCAAGCTCATTTTTCATAGTTTATAAACAGTCTGGAAAAAATAGGAAGAATTCTAGAGACTAAATATTCAAATTTCGGATACTAACATGTTGCATATATTTTCCTGTTCTATTAAAGGATATTGCTCTAAAAACAAGAGAAATCTTTACCAACCTAGCACCGTTTTCAGAAGTTTCGGCTGATGGAGAAAAGAGAGTCCTTAATTTGGAGGCGCTAAAGCAAAAACGATTTCCACCAGCAACAGAAAACTTCCTTTATCATCTAGCAGCAGCCGAACAAATGCTGAAAATCTGACTGTGTGACAGAACGTATCACTGATGACTGATAGAAAGCCCTCTTTCACTCTGATTACCCACTCACTACATGAAGTCCTGAAAATAACAGAGAAACTGTTATATCTTTTTAATGATTTATTTGCAAGTATTGAGATTTGACCTGAAAAACAATGAAACACATGAACACACTTCCGATTTTCTCCTCGCTGATTAGCTTCCTGCCTGCTGTCAGTGCTGGACGAAGTGCTATAACTACTTTATGTAACATTACAGAACAGCTAGAGGTCCTGGGGTAAGAGAAAAAAAGCACATCACAACAAATGTGAAAGCCTTCATTATTACACGTTCCAGTTTGTCTCGCTGTGTAGGCATAAGCTAATGGTTTATTTTCAGAAAGCTGCCTGAAACGTTGCTTTGTATTCTTCTAGGAAGAACTTTAATTCCTCCTGAGGAACTCTACTTTCTGAGCCAAACTGCTAATTTTCTGCGGAACTGTCTAGAAGATCATTCAAGAGACCCTGCAGTTGCACTTTCTCGTAAAAGTTAAAAAAAAAAAAAAAAAAAAAAGGTTTTTCCCGGCCTTTGAACATTTTGCCTATGAGAGTTTTGCATATATTTTATACTTGAGTAGACAACTTTAATAATCCATATTTATACTATCGCAGAAGTAAGCATTTGGCAAACGTTCAGCCATTAGCACTCATTTAACCCTGTTAGCAATATTCTTTTGAAAAAAGTGCCAGTCCTTATGTGATAAACTAAGAAGCCCATTGAATATAAAAGTGTGTAGGACTGAAACAGTGACCTTATATTATTGCTAAGGGAATATGAGATTAACTTCCTACAGGGGCCAAAACCAGAGAAAGGCTTCCAGCAACTTCGATGAAAGTAGTTTGGCCACATGTCAAGCCAATTGTTTGTACTATTTATGTACCTTTTTCATAACTGGAATTGCCAAATAAGCATGGAGATCTAAATGATGTACTTGTTAGTGTATTCATTCATATTGACTGTAAAGGATTATTTTTCACTCAGTACTGATGTCCTTGGAAATCTTACCTGGAAACATGTTTGCAAAAAACATTATTGGGTCTTTCATCTTTTTCTTGGTATTACATATTTGTTCAATAAAAATTAAACACCCTCCCTTTTTTTTGAGTGAGGGCAGGGAGTACCTGAAATAAGACAATGTTTACTAAGGCAAATAATTGAAAATTAAATCTGCACTTTATGGAAATGAGGAATATTAACATCTTTTTTCTCATTTTTTTGTATTACTATATTAGCTAATGATCAAAGTTGTTAAAATTATAAATTTATGATGCAGAAATAAAATTGATATATTTTGATATTCAACTACTTTTAGGTGGGTGACGAATTGTCCCCTCTTTCTCTAATACTGCTCATTCCAAAGAAAATGGGGAAAAAATACCTTTTTTCAACTGTGAGGGCGCTAGGGAATTATTAAAAGACCTGTCTGAAAGTTCAAGACGGCCAAGGGCGCGGTGGCTCATGCCTGTAATGCCAGCACTTTGGGAGGCCGAGGTGGGCGGATCACCTGAGATCAGGAGTTTGAGACTAGCCTGGCCAACGTGGTAAAACCCCATCTCTACTAAAAGTACAAAAATTAGCTGGGTGTGGTGGCACATGCCCGTAATCCCAGCTACTTGCTATTTGGGAGGCTGAGGCAGGAGAATTGCTCGAACCAGGGAGGCGGAGGTTGCAGTGAGCCGAGACTGCACCATTGCACTCCAGCCTGGACAAAAGAGCGAGACTTGGTTTCAAAAAAAAAAAAAAAAAAAAGTTCAAGCCGTCCCCCACACACCCTTTCCTCCCGCCCTAGCCCTCCTCCACTCGCCTTCCTGGAGCTGCCTCTGTAACTTCAGTCTCCTGTCCTTGGAAGATGCCTTCACATTTCTGTCATCTGTTAGCGGTTAAACCTCCACCTGCAGCTGTTGCCCATCTTGTTCTCTAACTTTAATTTTGGTTAGTGTCAGCCTATGGTCAAACTGAGCCATTTACTGATTTTGTCCTTTTAGGCTGTTATGAAACTTTCCTCACCAAATTTGGAAATGAACCATCATACTGGCCTTGGGGAAACAAAACCACAGATAAATTCTTTGGTAATGTGGGGTAGGGTGTGTTGGAAGCATTAGTCCAGTACTCAAATGTTGAGGTACCTACTCTGTGCCATGCCTGTGTTGTATTTTGAACTACCCTGATGGGCAGCAGCTCCCGCTCTCGCGGTGCTGCGCACAGTCCGCTTGGGGAATAGGGTCAGCAAACAGGCTGCTGTAGTGTGGCTAGTGCTAGGCGTGATGTGTGAAACAGAGTGGTATTGGAGCACATAGATGGGGACCCAGTTCAGTGCTGTCAATCCTGGAAGGCCTCCCAGAGGGAGTGATCAATGTCAAAGTCAGGCCTGAAGCATTAAGTAGACATCTACTCAGACCAGAGGAAACAGCTGTGTGAAGGCCCTGAGAAGAGACCACAGCCCATGTGAGGACCTGGAGGGTCTACAGGGAGGGGAGGGAGTGGCAGGATACGAGTATGGGAAAGGCTTGCTGTGGTGAGGAAGGTGGGCTTGATCTTGACGCACTGGGAAGCCATTTAAGGCTTTTCAGGCCCGGTGCGGTGCTCAGGCCTGTAATCCCAGCACTTAAAGAGGCCAAGGTGGGTGGATCGCGGGGACAGGAGATGACAGCCTGGCCAACATGGTGAAACCCCATCTCTACTTAAAAAAAGCAAAACAAAAATTAGCTGGACGTGGTGGCTGGTACATGCCTGTAGTCCCAGCTACTCAGGAGGCTGAGGCACAAGAATCACTTGAACCCAGGAGGTGGAGGTTGCAGTGAGCCAAGATCGCGCCACTGCACTCTACACTCCAGCCTGGGTGACAGAGTGAGACTCCGTCTCAAAAGAAAAAAAAACAGTTGTTCAGCAGGTGTGGTTTAGAAGAGCAGGCTGGAACGTGGACCGGAGGGAGTAGGCAGGAGATGGGCCAGGCAGTGCCAGCAGGGGATGCTGTTGGACTGCGCTGGGTGGTAGCAGTGGGCATATGTGGGTTCCAGACTCCATGTACTGGGCCCTGTCTACTGCATAGGCTGGTAAGGTGGGGAGAGGGCGCCTCCAGTGATCCTGTCTGGTGCACCTGGGGAGGTGGTGGTGTCAATTCCTGAGACTGGGAGGGAGAGCTGATCTCAGGTTCGGATGGGTTGAGTTTGAGGTGTCTGGGACATCCAAATGGCAAAGTACAGCCAAGTAAGCAGCTCAGTGACCAGCCTGAGTGCCCAGCAGTGTGGCAGTGCCACATTCAGGTGGGTCACGGATGAGAGAAATCTTAGCAGAACGGGAGGTGGGGTGGAGACAGTGAGGGCGGACAACTCTTTTAAAGTGTCTGGCTACAGCCAGGCGTGGTGACAGGCGCCTGTAGTCCCAGCCACTCAGGAGGCTGAGGCAGGTGGGTCCTCATTGAGCCCAGGAGTTCAAGGCTGCAGTGAGCTGATTGTGCCAGTGCACTCCAACCTGGGTGACAGCAAGATCCTGTCTCTAATGAGGCAGGTGACAAGCAGTTTATTTCTTTTTGAGACACAGTCGTTCTATTGCCTAGGCTGGAGTGCAATGGCATGACGTCAGCTCACTGCAACCTCCGCCACCAGGGTTCAAGTGATTCTCCTGCCTCAGCCTCCTGAGTGGCTTGGACTACAGGTGCGCAACACCACGCCTGGCTGATTTTTATATTTTTAGTAGACACGGGGTTTTACCATGTTGGCCAGGCTGGTCTCGAACTCCTGACCTCAGGTGATCCACTGACCTCAGGCGATCCACTGACCTCAGGCGATCCACTGGCCTCAGCCTCCCAAAGTGCTGGGATTACAGGCGTGAGCCACCGCGCCTGGCCGACAAGTAGTTTACATACTTCTGGGAAGGACCTGGCAGACAGAGGCTACAGAGCACAGCCCTGAGGAAGCAGAGAGAGGCCCAGAGCCTGGAGGACGCTGGCATTACACGGAGGAAGGATGGGTGTGGGTGCGGGTGTGGGGGGCTCCACTGCTGACCTGTTTCCTGGCGGAGGAGGCAGGGTCCTTTGCCAGAGAGGAGAAAGGAGGCACTGGGCGGAGGGCGGCAAAGGTTTTAAGTAGCTGTCTAGAATGGAGGACACTGAGTAAGGAAACAAGATTGCTTTTGGGGTTGGAGGGCGTAAACAGCGCCCCAGGGGTACGTGTTCCGCTTGAGACGGCCTATCCATTTAACACCTGTGTCCTGGGCACGGTGGACTCTGTGTTCTTTCTTCAAATCCTCAACTTGAGACAGGTTTATTAGTTAATTAGTGATTTCACAGTATCCTTTCGCAGGCCGATCCCCACTCCAACCGTTCCCTCAGCAACCCCAGGGGTGTCAGACGGGGCACCCTCCCACTGTCTTCTCCAGCCAGCCTTAAAAACCCCAGAGACGCCAGCCTGGGAACGATCTCAGTATGGAATCTGAAGTCGCCTTGTCAGCACAGACACCTCTGGGGTCCCCAGAAGACCTGTGGCAAAGTTCTCTAAACCGAACCTGGAGAGGGGAAGGTTTTCAAGCAGGAACCACATAAATTCACCTAAAACTCACGCCTACACCCCTCTGTGATAAAAGATTTCTGTTTCTTCTGTTGGAGACTGAATTTTCTCTTCAAGACTACAGTACTGTATCTGAAAAATAGTTAAATTCATAATGTTTCTATTAATAGTTTTTCTTGCCTTAGAAGCCAAGTTAAAAAAATCATTTTCTGAAAGCAACCATTTCACAGTCCATCTTTTTCAATAATGTCTAATCTATAGCAGAAAATGTAACCTATTTTTTTTTTTAATCACCCAAGCAGTAAAGAAACTTCTTAAACTTTTTTTTTTTTTTTTTTTTTGAGACAGAGTCTTGCTCTGTTGCGCAGGCTGGAGTGCAGTGGCACCATCTCAGGTCACTGCAACCTCCACCCTCCAAGTTCAAGTCATTCTCATGCCTCAGCCACCCGAGTAGCTGGGATTGGGATTACAGGCGCGCACCACCATCCTTGGCCCATTATTGTTATTTACTTATCTCTACATTTGTTTATAATTGAAAGTTTCCATTAAAAAGTTTTAAGATGGCTGGGCACAATGGCTCATGCCTGTAATCCCAACACTTAGGGAGGCTGAGGCAGGTAGATCACTTGAGGCCAGGAGTTCAAGACTAGCCCGGCTAACATGGTACAAAAAATACAAAAATTAGCTGGGTGTGGTGGCACACACCTGTAATCCCAGCTACTCCAGTGGCTGAGGCACGAGAATCACTTGAACCTGGGAGGTGGAGGTTACAGTGAGCCGAGATCAGGAGGATTGCTTGAGGTGGGGAGTTTGCAATCAGCCTGGGCAATATAGTGGGACCCTATCTCTACAAAAAATAAAAAATTAGCCAGGTGTGGTAGTACGTTCCTGTAGTCCCAGCTACTTGGGGGGCTGAGGTCAGAGGATCACTTGAGCCTGGGAGTCAAGGCTGCAGTAAGCCATGATCATACCACTGCCCTCCAGCCTGGGCAACAGAGTGAGAAACCCTGTCTCAAACACACAAACAAACAAAAAACAAATGTAGAAGGAATGTAATGAACTCACATGTGCTCACTCAGGAATCACTATTAACAATTTGCAGATCTCATTTCATCAAGCACCTCCCACACCCAGCAGTAGGATTTTTTTCCTTGAGTATTTTAAGGCAATTCTCATGTCATGTCACCTACAAGTTCCAAATGATAAAGACCTTATCATTATTGATATAGTACTTGATATAGTAATGACAGTAGTTACAAAACTACTATGTCATTGTCACACCTAACAAAATTAGTAATAACTCCTTATCTCATCTAAGCACCTCCATGCCCTCCTTGAGCCAACAGGATATTTTGTGTCTTTTTTTTTTTTTTTTTTAAATGAGATGGAGTCTCACTCTGTCACCCAGGCTGGAGTGCAGTGGCGCGACCTCGGCTCACTGCAAGCTCCGCCTCTGGGGTTCACGCCATTCTCCTGCCTCAACCTCCCGAGTAGCTGGGACTACAGGCACCCGCCACCACGTCCAGCTAATGTTTTGAATTTTTTTTTTTTTTTTTTTTTTTGATATGGAGTCTTGCTCTGTCGCCCAGACTGGAGTGCAGTGGCGCGATCTCGGCTCACCGCAAGCTCTGCCTCCAGGGTTCACACCATTCTCCTGCCTCAGCCTCTCGAGTAGCTGGGATTACAGGCGCCTGCCACCATGCCTGGCTAATTTTTTTGTATTTTTAGTAGAGACGGGGTTTCACTGTGTTAGCCAGGATGGTCTCAATCTCCTGACCTCGTGATCCGCCCGCCTCGGCCTCCCAAAGTGCTGGGATTACAGGCATGAGCCACCACGCCCGGCCCCAACAGGATATTTCCAAAGTCCAGCAAGCAAGTCTTGGCATCTGAGGTCACGCGTGAGACTGACTCCCTTTCCTGCCTCCACTCTGGCCTCTGGGAGTTCTGCCCCTTCCAACCTTGCATGACTTACCTGCTGCCCTGCTCCTTGGCCTGGCTGTGCAGGCCCTGCCACCTGGCCCCCAGCATCCTGCCTGTTCCTTGCAGCCTCACGTGCCCATTCAGCCCTTCCCATCCTCCACTGGGGATGAACTCTTCCCTCTCCCTCCTGGGCTCAAGTGATCCTCTCACCACAGCCTTCTGAGTAGCTGGGACTGCAGGTGTGTGCCGCTTCACCCTACTAATTTTTTTTTTTTCGAGACAGGGTCTCACTCTGTGACCCCATTGTAGCCTTGACCTCCCATGCTCAGGTGATCTTCCTACCTCAGCTGCCTGAGTAGCTAGGACTACAGGCACATACCACCATGCCTGGCTAATTATTATTTTTTCTTTTTAAACAATTTTTTTCAGAAGAGAGATGAGGTTCAGACTGGTCTCGAACCCTGAGCTCAAGTGATCCTCCCACCTCGGCCTCCCAAAGTGCTGGGATTACAGGCATGACCCACTGTGCCCAGCCAAATTTTTATTTTTAGCAGAGACGAGGTCTTGCTATGTTGTCCTGGCTGGTCTTGAACGCCGGGGCTCAAGTGATCCTCCCACTTGGGCTTCCCAGAGTGCTGGGATTACAGGCATGAGCCACAGCACCCGACCTAATTTTTAGAACATTTTATGTAGAGACGAGGTCTCACTACATTCCCCAGGCTGGTCTGGAACTCCTGGCCTCAAGCAATCTTCCCACGTTGGTCTCCCAAAGTGTTGGAATTACAGACATGAGCCACCGTGCCTGGCCTGAAATTTTATTCTGAGATGCTGCCTCGCTCCCCAACCCCTCGCCCATAGCATAGTAATAGGCATAACTATCTAAAATAATCTGAAACTTCTACGTTGTGCTGGCAAAGTTGCTTGAATGAATGATCCTACAACCTAAACCTATAAAACGTGGGTTCTGAACAAGATCATTCCATAAATATAAATGCTTTTGAGGACATATATATTTATAGTGACAGAAATGAACATTTGAAATGTTTAGCCAAGAAACTGCTAGTATCAGCCGGGCGTGGTGGCTCACGCCTGTAATACCAGCACTTTGGGAGGCCGAGGCGGGCGGATCACGAGGTCAGGAGATCGAGACCATCCTGGCTAACATGGTGAAACCCCATTTCTACTAAAAAATACAAAAAATTAGCTGGGTGTGGTGGCGGGCGCCTGTAGTCCCAGCTACTCAGGAGGCTGAGGCAGGAGAATGGCATGAACCCGAGAGGTGGAGCTTGCAGTGAGCCGAGATTGCGCCACTGCACTCCAGCCTGGGTGACAGAACGAGACTCCGTCTCAAAAAAAAAAAATTGCTAATATCTGCTAGCATCAGTAATGTCTTTGACATCTGCTAGCAATTTATGGCAGAGCTTTGGAAATTAAAAAAATTGGCTTTCTGACTTAAAAAAAAAAAAATGTCCTTGCTACCTACTAAGCAACAACCCTTTGCAGAGATGCCATTATCTTCAGCTCTCTTTAACAGATAAGAAAACTAAGCAAGTTGACCAAGGTCATGGAGAAGCTGGAATCTGAGTCCAAGCAGCCTGACTCATCATAAATTATATTATAAATTATCTATAGAACTGGGCTGTCCAATAGCCACTAAGCACACAAGAGTACCTAATTTAAAATTTAACTTAATTTACAATTCAGTTCCCTAGTCACACCAGCCTCTCCTGAAGTGCTCAGTAGCACACGTAGCTCATGGCTACCATAATTGGACAGCACCAATCTATTATAGAACATTTCCATCACTGCAGAAAGTTCCACTGGAGAGGGCGTAGTTATAGAACATTTTGGAGTATTTAAAATTTCTCTAAGTAATTTTAAAAGATTTCTTTTTATGCCCCAGAAAAAAAGGCTTATGAAATATTGTTAAGAAAAACAGAACCCAAAACTGCACCAAGAGATTTGAGGGATAGAATTAAATATAAATATCATTACAATTAACCCTTGAATAATGCAGGTTTGAACAATGCAGGTCCACTTATATACTGTTTCCCCCTCAGTCACCCCTGAGACAGCAAGACCAATCCCTCTTCCTCCTCCGCAGCCTACTCAATATGAAGATGACGAGGATGAAGACTTTGATCCTCACTGAAACTGATGACTCACCTTCACTTAATAAACAGTAAATATATTTTTTCTTATGATTTTTTTTTTTTTTTTTTTTGAGACAGAGTCTCACTCTGTCACCCAGGCTGGAGTACAATGTCATGATCTTGGCTCATTGCAACCTCTACCTCCCCAGGTTCAAGCGATTCTCCTGCCTCAGCCTCCCGAGTAGCTGAGATTACAGCTACCGTGGCTAATTTTTGTATTTTTAGTAGAGCTGGAGTTTTGCCACGTTGGCCAAGCTGCTCTTGAATTCCTGATCTCAAGTTATCTGCCCGCCTCAGCGTCCCAAAGTGCTGAGATTACAGGCATGAGCCACCGCGCCTGGCCTGATTTTCTTAATAACGTTCTATTTTCTCTAGTTTATTGTAGGAATACAGTATACAACACATATAAAATATAAAATATGTGTTACTTGACTTTTTATGGTATTGGTAAGCCTTCCGGTCAACAGTAAGCTATTAATGGTTAAGTTTTCAGGGAGTCAAAGGTTATACTTGGATTTTTGACTACTAACCCCCAGGTTGTTCAAAAGCCAATTGTATTTTGTTTTATTATTTTATTTTTTTGAAATAGGGTCTCACTCTCAGCCAGGCTGGAGTGCAGTGGTGCAATCATGGCTCACTGCAGCCTCAATCTCCTGGGCCCAGGTGATCCTCCCACCTCAGTCTCCTGCGCAGCTGGGACAACAGGTGTGCATCATCACACCCAGCTAATTTGTGTATTATTTTTTGTAGAGATGGGGTCTCACTATGTTGCCTAGGCAGGTCTTGAACTCCTGGGCTCAAGCAATCTTCCCACCTTGGCCTCCCAAAGTGCTGGGATTACAGGTGTGAGCCACTGCACCTGGTCTTATTTTATATTTTTATAAACTTTGCAGAGTTTTAAGAAGAATAACTTATTTTATTCTTCTAACTGCAAAATAAAAAACTTTGAGAGAAAAGAGGAATGGGGGCACTTACCTGTCCAATCTGTGGAAATATACTAAAAGAAAATGGCACCATCAGTCCCATTGCCAGGACAGTACAAGACAGTTTCAAAATCCACAATGACCCTGGGTTTTTCCTGAAATACTGGGTCCTGTAAGAGACAAGGCATGGCTCACAAGTGATGTTAAACTATCAGGGCTTATTTTCTGAACAGCTGAATCAGGGCGTGTGTGTGTGTGTGTGTGTGTGTGTGTGTGTGCACGTGTGTGTGTACCTGAACACCTGGATCAGGGCCTGTTCTTTTTTCTTTTTGTTGTACCTGAACAGCTAGATCAAGGCCTGTTTTTTTGTTGTTTTTGTTTGTTTGTTTTGTGTTTTTTTCTTTTGAGAGAATCTTCCTCTGTCGCCCAGGCTGGAGTGTAATGGTGCCATCTTGGTTCACTGCAATCTCCGCCTCCTGGGTTCAAGCAATTCTCCTGCCTCAGCCTCCCGAGTAGCTGGGATTATAGGCGCCCGCCACCACGCCTTGCTAATTTTTGTATTTTCAGTAGAGACGGGGTTCACCATGTTGGCCAGGATGGTCTAGAACTCCTGACCTCAGGTGATCTGCCCACCTTGGCCTCCCAAAGTGCTGGGATTACAGGCGTGAGCCACCGCACCATCCCATCCCTCCTTCTTGGAAATGTGCTCCATGTGTGGTCCTAGCAGGCGATTCCCAGCCTCGCCACACTGGTGGGGGGGATGTGCACCCCAGGCATGCGACCTAACTCAGGCCCACAGAATCCTTCCCCAGGAGTCTGCCCTGAGGGGAAGACATTCCTGCCTCCCCTGGGGTTTGCTGTGTTCCACCTCTGATCAGGAGGCTGTGAGGCTATGAGCTGGGAGTTACTAGCAAGTGGGTCCCGCATCAATATGAAGAAGCCAATCTGGCAGGAGAGAAGGACTCGACACCCACGAGAATGACAGGGAGGCGCGCCCAGCAGGGGAGCTTCTGTTCAAGCTGCCATGGACTGCAATCCTTGCCCGTTCCGGCCCTAAAGCCCCAACGTCTCCCCTCGGGTCTGAGCTCCTGCAGGTTAGGTTTCTCATACTGGTGGCCACAGGAACCCTGATGGATGCCCAGGTCCTCCGCCTCGTAGGCCATTTCTGGCTTCTTAAAAGGGATGGATCTGAATTCGGAGTCGCTGAAGCTCATTTAAAACATACTTGGAATGGGGGTTTAGAGAGGAGGGCTTGAGCAATATTCACAGCACATGAGAGCCAGGGGAACCTGCAAATCATCCAAGCCCCTCATTCTAGAGGTGAGGAAATGGCCGTGGAAGGTCCTTCGACACGCCAAGGACACGGGGTAACTGGAGGCAGAGCCTGGGCTGGATTCCCCATTCGGTGGAATCCGTACACCCGGATTTCCACGCCTGCCACAATCAATCCGCCTGTCTTAGCTGTGATGTGTGTTTATGGGAAGGTTACTGAGCCAACTTCTCCCCACCCTCCACCAGGGTCAGTATCTGACAGGTTTTATAAGGATTTGACTTTCAAATCCCTACCTGGGGATATGACCGTGTCTCTTACCTTTTAAAAAAGTAGGTGAAGACTTCAGGAATCAGAGCTGAGGTCCCAAACAGCACTATTCTGGATGCTAGCGTTTCTCTAACAGCCTAGCAAAAATGAAAAGAAAACAGCTTAGGTTGGGCACGGTGGCTCACGCCTGTAATCCCTGCACTTTGGGAGGCCGAGGCGGGTAGATCGCTTGAGGTCAGTAGTTTGAGACCAGCCTGGCCAACATGGTGAAACCCTGTCTCTACCAAAAAATACAAAAATTAGCCCGGTGTGGTGTTATGCACCTGTAGTACCAGCTACTTAGGAGACTGAGAAATGAGAATCACTTGAACCTGAGAGGCGGATTTTGCAGTGAGCCAAGATCACGCCACTGCACTCCAGATTGGGCGACGGAGTGAAACTCTGTCTCAAAAAAGAAACTTAGTACAGGAGCAAGACGATTTCCAGGGATCCCACAACTCCTGCGAGAGACAGGCAACAGTAACCCACCCTTCTCACTTAGAAAAAGAATGCCCGTGGAGAGAGGCGGAGGGGACGCCTTCCACGTAACTTTCCATGTACAGGTGTGTGGCGGTCGGCTGCACTTTGTGCCAGAAATAGCTGGCACCGTCTGCCAAACCACCCCAAATAAACTATCCACTAAGTACAAGCAAAGGTGGCTTCTAGACAGATCTTCACTGAGAACCAAATGGTTCCTCAGTGGAAATGCTGGATTTGCCACAGAGGTTTGCTCCGTATTTCCCATCCAAGCCAAGTCTCTGCCACTGGCCTCCTGTCCTGACCTGGCTCAGCAGTGACTCTCATACCTGCCATTGGGGAAGCCTCCAAATGCCCAGCTCTGAGGGCACGGGCACAGCATGAGACCCACACAAGGCTGCCTGTCCGTACCCACGTTTCACAGCGAATTAAAAGTGTTATACTATAAAATTGTGTTATGTACAGGTTATAACATTTTTGTAATCTTTTCTATAATGTACATTACTCTATACATTAAACATTTAAACATACAATTTACTGTATGGGTGAGTATGTACAAAACCATGTACCCTCAAGGGCACTTTAAGGGACTTGTAAGGGAAATTTTGACTATAAGACAGCTCACGTTAACTTTTTTACTACTTTCATTTATTTATTTATTTTTAGAGACAGGGTCTCACTCTGTCATCCAGGCTGGAGTACAGTAGCGTGATCACGGCTCACTGCAGTGTTGACCTCCCAGGCTCAAGTGATCCTCCTACCTTAGCCTCCCGAGTAGCCAGGATCACAGGTACACCCTACCAGGCCCGGCTAACTTTTCGATTTTTTGTAGAGATGTGATCTCACTATGTTGCCCAAGCTGGTCCCGACTTCCTGGCCTCACGCAATCCTCCTACCCCAGCCTCCTGAGTAGCTAACATGTTAACTTTAGAACCCACCCCTGGGTAAGACACACACACCACAAACAGCACATCGTGTACCCAAGAGGAGCAGGCACACCTGCGCCCGTCCTTCCCTGAACTCTGTTCCTTCCACTTCCAGCTTCCCATGATTGGCTTTGACCTACCTTCCCAGGCTCCTCCTACCACCCGGCCCCTGCTCTCTGCTTGCACCTCTGCCCTGCTGTGGGTGACAGTCACGCTTGCATGGTTCCCTCTGCAGGGAATGCCTTTCCCCCCCACAAAAGAGAGGAAGCCGAGGAGGGCTGTTTTTAAAATAAGGTCTTAAGGGCCGGGCACGGTGGCTCATGCTTATAATCCCAACACTTTGGGAGGCCAAGGTGGGCAGATCACCTGAGGTCAGGAGTTCAAGACCAGCCTGGCCAACATAGTGAAACCCTGTCTCTACTAAAAATACAAAAATTAGCCGGGCGTGGTGGTGGGCGCCTGTAATCCCAGCTACTCGGGAGACTGAGGCAGGAGAATCACTTGAACCTGGGAGGCAGAGGTTGCAGTGAGCCAAGATCACACCATTGCACTCCAGCCTAGGCAACAGAGCGAGACTCAGTCTCTAAAATAAAAGAAAATAAAATAAAAGTCTCAGGGATATAAAGTAAAATTGCTTGACTTCCGGAAGGGAAAAATGGCTGTTAGTGTGCTGTGTGTCCACATCAGTGGGGCGAGGCCCGCCTCTCTCCCTTAGTCCCATGTGTGGGGAGGACACTCCAAGTGAGACGCCGTCATTAGGAGGCGCTGTGTGCAAAGCAGTGGCTTATGGGGCCAGTCGGGGGAAACAACAGCCACGCGTCACCTGAAATTGGACCAACCGTGCCCTGTTACCATCAGATATTGCTGGTTACGCAGTTTCTGAAATTTTAGCCGAAGAAAATAACCTTCCAGGGACAGGGAAGTGATAGAAGAATGCTTATGCACAGTTGCAGACACTTTATTCTTCAGAGAAAAAAAAGACCTTTTTTTTTTTAAAGTAGACCAGTAAAGCTTTTCTTTGACCCTAACATGCCCCTCATGCCAAAAATGAAGTTTCTTCTGGTGAGATGGACTCCAGACAGCCAGTCAGGCCTGAGGCTACCTTTCCGCTGGAGGCTGGGGCTGCTGGGGAGACGGGGCTCTCACTGATCAGGGTGTGGGTCTCCAGAGCCTAGCACCAAGCCTGGCAGGCAGGAGGTGCTGGGAACAACTTGCTCATTGGATATTTGCTCTAAGCTGGGTGCAGTGCCTCACACCTCCCAGCGCTCTGGGAGGCCAAGGCAGGAGGATCACTTGATGCCAGGAGTTTGAGACCAGCCTGGGCAACATAGCGAGACCCCATCTCTACAAACTTTTTTTTTTTAACATTAGCCATGTATGGCGGTGCACACTACTCAGAAGGCTGAGGCAGGAGGGTCGCTTGAGCCCAGGAAGTTGAGGCTGCAGTGAGCCATGTTCGTACCATTGCCCTCCAGCTTTGGCAACAGAGGGAGACTCTGTCTCTATAAATAAATGAATAAATAAATAAACGAACTTAAAAAAATGTGCTCTCACTCTCCTCTCCAGCTTTATGAATAGGTCAGAGCAATACTAACACCTTAAGTTCACATGGAGTTGTGGAGAAATACAAACACACATATGCATAAAGATGTGCAAGTGAATGTCGGAGCAGCCTGATTCATAATAACCCAAGCCTGGACACAACCCAAACGTCCACCGCCGGCAGAATAGATAAGCAAAATGCGGCACATCCAGGAACGGAATACTACTCAGCAATGAAAAGTAACAAATGAGCAACATGTGGTACAAGACGGATGAATCTCAAACGTGAAAGAAGCAAGACACAAAAAACTACAGTGTGATTCACTTATGTATAATTTCTGGAAAAGGCAAAAACTAAGAAGACAGAAAAGCAAGTCAGTGGCCAGGCATGGGGGCTCACGCCTGTAATCCCAGCACTTTGGGAGGCCGAGGCGGGTGGGTCATGAGGTCAGGAGATCGAGACCATCCTGGCTAACATGGTGAAACCCCGTCTCTACTAAAAATACAAAAAATTAGTTGGGCGCAGTGGCGCATACCTATAGTCCCAGCTACTTGGGAGGCTGAGGCAGGAGAATCGCTTGAACCTGGGAGGCAGAGGTTGCAGTGAGCCAAGATCGCACCATTGCACTCCAGCCTGGGCGACAGAGTGAGACTCTGACTCAAAACAAACAAACAAAAAAAAAGAAGCAGATCAGTGCCTCCCTAGGGCTGGGGGTGGGGGTGGGGGTGGGCATTTGGGACATTTTTAGGATGATGAAAATGTTCTACAACTGGACTGTGGTGATGGTCACACAACTGTTTCATTTATTTATTATTATTATTTTTTGAGACAGAGTCTTTCTCTGTCACCCAGGCTGGAGTGCAGTGGCGCAATCTCAGCTCACTGCAACCTCTGCCTCCTGGGTTCAAGTGATTCTCCTGCCTCAACCTCCTGAGTAGCTGGGACTACAGGCATGAGCCACCATGCCCGGCTAATTTTGGTATTTTTAGTAGAGACAGGGTTTCACCATGTTGGCCAGGCTGGTCTCAAACTCCTGACCTCAGGTGATCTACCTGCCTCAGACCCCTCAGAGTGCTGGGATTACAGGCGTGAGCCACCGCGCCTGGCCTATGTTTTATTTTTTGAGACAAGGGTCTCTTTCTGTCACCTAGGCTGGAGTACAGTGGTGTGATAATAGCTCGCTGCAGCCTCAACCTCCTAGGCTCAGTTGATCCTCTCACCTCAGCCTCCTAAGCAGCTGGGACTACAGATGCACCCCGCCATGCCTAGCTAATTTTTTAAAAATTTTTTTGTAGAGATAGGGTTTTGCTATGCTGCCCAGGCTGGTCTCGCACTCATGGACTCAAGCGATCTACCTCCCAAAGTGTTGGGATTACAGGCATGAGTGAGCCACCATGCCTGGCTGCACAACTGTTTTAAACTGACTAAAATTCATCAAACTATCCTCTTACAAATGGGTAAATTTTACAGTATGTAAATTATACCTCAATAAAGCTGTTTGAAAAAATGTCTCTTTCGGGCGTTTTTTTTTTTCCCCAGGGGAAAGCGCAAATGCAGTCCCAGGTGGTTTTTGTTTGTTTGTTATTTTTGAGATGGGGTCTTGTTCTGTCGCCCAGGCTGGAGTGCAATGGCACGACTTCGGCTCACTGCAACCTCCACCTCTCAGGTTCAGGCAATTCTCCTGCCTCAGCCTCCCGAGTAGCTGGGATTACAGGCACCCGCCACCATGCCCAGCTAATTTTTGCCTTTTTAGTAGACACAGGGTTTCACCATGTTGGCCAGGCTGGTCTCGAACTCCTGACCGACTGCAAGTGATCCAACTTACGGGTGGTTTGTTAGGCCCAGAACCTTCATTTCAAACTAGTGACCTATTTTCTTACTGGCAGCAATTTCTCTGTTACTTATAATTATTTTATCTCTGTCATAATTCATTTAGGTAAGGAGCTATGCTACTAGATGGTCTAGTGGAAATACCATTAGCATGTATCTGATAGTTTATAATTCAGCTTTGTCAGTCAGTGATAGGATTTAAAGTAATATGTTTGGTGAGCTGAATAATGACGTATTTACCGATGGAATGAACAACCATCTTTTCTGAGCTTCCCTGCCACCAACATGCTGGTCAGTAGAAGGACATACCCTGGCTGGCTAAGGGAGTCCTCTGGATCCCACACTGCCAGAAGCCCGGTTAGTCCCTTCACTTCATATCAGGGCTGTTCCACTCTGCTTGATATGTCATTTGCAAACAACTAAAGTCTTCAGCTAAAGTCATTTCACAGGGACCAAAAAAGATCTCACCTGCTAAAAACATATTATTTTAAAAGTCCACACCCAAAATGAAAAGACCATAGACTATACCAGGTTCTCACGGCTGAATGCACTCAGTAGTCACTGTGTTGAACTGAACAAAAGAATACTTTGGCCAGGCCCAGTGGCTCACCCCTGCAATCCCAGCACTTTGGGAGGCCAAGGTGGGCAGATCACTTGAGCTCAGGAGTTTGAGACACGACTGGGCAACATGGCGAAACCCCATGTCTATAAAAAGCACAAGCATGAGCCAGGCATGGTGGTGCATATTTAGAATCCCAGCTACTTGGAAGGCTGAGGTGAGAGAATCACCTGAGCCTGGGAGGTTGAGGCTGTAGAGCCGTGATCACACCATTGCACTCCAGCGACAGAAGGAGACCCTGTCTCAAAAAAAAAAAAAAGAAAGAAAAGAAAAAGAAAGAAGAAGAAAAAGAAGAAACTAATAGTAAAAATTATTCAGAATTGAGGCCTTGAAAAGGAGTTTTGGATCAGAGAATTCAATGTTCTAAGTCCATTCTTGACAAAAGTAGTCCTTAGCAATGAAGACTATAAGGACATCTGCTGAATGGGAGAAGCAGGGGCTCTTTTAACCCCAGAAAGGGGTGTCCACTGACCTCTGTAAGTGCAGAGCAGGCTGGGAGGGGAGTGGCCCCCAATCAGCACACACTGGGAGGGCAGATATTGGATTTGAAGAATAGGATCTCACTCTCAGAGGTACCCAGCACTTGTCAGATGCCTGTCTGTGGCAGTCAGCCTCACGGGTCACCATGGCAACAGTACCCAGTTATTTAATCCAGCACTCATCTAGCTGTTGCTGTAGGGGTACTCTGCAGACACAGGGCACGTCTGCAATCAGCTCACTTTAAGAAAAGCAGGTTACCACCAGGCGCGGTGGCTCACACCTGTAATCCCCGTACGTTGGGAGGCCGAGGCGGGCGGAACACCTGAGGTCAGGAGTTTGAGACCAGCCTGGCCAATACGGTGAAACCCCACCTCTACTAAAAATACAAAAATTGGCTGGGCGTGGTGGTACGCACCTGTAATCCCAGCTACTCAGGAGGCTGAGGGAGGAGAATCGCTTGAACCCAGGAAGCGGAGGTTGCAGTGAGCTGAGATCACGCCATTGCACTCCAGCCTGGGTGACAGGGCAAGACTCCGTCTCAAAAAAAAAAAAAAAGAAAAGAAGGTTACCCTCCACAATGTGGGTGGGCCTCATCCAATCAGTTAGAGGCCTTATAGGCAAAAACTGAGGTTTCCCAAAGAAGAAATTCTGTCTCAAGGCTGTAGCAGCAGCTCCTGTCCAAGTTTCCAGCCTCCAGGCCTGCCCTGCAGATTCCCACAATTGTGTAAGCCAATTCCTTAGAACAAATCTCCTAATAGACATGTACTGCCCAGGTGCGGTGGTGCACACCTGTAATCCCAGCACTTTGGGAGGCCACGGTGGGAGGATCACTTGAACTCAGGAGTGAATGGGAGGGACAATGGAGACAGAGGTGCATGCTTTTCTTTTGAGAGATTTCAAAAAGGAATTGGGGGCCAGGCATGGTGGCTCATGCCTGTAATCCTAGCACTTTGGGAGACCGAGGTGGGTGGATCACTTGAGGCCAGGAGTTCGAGACCAGCCTGGCCAACATGGTGAAACCCCGTCTCTATTAAAAATACAAAAATAAGCCAGGTGCAGTGGTGTGTGCCTGTGGTCCCAGCTACTTGAGAGGCTGAGGTGGGAGGACCGCTTGTGTTAGGGAGGCAGAGGTTGCAGTGAGCCAAGACTGCACCATTGCACTCCAGGCCAGTGCGACAGAGCAAGACCCTGTCTCAGAAAGAAAGATTATGTACATATATCCCATTGGTTCTGTTTCTCCAGAGAACCCAGACTAATGCCCCATCTTATCAGGGGGCAAAATGAGAAATTTCTCTCTCAGCATGCTAAGGAAAGACGGGTAAAGAAAGGTTGAAGGCAGACATGAATTTGTCACCGGCTTTCAAACAGAAAAGTCTAGTCGTTGCCCAAAAGGCAAGCAGCTATAGCTTCATCCTGTCTCTTACCTTTGTCCCAGCAATTCTGGAATGACCCAGGACATTGCCTTCCTTGTCCATGACCGCAATCCCCTTAATGGATTCAAGACTTCGGGACATGTAGACATTCATTCCACTGGCTTGCACTGTAGATGTAAAGAAGTAAAGAACACCCAAGACGGGGGTGAGTCTTGTTCCAGCAAAGGAACATCTCTTTGGGTGTCTGCCCCCTGCAAGCCTCTTTCTCTGACAGCTGGCCTTTCTTGACCCTCAGGTGGACACCTGCCATAGGCTGGGCCAACCAAGTGCTCTCCTGGGGCTGTGGAAGTAGGCTAAGAACTGCTGGCCACTCAGTCTTGGATCCTGACCACAGCCTGGGACCAGCTTCCAGCACCCCTGCTTCCTTACCGGATTCTAGGAGAAACCCTGGGATCTTGGAAACATATTCCTCCCTCGTCTTTGCTTAAGTTTTTTTTTTCAGACAGAGTTTCACTCTTGTTGCCCAGGCTGGAGTGCAATGGTGTGATCTCAGCTCACTGCAACCTCCGCCTCCCGGGTTCAAGCAATTCTCCTGCCTCAGCCTCCAGAGTAGCTGGCATTACAGGCATGCCCCACCACGCCCGGCTAATTTTTGTATTTTTAGTAGAGACGGGGTTTCATCATGTTGGTCAGGCTGGTCTCAAACTCCTGATCTCAAGTGATCCACCCGCAATGGCCTCCCAAAGTGCTGGGATTCCAGGTGTGAGCCGCCATGCCCGGCCAAAGTTGTAAGGTTTCTATAACACCATTTCCTCAATTTCACCACTGACATCAGTCTGCCAACTCTTCAAACTGCTATGATTCCCAAACCCAAATTTGGAGCGTGACATAGTAAACTTGCAGGCTGGCAGAGTCAAAATATTCAGCTAATATCTCTGTCACCCCACTGGGTTGGAATCTCTATACTAACCATTTGCTTGCTGTGTAACTCTAGGCAAGTTACTTAACCTCCCTGTGCCTCAGTCTCCTCCTCTGTAAATAGGAATAATATTTCCTACCCATAAGTTGTTGTCGGGATTAAGTAAAATAATGTAAGTAGAACGTTTACACAGATAATCTTTAAAATGTAGGGCCAGGCGCGGTGGCTCATGCCTGTAATCCCAGCATTTTGGAAAGCTGAGGCAGGCGAATCACTTGAGGCCAGAAGTTCAAGACCAGCTTGGCCAACATGGTGAAAGCCTGTCTCTACTAAAAATACAAAAAAACAATTAGCTGGACATGGTGGCGCACACCTGTAATCCCAGCTACTTGGGAGACTGAGGCAGGAGAACTGCCTAAATCCAGCAGGCGGAGGGTTGCAGTGAGCCGAGCTCATGCCACTGCACTCCAGCCTGGGTGACAGAGCAAGACTCCGTCTCAAGAAAAAAAATGTAATTTGTGTTTCCAGTCTTGTGTTCATTCTTTAGCCATTAATGTGGGTATCTACAGAAAGTGTCACCTCTCAAACCAAAGACCTGATTTGGGCTTGGGGGCCTGCCGGGCTGCAAAGGCCACCTGTCATCAGTCACAATGTGCCAAGGGAGCCAGGTGCCTCTGGAGATGAAGGAAGGCTCACAGACCACAAAGACACCCCACCCAGACTGCAGCCTCCAGCCCTTCCTGCTCACCGAGGAAGATCACAGGTAAGAGTCTTTTAATCCAAGGGCCAGTCAGGCCATACTTCATCTGGACAAACTGAGGGATTACCTAGAAAAGAAGAGAGAAAAATCATTATTTCATGGGACTGAAAAATCAGCGGAACCTACTCACTAGCAGAGAGGTCGCCCTGACCTAGTTCCTATTACAAGTCAGACCACTGCCAGTGCTCTTCAGGTATTTTTCAAATTCCTGCAACGTGGAGGTCCTCTCCCTGTTCATCTAAGGAGTCAACAGGGGCTTAGAGAGAGGTATGGAAGCTGTTGAGAGTCACAGAGCCATTAAAGGTTTGAGCCAGGATGAGGGCCCAGGCTTGTCTGATGCCAACATCTCCCCATCTTTCACCATTACAGTGTCTTGACATCCAAAGCAATACACAAATTATATAACATATTTATAACACACAATTCATATAACAATTTTTAAAAAGATAACAGTACCAGCCAGGCGTGGTGGCTCATGGCTGTAATCCCAGCACTTTGGGAGGTCAAGGCGGGCAGTTCACCTGAGGTCAGGAGTTTGAGATCAACCTGGCCAACATGGTGAAATCCCTTCTCTACTAAAAAATACAAAAAATTAGCTGGGTGTGGTGGCACGTGCCTGTAGTCCCGGCTACTCGGAAGGCTGAGGCAGGAGAATCACTTGAACCCAGGAGGCAGAGGTTGCAGTGAGCTGAGATCATGCTACTGCACTCCAACCTGGGCAACAGAGCAAGACTGTGTCTCAAAAAAAAAAAAAAAAGAAAATAGAAAAAAATAAAAAGACAACAGTACCATGTATATGCTTAGAAACTTAAACTATTAACATGATTATTTTGGGATAATACAATTACAGGTGACTTTTATTTCCTAGTCATATTTTCTAAATTGTTTAAATTGGAACATAAATTTGTAATTGGAATAAATAAAACTTCCTGGATTCTGAGGAATAAAGAAGATTTGACAGATTCTAAAAATACCTACTCCTAAGAAAGTTGAAGAAGCAACGGCTCCCGCCATTAGTAATGATCTTTCTAGTGGCTTACAAGTCTAAGGAGAAACAAAAGTACTTAATTAGCAAATATCACAGTTTTATCCAGCAAAGATAATTTAAAAACAAACACATACAACAAACTCCAAAAGGAATAACACAAAACCCCACACTCTCTGGGTCTCATAATACTCACGTAACTTCTGTTTCCATTGATGCTGTTGAACGCTGCCATGTAGGCACAGAGGAAAACCTGCCGAGAGGGGCAAATGGATCGCATTTTCGTTTCAAGCATAACAGAATTTAGTAATCGTGAAACAGGAAGAATGGCTACCTGAGGTAAAATCACGGACTTGATCCCTTTCAGTGGCGTCATTGACAAAAATACCTTTTAAGAAGACAGTGGAACAGAGTTACAAGTGTTGCTGTGGAAGGAGAACTTGCAGTAGCAAAGAACTTTCCAGGGGAGAGGGAGAATTGAGCCCCCAAGGAGCTGGGGCAGGAGAGGATGGTGGTGGGTACAGGGGCTGCCGGTCCGTAGACAAGGTTGAGTGAGCACCTGCCAAACACCAAACTAGCAGCTCTAAGGACATCCAGGGTCGAACAGCAGGCCGTGTCTCCAGGGCCTTAGTCCAGCAGGGTAGCTAAGATGTACACATTTGTTAGCTGGGTGCAGTGGCTCACTCCTATAATCCCAGCACTTTGGGAGGCTGAGGTGGGAGGATCACTTGAGGCCAGGAGTTGACCAGCCTGGCCAACATGGTGAAACCCCGTCTCTACGAAAAACAGAAATTAGCCGGGTGTGGTGGTGCACACCTGTAATCCCAGCTACTCGGGAGGCTGAGGCAGAAGAATCGCTTGAATCTGGAAGGCAGAGGTTGCAATGAGCCAAGATCATGCCATTGCACTCCAGCCTGGGAGACAGAGCAAGACTCCGTCTCAAAAAAAAAAAAAAAAAAAAAAAAAGAAGTACACATTTGCTAGGGAAAGCAGACAGGAGCCTGTGGTGTGGACAAGTACCTCCTAGGCTGGGAGTGATGGCTCACGCCTATAATCCCAGCACTCTGGTAGGCCAAACTGGGAGGATCCCTTGAGGCCAGGAGTTCGACACCAGCCTGAGCAATGTAGCAAGACTCAGACTCTGGTAAAAATAAAAAAATTAGCCTGCCATGGTGGCAAGTACTTGTATTCCCACCTACTCAGGAGGCTGAAGTAAGGGGATCCACTGAGCCTAGGAGTTTGAAGTTACAGTGAGCTATGATTGTGCCACTGCACTCCAGCCTGGGCAACAGAGCAAGACCCTATTTTAAAAAACAAAAAACGGTCCAGGCATGGTGGCTCACGCCTGTAATCCCAGCACTTTCGGAGGCCAAGGTGGGTGGATCACCTGAGGTCAGGAATTCGAGACCAGCCTAGCCAACATGGCAAAACCCCATCTCTACTAAAAATAAAAACATTAGCTGGGTATGGTGGTGAGCGCCTGTAATCCCAGCTACTCAGGAGGCTGAGACAGGAGAATTGCTTGAACGAGGGAGGCAGAGGTTGCAGCGAGCTGAGATTGCGCCAGTGCACTCCAGCCTGGGCAACAGAGCCAGACTCTGTCTCGAAAAACAAAAAAAACCCAAAAAACCAAAAAGCACCTCCCAAGGGCCAAGGTGAGAAAAGCCTCACAGGGACAATGCCAGGTCCCAGGTGAGGGGCTGTGTCAGAGGAGGACTTGGTGGCCAGGGGTTTGTGCAGGGAGCTCATCCTAACTCACTGGCCGCTTCTACCGTGCTCTGCGCATACTTGGTGTTCAGAAAAGGGATGACCTTGCCAAGCTGTGGGCCTTCCAGAGGCCCGGATGCCTGACTGGGAGGGTGTGGGGAGGGGGAGGGAGTGGGGACAAGGACGTATGAACAGCAGCCATGGGTTATCAGTGGGGATCCACAACCATCTATCAGGCAGTCATGTGACAGGGGTCCGGAGCTGGAGGGACACAGCTGAGGTTAGGAGGAGAGTGGCCATCTTCCCAAGCCCCTAGTCTCCTAACGGCAAATGTCTGCTTGCTCACCGTGGGTGCCATGAAAGGCAGGAACGCTGGCAGGAAGAGAAGAGAGGAGGTGTCAGTGATCACAGTTGCCCAGGCAGAGGGGGCCAGAAGGGGACTACCCACCTGAACACCTCTTCCCCAGCTTCCAGAAGGCACAGACCTCAAAGGACTTTTTCCACTCATTCTTTGTTTTTCTAATAAAGTGGGGGGTCAAGGTCTCAGCACTTTGGTAGGCTGAGGCTGGAGGATGGGTTGAGGCCAGGAGTTCGAGACCAGCCTCTATTTTGTAGAGGTAGCGAGACCCCCACCTCCATAAAAAATTTAAAGCCAGGTGTGGCGGCATGACCCTGTAGTCCCAGCTACTCAGGAGGCTGAGGTAGAAGGATCAGCTGAGCCTGGGAGTTGGAGGCTGCTTTGAGCTATTATGGTGCTACTGTACTCCAGCCTGGGTAACAGAGCGAGACCCTGTCTCTAAAAATGACAATAATAATAAAGTATGTACATAAAATTACTATAACATGGCCAGGCACAGTGGCTCACGCCTGTAATTCCAGCACTTTGGGAGGCCAAGTGGGCGGATCAGAAGGTCAGGAGTTCGAGACCAGCCTGGCCAACATAGTGAAACCCTGTCTCTACTAAAAATACACAAAGGAAAAAAATTAGCTGGGCATGGTGGCAGGCACCTGTAATCCCAGCTACTCAGGAGGCTGAGGCAGGAGAAATCACTTGAACCTGGGAGGCGGAGGTTGTAGTGAGCCGAGATTGTGCCACTGAACTCCAGCCTAGGTGACAGAGCAAGACACTGTTTCAAAAAAAAAAAAAAAGAAAGAAATCCTGCTGGGGGAGAAATAATTAAAGCAAGGCAGGCAGAGTTTTCTTTTCTTTTTTTTTTTTTTTTTGGACACGGAGTTTCACTCTTGTTGCCCAGGCTGGAGCGCAATGGCATGATCTCAGCTCACTGCAACCTCCGGCTCCCGGGTTCAAGTTCAAGCAATTCTCCTGCCTCAGCCTCCTGAGTAACTGGGACTACAGGCACGTGCCACCACAATGCCCAACTAATTTTTTACATTTTTAGTAGAGACGGGGTTTCACCATGTTGGCCAGGCTGGTCTCGAACTCCTGACCCCAGGTGATCCGGCAGGCAGAGTTTTCTAAGTGTTAGAAACTACATCTTCCCAACCCACTTCTGAAAATTAGAACCAACTCACCTGCAGGTCGAAAAAGCTTGGGGATCAGGTTGCTGCTGTCGGGATGCACTGTTGCCTTCAAAAGGAGAGATGCAAGGTTAGCTGGATGTCTGGTTTTGTTATTATAGGACACTAAAAATTAGGAAGGGGCTGAAACTTACAAGACTCCGCTTCCAAGCTTCTTGTATCTTAAAGGAGAAAAAAGAATAGCTTTGTTTCATTTTAAATTTTTTTTAAGAGACAAGGTCTTGCTCTGTCACCCAGGGCTGGGGTATAGTGGCACAATCATCACTCACTGCAGAACAGCCTCGAACTACTGGGTTCAAACGATCCTCCCACCTCACCCTCCTGAATAGCTGAAACTACAGGCTCACGCCACCATTCCCAACTAGTTGTTTAATTTTTAGTAGAGATGGGGTCTTGCTATACGGCCCAGGCTGGTCTTGCAGTCTTGGCATCAAGTCATCCTCCCAAACCATTGGAATTACAGGGTTAAGCCATCACACCCAGCCTTAAAAAAACAACAACAACAACAAAAAAAAACAAAAAAAAAAAAAAAGCTTTTAAAGGTGGCTCAACAGCAAAGAATTTCTTTGCCTGTCTCATTTCTGGGACCACATTTGTTCTACCTTTCAGAGAGTGAAGGCCAGAGCTGTTATTTACCACATTGACAGAACAAATCAAAATAAATGGATCATATGAATAAACAAATGAACTAATGACAAGCAAAGAGACGAGCCACACAGAGAAATGGACCAGAACATTAAAAAGTCCTGTCTCTACCCTTGGAGAATACCAACACCTAACTTATCCCTCAGATGAGTCCCCGAATCCGGCTTGCCTCTGGCTCAGAGCAGAGCAGGCTGTGTGCTGATGACACACCATGCCATCAGTCAAGTTACTTGCAACAGAGCCAAGCTGTCAGCCCAGGGTCCCCAGCACATTCTTAGAAAAAGTTAAATATGTGAGCTCTCCATAGGCTGTCTTGAGGAGCTGGTGTTTGTGAGCTCCAGAAAGCCCCACATACTGCAAGGTAGATAAGGAACAGTCCGTTTGAGCCTATCGGCAGGAACGCTGCCTGCAGTGGAGAATGAATTCTGACGTCAGAGCCCTGTCTGAATTCTGGGGTTTGCCACTGGGCTCCAGGAATCAGCTGCAGGGAATCCCCACAAATATCCACTGTGTAGGAGGAAACTTGCTGTCTGGTTTATGGGACAGAATTCTAACTACATTTAAAAAACTAACCCAGTTTTGCAAAGCTGGTCCTCTGGGCAGTATATAACAATGACAGCATTAATAGCCAATAGAACAGTGGCTCCCAAGGGAAGGAAAAAAGAAAGAAAAGAGACGGAGACAGAGATTAATGGCCAAATTCCACCTGACTTCAGACCATGCAGGCAGAACCATCTGAGGGCAACCAGCCAGACCTGAGCACGTGAAACATACCCTTTGGTCCGCCGAGGCAGGGCTGGAAACATCTTCATTTGTGCACAATAGTTGCCTCGAGTTTTCTATACTTTCCTAAAATCAGATATCAAGTAATCAAGTAATGATCTCAACATTGTTCAGGTTTATCCCCAGAGGTAGGAATCACCAGCTCACTCACCAGCATGCACTGGACTTCGACTGCATGCCTGATTTCAAGCCACATGGTGCCCTAGGCTCTCTATCCATTAGGATAGCCCTGAGTGCCATTCAGATTTATGCCTTCCTCTTCCTAGATGCTCCAGCAGCTGCCCCCAATGGTGCTGTCACCTCCCCCACTCTCTGATGTCAACTGTCGCACTGAATGGTTACCACCATCCCCTGGCTATACATGTCAGAAACCTAGAAGTCCTTCTCCCTCACCCACTTCCATGTCTTATCAGTTCAGTCTTATTTCCTCTCTTTTTCTTTCTTTCTTTTCTTATTGTTTTTTAAGAGACAGGGTCTCACTCTGTTGCCCAGGCTGGAGTGCAGTGGTGTGATCATAGCTCACTGCAGCCTTAAACTTCTGGGCTTAAGTGATCCTCTTGCCTCAGCCTCCCAAATAGTTGCGACTACAGGCACAACCCACTACACCTGGCTAACTTTCTATTTTTATTTGTACAGATAGGGTCTCGCTACATTGCCCAGGCTGGTCTCAAATTCTTATTCTCGAGAGATCCTCCCATCTCAGATTCTCAAAGTGCTGGGATTATAGACATGAGCCACCACAGCCAGCCTCCATTTCTTAATTTGAGAAAAAATAAATACAAAAATTACAAAGAATGGCTACACACTATAATCCCCTCACCCAGAATTAACAACTGTAAACATCTGGTTATATTTGCTTCTAATTTTATTACATTTTCTTTCTTCTTTTTTTTTTTTTAAAGATGGAGTTTCACTCTTGTCACCCAGGATGTGACCAGTTTAGCCAGTCTGTCCTCCATCACGTGGAAGATTTGTTTGATTCTCTCTGAATCCCCAGCACCTGGCCTGGGCCTGATATTACCTGTTAAACAGATGTACGCTTTTCTTTTCTTTTTTTGCTGGGGGAAGGGGATGGAGTTTCGCTCGTCACGCAGGCTGGAGTGCAGTGGCAAGATCTCGGCTCACTGCAACCTCCACCTCCTGGGTTCAGAAAGTGATTCGCCCACCTCAAGCCTTCCGAATAGCTGGGATTACAGGTGTCTGCCACCACACCCAGCTAATGTTTGTATTTTTAGTAGAGACGTCGGTTTCACCATGTTGGTCAGGCTGGTCTCGAATTCCTGACCTCAGGTGATCCACCCACCTCGGCCTCCCAAAGTGCTGGGATTAAAGGCATGAGCCACGGCACACGGTCAGATGTACGCTTTTCCTTACCCCTTCCAATCTGACAAGCTCATTTAGAAGGAATAAACACAATAATATATGTAGATTCTGTTATTTCAACTGCTTTTAAAAGGGACACGTGGGCAGGGCCTGAGGTCGGGAGTTCAAGACCAGCCTGACCAACATGGAGAAACCCCCGTCTCTACTAAAAATACAAAATTAGCCGGGCATGGTGGCGCATGCCTGCAATCCCAGCTACTCGGAAGGCTGAGGCAGGAGAATCGCTTGAACCTGGGAGGTAGAGGTTCTTGTGAGCCGAGATGGTGCCACTGCACTCCATCCTGGGCAAGAAGAACGAAACTCCGTCTCAAAAAAAAAAAAAAAAAAAAAAAAGGGACACACAGACTTCAAGTTTCAAAATAAAATGTGAAATTCATTAGCTCTGAAAACAATACTTACAACTGAAATGAACACATTTGTAGGATCTAATAATTCTGTCCATTGAAGAAATCGTCGAATAAAGGACTTAGGAGGGAGAAAAGCAACAGAGAGGTTAATGGCAGCAGAAAAATAAAGATATAAATACTAACAGTTGGCTTTTTTTTTTTTTTTCTGAGAACCTGCCAGGGTCTGTGATCTGCCTTTTACTGGCATCATCTCCTGGGATCCTCCCAACCTCTCCAGGTTCTCCAGGTGAGGAAGCTGAGGCTTAGAGGGACTCCTGAATGTACTCAAGGCAACACAGCCAGGAAATGATTCAGAAGTCTGTGCCCTTAACCTCTCAGTATCAAATTGCCCTTGAGGGTTAAAATCCCAGACTTTGGGGGTTCAAATGGTCTTACGTTCATATCTCACATACGACCTCGAAGCAATGGCCTAGAATATCTCAAGAGTCTGTGGCCTCACTCTCTGCTTGCTATAAGGCTTCACTCCAGTGACAAAGGATGGACGCCCCATTAAGGGCTCAATGGTGCAGCTGGGGTCACACTGGGGAAAAAGAGGTTTGCTCCAGCAAACTCTAAACTTTGTAGTGGTTCTGGCTTTAAGCCTTGGCTCTGCTGGAGCAACCTGAGCTCACCGCCCCTTCTCAATTTCCCCACCTAAAAAAAAAACAGGGCTGGACCCCACTTTAGGAGAGGCCTCAAAGAGAACCCCCTAAAGCCCTGCTCTCCAATTCGCCACATGCGGCTGAACCCAGATGTGCTGTGAAGGTAACAGACGCCGGATTTGGAACACTCTGTACCAAAAAAGCGAGTAAAATATCTCAGCAATGTTTTTTACTGATTACATGTTGAAATGTTAATATTTTGCACCTGCTAGGCTAAATGTACTGTATTGTTAAAAATTTCAGCTGTTTTTATCTTGTTTAATGTGGCTACTAGAAAATGTTTAATTACCTGTAAGGCTCACATCATATTTCTATTGGACGGTGCTGCCCTAGACGCTGCAGGGAGATAAGTCCTGCTTATGTCCTGCCCAAGGGTGGCTTCCCAAAGCCTCGGGGGTCTCACCGAAAGTGGCTGAGCTTACCAAGGTGCGAGAGCCTGTTTCTCCCCAATCTGCTGCTCAGCCACAGCTCAGGCAGTAGGGAGCAGCCACCTGCGCGGACTGGGCCCCTCCGAGAGGGCAATCTGGAGGGTGACGTTGTGGTCGTGGGCATCTGGCAGCTTCGATTTCCCCTGCGTCCCCTGCCGCGCCCTAAGGGGTGAAGGCCGGTGGTGCGCGTTCCCGGCACAACTCCGAGAGGAGGAAACGGAGACAGGGGGCGCCCACGTGGCCTGGCCAAGGTCACCCGGGTCAGCCCGACTCCACGCGGCCCGGCCCGCCCCCTCCCTGCCCCTAGTCGCGCCGGGCCCGGGCCGTACTTGGCGCTCGGTGATCCAGAAGCGCACGTTGGGCTCAATGAAGGCGGGGACGGCGTCTCTGCGTCCTAGGAGCCGCCCAGGTTGCGTTTCCTCCTCCTGTTCCAGGGACATTTTGCGCTGGTTAGAGTGGCCGCCGCCGCCAGGCCGCGCGTGGAGGAGGAGCCGGGCGGCGAGCCCCGCCCCGGGCCGCGCGCACCCGCAGTTCCCGCCCCAGGCCCGCGCGCCCGACGTCCCGTGTCACAGCGCCTCGGGGCCCTTGCGCGCCCACTGTTCCGGCGAGCGCAGCTCTCCCACGGGCCACGTCCTCCCAACCCTGCTTGCCCTGCTCCGCACCTTTGGGGAGCCGGGCCGTCTCCAGGCCCCAAGGGGTCACTATCGGAACCCGTCATCACAGTACCTAATGCGAAGACCCGGAAAGGTTGTGAGTGAGGCCGTCCGCAACCTCACCCTGCGCTTCTGCCGCGCCCTACCCCTGGTCATTACCCTCGAAAATCCCTCCGATGGCCCACGAATTCCAGTGTGCATGGTGTTGCGCAGTCAGGCCGGCTGCATCATGGTCTCAGCCCAGGGAAAATGTCAAATGCGGTGCCCCTTATTCATGTTACTGAGAATTTCAAGAGAGTAACACCAGAGCATCAAACCAAGTATAGGGCCCTGGGCACAGTGCACTATCCCTCAGCCCAACAGGTTGTTTTTTTTTTTCTTCCAGTGTTGGGGCAAATCCAGTTCCTTTTGTTGACTACCAAATAGGTACCATTTGTAAAGAAAAACCTGCCTTCCCTTCCTCCTCCCACCTGCCCTTCCCCAGCACAGGGCCAGGCGGGGGCTGTGTGCACTTAAATTCACGGAAGCCACAAGTGTGCCTAGGTCGTTCAGGGGGCCTCCGGAGTCCAGGACTGGGGGACCCAGCACATCATCTAGTTGTGTGACCCTCGCCAAGTCAGTATCTCGAAGTCTATTTTCCCATCCGCAAAATGAGGATAACAATTGTACCTATCTCAGGGTTTTGTTTCTGATCAAAGGAGATAAAACATCCCTAACACAGCACTGAGCCCTCAGAAGTGCTCAGTATTGGCCATTAACCTCCAGCGGGCCAATTCCTTCCCTTGCCCTGCGCCTCCAGGAACAGGAAATTGGCTCATGGCGTCCTTCAGGCCTGTATGACTCTGCTTCTGTATTTGCTCAGTTTGCCTAGCTCACTTTTCTTAACCTCCAGGGGTTTATCTCCTCTTCCAGGAAGCCTTCCCTGACCCTCCGAGTTGAGTAAGGTGCCCCCTCCACTTCTACCCTTATGCCGCAGAAATCCATCTAAGCACCAGTGCAGTATGTAGCGTGCTGTTCTATTCTGTTGTCTCTACCCTCCAGGATGTCACAAAGCCAGCCCGCTGGCCTGCTTCCCCACTTTGGACTGCTATGTCGTCTTAACAAAGGAGCCAGAGTGATTCTCTTAGAACAAGTTGATGTCACTCTTCTTTTCAAATCCTTCCTGACATTCCCCACCCCAGAACAGAACCTAAAGTCCTTGGCCTGGCCAAAAGGCACTCTGGGACCCCCACCACAGCCATAGTCACCGGCCTCCTAGTAAATCTGCATCCGCTCTGAGCCCACTCTTGCCTCACGGCCTTTGTGTTTTCCCTGCCCTCTGCCTAGAAGTCTCTTATCCCCGTAATACTCTCACTTTCTACGCGTTTTCTCTCCCTCGATGCTCATCAAAACCCTGAGATAAGTACAATTATTGTCCTCATTTTACAATGAGAAAATTGATCCAGAGAGGCTCTCCCTTAAGGCCTTCCTTGACAACCCCATCTAGAACACCTACAACTCCGCTTCAGCAGTTTCACTCCACATTATTTTCCTTCCAAACACTCTACTTTTACTACATGTATGAGGTGTTTCCCCTCTAGAATGTAAGAGCTTAAAAGCAGGGGTTTGTCCGTTGTTCGCTCTTGTGCCTGGAAAACAGCACCTGGTGCGGGGTAGGCACTCAAGGATTTACTGAAACAACGAGAAAATGTTTCCCTATCTGTCTTGCCCCTAAACCGAGTTCCTTGAGTGCGGAACCAGCATCTTATTCTCTTTGTGGCCCCTGAGGTAAATGCTCAATAAATGTTTGTTGATAATCTGAGAAGGAAAGGAGAGCCCAAAATAAGCTGATCCAACAGTTACTGGTGGTAAAATGCAAATGTTTTAAAATATGTTTATTTTGTATGTTTTACAATGAATACTTCAGCAAAGAAAATAATTATAATTTCAAAATGCAATCCCTGGATTTGATAAATATCCTTTATAATCGATTACACTAATCAATATCTAGAAATATACATAGACAAAGTTAGCTAATGAATAAAATAAGTAAAATGACTACATAAACTCAATTTCAGGGATGAGGGATCATGCATGATCAGTTAAGTCACTCTGCCACTTTTTAAAATAATACGATTCACATTTGCTTCAATCACATAAACATTCATTGCAGGAGTTACACGGCTAATCATTGAAAATTATGATCTTTGTTAGCTTAAAAGAAAATTCAGTTTAATACAAAGACATTCAAGATGAAAATTTCAGGACCGTTGATCAGAAGCTTTCAATGTGTGTTGCTCTACTTTATTATAGGCAAGATTCAAGTAAGGCTAAGAAAGAAGAGTGTTTCCATTGAGACATGATCTAAGAATAGCCTTCTATAGAGGCAAATTATGTTCTGTAGAAACTAGCTAGCCAGCCACCAAGATGTTACCAATAAAGGATTCCTTGTACTAGCAACTAACCATGTTTAAAAGGTCTTAGCCAGAATTACAAAAACAAAACATTTAGAGTAATACTTATGAATACAAGCATAATTGGTTCCTTGCCTTCTACAAATAACCATCTTGAAAATGATAAAAGCAGGTTTCAACTGTGGTTCTTCTCTCAGTTGAGAAGGTGCAGATACACATGGGTGATCTACTGATTTACCTTCTGAAAGTACTCTTTGGAAGCAGCTGGACTTGGCTTGATCTGAAAATACAAAAGCTTAATTAGGTAACTGTGACTTTACCATAATAATAGTCCCAAAAGTGAGTGGCAATCTCCCAATTTTTAACCTAAAGTTCTTTAAACTTTTAAAGATTTCCTTTAAAACATAAAGATGAAAGTTTCATTAAGGCCTGCCTGTCTCTAGGCCGGGCACGGTGGCTCACGCCGGTAATCCCAGCACTTTGGGAGGCCAAGGCGGGTGGATCACGAGGTCAGGAGATCCAGACCATCCTGGCTAACACGGTGAAACCCCGTCTCTACTAAAATTCAAAAAATTAGCCGTGGTGGTGGGCGCCCTGTAGTCCCAGCTACTCAGGAGGCTGAGGCAGGACAATGGCGTGAACCCAGGAGGCGGAGCTTGCAGTGAGCTGAGAGAGCGCCACTGCACTCCAGCCTGGGCGAGAGCAAGACTCCGTCTCAAAAAAAAAAAAAAAGGCCTGCCTGTCTCTGATAATTGGTTCCTGGCTCCCCACCCCACCCCCTCTACCCCACAGCAGCTTCACCCATTTGCATATCATCTGCACGCTTGCTTCAAGAGTGGGCTCCCTTTTGTGGATATTTCAGGTCAATAGCTCTCGAGGCTGAGAGAACATGGACCTCACTGCTTTTGGGGAAAAAAACCTACCGTAGGAGAATCCGGTGTCCAGTTCGCTGGGCAGACTTCTCCATGTGTTTCTACATACTGGAACGCCTTCACCAAGCGGAGGGTTTCTTCCACGCTTCGGCCCACTGGGAGATCGTTGACGCTCAAATGCTTGATGACTCCATTGGGGTCAATTATGAAGAGACCTCTGCATGATCATTTATCCTCATCAGTGCCTCAACAGTACCAGAACTAGAACAGTCTAACTTCTTCCCTTTTAGGTCTTTAATTCTCCTTTTAATAAAATATTTATTAAGCGTAATCATATGCTTAAAGGTGGGGTTTTCACTGTTGTGCAAAAAACTTATCATCTCTTACTGATGACAGATGCTTTAACAAAGGCAGTACTGGACCAGGTCACCATAAAACATGCAGTATGGTCACACTTACAAGTTCACATAGTGCCCTGAATGTTACACAGTATCGGAAAGTCACTGAACTAGAGAGAGCAAAGACTATTAGTGACTTGGCAAGCATTCTTTGAGCTGCTGTATCACATCTTGGCAAGAAACTTATAGGCAAATGGGAAGAGACAGAGGTGTATTTTATCTAGGTTCAACAACTGTTTATTATGAATGAATTATTGGGTAAATGGGGGGAAATCCCACGGGAAAAATCTTCATAGAAAGAATGTACAGGCTCTAAGTCTATGCAAAACAGAAAACCATGCCCATCACTTTTAATCATGTAGCAGCATGTAATGAGATGAACCACGCTACCACAGTGGTCTGTGTTTATCTTCTGTGTTGGTGTTACTGTGACAGATGCAGATATGTTTAGCCTAGAAGTTTTTTTGGTTGTTTGGTTTAAATATAGGGTCTCACTGTATTGCCCACGCTGGAGTGCAGTGCTCTTCTCAGGTGTGATCACAGCAGGCTGCAGCCTCGAACTTCTGGCTCAACTGATCCTCCCACCTCAGACTCCCAAGTAGCGTGACTATAGGTGTGTGTCACTGTGTCCGGTTATTTAACCTACAGGTTTTAACAGTCTGTCTTAAAAGGATGTGGAAATTTCAGGTATCAATCACTCATGGAAAAGGCAGGTTAGAGAAAACTCAGGATAAAAGATGCTTCTCCCTCCCTGGGTCAGGCACTGGGAGCCTGGGGTTTGAGGTGAAACTGTTCCCAGAGGGTGCAGCCAGCTGAAGTCCACCAATAGAAGGTGAGGCAGAGCTGGGACAGAGCAGGGCCCATAGACTCCCAAAAGTCTTTATCTTATAAGCCAGACTCAGCTTCTCTCTCTTGTTAATCTCAATATTAAAACGGGTACAGAGGTAACTGCAAAATTAGTGAGTTCTCATAGGGAAAGGGACCGTAGGAGAAAAATAGCCAGTACCCTTTCTCTGGCCATTGACAATTCTGAAAGACCTAGGCATTCGTTTGATAATCTCTTTAAAGTTTAAAAAAAAAAAAATGGTCTGCCAGGTGCGGTGGCTCATGCCTGTAATCCCAGCACTTTTGAGAGGCCGAGGCAGGCAGATCACGAAGTCAAGAGTTTTGAGACCAGCCTGGCCAACACGATGAAACCCCATCTCTACTAAGAATACAAAAATTGGCCGGGCGTGGTGGCGTGTGCCTGTAATCCCAGCTACTCGGGAGGCTGAGGCAGGAGAACTGCTTGAACCCGGGAGGTGGAGGTTGCAGTGAGCCGAGATCACGCCACTGCACTCCAGCCTGGGCGATAAAGCAAGACACCGTCTCGAAAAGAAAAGAAAAAAAAAAAAAGAGAGGAAAAAAAGGCCCAAACTCTAAGATGCCACTCAGCGCTAAAACCCAAGGTGTAACCCAAGAAAGAGCAGGCCAGAGGTCACCTACAAGACAGGCAGGTGAGCTGGCTTTGTTTGTTTGTTTGTTTGTTTGCTTTTGAGACAGAGTCTTGCTCTGTCGCCCAGGCTGGAGTGCAGTGGTGCGATCTCAGCTCACTGCAAGCTCCACCTCCCAGGTTCACGCCATTCTCCTGCCTCAGCCTCCCGAGTAGCTGGGACTACAGGCGCCCACCACCACGCCCAGCTAATTTTTTGTATTTTTAGTAGAGACGGGGTTTCACCATGTTGACCAGGATGGTCTCGATCTCTTGACCTCGTGATCCACCTGCCTCGGCCTCCCAAAGTGCTGGCATTACAGGCCTGAGCCACCGCGCCCGGCCAGGTGAGCTGGCTTTAAGCTGACCAGCCCCCAGCAAAACTGTGAGGCACAGCACATCAAAGGGGGATCCCCTCTCTTCCTTCCTGGAGGTCAAGTTCTGCCCTATCCCTCCTTCACTCCTATTCTCAGCAGACTTCAAGATGCCAATTCTAAGACCCAAGTTCTCATCCCTCCCAGGAAGGTTATGTTTGAATGTGGGGCTGCTGAGGACTGAAAGCTTTTCACACTCAAAGGAATAAAGGTTTAATAAGGGACTGAATACAGATAGAAATGATGTTCTGGGGCAGAAATCCTAACAACTGCTGCCAGTAACTATGCTAAAAACTCTAGCTGTGTCACTATTTAATCCTCACACCCACCTGTGACGTACCACCTCATTTTAGTTATGGGAAAACTGGGGCTCAACAAGGTTAAATCAAATCAGTTGCCCAAAGTCACACAGCTATTAAGTAGCTGAGTTAAAAAAAAGAAAAACTCAAACCAAGGATTGTTTGGTTCCAGGGCTGAAGATGGTCACCATTCCAAGAGACTACCTCTTACCCTGCTAGTCCCCCCTTCTGCAGAGTCTGATGGCTTCAATGTCAGGTGTGTGTCCCCATGGAAGTGGCTCCCACATAGTTAGGGAGTATGGAGCAGTGTGGCCTCAAGACGCAGCCAGCCTTCTTCAGAAAGAGACCCAAGGTGGTGGAGGGGACATGCATGTCTCAGCATTTCTGAGAGACCGCCAACCCTTGCAGGAGGCATTTCATCAGTGTTTATTAAAGACTAAAATTAAGGATTGATTATTATAAATTTTAATTCTTTTTAATATAATAGGGATGAGGTCTCACTATGTTGCCCAGGCTGGTCTTGAACTTCTGAACTCAAGTGATCTTCCCGCCTTGGCCTCCCAAAGTGCTACGATTACAGGCATGAGCCACCATGCCCAGCCAGGATCTTCTGGTTTTAAAAATGCTTTACCAAGGTCTACATAAATCCCCTAAGAAGCAGAATGATACTAAACATGAAAAATAATCTTAAGTTCATCAGAAACAGGATCTTACCTTAGTGCAAGACCAGAACCTTCTAACAGCACACCGTAGTCTCGGGAAATCTGCTTAGTTAAGTCTGACAAGAGTGCGATGTTCATGTGGCCCAAACCACCATTCTAATCAAAATGCAAACATGACTGTTAGAATGTGTGGCCTCACAACATTCTTGACCACGTACCACAATGTTTGAGACCAACAGTAACGGCGATAGGTAACAGTAATTCAACAACGGGCCAAGCACTGCTTACTCTATTAACCTACTGCCTCCTCGAAACCACCCTGGAGAAGACACTATCAAAATGAGGAAACTGAGGCAAGAAAAACCTAAGTAACTTGTTCCAGGTCACAGCTAGAAAGGAGCAGAAGGAAGATTTACACCCGGCTAATACTATAGACCTTTTCCAATTTTTTTTTTAAGACACAGAGTCTCGCTGTCACCAGGCTGGAATGCAGTGATGCAATCACAGCTCACAGCAGCCTCAAACTCCTGGGCTCATGCAATCATCCTACCCCAGTCTCCTGAGTAGCTGGGACTACAGATGCTTTTTCTAATTCTTTATTATTTTATTTATTTATTTATTTATTTTGAGATGGAGTCTCGCTCTGTCGCCCAGGCTGGAGTGCAGTGGTGCGATCTTGGCTCATGGCAACCACCGCCTCCTGGGTTCAAGCGATTCTCCTGCCTCAGCCTCCCGAGTAGCTGGGACTACAGGCGCCCACCACCACACTTGGCTAATTTTTTTTATTTTTAGTAGAGATGGGGTTTCACCGTGTTAGCCAGGATGGTCTCGATCTCCTGACTTTGTGATCCACCTGTCTCGGCCTCTCAAAGTGCTGGGATTACAGGCGTGAGCCATCACGCCCGGCTGCTTTTTCTAATTCTTAAAGCATTCTTTTAAAGGCTAATTTTCTCAAACATAGACATGGAAGAGTAATAATAAAAAAAATACCTTGAGTAGGCCAGGTGTGGTGGCTCATGCCTGTAATTCCGGCACTTTGGGAGGCCAAGGTGGGCGGATCACCTGAGGTCAGGAGTTCGAGACCAGCGTGACCAACATGGAGACACCCCGTCTCTACTAAAAATACAAAATTAGCCAGGGGTGGTGACACATGCCTGTAATCCCAGCTACTCGGGAAGCTGAGGTAGGAGAATCGCTTGAACCCAGGTGGCGGAGGTTGCAGTGAGCTGAGATTGTGCCATTGCACTCCAGCCTGGGCAACAAGAGTGAAGCTCCGTCTCAAAAAAAAAAAAAAAAAAAAACCCAACCCTTGCGTAATTTGATCTTGATAGTCCAGCAGCATAGCTAGAAATTTAGATTCTTCCAAGCAAGTTTATAAGAGCAAAAGCTAGGGGTACAATGCCATACCTTTCTTGGTGTATTTATCCAGGCAAGATGGCTAAAGTGGGAATCCACTGAGACTGCGACAACTTCACAGTTCACGTCGTGAAATTCGTTAGCTTTGTCACTAAAAGCAACAATTTCTGTAGGACACACAAAGGTGCTGGAAAAAAAGGATAGAAATTCTCATTAGAGCATTTAAAAACAAGGATTTTAACAATTAGTGGTCTAACAACTAGTTCAACTTGCTAAGGGTAAAAAAGGCAAAATGGTTTACCATCCTCACTGGACTATAGTGTTGTGCTGGCAAAAGTACTACTACCTCCCCTCACCTTTTTATTTTTAGGAATTGTATCAAAAAATGGGGAAAGGGAACACATATTTTAAGAAAAAAAAATTACAGTTCAATAAAGTTGCTTTTTGAAAAAAATCATTTTATTATGCCTACTTTTCTCATTTTTCCCCAGACCAGTGAAAACTTTTTCATAGACTGGCTTAGGGAAGCAGTGCTCCAGAGCACAGAGGTGTACTATAAAGAAAGCTGTCCTACCCCACCCCCGAAGTTTATCACTTGTAAACAAGCTACAGATCCCAGCTGTAATCAACAAGGCCATCAGTGATAAAGGGTCAGAAAGAATCCTTCCTTTCACAAGGGTATCTAGGGATAGACAATTCAGTGTGGGAACAGGATATGTGCTTGCTCTCAGAATGACACGAAAGCATCATAGAAATTACACTTACAAATCCAAAGGATAGAAGAAAAGCACCAAATATTTCCCCTTAAAGTCATCAAGGCTTAGGTCTTTGAACTCTCCATTGACAACGGCTGTACCCTTAAAATAGGGTGCATGCTGGGTGACAGCAGGTGCATGGCATGAGGAACCTGAAAAAAAACCCACACTCATATGGAGTTCATCATTTGCTATGTCAAGCACCTATGATTTTATTTAAACTTCTCATAATTAATTAGTAGTATAAAGTGCTTAGTATAAATCAAAACATTCGGTTCAACTGTACATCTTAGGCACAGTCATCCTTTGCCACCTGTGGGGGGATTGGTTCTAGGATATCGAAATCTACAGATGCTCAAGTCTCTTACATAAAGTGGTGATTTGCATATAATCCACACACACCCTCCAGTATACTTAAATCATCTCTAGATTACTCATAATACCTAATACGACGTAAATGCTACGTAAATAGTCGTTAAGCTGTATTGTTTAGGGAATGACAAGAAAAAAAGACTTTGTGTTCAGTATAGACACAACCATCCATTTTTCCCTCCCAATATTTTCGATTCAACCAACCACAGATGCAGAATCCAGATACAGAGGGCCAACTGTAATTTCTCCTTCTATAGTTTTAGATTGTGCACAAATTCAATTCCAACTGCTACAGAAACTAAAAAGAGGAAGACAAAGTAGGGATAGAATTAAGGAAGACATGAGACTAGAGATGGATTTTAAATATGGTTCAGATTTTGTCAAGTCTAGATGGGATGGGGCAGATGGCATGTAGGAAACAGCAGGAAGGAAGACAGGACATGTGTGTGGAGCAGCGTGTGGCAGTCTAATGAGAACAGAGAGTGTCTAAGGGTACGGAGTGAAGAGCAGGCAGCAGGCAGGAATGGTTGAAGGCCATGTTGCAACAGTCCTTAAATACTAGGCTGCTGGGTCTTCTTAGCAGGAAAGATAACAGAGTCAAGGGCGGAGTCTCGCTCTGTTCGCCCAGGCTGGAGTGCAGTGGCACAATCTCAGCTCACTGCAAGCTCTGCCTCCTGGGTTCACGCCATTCTCCGGCCTCAGCCTCCCGAGTAGCTGGGACCACAGGCGCCCGCCACCCCGCCCGGCTAATTTTTTGTATTTTTAGTAGAGATGGGGTTTCACCGTGTTAGCCAGGATGGTCTCCATCTCCTGACCTCGTGATCTGCCAGCCTCGGCCTCCCAAAGTGCTGGGATTACAGGCGTGAGCCACAGTGCCTGGCTGAGATGGGGGTTTTTAGGAAGATTAGTCCGGCAGGAGGGAAAGAGGAGCAGGAGGAAGGGGGAGACATGTTAGGAGGTGGTTTCAGTGATTTTTTTTTTTTTGAGACAGAGTTTCGCTCTGTCACCTAGGCTGGAGTGTAGTGGCATGGTCTCGGCTCACTGCAACCTCCGCCTCCCAGGTTCAAGCAATTCTCCTGCCTCAGCCTCCCAAGTAGCTGGGATTCCAGTAGCACACCACCACACCCGGCTTATTTTTTTTAAGTATTTTTAGTAGAGACGGGATTTCACCAGGTTGGCCAGGATGGTCTTGAACTCCTGACCTCAAGTAATTCGCCTGCCTTGGCCTCTCAAAGTGCTGGGATTACAGGTGTGAGCCACTGTGCCCAGCCTCGATTTCAGTGATCTTAGACGTATTGAGGGGAGGTATGGGGCAGAAAGAACAGAAAGGAATGGATGCAAGAGATGTGTCAAAACTGAAAAGGACTTGCTTCTACCCAGGAATGAGCGACAGAGTAGTTCCAATGTCAAAATGCCTGACACCGCCATGAACAGAAACAGGAGGCGCTGCTGGGGATGAGGATTCGAAACCAGTGGAGTAAAGTTTTAAGCCTGTGGTATCACATCACTACTAGAAATATTTTGAAGCTCCAGGGTAGTAAAATTGCGAAAGCTCTTAGAACATTTTGCCCACAAACAAAGGCTTTACTAAAGTATATCCCCACAAACCATTACATATTAAATACGGGCTTTTTCAAAGGCTAGTCAAATCTAGACAAGGTATTTTCAAATACCACTCATTATCTGAGGCTGATCTTAGCAAAGCCCATATCCTAGAGAAGGGAGTGTAAATCTCAAGAAACAGCTAAATTTCGCTCAGATTACAGATACCATTAGACAGGTCTGGTTCCTAAGTGGCCAGCTGGGGCCATTACACAGGTTTGAATCTTAGAGCAGCTGCCCTCTCAGGTCCCCCACAGGCTGCCCACCACTCACAGCTCTTCAGACACACTAGACTCAGAAGGCATCTGAGCTCCCAGTAACACCCTCCTCAACACAGTGGATTAGAAACTCTGACAACCAACATGGAAATGTGACAAGGGCAGTTTGCCTCAGTGATTCTCAACCCTGGCTGCACGTTAGAATCACCCGGCACATCCTGGTCTCACCCCACAGACTAACTTGTCTGGGGTGGGACGGGGGCAGTGCTGTGTTCCTGAAAGCTCCCAGGTGACTCTAACGTTTGGCCAGGGTTCAGAGCCCCTGTCCAGAGACGATGGTTCATTTTTCCTTTACCTGGCTCCAGCCAAGACATGACATAACACTTACTGGTGCTGAATAATTTTGCTTGACTGGAACCAGAACACAATAAATTTGTCAAGCTCGTTCTTCCACATGCAGCAGGCCTGAGGGCTGCAGTGGCAGAAATGCCCCAAGGAATGGCACTCACATGTCGGGCAACCTGGAAAGAGAAACTTTTTATTAGAAAGTTTTCCTGGACTGGTGACTGAAGGCTGAAAGGGCATCGTGCCAACGGTGGTTTCAGCTGTCCCTGTTCCTGTGAACCAAATAGCAAACCCCAAACTCTAAGAGCATGGATTGGATCTGCATGTTCTTAACACTCCCTTCTGCTTCCTTCTCCTAGGAGACTGGAAGGTGGAGAGGAACTATAAGAACACAAAGACCGGCTGGGCGCGGTTGCTCACACCTGTAATCCCAGCACTTTGGGAGGCCAAGACGGGTTGATCACCAGGTCAGGAGTTCGAGACCAGCCTGGCCAAGATGGTGAAACTCCATCTCTACTAAAAACACAAAACTTAGCCAGGCGGCGGTGGCGGGCACCTGTAATTCCAGCTGCTTGGGAGGCTGAGGCAGGAGAATTGCTTGAACCCGGGAGGCAGAGGTTGCAGAGCCGAGATCGCGCCATTGCACTCTAACCTGGGCGACAACTCCGTCTCAAAAAAAAAAAAAAAAAAAATCAGAAACTCCATGCGCTTAAAGCAACACAGGGTTCAGAAGCCAGGGGACTTGTGCAGGCTTTTCCCAGCACTATCTGCTGAGTATGTTCTACCATTTCAAGGTTTTCCTTAGAAAAACAAGGCCCCTCCAGCACCAGCGACAAGTAAACAAGAAGAGCCAAATTCAGCCTCTGGGAGTCTGTTAAAGGCTCAAGGGACATGTTTACTCAACTTTTTTTTTTTTTTTTTGAAACAGAGTCTCGCTCTTTTACCCAGGCTAGAGTGCAGTGGCGCGATCTCGGCTCGCTGCAGTCTCGACCTCCTGGGCTCAAGTGATCCTCCCACCTTAGCCTCCCCAGGAGCACTGACCACCATGCCCGGCTATTTTTTTTTTTAGAGACAAGGTCTCACTATTATTGTCCAGGCTGGTCTCAAACTCCTGGGCTCAAGTGATCTGCCCGCCTCGGCCTCCCAAAGTGCTAGGATTACAGGCGTGAGCCACCGCACTCTGCCGGTTTGCTCAACTTTAATGTTCAAAATGACTCAGGAGAACGAAAGGGGCTGTGTTGAACCCCACCAGAGAAAGCCGTGTACCAAAAGAGCACGACGCATTGCCCACAGTTAAGCAGGAAACAGCAGCAGAAACACGCGGGAGTGGGATTGGGAGGGAAAGCCTTTGTGAGTTTTTTAGCACTTTGCGCGTTTTTATCCAGTATTTAAGGGGCTGTTCACAGCAACGCCTTGATGTAGGCATCATTCTTTCCATCTTAAGTACACAGTCTGAGAAAGGCGAAGGCGCTTGCCCAAGATCACAGGGTCGGTGGCAGAATCAGGGCCAGGACCTTAAGTGGAGATGGGCCTGGGGACCGGGGACGCCGAAAGAGGAGGGACTCGGGGAAGAGACCGCGAGGATGGAGTGGGGAAGGGCGGTTCTGCGCAGGCGCATGGAACCTTCCCGGAGGGAGGCCTCTGGGTCCGTTACCCGCGGAAACCCTCCAAGAAGGGCGAATGGCCCTCATGCCCAGAAGCGCGGGGTCCTGTCTGAGAAGCACGTTCCCGGAGCCACCAGTGTCTCCACGCCTGTCCCCAGCCGACAGCCACTCACCGACGCTCGGAGCAACCGTCCTACAGCAGCCGCCATCTTCAGTGCACTCGGGCGCCACGGGGCGGGCAGAGACGCAGGGGCGGGGCCTACGGGGTGGTGAGCGGGCCCTCTGCTGGTGGGGGGGCGGGGCCGGAGGAGCCACCGCCTCCCCGCCTCCTGGAGACCCTGAGGGAGAAATTCCCTTTAAGGCTGAATGCTTGGGCAAGTGACACGTGGTTTTCCTACTGTCGCCCCAACCTTAAAAGAACGAATCCAGGCGGGGCATTAGGTATTTGTTTCCATATTTCCCACTGTTTTGTTAACCTTGTGTGGATTACTGTGTCTAGTATTTCTGTGACAGGATCCCTTTCTTATTTCAGCCTCAGGTAGAGACTTCCGGCTTCTGTATGAAATGGAATTAATTACAAATGCAGTTTTAGTCCGTTAATAAGCTAAGTGGGCTAGACACATCAAGGCTTTGTTGGCCTGAAATCCGCTGGAATTGTGTGTGGTCTAACATTTGGCCTCTCTTCCCAAAATTGGGAAAACTGGGACAAATTTAAAATTTGGTTTTTGTCTATTAATGAAGCCAAGTGTTCAGTGGTGAGCATAGTACTTGAAGCAACCACATCAAACATAGATAAAAATCACACCGTGGCCTTACAGTAAGTGTGACAAATTGCAGTCTTGGAGCTGGTATTTTCTTTTCTCTTTTCTTTTCTTTTCTTTTTTTTTTTTTTTGAGACTGGGTCTTGCTCTGTCGCCCAGGCTGGAGTGCAGTGGCATGATCTTGGCTCACTGCAACCTCTGCCTCCCGGGTTCAAGCGATTCTCCTGCCTGAGCTTCATGAGTAATTGGGATTCCTGAGCAGCTGGGATTACAGCCGCCTGCCACCATGCCCAGTTAAGTTTTTGTATTTTAAGTAGAGATGGGGTTTCACCATGTTGGCCAGGCTGGTCTCAAACTCCTGACCTCAAGTGATCCGCCCACCTCGGCCTCCCAAAGTGCTGGGATGATAGGCATGAGCCACTGCACCCGGTCTGAGTTGGTATTTTCCAATCACTAGTCATTCAATTAGCAACTTCGTTTCTCAAGTCTTCTTATCACCAAATATCACTTACTATTTTCTTTAAATTGGCTTTCTTTTTTTTTTTTCCTTTTCTTTTTTGAGACAGAGTCTCACTCTGTCGTCCAGGCTAGAGTGCAGTGGCACAATCTCGGCTCACTGCAACCTCTACCTCCTTGGTTCGAGCGATTCTTCTGGCTCAGCCTCTCGAGTAGCTGGGATTACAGGCGTGCACCACTAAACCCGGCTAATTTTTTTAGTATTTTTAGTAGAGATGGGGTTTCACCATATTGGCTAGGCTGGTCTTGAACTCCTGACATCAGGTGATCCTCCCACCTTGGCCTCCCAAAGTGCTGGGATTACAGGCGTGAGCCACCACACCCAGCCCAGTATATTTTCTAAAATCATCTCAGGTACCACTAGGCGCCACCCTGGGTACCAGTCCCCAGATGTGGAAAGGACTGCCTTGGATGTGTGGGGACACACGTTTCGACTATTTCACCTCACACCTTCCTTGTGTTTGTTTAATTGGTTTTAATTATGTCTGTGTTTAGCAGATGATTGAAAAGGAGACAATCATTTTGGAGCTCAAAATCGTACTGTAGGCCGGGCGCAGTGGCTCACATCTGTAATCCCAGCACTTTGGGAAGCTGAGGTGAGTGGATCACCTGAGGTAAGGAGTTCAAGACCAGCCTGACCAACATGGTGAAACCCTTTCTCTACTAAAAATTGCAAAATTAGCTGGGCATGGTGGTGCATACCTGTAATCTCAGCCACTTGGGAGGCTGAGGCAGGAGAATCACTTTAACCTGGGAGGCAGAGGTTGCAGTGAGCCGAAATTGAACCAGTGCACTCCAGCCTCAGCAACAAGATTGAAACTCCGTCTCAAAAAAAAAAAAAAAAATACTGTAGTTCACAATGGAATATTATTTATCCATAAAAGGAATGAAATACTGATATATGCTACAACACAGATGAACTTTGAAAACACTAGCTAAGTGAAAGAAGCCAGACACAAAAGAACAAATAGTGTGTGTTTCCTTTTATATGAAACATCTAAAATAGGTAATTCCAAAGGGACAGAAAGCAAATCAGCAATTGTTAGGGACTGGGAGAAGCTGGCATGGGGACTGACTATTTATTTTTTATTTTATTTATTTATTTTTGAGACAGAGTCTCCCTCTGTTGCCCAGGATGGAGTACAGTGATGCAATCTCAGCTCACTGCAACCTCAGCTCACTGCAACCTCTGCCTCCCAGATTCAAGCAATCCTCCTGCCTCAGTCTCCCGAGTAGCTGGGACTACAGGTGTGACCACCATGCCCAGCTAATTTTTTTTTGTATTTTTTAGTAGAGACGGAGTTTCGCCATGTTGGCCAGGCTGATCTCGAACTCTTGACCTCAAGTGATCTGCCTGCCTTGGCCTCCCACAGCGCTGGGATTACAGGTGTGAGCCAGTGCGCCCAGCCGGAACTATTTAGTAGGTACAGGATTTTCTTTTTTTTTTTTTTTTAATTTTATTTTTATTGATCATTCTTGGGTGTTTCTCACAGAGAGGGATTTGGCAGGGTCATAGGACAATAGTGGAGGGAAGGTCAGCAGATAAACAAGTAAACAAAGGTCTCTGGTTTTCCTAGGCAGAGGACCCTGAGGCCTTCTGCAGTGTTTGTGTCCCTGGGTACTTGAGATTAGGGAGTGGTGATGACTCTTAACGAGCATGCTGCCTTCAAGCATCTGTTTAACAAAGCACATCTTGCACCGCCCTTAATCCATTTAACCCTGAGTGGACACAGCACATGTTTCAGAGAGCACAGGGTTGGGGGGTAAGGTCACAGATCAACAGGATCCCAAGGCAGAAGAATCTTTCTTAGTACAGAACAAAATGAAAATTCTCCCATGTGTACTTCTTTCCACACAGACACGGCAACCATCCGATTTCTCAATCTTTTCCCCACCTTTCCCCGCTTTCTATTCCACAAAACCACCATTGTCATCGTGGCCCGTTCTCAATGAGCTGTTGGGCACACCTCCCAGACGGGGTGGTGGCCGGGCAGAGGGGCTCCTCACTTCCCAGTAGGGGCAGCCGGGCAGAGGCGCCCCTCACCTCCCGGACGAGGCGGCTGGCTGGGCGGGGGGCTGACCCCCCCCACCTCCCTCCCGGACGGGGCGGCTGGCCGGGCGGGGGGCTGACCCCCCCCCACCTCCCTCCCGGACTGGGCGACTGGCCAGGTGGGGGGCTGACCCTCCCACCTCCCTCCCGGAAGGGGCGGCTGGCCGGGCAGAGGGGCTCCTCACTTCCCAGTAGGGGCGGCCGGGCAGAGGCGCCCCTCACCTCCCAGATGGGGCGGCTGGCCGGGCGGGGGGCTGACCCCCCACCTCCCTCCCGGACGGGGCAGCTGGCCGGGCGGGGGGGCTGAACCCCCCACCTCCCTCCCGGACGGAGCGGCTGGCCGGGCAGAGGGGCTCCTCACTTCCCAGTAGGGGCAGCTGGGCAGAGGCGCCCCTCACCTCCCGGACGGGGCGGCTGGCCGGGTGGGGGGCTGACCCCCCACCTCCCTCCCGGACAGGGCGGCTGCCGGGCGGAGACGCTCCTCACTTCTCAGACGGGGCGGCTGCCGGGCAGAGGGTCTCCTCACTTCTCAGACGGGGCGGTTGCCAGGCGGAGGGTCTCCTCCCTTCTCAGATGGGGTGGCTGGGCAGAGACGCTCCTCACCTCCCAGACGGGGTCGCGACCGGGCAGAGGCACTCCTCACATCCCAGACGGGGCGGTGGGGCAAAGGCACTCCCCACATCTCAGACGATGGGCGGCCGGGCAGAGACGCTCCTCACTTCCTAGATGGGATGGCGGCCGGGAAGAGGCGCTCCTCACTTCCTAGATGGGATGGCGGCCGGGCAGAGACGCTCCTCACTTTCCAGACTGGGCAGCCAGGCAGAGGGGCTCCTCACATCCCAGATGATGGGCGGCCAGGCAGAGACGCTCCTCACTTCCTAGACGGGGTGGCGGCCGGGCAGAGGCTGCACTCTGGGCACTTTGGGAGGCCAAGGCAGGCGGCTGGGAGGTGGAGGTTGTAGCGAGCCGAGATCACGCCACTGCACTCCAGCCTGGGCACCATTGAGCACTGAGTGAACCAGACACCGTCTGCAATCCCGGCACCTCCGGAGGCCGAGGCTGGCGGATCACTCGCGGTTAGGAGCTGGAGGCCAGCCCAGCCAACACAGCGAAACCCCATCTCCACCAAAAAAATACGAAAACCAGTCAGGCGTGGCGGCGCGCCTGCAATCGCAGGCACTCGGCAGGCTGAGGCAGGAGAATCAGGCAGGGAGGTTGCAGTGAGCCGAGATGGCAGCAGTACCGTCCAGCTTCGGCTCGGCATCAGAGGGAGACCGTGGGGAGAGGGAGAGTAGGGAGAGGGAGAGGGAGAGGGAAGTCCAGGATTTTCTTTTGTGGTGATGAAAATGTTTTGGAACTAGATAGAGGTGGGTATAACATTATGAATTAACTAAATACCCCGAATTGTAAACTTTAAAATAATTAATTTTATATTTGGTGAATTTCACCTCAATTAAAAAAAAAATTAGAAAAAGGCCAGGCATGGTGGCTCATGCCTGTAATTGCAGCGCTTTGGAAAGCCAAGGTAGGAGGATCACTTTGTGCCCAGGGGTTTGAGACCAGCCTGGGCAACATAGCAAAACCCTGTCTCAAAAAAAAAAAAAAAAAAAAAGAAAGAAAAAGAAAAAGGAAAAGAAAAAAAAAAGAGAGAGAGAAAATGTAGAAGAAATAGGGACTAAAAACATTATATACTGTAGTCTACTCCAGTGATTTAATAGATCTAAAAGGCTCAGAAAACTGAGCCTTTTGGAGATGGAGAGACCTTCCCAAAATCACATCACTGGCTAGAAGCAGAGAGGTAGGGCAAGAACCCAGAAATTCCATACCACTGACCACCCAGCGTGTGTGTCTGATGGAGTTCAGCCTCAGCACCTTTTCCCCAGCCAACTCGTGAGATTACGTCATCCACACCCTCATCGTCTCCTCTTCTCCCTCATACTACAGGGTTGTTTTTTTGGTAGAAACAAGGTCTCGCTATCTTGCCCAGGCTGGCCTTGAACTCCTGACCTCAAGTGATCCTCCAGCTCCCAAAGTGCTGGGATTACAGGTATGAGCCACTGTCACAACAGCCTGCAGTTTTAAAGTACTTAAGCTTCAGTAGCTCAAGTCAACAAAAGGGGAGGGGGGAGGGGGGCAAAGCCAAGCCAAGGGGTCGCCTTCTCTTCTCCTTATGCCCACAGCCCTTTGCCGCCCACCTCTCCCTTCCCCATGCTGGAGGGCCTCTTGCTCTCCTATTGTAGGCGTGTGTTTTTTAGTTCCTGCACACAGGCAGTTTGGCTCATAACTAAACTTCACTATAAAAATGTAAAGCATGGTGCAAGTCAAAGCGACAGAGCAGAGTGGAGTTCCCTTAGAATTTCACCTCACTCATCCTGGTTTCAGTTTTAAAGCTCAGATGCATTAGTTAGTGCCAGCTCATAGGCAGGGTTAGGCTTCAAGGTAACATTACTTGAGGGCCTCATAATTGGCTCTGAAAGCAATTCTTTTTTTTTTTTTTTTTTGAGACGGAGTTTTGCTCTTGTTGCCCAGGCTAAAGTGCAATGGTGCGATCTCGGCTCACTGCAACCTCTGCCTCCCAGGTTCAAGTGATTCTCCTACCTCAGCCTCCTGAGTAGCTGGGATTACAGGCATGCACCACCACGCCCAGCTAATTTTGTGTTTTTAGCGGAGATGGGGTTTTGCCATGTTGGTCAGGCTGGTCTCGAACTCCTGACCTCAGGTGATTGGCCCGCAGGTGATCGGCCCGCTTCGGCCTCCCAAAGTGCTGGGATTACAGGTGTGAGCCACCGTGCCTGGCTGCTTCAAGGTAACATTACTTTCCGTCTTCCATGTAGCCCCATTCACCTGCGGCTGCCTTCAGTTAGATTTCCTGCATGATTCCTGCCCATTTTAGCCTCTGAAGTAATCTGTTTCCTGTCCTATTAGGTACCAAATAGAGAGCCCTCTGGTATTGGATCAATTAACAATGTGATTTTTTTTTTTTAGAATCTTGCTGTGTTGCCCAGGCTGGAGTGCAGTGGTGCAATCTCGGCTCACTGCAACCTCTGCCTCCTGGGTTCAAGAGATTCTTCTGCCTCAGCCTCCTGAGTAGCTGGGATTACAGGTGCCCACAACCACAACTAGCTAATTTTTGTATTTTTAGTAGAGACCAGGTTTTGCCATGTTGGCCAGGCTGGTCTTGGACTCCGGACCTCAAGTGATCCTCTCGCCTCGGCCTCCCAAAGTGCTGGGATTACAGGCATGAGCCACCGTCCCTAGCCAACAATGTGATTTTAATCATTAATAAACATGTACTGGAGAGGATCACTTAGACCCTGCTGCCGAGGAACTGTGTGTGTATCCAAGGAATACTGATAAAATCATTAAAAAAAAAACCCAGTCCAAGATTCAGCATTTTAAGAGGCATGAAAGAGGCATAATGGTTGAGTGTGGACAGCTGAGATTGACACACCAGCTCTGCTAGCTGCAGGCACGTGGCCTTGGGCAAGTTACTTAGCACATTTTCCCATCTGTAAAATTGAAATGATGTTAGTGCTTACCCCAAGGGCTTTTGTGAGGAATAAATGAGTTCATATTTTAAAGGCATTAGCACAGTCAGCAGGCACATAGTGTTCGTTATATTAAATAAAAGAGAGGTGCAAGTGAAGTGCTATCATGGTTTAGAGAAAGGGGCCAAGAAGGGCTTCACAGAGAAATCATCTATCCTGCTGCTTGGGGAAGGTGAAGGGGAAGATGGCAGGTGGAAGTGACTAGTGACCTTTGTCCCTTTGGTTTACTGTTATCTTCAGTGACCACACTATGGGGCTACGCTCTGGGTTGAATGCAGTATCTCTATTCCGTCTGCACAACCCTATGACACAGGTGCTTTTTCGGTTTGTTTTTTGTTTTGTTTTGTTTTGTTTTGTTTTAGAGTCTTGCTCTGTCACTCAGGCTGAAGTGCAATGGCATGATCTCAGCTCACAGCAAACTCCACTCCTGGGTTCAAGTGATTCTCCTGCCTCAGCCTCCCAAGTAGCTGGGATTACAGGTGCACACCACCACACCTGGCTAATTTTTGTATTTTTAGTAGAGATGGGGTTTCATCATGTTGGCCAGGTTGGTCTCGAACTCCTGACCTCAAGTGATCCGCCTGCCTCGGCCTCCCCAGGTGTAGGGATTACAGGTGTGAGCCATCACACCCAGCCACAGGTACTGTTTTTAATTCATCATCCCCATTTCCAAGGTGAGGAGACTGATGCTTGGGAAGGTTTAGTAATTTGTCCAAAGTCCCACAACTGGAAAGGGAAGGAGCCAGGATTTAAACCTTGAAAGCTGACTGCAGAGCCCCCATTCCTTTTCATTTTTATTGTTTTTTGTTTGTTTGTTTGTTTTTGAGACAGGGTCTCTCTCTGTCATCCAGGCTGGAGTGCAATGGCACAACCATGGCTCACTGCAGCCTCAACCTCCTGGGCTCAAACAATCCTCCCACCTCAGCCTCCCAAGGAGCTGGGACCACAAGTGTGTATCACCAAGCCCAGCTAATTTTGTTAGTTTTTGTAGAGAAGGGTCTTCCTATGTTGTCTAGGTTGGTCTCAAACTCCTGGGCTCAAGCAGTCCTCCTGCCTTGGCCTCCCAAAATGTTGGGATTACCGGTGTGAGGCCAGAGCCCCAACTCTTTTTTTTTTTTTTTTTTTGAGATGGAGTCTCGCCCTGTCGCCCAGGCTGGAGTGCGGTGGCGCAATCTCAGCTCACTGCAAGCTCCGCCTCCCGGGTTCACGCCATTCTCCTGCCTCAGCCTCCCGAGTAGCTGGGACTACAGGCGCCCGCCACCACACCTGGCTAATTTTTTTGTATTTTTAGTAGAGATGGGGTTTCACCGTGTTAGCCAGGATGGTCTCCATCTCCTGACCTCGTGATCCACTCACCTTGGACTCCCAAAGTGCTGGTATTACAGGCGTGAGCCACCGTGCCTGGCCAAGTGCCCCAACTCTTAAAGCAATATTGTATGACCTCCTACAGTATTTGTTGGAGCATAATGTGCTTGATGGGACATAATAGGAGATGGTACTATAAATGTGGGCTGTGTGAGGACATGAAGGAGCACTGACCATCTGTCCTTTAGTGAAATATCTCAAGTACTCCACTCCCAGGCACCAGGCCTCACTGTGGATTCTGTCCATTGATGCGGTACGCTGTGCTCTTTTGCCTAAGCATTTCTAATAGGTTCCGCCCCTGCAATTGATGTTCACCACCTTGGGGCCCACTCTACTCTCAGCCTTCTTTTTTTTTTTCTGACGGAGTCTCACTCTGTCACCCAGGCTGGAGTGCAGTGGTACCATCTCGGCTCACTGCAACTTCTGTCTCCCAGGTTCAAGCAATTCTCCTGCTTCAGCCTCCTGCGTAGCTGGGATAACAGTGCCCGCCACCACGCCTGGCAAATTTTTTTGTATTTTTAGTAAAGACAGGGTTTTCAATGTGTTTCAGCACATGGCCAGGCTGGTCTTGAACTCTTGACTTCAAATGATCTGCCCGCCTTGGCCTCCCAAAGTGCTGGGATTACAGGTATGAGCCACTGTGTTCGGGCGACTCTCAGCCTTCCTTTCCTTCTCTGGGGTCTGTCTGTTCCTGTCTTCCTGCCAAGCTTGTGAAAGGAAGGCACCCACTTATTTGTGACAACGAAAAATGTTTCCAGATGTTGCCAAATGTCCCCTGGGGACAAGAGAACCCCCAGAGGAAACCACTGCTCTAATGGTAATGGCACAGGCTGTGGGGCCACCAGGACATGGGATCAAATTCTTGGTCTGTCACTTATGGTCTTGGAGGGCAGGTCATATGTCTCAGGCATCACAGAATCCCTCGTGACTAGACCAGTTAATGTTTCTATACCTCAGTTTCTGCAGGTGTGAAATGAGGGTAATGATGGCATCTACCGCTTCAGCCATGCACAGTGAGATAATGCCTGCAAAAGATGTAGTGGGGTGCTAGATACAGAGAAAGTGGTATAAATAAGTTATTCTTTTCCCCACAAGCAGACATACTACATTTTCAAACAACTGGCACAGGCTCTGAAGACATTTTATTTTTTCTCAAAGTGATGAAGTTCATTTTCCTTTCTTTCTTTCTTTTTTTTTTTTTTAAACAGAGTCTTGTTCTGTCGTCCAGGCTGGAATGCAGTGGCATGATCTCAGCTCACTGCAACCTCTGCCTCCCAAGTTCAAGCAATTCTTGTGCCTCAGTGTCTCGAGTAGCTAGGATTACAATCACGTGCCACCATGCCAGGTTTTTTTGTTTTGTTTTGTTTTGTTTTGTTTGTTTGTTTTAGTAGAGATGGGGTTTTACCATGTTGGCCAGGTCAACTCCTGACCTCAATTGATCTGCCGATCTCGGCCTCCCAAAGTGCTGGGATTACAGGCGTGAGCCACCATGCCCAGCCCTTTTCCTCCTTTCATTCAGGAGTGAGGGGTGAGGAATTTGTGCAAACGCTGATCCCCAAACAGGCTCAAATTAGGCTCTTCTGGAAGCCACAGGGACATGCAGGCAAGGAAAGAAAGGTACTGGGAATCTACCTGTTCAGGGCAGCTTAACCTCTTCTGCCTTGAGGCACCTGCTGGGTCTGGGCTGTGCTTTGACTCAGGAAACCTTGCCAGTTTTTTCTTTTATCTTATCTTTTTTTTTTTTTTTTGAGATGGAGTCTCACTCTGTCACCTAGGCTGGAGTACAGTGGCGCCATCTTGGCTCACTGCAACCTCCACCTCCCATGTTGAAGGGATTCTCCTGCCTCAGCCTCTCGAGCAACTGGAGTTACAGGCATGCGCCACCACACCCGGCTAATTTTTGTATTTTTAGTAGAGACGGGGTTTCACCATATTGGCCAGGCTAGTCTCAAACTCCTGACCTCGTGATCCACCTGCCTCTACCTCCCAAAATGCTGGGATTATAGGCATGAGCCACCACACCCAGCCCAGTTTTTTCTTTTAAAGCTAACTATGGGCAGGGCTCGGTGGCTCACACCTGTAATCCCAGCACTTTGGGAGGTCGAGACAGGTGGATCACTTGAAGTCAGGAGTTCAAGACTAGCCTAGAAACATGGCGAGACCCTGTCTCTACAAAAAAAAATACAAAAATTAGTTGGGCATGATGGTGCATGCCTGTAGTCCCAGCTACTCGGGAGGCTGAGGTGGGAGGATTGCTTTAGCCCAGGAGGTTAAGATTGCAGTGAGCTATGTTTGCACCACGGCACCCCAGCCTGGGTGACAGAGTGATACGCTGTTTCAAAAATAAATAAATAAATAAAGGTAACTATAAGGAATAAGGGCCTGGGTAACAGAGTGACATGGTGTCTCAAAAAATAAATAAATAAATAAAGCAAGCTAACTATGAGGAATAAGGGTGACCACAATGGTCAGACACCTATCAAATCCCCATCTACCTGAGATGGACTTTAGCTATGATTAGAAAGACATCTTGGCCAGGCATGGTTGCTCACATCTGTAATCCCAGCACTTTGGGAGGCAGAGGCAGGCGGATCACCTGAGGTCAGGAGTTCAAGACCTGCCTGGCCAATATGGTGAAACCCTCTCTGTACTAAAAATACAAAAAAATTAGCCGGGTGTGGTGGTGGGCACCTGTAATTGCAGCTACTTGGGAGTCTGAGACAGGAGAATCACTTGAACCTGGGAGGCCCTGGTTGCAGTGAGCCGAGATCACACCATCACACTCCAGCCTGGGTGTCCAACAGCTTGGTCCGATTTTGAAAAAAGTTCTCTTTGTCAGATGGAGAAAGAGTTAACTTCCACTGTATTAACTTGTGCCTCACATTTTAAATATTTTCTGTTTAATGTATGGTTTAATTTTCATCTTAAAAATGCACTGCCTTATAGGTATCTTTTTTGCTTTTTCCGTCAATGTAAATCAAGCTAAGACATTTTGTAATTTTTATCTCCATAAATCTCAAGCATTCAACAGTCATTCTTCACATGGGCATTTCAGGCAAGCTCAACAAAGCATTACTGTTTGCTTCACACCAGGCAGAGAGGCCGCGCACAGCAGCACAATTCCCAGGGCTTTTGGCCATTGGAGATGAAGTTTCACTGCTTATCACTTCTTGACCAAACAGGAAGCTGAGGCAGTTGCCTGTGGTTAAATAGTTTACCTCAAGTCGTACAGGGATTCCTGGGTTGGGGGCTTTCCAGTGTACATGTAGGCCTTCTGGTCTGCTGATCTCTGCCAAAGAAATGAAATACCCTAGAATCTCTGACCCAGAGGCCCAGAAGGAATTTCATGCAAGAGCCTCCCAATGGCCTGTTAAGATCTGCAAAGTGTCCAGCTAGTCTCAGGCTGTGGCAACTGACTTCCCCTGGTAGGACTAGTAGAGTCCCCCTTTTGTTCATTCCAACAAAAGATAACCATGATTGATTTTTGATCACCAATATAAGCCTTAGGAGGAAGGAGCAGCTGTTTTGCCAAGCATTCCCTGACCACTTTCCTAGCTTGTCCTGGTTAGAGACCCCTACCAGGTTCCTAGAAAACACCATGCCCTTCTCATTCTCAGCGCTCCCAGCTCCTGTCACATGGCATTGGAATTTTCTATTGCCTTGTCTGGGTCTTAACAATACTGTGCACCTCTTGAGGATAGAGCTCATGTCTTACTCATCCCTGGAATCCCAAGGCTCAGCTAATCCCTGGCTTGCAGCAACTACCCAGAGCAAGTTTGTCAAGTGAGTCAATAAGCAGTGCTGGCAGGATTTCTACACACATTCTGAAAAAAAAACTATCTTTTGGCTGGGCGCGGTGGCTCACACCTGTAATCCCAGCACTTTAGCAGACTGAGATGGGTGGATCACTTGAGGTCAGGAGTTCGAGACCAGCCTGGCCAACATGGTGAAACTCTGTCTCCACAAAAAATACAAAAATTAGCCAAGTGTGGTGATACATGTCTGTAATCCCAGCTACTGGAGAGGCTGAGGCAGGAGAATCAATTGAACCCGGAAGGCGGAGGTTGCAGTGAGTCGAGATCACGTCACTCCATTCTAGCCTGGGCTACAGGGTGAGACTCCATTTCAGAAAAAAAGAAAAAAGAAAAAAAATTTATTCAGCTTTCTCTAGCTATTGCAACAATAACACACATTTTTCCCCGGAAAGAAAGAGACAACAACCACCACAACAAAAAAGATAACAAAAAAAAAGAAAGAAAAAGAAAGGAAGGAAGGAGAGAGAGAGTGAGAGAGAGAGAAAGAAGGAAGGAAGGAAGGAAAGAAAGAAAGAAAGAAAGAAAAAGAAGGAAAGGAAAGAGAAAGAGAAAGAAAAAGAAAGAAAGAAAGAAAAAAAGAAAGAAAGAAGGAAAGAAAGGGAAAGAGATGAACTGGCCTTATTCTCATGAGTAAAAGAGTAGAAAATGACTGAAATTCTCCCTTTTCAGTTTGGGAGGGAAAAAAATTGGACCTAGTTGAGGGGGAGGCAAATGAAAAGATATATGCTCATTTTTATGATGATTAGGAAAATACGCCCCTGGAACCACAAGTTAACTTTCTGGTAGCTGGGGCTGCAATTAGAGATGGCAAGCAGGACTCTGGGTTTTGCTGAGTTCTTCCTCTTTCCACAGCAAAAAACATACATTTTTTTTTCTTCCTTTTTTTCCCTCATTGAAGAGGAGCCCCAGATTTGGCTCTCTCCTGGGTTCAGAAAAGATGAAGTCTCGGAACCAAGCCCTGTCTCCCAGCCAAGTCCTCTTTTTTTCAATTTTTAATTTTTATTTTTTGAGTCTTATTCTGTCACACAGGCTGGAGTGCGGTGGTGCAATCATAGCTCACTGCAGCCTCAACCTCCCAGGCTTAAGTGATCCCCCTGCCTCAACCTCCTGAGCAGCTGAGACTACAGGTGCACAACACCATGCGTGGCTAATTTAAAATTTTTTTTTTAGAGATAAGATCTCTCTCTATTGCCCATGCTGGCCTCACACTCATGGGCTCAAGCAATCCTCCTGCCTCAGCCTCCCAAAGTGCTGGAATTACAGGTGTGAACCACCACACCCGGCCAAGGCTTCCCTTCTAAACTTACCCCCAGCATGCTCCAGCATGGTCTTGTGCTGTTCCAAGTTAATGTCAAAGGCAGGCAGCCCAGGATTGGAAGGAGTTGAGTTGTCCTTGATTCAAAGCCCCATGGATTCGTTCACCTTTCAGTCTGTCTCTGTATAAACCCTCACTCACAGGCTGATTGGGAAGTGTGTGCCACCCACTAGGCCTCGGGTGAATTTCTTAGGCTGAGTCATCCCCCTCTCTGCCCACCCCCAGGCACACCTTGGCTTGCTTACTTCTGAGCTGTTCTCCTCCTTGCAGCCCATTCCCTCCACCATTTTTTTTTTTTTTTTGAGACGGAGTTTCACTCTTGTTGCCCAAGCTGGAGTGCAATGGCACGATCTCGGCTCACTGCAACCTCTGCCTCCTGGGTTCAAGTGATTCTCCTGCCTCAGCCTCCCGAGTAGCTGGGATTACAGGTGTCTGCCACCGTGCCTGGCTAATTTTTTGTATTTTTAGTAGAAACAGGGTTTTACCATGTTAGCCAGATTGGTCTTGAACTCCTGACTTCAGGTGATCCGCCCGCCTCGACTTCCCAAAGTTCTGGGATTACAGGCGTGAGCCGCTGTGCCCGGCCTCCACCCTTTTAAAAAGACTTTATTTATTTATTTATTTTTTGAGACAGAGTCTCACTCTCTTGCCAGGCTGGAGTGCAGTGGCACGATCTTGGCTCACTGCAACCTCAGCCTTGTGGGTTCAAGCAATTCTTCTGCCTCAGCCTCCCAAGTAGCTGGGACTACAGGTCCATGCCACCATGCCCAGCTAATTTTTGTATTTTTAGTAGAGACGGAGTTTCATCATGTTGGCCAGACTGGTCTCAAACTCCTGACCTCAGGTGATCCACCTGCCTTGGCCTCTCAAAGTGCAGAGATTATAGGTGAGAGCCACTGCACCCTGCCAAACTTTATATTTTAGAACAGTGTTAGGTTCACAGCAAATTGAGCAAAGTACAGAGAGATCTCCCATAGCCCCTATTCTCAGCTTCTCCCACTATGAGCATCCCAAACTGCAATGGTAGATTTGTTACACTTGGTGACTCTACAATGATGTGCCATTATCTCTCAAAGTCCAAGTTTAAACTCAGGTTCACTCTTGGTGTTGTACATTCTATGGGTTTTGACAAATGTATAAGGACATGTATCCACCGTAATATTATCATATGGAATACCTTCACTGCCCTAAATATCCTCTGTACTTTGCCCATTTATCCCTCTTTCTCCTCCAACTTCTGGCAGCCTGTCATCTTTTAGAGCTGTGTCTCCAGCCCAGGCCTGTCCTCTGAGTGCCGCCTGCCAACATCTCCACGCAGATGCCTCTTATGCACCTCAAGCTCTTGCTTTCTTCAAATCTGTTCCCCGCCACTGACTTCCCCAAACCTCCTCAGGTCAGTACATGGCCTCACAGTCCATACAATCATTCAAGCCAGAAAGTAGGAGTCATCTTGATTCTGATGGGGTTCAGAACACCATATCCCAAAATATAGCACCATGGCATTTGGAAAACAGCGAAAGCAGGAAGGTCACTTTCTGACCTCCTCCTGCCCTTCTCCCCTGAAGCAGACCATGAAAGAATCATCTGACCTTCCTCTGAAGAAGGCCCTCATTCCAGGGGTGCCCAGCCTGTACCCAGAGGAGAGGAATGTCCTTATGTCTGGAGACACAGGGATACAGAGAGGAATATGAACAAACAGGCCTTGCTAAGTTCCCTCAGTTTATTGCCATTAGATCACATCCCCTTTGTCCAGTCATACTGCTGCATGACTGTCCACTCCATCAAAACTAAGCATGAAAAGACACGGGGTTCCCTGTTCCTTTGGGTCTTCACCTGTGGATGCTTCCATGCTGCGTACAATATATTCAATAAATGTGTATGCTTTTCTCTTGTTACTCCGTCTGTGGTTATAGAGGGTCTCAGAATTTAGAGAATCTAGAGATGGATGAGAAAAAAATGTCTTTCATCCCCTACAGTTCCCACCTTTCCCTCCCCACTGCTGGCCAGCAGCACCCAAAGGAGACGCTGTCTTGTCTCCACCTACATTTGCCTCCACCTCAGTCCAGGCCACCATCGTTTTTCTCATGCAACTCGTTCACAGCTTCTGAAGGTCTCCTGGCTATCAAGAGGCAAGATTACTTCCATCATGTGAGGTCTATTATATTATATTATTATTATTTGTTGAGATAGGTCCTCACTCTGTCACCCAGGCTGAAGTGCAATGGCACAATCATGGCTCACTGCAGCCTCAAACTCCTGGGCTCAAAGGATCCTCCGGCCTCAGCCTCCCGAGTAGCTAGGACTACAGGTGTGCACCACCACACCCAGCTAATTAAAAAAATATTTTTTTGTAGAGACAGGGGTTTCACTCTGTTGCCTAGGCTGGTCTTGAACTCCTGACATCAAACGATCCTCCTGCCTTAGCCTCCCATCGTTCTGGGATTATAGGCGTGAGCCACCATATGGCAGAGGTCTATTTTAAAAGTGAAACAACAACCACACAGAGTATAGCTTTCACATCTCTCTGGTATCCTCAGACCCTGCCACTTCTTTGGGCTCCAGAGATTTCCAGCTGCCAGGATTTGCATCTTTGTGTGGGGGTCTTTCTGCATAATTGCAGAAACCTGGTCTACCCACCCCTGAGGAAAGACAGGGGTGCTTGGGAATTTATACCGCTGCCTGCAGCCCTCAGCAATGGCTGGGTGGAGGGAATTCGTGTAGAAATACCCCAGCTCCCTCACCTCTTGAATGGACTATCTGGGGCATTTACCTCCCAGGGTCTTCCCACAGATCCAGTCCTAGTCACCATGAAGGTAACTTAACACACCCTTCGCTGGCTGCCTTCCCTGTGTTAGATCCCCTCCCTTATCTCCATTCCCAAATAAGCTACTTGCATTTGAATCCTTATCTCCAGGTTTAGGGACACCCACACTAAGACAGAGCACAACAAAAACTGTAATACGAAATGCTCCCCACAGGCTGATTATAGGACTTAGGTGGAAATATTTATTCAGGCCAGGAGCACTCACCATGAGAACCAGACTAACAGGTGTGGGATGGTCTTTTTCAGTCTCATCAGTCTCTCTCTGTAACGGTATGTGGAACTTTATCTGGGAACATTGCAAAAGTCCAAGCATGAGGACTGCCCCTGTCTGACAGCTTCCCTTTCCCCCCGCCTGCTTTTAACTGGCCTCTCGCTCTCACTCTTGCCTCCTTTCAGTCCATTCTCTGCCCAGCATCAACAGTGATGCTTCTTAAAACACCAACCACTGTTTCATCTCGTACTTAAAGCTCTTCCGTGGCTTTCCATCTCATTAGAGGAAAACACAAATTTGTACAAGGCTCTATGTGGCTTGTGCCCCTGCAGGTCTGCATGCCTGCCTCCTTTCAGACATCTCCTTTTGGGCTCCTCTGGACCCCATCCCTGTGTTAGCCATACTGGTCTACTTCCACCTCCCCAAAAGCTACCCCTCACCTGGGCACATGCGGTCCTCTTGATTGACGTGCTGTTACCCTCCACACATACCTGACTAGCTCTTCTTGATTATTTAGTTCCTGGCTTTGATGGCATCCTCCCCAAGAAGACTTCCCCAATGACTGTGAATGTCTCTGTCTTGGCCCTTGTTTCCTTTTACTGGAAACTTAAAATTGCAATTACTTTATCTATTTACTGGGTATTGGTTGGGTTCCTCCCTAGAACAGAAGCCTGACAGGGCAAGGATCATGCCCATCTTGCTCACTGCTATATCTCCAGCACTTAGCACAGTGCTTGGCACATGGCAGACTCCTAGAAAATTCAGATGAATCTGGTGGAAGGCCCAGCTAAACTCTCACTGTGCAGCCACTTCTGACACCCCCAGCTGACACATCCTTTCCCTGAATGCCTGTGGCAATTATCATCAACATCATTCTTTTGGTGGTTAATCCTCTGTGTTTTATCACAAAACTACTGTTGCCTTGAACTATATATATATATAAATTTTTTTTTGAGATGGAGTCTTGCTCTGTTGCCCAGGCTGGGGTACAATGGCACGATTTCAGCTCGCTGCAAACTCTGCCTCCCAGGTTCAAGTGATTCTCCTGCCTCAGCCTCCCGAGTAGCTGGGATTACAGGCATGCACTACCACACCCGGCTAATTTTGTATTTTTAATAGAGATGGGGTTTTGCCATGTTTGTCAGGCTGGTCTTGAACTCCTGACCTCAGGTGATCTGCCCACCTCGGCCTCCCAAAGTGCTGGGATTAGAGGTGTGAGGCACCGTGCCTGGCCGAACTATTTTTAAATCATGGTTTGTTTCTTCAAAATCTTTGATGCCTATCCTAGTTTGCAGATTAAATAACTAATTCACTTTTTTTGTTTTTTGAGACAGAGTTTCGCTTTTATCACCAAGGCTGGAGTGCAGTGGCACAACCTTGGCTCACTGCAACCTCTGCCTCCTGGGTTCAAGCAATTCTCCTGCCTCAGCCTCCCGAGTAGCTCGGATTACAGGCACCCACCACCATGCCCGGCTAATTTTTTTGTATTTTTAGTAGAGACAGGTTTTGCCATGTTGGCCAGGCTGATCATGAACTCCTGACCTGAGGTGATTGCGGCCGCCCAAAGTGCTGGGATTACAGGTGTGAGCCACTGCGCCCAGCCCTAATTTGCTTTTTAAAGCCCCACAATATTTGACAGTGTATTTTTTAAGAACAAGTATATTCTCTTATATGATAATACTATTACAATGCTCAAAACCAGGAATTTTAACATTGATATACTGTTATCTAATACACAGTCCATATTCAAATTTAATCAAATGTCCCAACAATATCCTTCATAGTAGCCACTCACCTCCCTACCATGATCTAATGCAGTATCACACATGGCATATTTAGTGGTCTTTTCTCTAGTTTTTTTTTTTTTTTTTTGAGACAAGGTCCTGCTCTCTCACCCAGGCTGGAGTGCAGTGGTGCAATCACAGCTCTCTGCAGCCTTCACCTCTGGGGCTCAAGCAATCCTCCTACCTCAGCCTCTTACGTAGCTGGGACTACAGGCACGTGCCACCATGCCTAGCTAATTTTTGTATTTTTGGAGAGATGGGGTTTCAACACGTTGCCCAGCTGGTTCTCAATCTCTTGGGTTCAAGTGATCTGCCTGCCTTGGCCTCCCAAAGTGCTGAGACTACAGGTGTGAGCCACTGGGCCTGGCCTCTTTAGTTTCTTTTAATCTGGAACAGTTCCTCAGTCATTCTTTATGTTTCTTGACCTTGACATTTTTGAGGAACAGAGTCTGGCTCTTTTGTGGAACATCTCCTATTTGGTTGGTCTGATATTTCCTCCGATTAGATTCGGGTTAAACATTTTTGGCAGGAATACCACTGAAGTGTTGTTTCATAATTTACTTAACCAATCTGTTATTCTTGGAAATTTGTGTTGTTTCAACTTTTTCTTCATTTTATAATCAATAATGTAATCTGTATACATCCTTGTAGCCAAATCTTTGTACACGTTCTTATCTAATTTTTTAGGGTGTTTTTCTAGAATTGGAACTGCTATGACTAAGGGCTAGGTGTTTTTGTTGTTGTTGTTGTTTGTTAGTTTGTTTGAGACGGAGTCTCGCTCTGTTGCCCAGGCTGGAGTGCAGTGGTGCTATCTTGGCTCACTGCAACCTCTGCCTCCCAGGTTCAAGCGATTCTCCTGCCTCAGCCTCCTGAGCAGCTGGGACTACAGGCATGTGCCACCACACCTGGCTAATTTTTGTATTTTTAGCAGAGACAGGGTTTCACCATATCGGTCAGGCTGGTCTTGAACTCCTGACCTCGTGATCTGCCCACCTTGGCCTCCCAAAGTGCTGGGATTACAGGCGTGAGCCACCATGCCCGGGCCCTAGGTGCGTTTTTATGATTTTTGTTATGTATTGCCAAACTACCTTCAAGAAAGGCTGTGCCAGTTTATACTCCCTCCACAGTGAGTGAAGGTAGCAATTTCTAGGAGATTTTTGCCAACACTGGATCCAAACAGTTTAAAATACCCTTCTTACAGCAGTCTGTACTTCTCATGTTGATCTGTCTTCTATTCTGGCTTCTTGTGTGTGTAACTTGTTGGCCCTAAACACCTACAAGCTGTTTAAAAAAGGGCTTGCATGTCTGACTCATCTTTGTGGTGCCCAACTATGCTTCCTACTTAATAGTCACTCAATAAATGTCAAAGGAAGGAAGTCACACATGTTTGAACAATGCGACCTTATTTTGTCAGGTTCTGTTTCGACATGCTGGGATACTGTCCTAGTTCCGGCTACTGTAACAAGTTCCATAGACTGGGTGGCTTACAAACAACAGAAATTTCTTTCACGCAGTTCTAGAGGCTGGAGGTTTGAGATCAGGGAGCCAGCATGATGAGGTTCTGATGAGGGCCCTCTTCTGGGTTGCCCGCTGCTGACTTCTTGTTGTATCTTCACATGGTGGGGAGAGGGTGGAAGAGCTCTCTGAAGTCCCTTTTATAAGAGCACTAGTCCCATTCATGAAGGCTCTACATTCATGACTTAATTCCCTCTCAAAGGTCCCACCTCCTAATACCATCACATTAGGGATTAGAATTTCAATCTGAATTTTGGGGGAACATATTCAGTTCATTGCAGCTACCAAAAAAGTTACTAATGTTGGTATCCAAAAGTCCAACAACCAGCGCCCCCTACTTGCCCGGACTAGCAAGATTCATTCTCGGGACCTCTCGGGAACCCCAAAGAAAACTTTCCGTTTTGTTCATATGGATCCTGGGCAGGCTCTTCACCTTAGGTATCCAGCTCACTGCAGACACCTGCTTCTCCGGTCCCCTCCAGCCCTAGCTCCAGGGGCTTCTCTGGGCTGCTGCTGCTCTCCTTGTACTTACCTCTGGGTCCCGGGAGGATCACATGCCTTTCTCTCAATTCTCCAATCCCAGCTAGGACAGGCAGTCCTTTTAAACTGAAGCCTTAGAAATAACAGACAGAAATTAAAATTACAATGCCGATAAGGCAAACATAAAGCAGGATGTGAGGTAAAAATTCTATCACCTTTTTAGCCCCATACGGACCTCCTTAGGGACTGTTTTTCTCCTTTGAAATACTCCTTCCTCCCTCCTGTGATGCAGGATCTGCTAACTTGGGAGGACACCATGTAGAGCACCCTTGATCTTGCCTCTTTTTCCCCATCCTGGCCCTTCTAGGGTATTAAGAGATGGAGCCTTGAGAGTGACTGGGTCATGAGAATGGAGTCCTCCTGAATAGGATTAGCGCCTCGATAAAAGAGGCCTGAGGGAGCTCTTTTGCTTCTTCTGTGACGTTAGGACGTAGCAACAAGGCACCATCCATGAAGCAGGGAGCTCTCACCAGACACCATATCTGCTGGTGCCCTGATCTTGCATTTTCCAGCCTCCAGAACTACGAGCAATCCATTTCTATTGTTTGTAAGTTACCCAGTCTAAGATGCTTTGTTGTAGCAGCCCTAAAGGACTGGGACACACATTAACCAGTGTCTCCCCAGGCTGACCTGCCTCCCACCTCCCCCAAACAGAGGTCCCATTCAGCCTGGACTGGAGGGGTCTGATTGGTATCCTGGAGCATACGAAGGTTGCGGAGCTTGCAGCTTGCTTTCGCCATTTGGCTGCAGCTCTCCAGAGTTCATGCTAGGTGGCATCCTCTCTCCATGGAGGAGACTAGGACAGCTGCTTGGAGTGAGTGCTCCAACTGTATCTAACTGCTCCTGCACAAGCTCATTTCTATAGCACATCAACTCACAGCTTTGCTCTAAGATGCCACTACAGGAGGACTTGAGCTGCTCCAAACCAACTGGGCAAATTAGATATTATATTCTATTTTATGTAATTGTAAAAAAAGATCATTCTGTGCAATGCATTACATTTAGCATATAACTGGCTAGCTGAGATTTCAATGAAGGAGAAAATATATCCTCCTTTTATCGGGGCCATGAAATATACACATGCATATAATGGCCTATCTTAGGTCAGTAAACGCTTTATTCCGAGGCTTCAAAAATAATTGGACTCAGAGTTTTTGGAGCAAGAGAAAGTTTATGTGGCTGGGCGCAGTGGCTCACGTTTGTAATCCCCGCACTTTGGGAGGCCGAGGTGGGTGGATCACCTAAGTTCAGGAGTTCGAGACCAGCCTGGCTAACATGATGTAACCCCATCTCTACTAAAAATACAAAAAATTAGCCAGGTGTGGTGGAGGGCGCCTGTAATCCCAGCTACTCAGGAGGCTGAGGCAGGAGAATCGCTTGAACCTGGGAGGCGAAGGTTGCAGTGAGCCGAGATCGTGCCACTGTACTCCAGCCTGGGTGACAAGAGTGAGACTCCATCTCAAAAAAAAAAAAAATACATAAATAAAAGAAAGTTTATGCTATCGCAGCAGGAGGGTTGAAACCCTGTGAGCCCACTTCACCTATGAGTCATCTGGTTATAAGGGCTCCTAATGTTGCATTTAATTCAGCCTGCCTCCTCCTCCTCTTAAGAAGGAGTTCTACCATTGATAAGATCGTATCTATATGTCCAATATAGGCTACCATGCAAAACAATTGACTAGCTTTAGGCATGTCATCACCTGATAGATGCTGGTCATAAAGAGACCACAAGTGATGGTCTGGATTCTTTCCTTACCTATATTAACAGGAAATCATTGGCTTTTAAGTAAATTACTGGAAAAGGGGCCGGGCACAGTGGCTCATGCCTGTAATCCCAGCACTTTGGGAGGCCGAGGTGTGCGGATCACCTGAGGTCGGGAGTTCAATACTAGCCTGTCCAACATGGTGAAATCCCATCTCTACTAAAAATACAAAAAATTAGCTGGGCGTGGTGGCAGGCGCCTGTAATCCCAGCTACTCAGGAGGCTGAGGCAGGAGAATCACTTGAACCTGGGAGACAGTGAACCAAGATGGCGCCATTGCACTTTAGTCTGGGCAACAAGAGCAAAACTCCATCTCAAAAAATATATATAAAAATAAGTAAAAATTACTGGAGAAGAGGTTATTTTTCCTTCACCTACTCTGAAAGTACAGAATTAATTTTTATATTTTTACTGTGTAATTTCCTTGCCTATTTGAACATTTTTCCTCCATCTAAATCTATTGATTGTTTCATCACTGAACCAAACAAAAAAGTGCCCAACTTTCTGTGTGCCATTTTTGGGTTAAACATCTCATGTTTTACTCAGTCTGAAAATGGAATCGAAGTTGGTTTGCCTAGTTTCCTTTAAAATTCTGGGACCAATTTAACTACTGGGTTGATTATAGGAGATGCCAGGTTCGAGGTCAGAGGTACCATCAGAGAGCTGGAAGTTCCAGGGACTGACAGTCTGCCCTTGACTTTCTGTAACACGTTGACCTCTGACAGGAGACCAATCTCCCCTAATTTTTTCCCTTTTAAAATCTGACCTGGCAGAGATGTGGGAATTTTGATAGTTACCTAATATAGCAAAACTTAGCAGCCAGGAGGCCCAGGTGGGGCTGAGTCATGCCATATGGGGTATAAGTCAATAAATATGGCCAAATGCTCCCTGTGTCAGGCATGTACTAGGTTCAATAGAGAAGAGAATCAAAAGATGAAAAAAGACACATTTTAGGCCTTTGAGTAGGGAAAGCAGACACCTAAATAGCCTCACCATCCACTTAATCAGTTGGCCTTGGGCAGCAGACCTCCTAATTCTCTGAGGCTCAGTTGCCTCTGTATACAATGGAGGCAACAATGTCTTTCGAAAGTACCTGCCTTGGAGGATTGGATGAGGTTCTGGGTATAGTAATGGGATGGGTACTGGAGAAAGGTGCACGGACTGAAAAGCTGTCTCATTAAACTTTGTAACACATCTACTGTGGGAACCCTCCTGACTGAACATGGCACCAGGGAAGGAGGACTTTCCTTTTCATTAAAGAAGACTGTGTTAAATTGCTGTAGTGATGGGAGTTTGGCAACCACATGTGGCTGAGACAATCAGCAGGTGTGTGCATTTCAGCAAGAATCTTCTTTTCTGAACTTGCAGTTGAGAATTGATGCAAGACAAATGATCCCACAAAATCTTGTGACCAAGCTAGGTGGTTAGATGTGTATAGGTAATAATCACCTGGCAAAACCAATCGATTCATTAAGATTGGCCAGTTCATCTGGAAACCAAAGGCTGCAAAGACACCACGTGTTGCTTGGAGATTGGTTTTCTCAAGCATGACACTTCTACTACTCCTCACATTTCACAAATATTATTGGTTAGGATGAATTAAAGTTTTCAAAGTGAGCTGACTTTAAAGAAAAATATTGGCCGGGCATGGTGGCTCACACCTGTAATCCCAGCATTTTGGGAGGCCGAGGTGGGTGGATCACTTGAGGTCAGGAGTTCAAGACCAGCCTGGTCAACATAGTGAAACCCCACCTCTACTAAAAATACAAAAATTAGCCAGGTGTGGTGGTGCGCACCTGTAATCCCAGCTACTCGGGAGGCTGAGGCAGGAGAATCGCTTGAACCCAGGAGGCAAAGTTTGCAGTGAGCCGAGATCATGCCACTGCACTGTAGCCTGGGCAACGGAGCGAGACTCCATCTCAAAAAAAAAAAAAAAAAAGAAAAATATGAAGTCACTAGAAGAGCAATAGGCAGTTTACAACATGTTAAAACTTTTTCTTTTTTTTTTTGAAACAGAGTCTCGCTCTGTCGCCCAGGCTGGAGCACAGCGGCACCATCTCGGCTCACTGCAACTTCTGCCTCACGGGTTCAAGTGATTCTCGTGCCTCAGCCTTCTGAGTAGCTGGGACTACAGGCGCACGCTGCCATACCTGGTTAGTTTTTGTATTTTTAGAAGAGACGGGTCTCACCATGTTGGCCAGGCTGTTCTCGACCTCCTGACCTCAGGTAATCTGCCCACCTTGGCCTCCCAAAGTGCTGGGATTACAGACGTGAACCACTGTGCCCTGCCCATAGTAAAACTTTTAATGTCCAATTGATAACCACTGAGGTCCATTGATGAAGGGAATTCAGAGGGGAGGAAATGTTAACTGGAAACCTCAAGCCTCCAGATTTGCTTTCAGCTCACATTTCTCCTCTTTTGGTGCCTGAAATCACTTCTTCCCGTTTGCAAAGTCCTTTGTGTGTGTCTCCACAATGGCCCTTATTCCATTGTATGGAGGTTGTTTGCATCCGGTGTGTTTTCCTTCCCAGTGGCGAGCTCCCTGGGAAATTGCCTTGAACTCCCTGCAGGGCTGGACACAGAAAGGTAAACTCTGAAGGAGAAGAGGATAAATGAGAGAATGGAAGCTCTATCTGCAGCTGCTTCCTGAGGATTAAAAAGCTTTGAGTCAAGGAAAGGAATGGAAACTCCAGTTCCTGGACTATTCAGAAAGCCAATTTGATTATTCAGGCAAAAGGAATCTATATTTTAGAAGGCCGATAGGTTTGTGGCTTTCCAGCATAGTAGACTTCTATTTACAAGAACTCTGACCCAGCAGCTTTATTCATGGCAGATACAGGTGCTGAGAGAAGAATTTGAAGGTTCCCTGTTTCTTTTGCTTTTTTATTTTTTAGAGACAGTCTTACTCTGTTACCCAAGCTGGAGTGCAGTGGGGCGATCATAGCTCAGTGCCACCATACCTGGCTAATTTTTAGGTTTATTTCGTAGAGACAGGGTCTCGCTATGTTGCCTAGGTTGGTCTCGAACTCCTGGGCTCAAGCGATCTCCACCCCCCCATCCCCTGCACCCTTGCTTTAGCCTCTAAAAGTGCTGGGATTGTAGGCATGAGCCACTGCATCTGACTTCTTTTGCATTTTTGGCTCAGCTGCTCCTGAGTGGAGTCTGAAGCTGGCTGTCTTTGACATATTCCCATCCCTCCATCCTCACCCCCACTCCTCCATTTGGATTTCCCTTCTTGCTCTCAGCTGGCTGTCAATGATTCCCTACTTAGCTATTTATATTTAATAGCCTACTCTTCCTTGAATCAAACCCATTTTTCAAGAAGACCACGAGTTGTTAGTGCAGTTAATTGAAAGGAATAAAGCCATAATGGTGGAATTATAGATGAAAATGGAAAACCCCTTGAAATCTTAATGATTTAGTCAACTGGGTGCTTTGCCTTCTTATAATACAAGTTCATCCCGGCAGCCACACAGAACAGTTACTACCAAGCTGTGCTGGCTAGCTTGCGCAAGCCAGAAATTAAGTGCACCAACTCTGAGTCAGGCTGACAGGTTCAAATCCCGGGTCTTCTACTTATTACTTATGTGACCCTGGACAAATTATAAAACCTTTCTTTTTTTTTGAGGAAAAAAAAAAAGTCTCACTCTGTTGCCCAGGCTGGAGTGCAATGGCATGATCTTGGCTCACTGCAACCTCTGGCTCCCGGGTTCAAGTCATTCTCCTACCTCAGCCTCCCGAGTAGCTGGGATTACAAGGCACCTGCCACTACACCCAGCTAATTTTTGTATTTTTAGTAGAGACGGGGTTTTACCATGTTAGGCTGGTCTCGAACTCCTGACCTCAGGTGATCTGCCTGCCTTGGCCTCCCAAAGTGTTGGGATTACAGGCGTGAGCCACCGTGCCCGGCCTATAAAACCTTTCTTAACCTGGTGCTTTATCTATAAAATAGGCCTGTGTTCCCTACCTCATCTGGATATTGTGTTCAAGGAGATAATCCATTTAAAAGACCACAAGAGCCTGGCCCACAGTTGGTGTTGAGTAAATGCTAGCCATTATTGTTCCATTCTTGCATTGGAGTGTCTGAATTTCCTCATAGAGGCACAAAAACCTGATGTACAACCATGTATTTGTGTAGGCAGGATGCAACAGCTTGTAGTGGACAAAAAAATAGTCTAACACTAACTTGCTGAGTGACCATGCCAACTCACTTACTTTGGGTCTGTTTCACATCTGTAAAATGAGAGGGAGAGGCAGGGGTTCCCAGGATGGAAAACTTAAATGTCTATACAGGCCAGATAAATAAAATCACTAGTGACTTGGGCTGGGTATAAGACAATAGGGAGTTACGGTAAACTAGAAAGCTTTTCAACTCTGAGTGTGGTCTACTGACCACGAGGATCGACAGAGCCCTGGAGTTTGTTAGAAAGAGCAACATCTCAGAAACCACCCCAGATCTATCCAAATGCAATCTGCATTTTAACAAGATCCCCCGTGATTTGTATGCTCATGAAACTTTGAGCCAGGCATGGTGGCTTATGCCTGTAATTCCAGCACTTTGGGAGGCAGAGGCGGGTTGGATCACTTGAGTCCAGGAGTTCAAGACCAGCCTGGCCATTATGGCGAAACCCCGTCTCTACTCAAAATACAAAAATTAGCCAGTCATGGTGGCACACACCTGTAATCCCAGCTACTTGGGAGGCTGAAGTACAAGAATCATTTGAACCTGGGAGGCCGAGGTTGCAGTGAGCCGAGATTGGGCCACTGCACTCCAGCCTGGGTGACAGAGTAACTGTCTCAAAACAAAACAAAACAAAAAAACAAACAAAAACAACCTTTGAGAAAATTGTTTTTTTTTTTTTTTTTTTTTTTTGGTTCGGAGTCTCGCTCTGTCGCCCAGGCTGGAGTGCAGTGGCGCGATCTCGGCTCATTGCAACCTCCGTCTCCCGGGTTCACGCCATTCTCCTGCCTCAGCCTCCTGAATAGCTGGGACTACAGGAGCCCAACACCACGCCCGGCTATTTTTTTTTTGTATTTTTAGTAGAGACAGGGTTTCACTGTTAGCCAGGATGGTCTCGATCTCCTGACCTCGTGATCCTCCCGCCTCGGCCTCCCAAAGTGCTGGGATTACAGGCGTAAGCCACCGCGCCCGGCCCAAGAAAATTGTTAAGGTGCATAAGCCATCTAAAGGCATTCAAAAATTTTCTTTCTTTTTTTTTTTATGTTAGCCGAATAAACAAACTTCGGGCTTCATCAGGCCCTATGCTGCCAGCAAGTGACCAGCGTGGTTGGTGGAGGGCTCTAGGAGCTGCCAGCTTTAGGGGTCTCGCTGTCTGAGAGAGATCCTTTCATTAAAGGTTAGGGCTCTAGGCACGTGAATATGTAGCAAAGACCAAGCCTGGATTGCTTAGAACAGTAATTCCTGGAGTGGTAAGTGCCTGAAAAGTTACCCGCTGAGCCCTCCGCCTTCTGACAGGTAAACTGTTGTTGCCCCCATTTTGCAGACAAGATAAATGAGGCCCTGGGAGACTCACTGACCCAAGTCTAGACACCAGGAAGTGGTGGTGGTGGGTATACTCCCCCAGGAAAGCAGGTAATCTTGGGTTGTTACAATCAGTGACCAGACCAGTTTCCAAGGCCTGGAAGGTTTATTGATTTCTTTATATTCTCCAATGCATAATAACTGTTCTCTGTTTCTCTCGGCACCTCCCTGCGACTTCCTGGCAGCCCTGGGGACAGAGGGTTTCCTCCTTCTGGACAGAGAAGGCCCAGAGTCGGCTTCTGAACGGATATCCGGCCCGCAGGATGCAGAGGAGGCAAAGGCCTCATTGTTCTTTGGGGCCTGCCTGCCCCGCCCCCAGCTGTAGGACACTCGTGGCAGATCCCGGGTGACCGAAGACAGCCCATTTCCAGGAGTGGGGCCTTCGGAGCGGAGGGAGCAAGGAAACGGGGCTGAGCACAGACCTGGAGTCTGATGTTCTGAGCATAACACTGGAAGGAGCTAAGAGCCCCAAAATAAATAAGACCGGAATTTAAAAACGTTAATCCCACGCCGGCTTGGCGCTGGCCTGGCTGTTACTCATTAACGCTCCCCACGGCGGAGACTCCGGCGACTCCGTCTGCGTTTTTATTACTTAATCTGGCTGGGTTTGGCTGCAGGGAGGCTCGTGGATTTGCTGGCCGGGTGTGCTGGAAGGCAGTTTATTCACAGAATAAGCAGCTTCCCACGCTGGACCCTGAGCCCCAGGCGCCGTCCGCGTAGACCCCGCGCCGCGCACCGCGGCCGGCGGGGGGCGCTCGGGTCGCACCGAGAGCAGCGCGGGCAGCCAGCGCCGGGTCGCAGCCGACCCGCAGAGCCCTTCGCGCCCTCCGAGGAAACAAAGTGCATCTTTGTCCGCGGCCCGAGGCGCCGCGTGGGAGACGCTGGGCAGGGGCCAGGCCGGGCCGGCCGCCGCCGCGTGCGGGGACCCTGGGCGCGCGTCACTGACCCGGGACTCAGACCCTCGCGGGCCTGGCGCGGACCGGAGGAAGCGGGCTGTGGCGCGCGGCCGAGCTGGCAGCCCTCCCACTCCGAGCACGGCTCGGGACCCGCACTGGCTCCTGCCGGGCCGCGGCGCTTCACGCGCCGTCACCGGGGCCCGTGCACTCCGCTTTCCGGGCTGGCGACGGGGCGGGAAGGGGGCAAGCGGGAGCCTGCGGGGGGGTGCTGGGGACTTCGGCTTGGCTGGGCCGCCTTTGAGTCGCCTGTCGGCCGGGCGGTGCCCGCCTTCGCTTTCGGTGCCGTCCCGGGGCGGGTCCTCGCTCCGACAGCCGCGCGCCAGCCCAGCTCAGCCCCGGCGCCGCGCGGCCGGGAGGACTCCAGCTCCCAGCAGGCCCCGCGCCGCGAGCACCGAGGCAGGAGGCGCGCCTGGGCCGGCGCTTGCGCAGTGCGGCCGCCCGAGCCTGCTAGTACCACACCCCCGGGAGGGACTGAGGGGAGGCAGAAGCATCCGAGGCATTAAAGCATCCGAGGGAGCCGGAGGGGAGGAGAATGGAGTGACAGAGACACGCGGAGGGTGGGGGGTGGGGGGGAGCGTGTTGAGGGAGGGGGGAGGGGGGACACAGAGGGAGGAAGAAGCGGCGGCGGCGGCGGCGGCGGCGGCGGCTCCTCTTTGCAGAGGGGGAAACTCTTGGGCTGAGAGCAGGAATAATGCGGTAGGCAAGGCGGGCTGCTGGCTCCCCCGGCTCCGGCAGCAGCGGCGGCAGCCCGAGCAGCGGCAGCAGCAGCGGCAGCACCCCAGGCGCTGACAGCCCCGCCGGCCGGCTCCGTTGCTGACCGCCGACTGTCAATGGAGCTGGAAAACATCGTGGCCAACACGGTCTTGCTGAAAGCCAGGGAAGGTAAGAGGCAGGGCCGGTACGTGCCCGGCGCGTCCGCCGCGGGCCAGGGTGCGGGTGTCGGGTGGCGTGCGGGCTGGGGCTGCGCCCGTGCAGGATGCCCGCTGCCGGCGAGTGGGTCGCGAGCAGGACACTTCGGAGAGCGGCTCTGCAGACCCTTCAGGGTTCCTGCCTTGGGGCTCAGAGAATCTGGACTTGGGCTGAGAAGGTTGCAGGGATTTGGATGCTAACATATCTCCTAGTTTCCAGCGCTCGCCCTGCAGAGCGTGCCATCTCGGCAGCTGTTGAAAGGTCAGTTGGAAAAGCATTCATTCGGGGAGCGACGAGCAAACATGCACATAAAATAGCGTTTCAAGTCGGCCCGGGATGGTTCTGTGTGAACTGGTGTGTGTGTTCGAGGGGCGGGGGTGGAATGAGCAGAAGCCAAGTCTTTGCCTGCGCAGGCTGAGTTGATATAGACTATTGCTGGAAACCATCCGCTGGGATGTTTCTTAGGGAAATCCCGTCGTGTGGAAGGAAGCCTTTTAAAGGCAAAGTCAGATGTTGAGGAATTAGCCTTTTCATAGAATTATCAAAGGATGGCTGTACAGACCACCTAGAAAATAATTCAGTATTTCAGGTTTTTCTTTTCTGGGAGTGTGATAACTGAAATTGTTAGATTTTGGCTCAGTTAAGAAAAGAAAGGTAAGTGTGCTGGTGCTTTAGATACGTTTTCTATGCAAATCATTAGATTTCCTGCATTTAGCTGGCAGGAAATATTGTCTAAATGGAGTGTGTAAGATCCTGAGTCAAACCCTAAGAACGCATATTTTGACTCTTCCTTTTGATGAAAAACAGAAAAAAGGGGGGGGAGGCAGAAACTTGGGTGCTTCCTGAAATGATTGTGTTGTGTCCATGTAAACATATGTATTTAGGAATACCTGGAATTTATGTCGCATATTTTCCTTTTTTTTTTCTGGTCAAGATTTGAGCTCTAGTGTGCGACCTTTTTCATAAAAGGGGAAGAGGTTTTTCCCTTTCACGGGAGAACGCTTTATTTGATACAAGGTAGAAGGCAGACTGAGTAAGGGCTTGAGTTTAGAAGGATACTCGGTGAGCAGCCCATGAAAATGTCTTACCTGCTTAATATTTTCATTCACCTACTTTGATGAATGAAGGGAAGAATTTCTGGCCAGCAATAAAACGATTCGTGTTTATTCAGCCCGTTCCATCACCTTGTGGCTCCCTACACACTGTGGGGGTAGGTGATGCATAGCCTTCCGTGGGCAGCGTTTCAGCAACTCAACCCGGCATTCGTGTCTTACTTTCGTCGTCACTTGTCACTCTAAAGCAGCCAGTGGGCAAGAAGGTTTATTTCAGAAGCCCCGAAGGGAGGCAGTGCTTTGAAAACCCCAGCAGAGTTTAAAATATTCAGGTTAGTCTCCCTCCCATTGCTTAGCTTTGGTGGGAATAAATTTTTAGGAGAGGCTTGTTACTTGGTGACTTCAGGTTCTAAGGCCTGAGCTGTGTGTGTGTGTGTGGTTTTTTTTTTTTTTTTTTTTTTTTTTTCCTAACCTGACATTTTTAGTGGACAGGATCTAGGTGGGTGCTGGTAGGCTCTCCTCTGGGTTGGGGAATGGTCCTGAAAGGGAGGAAGCAGAGAAAACAGCCCTCCACCTCCCCCGCCCCTCTTTCAGCCTTTGCAGCTGGCCACCTAGTGGTGGGACACGGTTGTGTATCTCAGGATTCGGGGGCTGGGAAAGTTTTCACTCTCGCTCCATTCTGAAATTATTTCTTGGGAAATCACTGGGTCTGATGGTACTGGAGCCTTGCAAGTTTCGCTGGTTCCTCCTGTTGCCCAGGGAATCTGCCCCCGACATTTGCTGCTGTAGATATTTGTTTGCCTGATAGATGCTTTTTTTCTTCCCTGAGCATTTGGTTGCTTCTTTTATAATGCTTTGCTTAGAGTGGGCAAAGTGATATCAATTCCACCCGCCCCCTCCAAATTGTTCTCCCCAGTATTTTTTCACCAACGTGAATTTACTGTCTGATATTGTTGTTCGTTAGGCCAACAAATTGGGTTTTTTTCCCAGAGCCTTGGAGAAGAGAGCTGCAGGCTGGAAGCTTGTGTGGAGTGACCGACTCCCATTGGGGCAGAATTACAGTGATTGAAAGTGCTCAAGAATGTGCCTTTCACTTTTTTTTTTCCTTTTAAAGGCTTTTTCAATTTTGCTGTGAGAGTTTGGTCGTCATCTCATGGTGAGAAAATAGCTCTTGATGATGCCTTGGAAATGGAGAGGGCCTGCGGAAGCAGGGAGAGACTGACACGTGAACAAGAAAAATTAATCATTTAATGGAAACCTCATTTACAATTTGCATCTCTCCCCTTCTTTCTCTCTTATGCCTAGAGGAAAGCCATGATTTTAAGTGCTTCCAGTTTCTTTTGGCTGGGCCTTTATTAGAGACTTGAGCCCATATATCCTAATTAGTGTGGACACTTTTAGAAATTAAAGCAATTTATGTTTCTCTTCTCAGTTCTCATATATTTGAATTTATTTTACTAAACTTAGTAGTTCTCCAAATAACCATATTATCTAAATATTCAGAAATGAAATCTTCAGTCAGTTTAGTGAAATATCTAATATAAAACAGTATATTAAAAAAATCTGAGTTGTTTAAAAGGTTTAAAAACACTTCTTAAAGATTCTTGTCAGTGGTTACAGATGAGAAATATAATTGGCAAATGTGAAATTTAATTTAGTTCACTTAACAAAATACACCGTAAGCAATTTAAAATTTGGCTTTCAAGTAAAAGTCACATTTGTCCCAAACAATAGAGAAACAGACCTTGAAGAAAGACAGGCACACTTTGAAAATGCTGTAAAATAATTTGTAGTTGTCCATGTTGGTGGGTAACACTGGGACCTATCTTTTCTTTTTGTTTTGCATTAAAGACAGATGGCTCCTAAATTCACTGTATCTTCAAAGTCTTACCGTAATAAGACATAATATAAAGTGGAAAGCATTAATGTAGCAATAAAATAGAAAGCCTGTAAGTGGATTAGAGTAAAATGATGGATTGTTAGTAATTAGAAAATATAGCAAGCAAGCTTCATGAACACTTGTGATAATTATTTTAAAATAAGAAAAGGTAGAGGTATGGGTTCAAGATTTTGAACCACGGAAATGTATTTTGGGGCCTGTTTATTTGTCCTGGGTCTCATGAGAAAACATCAACTCGATCACTCTTAGGAACTTTAGATTGCTCTCCTAAAAAGTGCTTAAGGAAAAAAAGAAAGAAGTTGAGACTGAATTCATGGCAATTTATGGGAATGAGCTAAGTGATTAAGCATTTCATGAAAAAGAGGCCCAGACTAACTCTATCTATTTATTTACATTTCAGAATCTCAGAAAATTGGCAGGCGACCTAATGTTGAAATAATAATGAGAAGGAGAGTTTGCTGAGTGCCTTTTGTGTGTTTCTTTTTGGTTTTATTGTTGCAGTAAAGGTTTTTGTGTTTTTCTCATCTTCTAGATCTGTTGCCTTTCTTCTGAGTGAACAGTGGTGAGAAAAAATTTTGCAAGGCCCCGCTTTTCCTTTCTTCACAGGCCAGCAGTAGCCATATCTGATCAAAAAAGATACCTGAAGGAATATTGATCACATTTTCCTGAGGCCCTAGCAAGCACAGGAATTGAGAAGTTAGGACTGGAACAACTTTGTCATTTGTCACAATTGCCAAACATTAGAATACACAGGAACCGTTTTTTCAGGTAACTCTGTGACTTGGCTGGATCTTCCTGATCATCAAGATTAGCACCTCGGGGCCTGGAAGAGGTTAGGGAGGGCAGGAAGAAGGAGTGAGCCAGCATCCAGCTCTGCGTGGGGCAGGCTATGGCGTGGACAGACTTAACATTCCACAGCACGGCTGAAAGCCCTGGACCTCTTTCCCTTGCACCCCTAATTCATGGTGATAAAACCAAAACATGGTGAATTAGGTTATTAGAACGTTGGAACATCTCTGAAGCTCAAAGCCCTCTTATGGCTATGTGAAGGCATACGTGGAGGCATACGTACTCCACCCTGAAGCTTCTCCTTCAATTTTAATGTTAATCTTACCAAGCGACAGCTTTCATCCTGGTTAAGGCAGCTCGGTGTGTGTAAAAGCAGCCTGGCCTGTTAAACACAATGCCGTTAAATCAAACTGCCTTTCTTTTTTTTTTTTTAAAGTTTCCTTTTCAGTACTGACAACTTGGAGGTAGAGAAACCAAAAGCAATGTTTTCAGAAGGCCTTTTGCTTTCTTAAAGATTTCAAACGATGATTGTAGTTAATCTGGCTGCCTGTTTGAAAAACCATCAGATAAATGCCCACAAGGCTCTCATCTTTCAGTAGCTTAGCTGCTGCTTGTCAGATTCTAAACTCCAAAGTGCTTGACTCTTCCAGTGCCCAAACTAATCCTTGTTTAAATTATGTCTTCAGAAGCTATAACTCTTATAGTGGCTTGCTAAATGATACCCTTTGGATCTGGGCTGAAGACTTCCAGAATGCCCAAGTGAATTTCAGGAGCGGGCTCAATGTTTAACCAAATTCACCTTTACCAAGGGCTATTCAATCCATATCTGGGATGTTTTAAATAAAACTATCCAGGACTGTGGGCAATATTCAAAGTTAATATTTGTTGCCAATATGTTTGGAGTGCAAGATAAAGCATTATAATGTCTAGACATTTTTGAAATAAAAAAGTCTTCTGGTTACCAAAAGGCATTATTGTCATAGGTCATGCAACTCAGAGGTGAAACTTGAGAAAACAGAAAGTGACTACCAACAGGTGACACATTGAGAAGATAATTAGGAATTTCCTCAATCATACAGCCCTCAGCACCCATTTCTCACATCAAAATAGAATGGTGGAGCCGAGTGCGGTGGCACAGCCTGTGGTCCCAGCTACTCTGGAGGCTGAGGAAGATCATTTGAGCCCAGGAGTACTGGTCTGGAGCGAACTATGCCTATTGGGTATCTGCAGTAAGCTCGGCATCAATATGGTGACCTTTCGGGAGTGGGGACCACCAAGTTGCCCAAGGAGGGGTGAACTGGCTTGGTGGGAAACAGAACAGGTAAAAACTCCATGCTGATCAGCAGTGGGACTGCATCTGTGCATAGCCACTGCCCTCCAGCCTGGGCAACACACAAGACCCTGTCTCTAAAAATAAATAAATAAATGAATGGAATAGAAGAGAATATTGAAGACAAGGGGATGAAGGCATGATTTTAAATGACTAAAATGGTCTGGGCATGGTGGCTCATGTCTGTAATCCCAGCACTTTGGGAGGCCGAGGCAGGCGGATCACCTGAGGTCAGGAGATTGAGATCAGCCTGGCCAACATGGTGAAATCCTGTCTCTACTAAAAATACAAAAATCAGCGGGGTGTGGTGGTGCCCGCATGTAATCCCAGCTACTCGGAAAGCTGAGGCAGGAGAATCACTTGAACCTGGGAGGTGGAGATTGCAGTGAGCCAGTATTGCACCACCGTACTCCGGACTGGGTGACAGAGTAAGACTCTGTTTCAAAAAAGAAAAATAAAAAATTAAAATGTATTATGGCCTTAAATAATAGGGTTGATTTCCACTTTAAAACATATCCTGTTATATTTCAGTGAAAATTTTTATTTAAAAATATTCTAAATATTGAAAAGATGTATTTTGGGGGGGCAGAGATAATGTCATTCCTTTTATTACCATCCAAAAACTGGAAGAAGCATTTCATTTTGTGAAAACTGTGCTGCTTTTAAAAGAGAAAGTCCTTACTTCCTGACTGGACCCTTCCCCCACCCCTGCTTCTCATTTTGAGGAAACCATTCTTGAATAGGCTTCTGAAAATCTTACAAGAGTAAAATTTATTTGTTCAGCATTTGGTTGTTGAAGGACCCAGTGCGGAGGTGACATTCGGGTGTCAGCCTCAGATAATACAATGTGAAATGACTGAAAAGATGCAATTGGGCACTGCCGTTCTCTTTTTACATGTTTTTTTGTTTGTTTTTTGTTTTGTTTTGAGACAGAGTCTGCTCTGTCGCGCAGGCTAGACTGCAGTGGCGCAGTCTGGGCTCACTGCAACCTCTGCCTCCCAGGTTCAAGCGATTCTCCTGCCTCAGCCTCCTGAGTAGCTGGGATTACAGGCGCCCACCATCAAGCCTGGCTAATTTTTGTATTTTTAGTAGAGGCGGGGTTTCGCCATGTTGGCCAGGCTGGTCTCAAACTCCTGGCCTCAGGTGATCTGCCTGCCTTGGCCTCTCAAAGTGCTGGGATTACAGGCATGAGCCACTGCACTCAGTCTCTTTTGATGTTTTTTAACTGATCAACTAGGTGTGAACAGAACTGGATTTTTTTCCCCGAAGAGCTGAGGCTGACTGGGGTGTGACCTCCTTAGCTGTGTAGACTGCATTGACTCTACTGTGCCTAGAATTTGGACAATGGCCTGAGGGACCAGTATGTGATTTAAGCATAATTAAAAGGTTATACTTGAGGGATAGACCTGAATCTGGAAGACAACTGCTAATTTTCTGGGGCACTGAGGGGTTTTTGTTTTGTTTTGTTTTTTGAGACAGGGTCTTGCTGTCACCCAGTCTGTAGTGCAGTGGTGCCATCTCAGCTCACTGCAACTTCGACCTCCTGGGCTCAAGTGATCCTCCCACCTCAGCCTCCTGAGTAGCTGGGACTATAGGCTCGTGCCAACATGCCTGGCTAATTTTTGTATTTTTTGTAGAGATGGGGTTTCGCCCTGTTGCCCAGGTTGGTCTCTAAACTCCTGGGCTCAAGCAATCCATCCACCTTGGCCTCCCAAAATGTTGGGACTACAGGTGTGAGCCACCACGCCCGGCCAACACTGTTTTTATGAAGGTCTGTTCCTAGAAATGGAAACCATTAAAAACAATGGCAAGAAGACCCTTTGGTTGAGGAATGACAAGATCCAAGAGGAAAACTGGTGTGCCATGGCGCCTTCCAGGCAGAGCAGGTGTTCAGGGCAGAGGCCTGGGCGGGTAGACGGGCTGCAGTTCTGGAGTGAAGACGGTGGAGGCTGCATTCTTTTCTGGCTTTCTGTTGGGATTGGCCTGGGTATGTCCTTTGACATAGCCTGTCACAGGGAATGACCGAAAAGATTAAAGGTACCTGTTCCTCTTCAGGGGCTCTGTTCAACGTAGTAGCCACTAGCTGTATGTTGTTATTTATACTTAAATTAATTAAAGTTAGGAATTATGTTCCTGAAGCATGCAAACCACATGTCTAGTGCTCAGTAGCCATGTGTGGCTAGTGGCCATTGTATTGGGCCATGCATATAGAACATTCCCATCATTGCAGAAAGCTCATCGGGACAGAGCTTCTCTAGAGGATTCTGTGCATTTAGTGAGTGTGATAACCCCATGACTTCTGACATGAAAAATTAGGGAAAATTAAAAGAAGCAGAGGGAGGCAGGGAGTTGGGGAGAGAGACAGTGTGGAGGAGGGGGAGAAGGAGAGATGAGAGGGGGAAATGGGTAGGAGAAGGAGAAAATAGGGAAGGGGGTGCGGAGAGTGAGGAAGAGACTGAGGAAGGGGAGGGGGCTGCACCATGGAGGAGGGGTGAAGGCAGGGGTTGGGAGTTGGGACTGACTCACCTAAGAGGAAATTCAGGTCAGGGACAATCATGGATGGTGGCGGGGGTGGAGGGGGTTAAGCTACCATATCCTCCCCCACCCCCTTTTTCAATATCTTGTTGGGAAATTTGCCTAAATTGAGCAACTGACTTTCCTGATTCAAATTAAGTGCATGATATAGATACATACAGAGCCCCATGTTCCTTCTTGAAATTCTTAATGTGGGGCTATTTTAAAGCAGTCATTTTATTTAAAAAAACAATTAAGTTGCATAAGTGCGGCAGATCTACAGAAAGAATAGAAAGAAACCTCCACAGGCAGGTGATCTAAAATGGGGGTGAAGACAGGCAAAACCATTTTAAGGGTTTTCATTTTTTCTGAGCTGGGAAGACATCAGGAAGAAGGTATACTTAAAGATGCCAAAGAAACTCACTGTTCTTGTATCCACTTGAAAATGGTTTTCTCCTTAAAAACTGTTTCTTGTGAGATTTGAAACATTTTAACAATAACTCAGAGCACACTTAGAAAGAAAGTGTTTGAAACAATAAAACAGTTCATTGCTTGTTCCCTGGTGTCCGAAGCAAGGGAGTCTATCTGACGTACCAGAGTCAACTGGTGACATCCTCCTAAACTAGGCCAGTTTTGATAGGGCCTACTGTGTTTCTAAGAACTTGTAATCTGTGGAATATCAAAAATTTTTTTAAAAAGGTAATGATGAAATGAACCCCAAGGACAGCTTCTGGGGCCTGTGCAGAAAGCAAGGGTAAACAGATAAGCTGAGATAAACAGATAAGAACATGCCTCTGTCCTGAAGTGGCAGAGGCCACAGGGCCACTGGTGCCTCGGCTTCCCTGAGCCTTCTCAGCTGATCTGCTGCCCTGTCCTCTGTTTCCGGCATAGAGGTTACCCTTGGTTTAACGGATGGGGAAACTGAGATGAAAGAAAGGGAGTCAGGGCCGGGTGCAGTGGCTCACGCCTGTAATCCCAGCATTTTGGGAGGCTGAGGCAGGAGGATTGCTTGAGGCCAGGAGTTCAAGACCAGCGTGGGCAGCATAGCAAGACCCCTATCTCTACAAAAAATAAAAAATAAATAAAAATGGCCAGGCGTGGTGGCTCACGCCTGTAATCCCAGCACTTTGGGAGGCCAAGGTGTGTGGATCACTTGCGGTCAGGAGTTCAAGATCAGCCTGACCACCGTGGTGAAAACCCATCTCTACTAAAAATACAAAATTACCTGGATGTGGTGGTGGGTGCCTATAATAATCCCAGCTACTTGGGAGACTGAGGCAGGAGAATTGTTTGAACCTGGGAGTGCCACTGCACTCCAGCCTGGGTAACAGCGAAACTCCGTCTAAAAGGTAAAATAATAATTTAAAAAAAAACATAAAAATAAAAAAAGGGAGTCACTTGTTCAAGGTCACTTGAACTGTGGACTTTTGGGGAGCAATTGCAAGTGGATCTCCCCTATCCTCCAAAGTGCTTTTATGTTCCAAAATAAATCTTTCTTCCTTCCTCTCATAATATATGCCAAAACAACAAACTCTTCTCGAGATGGTAGGGTTTTTAAGTGTAAATACCCATGAGGTTGTAATTGTGGAAGAGAAAGAGTGTCTTTGTCAGATTCCCTGGGAAAAGGGGCAAATTGGGAATATAATTTCTGTCTCAGACCGTGATTTCAGCTGAGGGCCAGTTTGAGAGCAGTTGGGTAAATTAATTCCTACTAGGTTGTAAATGACTGATAGGTGAATCCTCAAAGTAGATGTTTCCATTTTAAAAGTAGAACTGTGTATCAATACAACTGAATCTGTGTTTGAGGACAAGGCAGGATGCCTACATGCCATACATAAGTGCCTGTACACACATAAGCACATGTGTACGTATGTGGTATGATCGCCTGTGGAGGCCCATTACCTGTACTCTCTCGCTGCCTGGGCCCCTCCTACCAACACATCGGACAAGCGAGGCCAGCCTCTTGCGTTATTTTTCCCCTCAGCATGGCTAGTGGCCAACGAATTGCCCCCAAGGGACTGGATGTGAAGCCCCATGGGTGGTGGTGGTGGGGACAGTCATGGGAGTTTAGGTGTGGGCCACATCATTGGCAGCAGCACCACCTCCTTTCCTTGGCAGAGGCAAGAGGTGGGCAGCGGGCATGCCAGTTCCTGCTGGCTCACCACACATAGCTCCCATCTGCCCTGCACCCTGCTTCCCTGGCCGCTTACTGCTCCTTAGGAGGTTCTCGCCCTCAGTTACCTCTGCCTGACAGTGGTACCTTATGTGCAGGCTCAGGTTTCTGCAGCTCTCTTTACTTACTACCCAAGTAGGGGGTTAGAGAGGGGGAGGCGAGGAGGGTTTTTCTTGCAGATTGCAGGGCATCCCCACCCCCTCACCAAAGAGAGGGTATGAAGTGGCCTTTTCCCCCAGAAAAGCTCTCTCCGGATGACCCCTTGCCATTTTTCAGTGGTAACCTTGAGTGTTTGCATTTAGAAACCATGTCAACCCGTTTGTGTGTGTGTGTGTGTGTGTGTGTGTGTTGCGTTAATGTTGCAACTCTGCTTTTCAGGGGGCTTTGTGAGGCAAGGGAGTGTATAAGAGCCATGCACTTCCTTGGGGGTCCACAGTCAGACTTGAGATCCTGGTGGGAAGGCAGCCTGGTGTCGCTCCCTGATGATGAGGGTACAGGAAGCCATGCTTTTGATCTGCTCCTGCAGAGAAGGTGTAGCTCTAAACTTACCCACTCCAGGAAGGGAAGGGGAGGGGGTAGGAGATAGAATTACCCAACTGCTGGATGGAGAGAACCCAGCCAATGTAATTGCTCTGCAAGTCTGATAAAAAGTCTTGTGAAACCTCATTTGAAAATGGAATTCCATCCTGGCATGGGTCTTAGCACTGCTTCTGAAATGGAAACAAGCTGGAGAAGGTCGACAAATGTCCCAGGAAGAACAGCTTTAAGTGGCTGATGCAGAAATGGGTCCTGCTTGGTCTTAATGTTTTCTGTTAATGCACTCAGGAGGGGCTTGTTGGGATATGTAGATAACATCCCAGGAGAAGGAACTCCTAGCTCTAGGAAGAATAGGGGTGGAGTAAGGACAAAGGATTGGACCATCGACTTGAATAGCAAAGGATACCTGAGCATCCAACTTTTCTCAAGCCAAATGCTGTTGTGGGTTGATGCCACTACCCCTGCTGTCACAGATTAGGGAGAGTGTGTGTCTAATGAATATGTTCCTGGAACATAGTAGGTGTTCAAAAATATTTCCAGAATGAATGACTGATGCTACACAGCTTGAGTATCCCTAACTGAAGAATCTGAAATCCAAAATCTGAAACTTTTTTTTTTTTTTTTTGAGACGGAGTCTCGCTCTGTCCCTAGGCCAGAGTGCAGTGGCACGATCTCAGCTCACCGCAACCTCCGCTTCCCGGGTTCAAGCGATTCTCCTGCCTCAGTCTCCCAAGCAGCTGGGACTACAGGCACGTGCTGGGATTTTTTTGTATTTTTAGTAGAGAGCGGGTTTCACCGTGTTAGCCAGGATGGTCTCGATCTCCTGACCTCGTGATCCTCCCTGCCTCGGCCTCCCAAAGTGCTGGGATTACAGGCTTGAGCCACCATGCCCGGCCCAATATCTGAAACTTTTTGAAAGCCAACATGATGCATACAAAATGATCATTGGATCTGTTGCCTAGGCTGGAGTGCAGTGGCACCATCATAGCTTAGCTCACTGCAGCCTTGGCCTCCTGGGCTCAAGTGATCCTCCTGCCTCAGCCTCCAAAGTAGCTGGGACTACAGGTGCGTGCCACCACACTTGACTCTTTGCAACATTTTGGATTTTAGATTTTCAGATTTGGGATGCTCGACCAGTATAATGCAAATATTCCAAAATCCAAAAACATCAGAAATCCAAAGCACTTCTGGTCACAAGCATTTCAGATAAGGGATACTCAACCTGTATTTATGTTATGTGATGGTGAAGAAGAGAGCCGAGAAAGTGATATCCTCAAGAAATGGCCTTGGGGTCACAATAGATGGTACATTAGGATACGATTCAACATGGTTAAGAAAGGTTAACTAAGGTTATAGGGCAAATTGGAAAATGTTTTCCAAATGTTTGTCTTAACTCTGAAAAATGTTTGGCAAACTCCCCCTCCCCCCTAATTTGGAAGTGGTTTGTTTTAGTCGTTTTGGAAGAAATAAATATTTGCATTAGACCAAACATTTGGGGCAAACAGTTCTCCCCATTTCTGAGGCTCTGTGTGAGTAGGAGGAGATGTTTCATGCCGATAACACTCATCCCTTTTTTGGCCAAATCGAAGGTAACTTTCGATGTGAGCTTCACATGCTTTTCACATAACTGCTAGAATGAGGTTGAGCAAATGGAAAGAAAAGAGGAAGCCAAGCAGCTTGATCCTTCCAGACCTAGGGATGGCTGATGACCTGGCATTTGAAGGATGTAATCGTTAAAGAAAAATTGCCTTTCTGCTCATGGGCAGGGAGGCTGGATCCAATTAAGACAAGGAAAACGTATGTTAACTTGGAGGAAAAATTTCTAAACAGTCAATTCTGTAATCCTCTCTGAAGAGGAAGAGGCCAACATGATGAGGCTTTATGGATGGTGCCAAGCCCTGTGATATATAATAATTAGTAACCACTGGTTATTTTGCCGCACACTTATTCTCCAAACCACTAACCATTGCTTGGGATGGAATGCACCAGGCCTAGATATTTGCCCCAGATGTCTTCCCTTCAGCAGTATCCAATTAGAGGGATTTTTACAAATTAAAGCTTAATTCTCTATAATATATAGCAAAATATAAATTAAGGAAGGAGAAACCCGATTTCCTTGGTTGGTTCCATGGGTTACGGAGGTGAGGGCTAGTCTTCAGGTGCACCTCTTAGTTTATGCTTCAGTGGCTAGTGGTGACTGTTCTATATCATGGTCCTTGGTATTTTTGCTAGTCTTTTTGGTAGCTTAAAAACATTTCAGAGGCGAGGCATGGTGGCTCATGCCTGTAATCCCAGCACTTTGGGAGGCCAAGGTGGGTGGATCACCTGAGGTCAGGAGTTTGAGACCACCCTGGCCAACATGGCAAAACCCCGTCTCTATTAAAAATCCAAGAATTAGCCAGGCATGGTGGCACGCGCCTGTAATCTCGGCTACTTGGGAGGCTGAGACAGGAGAATCGCTTGAACCCGGGAGGCGGAGGTTGTGGTGAGCTGAGATCGCGCCACTGCACTCCAGCCTGGGTGACAGAGGCTCAAAAAAAAAAAAAATTTGCAAAGGTAATACTCACTAAAGAAAGTCCAGGCCAGAAGTGGTGGCTCATGCCTGTAATCCCAGCACTTTGGGAGGCTGAGGCTGGCAGATCACCTGAGGTCAGGAGTTTGAGAAGAGCCTGGCCAACATGGCAAAACCCTGTCTCTACTAAAAATACAAAAAAATTAGCCTGGTGTGATGGCATGCGCCTGTAGTCCCAGCTACTCGGGAGGCTGAAGGGAGAGAATGGCGTGAACCCGGGAGGCGGAGGTTGCAGTGAGCCGAGATCGTGCCACTGCACTCCAGCCTGAGGGACAAAGTAAAACTATATCTCGGAAAAAAAAAAAAGTCCAAAGGACCATGTAAAGCATCTCTCTCTGTCTTCCCATGCACCCCTGCTACCAATCCCACCACTCAGAAATAATTAGCGTCAGCATGTAGGTGAACGTTTTCCCAAATCTCTGTATATGCACATACGAACATCTAGATAGAACTTTACACAAAATGGGTCCCAGTGTACACACTGTTCCGCAGCTGTTTTCAGTCCACAATATGCTGCAGAGCCTTTCCATATCTGTGTTTATAGTTTCCCATGAAATGGATGGGTGTCAGGAAAAATTGTGAAAGACTTTGGAAGCTGAATGCTGTTTCAATGGAATGCTGGGTATGTTCTAGCAGACTCTTAGGGGTTATCCAGTTCTAAAGGGGTCTGTGTTTTTCATTGTCTTTGACTAGTTTTATAATATATTTAACCAAGCCCCTAGAATGAGCCATTTAAATTCTCTAATTTTTAAAGATAATATAAAGGAATATCCTACCCATGATATATTCATCTTTATGCACTTATTTTAAAGACTTCTGTTTTTTTCCTGTGGGAGTATCTGCCTAATAACATCCCCTTTCCTCTTTGGGAAGAATCATAATAATTTGTGAAATAGGCTTCAGTGACCCTAGGGATGTACAATGTAGATTTTCTTATGAGAAAGGAGCATGATACATGTGACATGACATTTCTGAGACCTTTGGGACTTAACATCCCTCACCTCTGAGTAATGAGTCATCTTTTCTATGGTATTCAAAGTTTGAATTAGGGAAATTAAGGTTGAGTTCAGTCAAAGACTTTAGTTGTAGATGACTTTTCAGTTGCCCTTGGATTTTGCATGTGTAAATCAGGCAGGGGGTACACTCAGAAAACAAGCCCACAGCTTCGTAAGGTGTCTTGGATCTCTCACTGTGGATCATCAGCACAACCCTGTGGGCCTGGGAATTGTTTTTGCTGTTGCTGTTAGTATTATTCTAGTTTGAGAAAGAAGGAAAACAAGCTCAGAGAGGTGAAGTGGTTTTCCAAGATCACATACCAAGGAGCCACTTCCCCTTGTTTCCTGTGGTGCCAATCCATTGCTTCGTTTTTCGTGTTTGAGAGCTTTTGCGTTTCATTGTACATTGTACAATTCTAGGGAGCCATTGTTCCCATCCTAAAGCTGGTAGATGTGTAAATGTATCAGGTCGGGGGGCAGAAAGTGTCTTGAGGAAGGGACGCCCCTTCCTAATCCCCTCCAAGTGCTGCCTGTGCTGGTGTCAGTCCTCCTGAGGTCATTTGCCCTGTCTTTGATCTGGCACAGTATCCTCCTCTGTGGAATTCTGTAGCTCTTCCTCTGGTAACTGCTTTCACTAAAGGTTTGCATGGAATTTACCTAGACAAGGGCCCTACGGTTCCCACCTGAGAATAGAAAACGCCCATTAAAAACAGCACCACACAAAACAAATCAGTGGCCCCTCCTCCTGCTCTGCCTCCCTCCGAGATAAGCTTGGCATGAGGGCATAGTCCAGAGCCCCACGGCCTTCAGTAATTTTGTTAACAATTGGAGGAGAATGGCATTTTCTTCTGGGAAACATTTGCAGATGTGTGAGCTAGCTCTACATGGGGAAGGGCTGCCCCTTCACTGCGTGCTGAGGCTACGGGCTCCGTGTCCTGTCAGAGTGTGGGAGGGAGCTCCTCACACTGAAGCCAGCTCCTTCCTTCCGCAAAGAAGGGATCTGAGGGCCAAAAGGGGCCCGCATGGGTGGCCGTGCAGGAGCAGAAAGAGGCTCCAAAGCAGGATGGGTCCCCTGGCCTGGATTTTCCTCCAGGGCAGCTCTGCAACTCTAACACCCATCCCCAGGCTGTGTGTTTCCTAGGGATACGTAATAAAGTGCCACCAACTGGGTGGTTTAGAACAACAGACATCTATTGTCGCACAGTTCTGGAGGCCAGACGTTTGAAATCAAGGTGTGTGCAGGGCCGTGCTCCCTCTGAAGGTACCCGGGGAAGACCCGTTCCAGGCCTCTCTCCTTGGCTTGTTGGTGGCTGTCTTCTCCCTGTGCGTCTTCCTCTTGTGCATCTGTCCCTGTGTCCAGAGTTATCCTTTGTATAAGGACACCAGTGCTATTGGATCATGGCCCACTTGAATGACCTCATGTTAACTTGATTACCTCCATAAAGATCCTATTTCCAAATAAAGTCACATTCTGAGGTACCGGGGGTTAGGACTTCAACATAATCTTCTTTGGAGGACGCAGTGAACCCTGGAACACAGGCCCTGCCTGTACTGAAGCAGCAGCTTTTGGGGATAGCCTGTATTTTTAAAACAGGAGGTTCTGAGGATGAACCAGGCGTGGGAACTGCTGCTCTATAGAACCCTGGAGCTGGTGGGTTTTCTGAGTGCCTTCTGAGATTATCTTGGACATCCAGACTACTCTGACCGGGTCCCCAAATAGGACTCTGCAGGTTCCCTGGCAGTTGGTTTCTGTCTTCTGCTCAAATATTTCTAGAGACGGGGAGCTCATACCTTCTTCTAAGCAGCCTATCCGATTTTAAACCACTGGATTAAAAATATCTATAATAATATATATATATTATATATATCTATATATATTAGATAGGCTTCTTGCCTCACCCACTAAATTGTAGACTTCCTGAGGGCTGACACCAGGGCTTTTTCTTTGTATCTTACTGGAACTAACGAGATGCTAAAAGTAAACCCAAGTCGGCCTGTGGAGACCTGGTATGTCTGGTGCCATGTTAACCCATTAGGTCCTGGTTCTGCTCTTTGGAGGTATCCAGGATAAATGCACCACTCTTTGCCTGAGGGGGCCCTTCTAATATTAGAAGACAACTATGATACCCACTGTAGAACTAAAAGCAGAACCCCAAGTCCGGCACGGTGGCACTCACCTGTAGTCCCAGCTACTCCCAAGCCAGGAAGATCACTTGAGCCAGGAGTTCTGGGCTGCAGTGTGCTATGCACTGCACTCCAGTGAATAGCCACTGCACTCCAATCTGGGCAACAGAGTGAGACCCTGTCTCTTAAAAAACAAACAAACAAACAAACATAGCCAGAACCCTGCCCTCCAGATTCCCAGACTGGGCTCTCATTGTGCATTGCAGCCAAGTAACAGACATAACCAACCTTAGGATAGGATTTATTAGCAGGTGGGAATGATGTTGTTGCTAACATCTGGCAAAGCTCAAGGCTTCATAACTTGCCAGAAGTGAGATCCAGTCACCCACTATTTATTTATTAATTTATTATTTATTTATTTATTTATTTATTTATTTATTTATTGAGACGGAGTGTTGCTCTGTCGCCCAGGCTGGAGTGCAATGGCACGATCTCGGCTCACTGCAACCTTCTGCCTCCCAGGTTCAAGCGGTTCTCTTGCCTCAGCGCCCCGAGTAGCTGGGATTACAGGCGCCCGCCACCATGCCCGGCTAACTTTTGCATTTTTTTTTAGTAGAGATGGGGTTTCACCATGTTGGTCAGGCTGGTCTCGAACTTCTGACCTCAGGTTATCCAACTGCCTTGGCCTTACAAAGTGCTAGGATTACAGGCGTGAGCCACTGCGCCCAGCCTAGTCACCCACTTTTTAATTTTCGAGGTAATATGGTATCTTCTCCTGCTGTGCATTGAGGCAAGATGTTTCCATTCCATTGAAAGCTTGATCAAGGTTCTATGAGAAGTTCAAAGGGAAAAGGAGAGTGTGCCACTCATGTGCTGTGTGGCTCCTCTCCAAGCAAAACCATCCTCAGCTGCATAAATGTGCAGCTTGGCCAGGTGATCCTGGAGTCTCTTCTCACCCTTCAAATCTTGAGAATTTGCAGGTGCATTTTCCACTGATAATTCAACTGTGGGTACTTCAGAATAAAATTTGATGTTAATTTGAAGAGCAGGCATTACACATTAAAACAAAAATTACCCCAAGGGAAGAATGAGAGCCAAGAGGGGTTACATTTGTAGTAGAAATAAACAGGAAAAAAACCCGCCACTGCTAATTGAACTGATTCTCGCAATCCAAGAAAGGCAAATGCATGATTCTAATGTTTTCTTTAGTAGATTACAGAAAGGAAGATTAAATCAAAAGTCAAAAATAAACAGTTTGATTATCCTACACTGTATTATCTTAATAAACTGTCTTCCTGGAAAGTTTAAAAATACACAGTACTTCATCTGGCCAAAGAAAACAGTAAGTAAATATTGTTGAGAAAATGTAAGAATTTTCCATCTAGATGTGAGGGGTGGAAATATTGCCATGTGGACTTCAAGACATCCCACAAGGAGTGAGAGAGTGATAGGTATTACCTACCTTTTAAGGCTTGTTGTCGGGGACACTGTTGTCACATACGGGGGAAGAGGTTGGGAGGGGAATGGGCCCTATCAAGCACTCTTCTGGGCTCCTGGCAAAACCTCACCCAGTTCTGCATTCTCCTGCAAGGTTTGTCTAGATACTAGCTGTATCCTGACTGGTGATGCTCAGATTTCATAGTTTAGGGTGATGTGGAGAGGACTGCTGATTTTCTTCTCTCTCTCTCTTTTTTTTTTTTTTTTTTGAGATAGAGTCTCGCTCTGTCACCCAGGCTGGAGTGCAATGGCGCGATCTTGGCTCACTGCAACCTCCTCCTCCTGGGTTCAAGCAATTCTCCTGTCTCAGCCTCCTGAGTAGCTGGGACTACAGGCATGCACCACTGTGCCCGGCTAATTTTTGTATTTTTTTTTCTTTTTTTTTTTGAGATGGAGTCTCGCTCTGTCACCCAGGCTGGTGTGCAGTGGCATGATCTTGGCTCACTGCAAGCTCCGCCTCCCGGGTTCACGCCATTCTCCTGCTTCAGCCTCCCGTGTAGCTGGGACTACAGGTGCCCGCCACCATGCCTTGCTAATTTTTGTATTTTTAGTAGAGATGGTGTTTCACCATGTTGGCCAGGATGGTCTCGATCTCCCGACCTCATGATCCACCCGCTTCAGCCTCCCAAAGTGCTGGGATTACAGGCATGAGCCAGCACCCGGCTAATTTTTGTATTTTTAATAGAGACGAGGTTTCATCATATTGGCCAGTCTGGGCTCGAACTCCTGACCTTGTGATCTGCCCGTCTCGGCTCCCCAAAGAGCTGGGATTACAGGTGTGAGCCACTGTGCCTGGCATCTTCTTCTTTTTCTTTTTTTTTTTTTTAATTTTAATTTTTTTTTTTTTTTTGAGATGAAGCCTAACTCTGTCACCCAGGCTGGAGTGCAGTGGAGCAATCTCGGCCCACTGCAACCTTTGCCTCCCAGGTTCAAGCGTGCTGATTCTCTTCTGCTTAATTTTTCTACAGTTGGAAGTAGCAAAAGGTGGAGACTAGTGATGTGAGTTCTGTCCTAGCTTTGTTGCTAACCTGCCAGAGACCAAGGCTGGTAACTTTGTGTCTCTGTATCTTTTTTTTTTTTTTTTTGAGACACAGTCTCACGCTTGCCCAGGCTGGAGTACAGTGGTGCGATCTCGGCTCACTGCAATCTCTGCCTCCTGGGTTCAAGAGATTCCCTTGTCTCTGCCACCTGAGTAGCTAGGATTACAGGCGCCTGCTACCATGCCCGGCTTTTTTTTTTCTTTTTCTTTTTTTTGTATTTTTAGTAGAGATGGGGTTTCACCATGTTGGTCAGGTTGGTCTCAAACTCCTGACCTCAAATGACCCATCTGCCTCAGCCTCCCAAAGTGCTGGGATTACAGGTATGAACCACTGTACCTGGCCTGTATCTTTTCTTTTGAGATGGTGTCTTGCTTTGTTGCCCAGGCTGGAGTGCAGTGGCGTGATCTTGGCTCACTGCCACCTTGGCCTCCTGGGCTCAAGTGGTTTTCCTGCCTCCGCCTCCCAAGTAGCTGGGATTATATGCGCCCGCCAGCACATCTGACTAATTTTTGTATTTTTAGTAAAGACGTTTCACTGTGTTGGCTAGGCTGGTCTCTAACTCCCAGTCTCAGGTGATCCGCCCTCCTTGGCCTCTCAAAGTGCTAAGATTACAGGTATGAGCCACCACTACTGGCCTGCCTCTCTGTATCTTTATCATCACATAGGAATAATGCCCTATTGATCACAGAGACCAAATAAAAAATGTAAATAAGATGGGGAGTCCAGATGCAAACCCTAGTATATGTAAAATTTTAGTATATAATAGGCTGGGCACGGTGGCTCATGCCTATAATCCCAGCACTTTGGGAAGCCGAGGTGGGTGGATTGCTTGAGCCCAGGAGTTTGAGACCAGCCTGGGCAATATGGCGAAACTCCATCTCTACTAAAAATACAAAAATTAGCCGGGCATGGTGGCGCATGCCTGTAAACTCAGCTACTAGGGAGGAGGTTGAGGCAAGAGAATCGCTTGAACCCGGGAGGCAGAGATTTGCAGTGAGCTGAGATCGTGGCACTGCACTCCAGCCTGGGTGACAGAACAAGACTTGATCTCAAACAACAACAACAGCAGCAACAAACAAACAAACATGGTAGCCTTGTTACAGCCAGGAAGGATGGAGATAGTAAATGGGGAGGTAGTTTCTAAGGAAAAAAGCAAGTCCTGGTTAGACAGGTAGTATGTAGGGATCCACTACACATGAAAAGATGCTCGATCTCACTAGAAATCTAAGATATATAGAATCTTAGTTTGGCAATAATTTAAAACATTGATAAAGGCTTATTTAAAAAGTGTGGGTGAATAGGTTCTTTCAAACATTACGATCTTGTTGCTGACTAGAGTGTAAATTGGTAAGTCTTTGTCTCAAGAACATTTTGGTAATATAGACATCAAAAGCCTTAAAATTGGGTAACCCTTGACCTTGAAGTTCCACGTCTAAGATTTTATCTTAAGGAAAAATTAGCGTACCAATGACGTGCAGGAAGTTGTTCAGTAGATGATGTTTATAATAGAGGTTAATTGGAAACAGTTCCAATGACCATCTGTAAAGGATCGATATAATAAATCCTGGCATATTCAAATAGTAGACTCATACATAGCTATTAAGAATTATGGAGATCCAGACTGGGCAGCATGGTGAAACCCCATCTCTACAAAAAACAAAAACAAAAAACTAAAATTAGCTGGGCATGGTGGTGTGCGCCTGAAGTCCCAGCTACTGTGGAGGCTGAGGTGGGATGATCACTTGAGCCTGGGAGTTGGAGGTTGCAGTGAGCCACGATGGTGCCAGTATGCTCCAGCCTGGGTGACAAAGTGATACCCTGTCTCAAAAAAAACAAAACAAAACAAAAAACCAACCCGCCCCCCCGCAAAAACGTTATGGAGATCTAGTTCGAGACCAGCCTGGGCAACATAGTGAGACCCAATCTCTAAAAAAAAAAAAAAAATTAAAAAACATCAGCAATCAGCCAGGCATGGTGGTGCATGCCTGTAGTCCTAGCTACTTGGGTGGGAGGATCATTTGAGCCCAAGAATTCAAGGCTGCAGTGAGCTGTGATCATGCCATTGTGCTCCAGCCTGGGGTGACGAGTGAGACCATGTCTCTGAGAAAAAAAGAAAAAAGAATTATGGAGACCTATTCTTATTGGCATGGAGAGACGATCATAACATAGTGAGCAGGGGTTAGGAAAACCCAGATTATGTACAACGAATGTGCGTTACACTTAATAATTAGAAGAAAAAAGATGTCTTTTTTGGGGAGGGGGTGACAATGCCTTGTAAATGTAAGGCCACTTGAGAGGACTGTACAGAAATAAAATCCTTAAAGAAAAGTAAACATGCCAGGTCTTCTGAATCTCAGCAAGGGTTGGCCTTCTTAGCATTCCTCCATGGGAGATTCTAGGATTATTCCAGCTGTGTTACTTCAAGGATTCTTGAAACTCTTCTTGGACCCATTTGTTGACTGACTGCTTTGATGGACTGTAAATACACATCATTAAGGCTAGATGCCTTAACGCATCTAGCATACTGTTTTGACTCCGCTAGATGATGACATGTCTTTGTCTTTCAAATGCGAATTTGATTTTTCGGAAAATCAAATTTTGTTAGGCTTGATGCGTAAAGTGGCCATTTTGGAGCTGGAGAGTAAGGGGCAAGAATGGGGAATGAGAAGACTGGGACCTTTCCCAGTGCCCTGTGCTGGGTTGGGGTTTATAAAAAACCCTCCAAGGCATTGGCTTTGTTAGGCTGGGCTCTTCTGGGTGTGCAGCGTTGTGTGTTTGTTTTAATAGTAACCACCATTATTTTATAATAAAATGACGGTTGGTGGAAGGTGAGCACTCCTATCCTTGGTTGACAAGCTGGGCAGTTGATGAAGAGATACTCTGTCTGTAATCCTTTAACCAGGGATGTGCCCAGTAGAGGCTAGATTCCTGTTATCTCTGTCTAGTGAACTAGTGACCAACTAATGAGCAGGGAGGGGTGCTTTAGCATGTGCAAAATCCGAGTCAATTGAACTGACATGATTCAAGACCTCCTGGGTGTGTAATGCTGGCTGGGGTACTTCAGGAATGCAAAGATGTGAGATTCTGCTCTTCCTCTTCAGGACCTTCCAGCCTAGTTGGGGGAAAGGCAGGTACATGATCAACTCCATTACAAAGTAATCTAAGTACAGAGGCAGCCTTGATGGGGGGCAGGGATCAGTAAAGCTTTCATCAGAGAAGTGGTCTTGAGCTGTGCCTTGAGGACAGGTGGCTGGTGGTATGAAGACAGCATTTACAGGGCCCCTAACTGGTGCAGGCTCTGTGAAGGAGGCTTTATAGAGATAGATGTATTTTTCACCACGGTCCAATGCATTAGGTTTCATTGTCTTTTGCACATGACAAATCTGACAGGCTAAGGACACATTCAGGTAGGTGTTGGAGCTTGGCTTTGAGCTTCCAGCCTGTGCTGTGGGGAGAATTCCATCTTATGAGGTTACGGGGTGTGAGGGACAAAGGTTGTTGGCACTGGGGAAAGCCAAATGGTGGTGACTTGGGAACAGCTTGTGGTGGCCCCATTTTTCTGGAGCCTGGAGTAGTTGTGGGGGAGCAGGGAGCAGGAAGGCTGCAGAAGAATAGGGTCATATGGGGAGGTCTCTGAGTGTCAGGCTAGAATTTGGGAGTTAAGGTTTTAGGCAAAAAATAGCCGGCCAGGTACGGTAGCTCACGCCTGTAATCCTAGCACTTTGGGAGGCCAAAGTGGGAGGATTACTTGAGCCCAGGAGTTCCAGACTAGCCTAGGCAATATGGTAAGACCCATATATTAGTCCATTTTCACACTACTGATAAAGACATACCTGAGACTGGGTAATTTATGCATGAAAAAGGGTTTAATGGACTTACAGTTCTACGTGGCTGGGAGGCCTCACAATCATGGCAGAAGGCAAGGAAGAGCAAAGTCACGCCTTAGGATGGCAGCAGGCAAAGAGAGAGCTTGTGCAAGGAAACTCCCCCTTATAATAACTGTCAGATCTCATGAGACTTACTCACTGTCTCAAGAACAGCAAATACCTGTCCCCATGATTCAGTTACCTCCCACTGGGTCCCTCCCACAACATGTGGGAATTCAAGATGAAATTTGGGTGGGGACACAGCCAAACCGTATCACCCCATCTCTACAAAAAATAAAAAAATTAGCCAGGTGTGGTGGTGTGCACCTGTAGTCCCAGCCACTTGGGGAGGACTGAAGCGGATCACTTGAGCCCAGGGATGCTGCAGTGAGCTATAATTACATCACTGTACTCTAGCCTGGGTGGCAGAGTGAGACCCTATCTCAAAAAAAAAAAAAAAAAAAAAAAGAGCCACTGAGAGTTTTTCAGCAGAGGAGGCTCAAAAACTACCTGTACTTGAAGACACCAGATCTGGCAGCAGAAGCTGTAGGGCCAAATGGGCAGTGGTTCTTGGAAGTATTGTGGGGGCTTCCAGGGTTCTGCAAAAAAGAGGGAGAGGGGTGGGTTGGAGCAGCTTTGGGGAGACTAAATCTATAGCACTTGGCACCTGATAGGACATGGCGGTGAGTGGAAGGACAACACTGTAACTTTTGTGCAGCAAAAGAAACAATCAACAGAGTGAAAAGACAACACACAGAATTGGGGGAAACATTTGCAAACTGTTCACCTGACAAGGGATTGATACCCAGAACATACAAGGAACTCAAACATCTCAACAGGAAAAAAACATTCCTATTAAAAAATGGGCAGATGATCTGGACAGACATTTCTCAAAAGAAGACATACACACCACTAAAGAACTTACTCATGTAACCAAATACTGCTGTACCCCAATAACTTATAGAAAAATTAAAAAATTAAAAAACATCTAAACATAAAAAAAGAAGACATACAAAGATGGCCAATAAAAAGTGCTGAGGCCGGGTGCAGTGGGTCATGCCTGTAATCCTAGCACTTTGGGAGGCTGAGGCAGGTGGATCACTTGAGGTCAGGAGTTCGAAACCAGCCTGACCAACATGGTGAAACCTTGTCTCTACTAAAAATAAAAAAAATTAGCTGGGCGTGGTGGTGGATGCCTGTAATCCCAGCTACTTGGGAGGCTGAGACAGGAGAATCGCTTGAACCTGGGAGGCGGAGGTTGCAGTGAGCCGAGATCGTGCCACCGCACTCTAGCCTGAGTGACAGAGCAAGACTCTGCCTCAAAAAAAAAAAAAAAAAGAAAAAAAACTCAACATCACTAATCATTAAGGAAGTGCAAATCAAAACCACAATGAGGTATTATCTCACCGCAGTTAAAATGGCCATTATCAAAAGGACAAAAAATAACAAATACCGGAGACGATGTAGAGAAAAGGGAACTCATACACTGTTGGTGGGAATGTAAACTAGTACAGCCACGATGGAGAACAGTATGGAGGTTCCTCCAAAAACTACAACTAGAACTACCATATGATCCAGCAATCTCACTACTGGGCATTTATCCAAAATAAAGGAAATAAGTGCATCAAAGAGACATCTGCACCCCCATGTTTATTGCAGCACTATTCACAATAGCCAAGATAGTGGAATCAACTTAGATATCCAACAACAGATGAATGGATAAAGAAAATGTGGCATATATACACAACGGGAATCTATTCGGCCCTGAAGAATGAAGTCTTGCCATTCGCAGCAACATGGATGGAACTGGAGGGCATTATGCTAAGTGAAATAAACCAGGCACAGAAAGTTAAATGCTATGTGTTCTCACTTATACGTGGAAGCTAAAAAAAAGTTGATTCATAGAAGTAAAAAGTAGAACAGATAATACTAGAGGCTGGGAAGGGTAGGGGGAAGGGGATAGAGAAAGGTTTGTTTAACAACACAAAATTATAGCTAGATAGGAGGAAGAAACTCCTAGTGTTCTATATCTGTAGAATGACTGTAGTTAACACTAATATGTAGTTTCAAATAGCTAGAAGGAGGATATTGAATGTTCCTAACTGATATGGTTTGGCTGTGTTCCCACCCACATCTCATCTTGAATTCCCACGTGTTGTGGGAGGGGCCCGTGGGAGGTAATTGAATCATGGGGGGCAGGTCTTTTCCATGCTGTTCTCGTGATAGTAAGTCTCACAAGATCTGATGGTTATTATAAAGGGGAGTTTCCCTGCACAAGCTCTCTTTGCCTGCTGCCATCCATGTAAGACGTGACTTGCTCCTACTTGTCTCCCACCATGATTATGAGGCTTCCCCAGCCATGTGAAACTGAAAGTCCAATGAAACCTCTTTCTTTTGTAAATTGCCCAGTCCTGGGTATGTCTTTATCAGCAGTGTGAAAAGAGACTAATACACTAGCACAAATAAATGATAAACATTTGAGATGACAGATATGCTAATTACCCTGATCTGATCACTGTACATCATATGAATTGCAACATCACCATGTACCCCATAAATACGTAGTTATGTGTCAGCTAAAAGATAAAAAACTATAATATTTGCACCCAGGTGATGCTGCAGGGCAGTCAGGAGATGTGGCTGGCTCTGGGGAAAGGTGTCAGCTTGGTCTGGGCCTCCCTCAGTGGCCAAATGGCCAGTGTGAAGTCTTGGAGGGTGAAGGGCTCCTCCATGCCAGAGGCAAGCACCTGGCAGTAGCTTTGAAGAAATGTGGGAGCAGACGGTGTCTGTTGTTTTTCTGGCCCACATCTACCCCCTCTTCTTCTGGCAACAGCACCTCCATTTTTCTTGGGGGACCACTCCTCCCTGTATTTAATCCACAAGGTTGGGTGGAGATGATGTCTCATTGGTTCCATCAGTGAGCACATGACTCAGCCCTGGCTGTGCAGAGCCTTGATTCTCTGCTTGGCCTCAGGGATGGGGATGGGATTCTTGGTTCCAAAAGGGCTGCTCTTCTGCTGCTGGGGTTGCCAAGCTGGTGGAGGGAAACTTGGAGCTCTTGGTGGCCGTTGCCACAGCCTATCTGAGAATAAAGGCGGCATAGCACGATGTTGAATCAAAGGCTGATGGGGTGGGGGAGAGAGAGAGAGTCCTCATTGCATTGTTTCATTTTGGTGTCCAGCCATTCTGGGGGCCAGATGTACCCCCCTGGTTTCCTGTTTGGGTGAACGTGTGACTTGCCACTTACAGTCAAAGGATCCTGACTCATTCAGGGTTAAAAGTCACATCCTTAGGGGATACCTGCCTTAAAGAACCCAAGACAGCAGGCCAGAGACATGGGGCCTGGGTCAGGAGGAGCCAGCCCCCTGAGTCAAGGAAGGCTGGATGTGCACCTTTGTCCCAGGCTTTGCTTGAGCAGAGGGCCAGGTGTATTTGATATTTGCCACAAAGAATACAATCCTTAACCTGGCTGCCCTTGTGAGACTCCAACTGTAGCAAAGAAAGATTAGGAAACAAACATCCCAGTCACCATGGAAATGTGAACCCAAGGTGTTAGGAACAATAGCTGTGTGAGTCCGGAAGTGGATTCTGTCCACACACATGTTGGTTTGATCCCCCATCTATTTCCTTGTGGGGGCCTGGGCATATCTGTGAACGTATGATATAGCCAGCTGCTCTAGGGCTGGGTGCCACCTCCCATTAGCCTTGGTTTCATCATCACCAAAATAGCTGTAAACCTAATACACTGCTTATGCATGTCAGAACCTCCTTACAGCCTCCCTCGGAGGTAAATATTATTTTTATCTTAATTCCACAGATGAGAAAACAGAAGCTCAGGGAGGTTCCTAAACTTTCCCAAGGTCACAGTTGTTGATGGAAGAGCCAGGGTTTGAACCCAGCCCGTTGAGTCTGTGCTTTTTTAACCACCACGTTCCTCACGTTGGTGTTGACAAAAAATATTACTAAAAGTAGTTCATTCTTACTCTACATGTCTTATTTCAATTCTGCCACAAACCTATGAGGCAAGTACAACTGGTTAATTCCATCTTATAAACGAGGAAGCTGAGGCACAGAAGACTTAGGAATCTTGCCCAAGTTCCACCGTCAGTAGGAGGCAAAAGTACATTTGGGGGTTACTTTTTTCAGGTGGATTTGAAATGATAATGTGTCTTAAATTTAATTTGGAAGCCAAGAATGGGTGATAACTGTAATTTTTTCTTTTCTTTTCTCCTTCCCCTCCCCTCCTTTTCTTTTCTATTCTTTTCTTTTCTCCCTCCCCTTTTTTCTTTTCTTTTCTTTCTTCTTTTCTTTTCTTATTATTTTTTGAGACAGAGTCTTGCTCTGTCACCCAGGCTGGAGTGCAGTGGCACGATCTCGGCTCACTGCAACCTCTGCCTCCTGGGTTCAAGTGATTGTCCTGCCTCAGCCTCCCGAATACCTGGGATTATAGGTGCACGCCTTGTATTTTTAGTAGAGACAGCATTTCACCATGTTAGCCAGGCTGGTCTCGAACTCCTGACCTCAGGTGATCAGCCTGCCTCGGCCTCCCAAAGTGCTGAGATTACAGACATGAGCTACCACGCCCGGCCTAATTAATTAATTTTTTTGAGATGGAGTCTCACTCTGTTGCCCAGGCTGGAGTGCAGTGACACCATCTCAGCTCACTGCAACCTCTGCCTTCCCAGGCTTGGGTGATCCTCCCACCTCAGCCTTCTGAGTAGCTGGGACTAGAGGTGCACACCACCAGGACTGGCTAATTTTTTTTTATTTTTTTTATTTTTGTAGAGACGGTTTCACCATGTTGCCCAGGCTGGGATAAGTGTAATTTCTAAATCTGGCTTTCATCAGTGGTGATGTTCTTCATGTGTAGATTTATACTAGGGAAACAAATCAGGAGGGGGAACAAGGTGGACAGAGAATAATAGCAACTTGATTTGCCTATTATCCCTGGAAAACCATATCCTGGAACTCACTAGCATGTAAGTAATTGGAAAATGTTAAAGCAAAAGAGCCAGGTTTAGAAACAAAATCACACCATCAAGTCTATGTAAATGAGTTCCTCGGTGAAGAGAAAAGCAAATGCACTGCTGTTTGTGGGCTGGCTGGCTGTGTCCCAAGTGCTGCAGAGTGGGAGTCTGGGACCAGTTGTTTTTTCATTGAGGGCCCCTTACAAGGCACACTCGGGTTGTTCAGACTCCATGAAGCTCATGAATTGGCTCAATAACAAAAAGCATGAATCATTTGAACGTGAAGGTACAGGGACATCTGTTTGAGTAATTTCTGACAGTTTTTTTTTCCTTTTTGAAAATGTGTTATATTTAGGATTTACTTGAGAAATAAGGTGGACTTGGGGACTGACAGCCCATCAGTTTCATGGGAACAGGGCCTGTGTCTTTTTATTGCTCTTTTTGTGTATGTCTGTAGACAATAGGTGCTCAATAAGTACTTTGTGTAAATGGTGACTTTAGGAGCACCTGGATTCTGCCCCAGGAGATTCCTGAGGGGCTGGCAGGTAACCAAAGGCTAATGGAGGTTTACAGCCAAGTTCCAGATGGTTCAGGGGCCCGAACCCCTGGGTGGAGCCTCTCTTGGGCCATATACCCATTCCCATGCCTGGCTGTCCCCCATCCCTTAGACCGTGGCTGCTGCTGCTGGACTGTGTTCTCTTGTGCAGATATTAACGGTGCCAAATAGTGCCAGGGCCCAGGTTGCAGTGGGCTCCTTATTGTCCTGTAATCTCAGCACTTTGGGAGGCCGAGGCAGGCTGATCACCTGAGGTCAGGAGTTCTTATTGTCTAGCCCAGAGGTTGCAAACTGACCTACACACTATTTTTTTTTTCTTTTTTTTGAGACGGAGTCTCGCTGTCTCTCCCAGGCTGGAGTGCAGTGGCGCGATCTCGGCTCACTGCAAGCTCCGCCTCCCGGGTTCACGCCATTCTCCTGCCTCAGCCTCCCGAGTAGCTGGGACTACAGGCGCCCGCACCTCACCTGGCTAATTTTTTGTGTTTTTAGTAGAGATGGGGTTTCACTGTGTTAGCCAGGATGGTCTCGATCTCCCGATCTCGTGATCCGCCCGCCTTGGCCTCCCAAAGTGCTGGGATTACAGGCGTGAGCCACTGCGCCTGGCCCCTACACACTATTTTAAAAATCGGGAAATTTCACGTAACCTTTCTGATTTAAGACTTCTTTTAGATAATTCAAAGTTTTGGCGACATTAGGTAAGAATTTTTGTGTAGCAGCATTTGTCTGCAGTTAATTTTTTTCTTTTTTTTGAGACGGAGTCTTGCTCTGTTGCTCAGGCTGGAGTACAGTGGCATGATCTTGGCTTACTGCAACCTCTGCCTCCCAGGTTCAAGCAATTCTCCTGCCTCAGCCTCACAAGTAGCTGGGCACACGCCACTGCACCTGACTAATTTTTGTATTTTTAGTAGAGCTGGGGTTTTGCCATGTTATCCAGGCTGGTCTCGAACTCCTGACCTCAGGTGATCCACCCACTTTGGCCTCCCAAAGTGCAGTTAAATATTGATTGTCTCTTTTGTGGCAAGATTCCAGTCTCTTCCTTTTACCACAGGCCACAATAGTTCCTCTTGTCTCATATCAAGTCCCCTTTACTCATTTATATCACCTGACCAGCCTCTGGTTTCAGGGCCTGTCTTCTGTAGTGTATTTGCCTTACCTTTTTTTTTTTTTTTTTTGAGACGGAGTCTCACTCTGTCACTCAGGTTGGAATGCAGCCGCGCGATCTTGGCTTACTGCAATCTCCGACTCCCAGGTTCAAGTGATTCTCGTGTCTCAGCCACTTGAGTAGCTGGGATTACAGGCATGTGCCACCATTCCCAGCTAAGTTTTGTATTTTTAGTAGAAATGGGGTTTCATCATGTTGGCCAGGCTGGTCTCGAACTCCTGCACTCAAGTGATTTGCCCCCGTTGGCCTCCCAGAGTGCTGGGATTACAGGCGTAAGCCATCTTGCCTGGCCTGTATTTGCCTTACAAACTGCAAGTGATCTAAAAAGAACAAATTCTCATTTGAAAAAATAAGCACTATGGCCAGCACAGGACTGACTTAAAACATAATTTCAATAGGCACTGATTTTGTCATTTAATGCTGAGAAGAGGCAAAAACCCTATATGGATTCTTAGAAATAGGACTATGTTGGAATGGAAGAGATGGCAGGCATTGATTTGGAGTCTCCAGCATACTAAAGGGAAGGGCTTTCTTCAAGGAAATGAAAAGTGATAAAGAAAGCTACTTGATAGAAGTATTCAGGGGCTTGAAGGCCTTTCAACTTCAGGGAGCCGGAGAGGGGGAGGGAACTGAGGAGGGCAGGTCGGGTGGGGTGGGGAAGAGAGAGAGACCCTTCCATCTCAGCCTTCCCCACTCCCCATGGGAACACTGGAAAATAGAAAGGACAAAGGAAATGGAAGCAAGTGCGCTGGGAAATGCCCAAGTTTCAGCTTGAATGATGCTGTTTACATGTTCTTACAGGAAAGACTATTATGGGCCAGCTGTTAATGGGTTGTCTGTCTGTCAAGAGAGAGAGGGATGGAGGAAGGGGCTGGAGTTGAGGGATGGAGGAAGGGGCTGGAGTTAAGGCATGGAAAGGGCTCTAAGCCTTGCTTCTTGCATTTCCTGTCTTTAAACTTACGAACTAAAGGGCTTGAGGGTGAGGGGGTGCTGATCTAGGGAGGAAGGAGGTTGCTTTCTGTGTGCGTGTTTTTCTGTTTCATGTCCTGACTATTTCCTGGGTCCAGAGAGGGTTTTCTGGTCTGAAGAGGAGAGTGTGCCCCTCACAGTAGATGGGGTGACAGACAGTTCTGCCCTCTGCTGTGCTGGTGACAGCCGGGAGGGTCAGACTTTATCAGTTTCCTGGGTGGAGGGTGGACGGGAAGCGGGGGGCCTTCTGCTGAAGATCTCAATTAAACTTTGGACTGGCTCATCCAGGGAGGTGGCGCGATTTCCTCTGGAGGTTTAAAATAAATAGCAGGTACTTGATTTCATCTGGAATGGAGGGTGTGGCCCTGCCTGGCACTGGGATGGACCCAATGGTCTCCCCAGCCTTCTTTGTTCTGATACTACACACCCCACCCCTCAACCGCCTGAGAAATTTCTGGAACTGCGTTTAGTCTCAGTACATTAGGATTATTGCTAGAAATAAAGCATCCCTGGATCCTTTGGCTTCTTGGACAATATGCAGGAAAACACCCGCCTTCTCTTAGACATGTAGGGTTCGCGCCGTTGACCTGAGCTTCAGTGCCAGAGAGTCGAGCAAAGAGAATATCACTTTTACTTAAAAGTGAACTGCACGGGGGTTGACTCTTTCAAGGCCTGAGATTGATGCACTCTAATTTGCCATCTGGAATTGGTTAGCCACATTCTTCTGGGCTCTGATGAGAAATGATGACCCCGGAGAAGGGTGGTCATATGGCCAGTGTCAGGATTAATAGAATCCCCTTTCATTCTTGAAAGGGTCCCTGTTTGGGCAATAAAGTTGATGGTTACTCTACCATGAAAGAGCAGAAAAAGCTGAGCAGAAAACTTTGTTTTGGAAAAGGGGGTGTTGAAGCCAAGGCATTAGAGAAACGTGATTTTTCATTTAATTATATATATAGTTTTCTTTTTTGTAATCTAAATGACATGTGCAACCTTCAGAGCCTGACTCCTTGCTGGAAAGAGAGAAAGGAGGTTTTGTTACTGAGAAGCTTATTTTAAAAGTCAAGTCGGGTATAATAAAATAAATGAAATAAATAAAAGAGCTCCCCAGTTAAGGGCCTTTCCCATGCTGGGGCTTCGGGATAACAAGAGCTTGAACTGCCTTCTGTCACATGGGGCAGGTCCTTAAGGAGCAGAAGGTTTTTTTTTTTTTTTTGAGACACAGTCTCACTCTGTCACCCAGGCTGGAGTACAGTGGTGCAATCTCAGCTCACTGCAACCTCCGCCTCCCGGTTTCAAGCGATTTTCCTGCTTCAGCCTCCCAAGTAGCTGGGACTACAGGCACCTGCCACCGTACTTGACTAAATTTTTTGTATTTTTAGTAGAGATGGGGTTTTGCCGTGTTGCCAGGCTGGTCTCAAACTCCTGACCTCAGGTGATCCGTCTGCCTCAGCCTCCCAAAGTCCTGGGATTACAGGCATGAGCCACTGCACTAGGCCTGGTTTATTATTATATTTTAAGTTCTGGGATACATGTGCAGAACGTGCAGGTTTGTTACATAGGTATACATGTGCTATGGTGGCTTGCTGCATCCATCAACCCATCACCTACGTTTGGTTTTTCTCCTAATGCTATCCCTCCCCTAGCCCCCCACCCCCTAATAAGCCCCGGTGTGTGATGTTCCCCTCCCTTTGTCCATGTGTTGTTATTGTTCAGCTCTCACTTATGAATGTTTGGTTTTATGTTCCTGTGTTAGTTTGCTGAGAATGATGGTTTCCAGCTTCATTCATGTCCCTGCAAAGGATGTGAACTCATCCTTTTTTATGGCTGCATAGTATTCCATGGTGTATATGTGCCATGTTTTCTTTATCCAGTCTGTCATTGATGGGCATTTGGGTTGGTTCCAAGTCTTTGCTATTGTGAACAGTGCTGCAATAAACATACGTGTGCGTGTGTCTTTATAGTAGAATAATTTATAATCCTTTGGGTATATACCCAGTAATGGGACTGCTGGGTCAAATGGTATTTCTGGCTCTAGATCCTTGAGGAATCACCACATTGTCTTCCACAATGGTAGAACTAATTTACATTCCCACCAACAGTGTAAAAGCATTCCTATTTCTCCACATCCTCTCCAGCATCTGTTTCCCGACTTTTTTTTTTTTTTTTTTTTTTTTTTTTTGAGACGGAGTCTCACTCTGTCACTCAGGCTGGAGTGCAGTGGCAGGATCTCCGCTCACTGCAAGCTCTTTCCTCTGGGTTCATGCCATTCTCCTGCCTCAGCCTCCTGAGTAGCTGGGACTACAGGCGCCTGCTACCATGCCCGGCTAATTTTTTTGTATTTTTAGTAGAGACGGGGTTTCACCATGTTAGCCAGGATGGTCTCGACCTCCTGACATCATGATCTGCCCGCCTCAGCCTCCCAAAGTGCTGGGATTACAGGCATGAGCCACCACGCCCGGCCTTCCCAACTTTTTAATGATCACCATTCTAACTGGCATGAGATGGCATCTATTGTGTTTTTGATTTGCATTTCTCTAATGACCAGTGATGATGAGCTTTTTTTTAATATGTTTGTTGGCCACATAAATGTCTTCTTTTGAGAAGTATCTGTTCATATCCTTTGCCCGCTTTTTGATGGGGTTGTTTTTTTCTTGTAAATTTAAGTTCTTTGTAGATTCTGGACATTAGCCCTTTGTCAGATGGATAGATTGCAATTTTTTTTTTAAGTGACGTGGTCTCACCACGTATCCCAGTCTAGACTTGAACTCCTGAGCTCAAGCAATCTTCCTGCCTCAGCCTCCCTAGCTTCCAAGTAGCTAGGATTACAGGCTCAAGCCACTGTGCCCAGCCAGGAGCAGTTTTGAAAGGCAAAAGGACCATGACTGAATGCTGCATATCTAGAACATCCAGGAATGCAGATGCCCAGGCCAAAGGGCTCTGGGGTCGGAGCAGGCAGGATTGTGCCGGGGGCTCTCAACCCTTTGCTGGGGGCCACTTGTTCTCTCCTTAACCGTGGACTATTGCAAAGGGTGGAGATCGGAGACTGGAAAAAAATCCGTGTTCTAGTCCCTTGTTGCGTGCTTCCTGGTGGACTGACCTGTAGCAGATAGCCCTCCTCCTCCGGCCTCAGCTTCCTCGTCTGTGACGTGGGCAGGGTGCCGTCATCTATCCCCGGGGCTTCTGTGAGAATCAAATGGAGAAGAGCAAAGGCCACGTGAGGGGTTGGCTCTGTGGTCCCTGTGCTCATAGACTGCGGTTTCCTACGGGCAAAAGGGGAAAGTGACCCTAGAACACCTTTGTGTCAGGGATGCATGCCAGATGGCCTTTAGTGCACTCTCTTCCCAGCCCTGTCAGCAACTGACAGGTTCAATAAGACTTTGCCAAAATGTTCAACTAGCTTTTCCTGATGCGGGTCTTTCTTCAAATTCTGTCCCACACCGTTAACTGCAAACTTCTTTCAGAACACCTTTCACGAAAATGAAGCTGGCATAGCTGTGGAAAGAGTTGATGGTAGTGTTGTATATAATTGTGAAAATTGGCATAGTGGTGGGCACATAGGGGATGTTCATTCATTCACCCAGTGAGCCTTTCACTGTGCCCAGGCCCTGAGACAGTCGGGGTGGCTGGGAACATGGTCTTTGCCTTGATTGTGGAATTGCCTGCTTGAGGGAATGGCCTGCAAATCACACAGGTGGAGAGGAGGAAGAGCCGTTTTCCTCCGCCCTCTTAGGTTCATTGGTTGGGGGTTACAAATGAAGTTGACAAAAGATTAACAAGAGAAAAAATGGATTTAATTGGATTCTTAGGCACTGGAGTTCATAGGGAAATGTGGCTCAAGGAGGCAGCTAGGATTTGGGGCTTATATACCATCTTAGGCTAAAAAAGAAAAGGAGTTTTGGGCTTCTGGAGGGTAGGGAAGCCATGGGAAGGTAAGGGGAGGAAATGTATGGTAAATAAGGGTTGTTTAGTAGGTAAGAGTTGTCTCAGGTGCTAAGAGTTGTCTGCTTTTCTTCCTGCTGTGGGGGAGGAGGGAGACATCTTTACAAGTAGAAATTTATGCCCTGCTTTTAGGCAGAAGAAGGGCAGAGAGCTAATTGCCTTCAGCTGAAAACAATTCTTATGCCAAAGTGGTATATTTTCGGGTGGCATATTTTGGTCCCCTTTATTAATAACTTACACCCTATTAAAGAAGAATAACGACTGAGTGACCAGAGATTGAATGCTGAGTGGAAAAGTTTTACTGCCAGGTGGGGAGCCCGATCTAGCTTAGTCTCAGCTCTGAGGGATGGAATCGGAGCGGGGGCAGGAATGATGTAGGTTTTTCATAGCTGAAAGCCCACAAGCTGTGCTGCATTGACGTCAGGAAGGCAGTCTTGCCGAGCACTGGTGCCTGCCTGGCCACACCTGAGCTTGTCAGTGAGCTGGGTACCTGACTGGCTGACAGTGCTCTCCTGCATCCAAGAGCTGCCCTGGCATCATGGTGCCCAGTGTGTCTGCTGCACACGAGATACACCAAAGCAGGTGATATGGTTAGGGCTTTGTGTCCCCACCCAAATCTCATCTTGAATTGTAACCCCCATAATCTCCACGTATCAAGGGAGGGACAAGTTGGAGGAAATTGAATCATGGGGATGGTTTCCACCTTGCTGTTCTTGTGAACTATCTTGTGATAGTGAGTGAGTTCTCATGAGATCTGATGGTTTTATGAGGGGCTCTTTCCCCTTGGCTTGGCACTTCTCCTTCCTGCCACCTTGTGAAGAAGGTGTCTTGCTTCCCCTTTGCCTTCCGCCATGATTGTAAGTTTCCTGAGCTCCCCCCGCCCCCAGCCATGCTGAACTGTGAGTCAATTAAACCCCCTTCCTTTATAAATTACCCAGTCTCGGGCAGTTCTTATAGCAATGTGAAAACAGACTAATAGGCCAGGCGCAGTGGCTCACGCCTATAATCCCAGCACTTTGGGAGGGTGAGGTAGGCGGATCACCTAAGGTCAGGAGTTCAAGACCAGCCTGGCCACCATGATGAAACCCTGTCTCTACTAAAAATACAAAAATTAGCTGGACATGGAGGTGTGCCTGTAATCCCAACTACTCAGGAGGCTGAGACAGGAGAATTGCTTGAACCTGGGAGGTGGAAGTTGCAGTGAGCTGAGATCACACCACTGCATTCCCACCTGGGTGAAAGAGCAAGACTCCATCTCAGAAAATGGACTGATACAGCAGGATTGTGGCACCCAGGGAGGTGTGCTCTGTGTCGGCATGTTAGGTGGCCAGGTCGAGTTTGTCCCATCTGATGGGTTATGTACCTATTAAAATAATATAGAATCATGAAAAATAATATATAAACTCATAAATGCAAGAAGTAGAACATTACAAAATCCCAACTATAGTGCTTAGAAACCCTTTGACAGCAACTGATAGCAACTCAAATATAATTAGTGTATACAAAAAAGAGAATTTATGGATTCATATGTCTGGGAGTATTCCTGGATTTCTGGATCCAAGGATTCAAACAATGTTCCCAGTTTTTCTTTTTTTTTTTTTTTTTCTTTCTGTCCCTATCTCTCAGCTTGCTTGTCTTTCCTCTGCTTAATTCTTGGCTGGGTCAGGGGGTCAAAGAACAGCTTGCTTAACAACCCCAAGGCAAATAGAGCTTCTTTTCTGAAAACCAGCAGGAAAGTCACGGAAAGGACTCTCTTGGGAAGGATGGTGGGGGTCATGTGGAATGACTTACTGAAGAAGGGGATGAAGGAGTGCCACACAGTGAAAACCACAACTGTGTGAGCACGAGGCACCCCTGATAGGACCTAGTGGTTCATCAGTCACTTCTCTGCCTGAGTGGTAGGAGCCTAGATTTTATAGTTGTTTTCAATGACAAAAATCATAGTTTATAAAAGAGCATAATCTGACCCAGAGGTGTCCTTTCTGTCACGTTATGATTGGGGACAAAGTAGACATGCTCTTCAGCTTGATCATATAGTAGCTACCAGGGTTTAGTACACTGTCTCTATAAAGGGCAGATGATAAGTAGTTAAGGCTTATGAGCCATATGGCTTCTGTTGCAGGCACTCAGCTCTGCCATTGTAGTTTGAAAGCAGCCACAGGCTATACCTAAAGAAATGGGCATGACAGTGTGCCAATAAAACTTTATTTACAAGAACAGGTGTTGGGCCAGATTTGGCCCACAGGCCTTATCTTGCCATCCCCTTGATATAAACATGACTGAAAAATTTATATTCTAATAGACCATAAGACACTGCTCTAAAGTAAATTGTATATTTTTAAATCATGTGTCTGATAAGGAGTTAAGATGCAAAATATATAAGGAACTCCTACTATTCAATAACAACAACAACAGCAACAAAAAACCTGATTAAAAAATGAGCAAAGGAATTGAACAGACATTTCTCCAAAGAAGGTATACAAATGACTATAAGTATATGAAAAGATGCTCAATATCACTAGTCATTAGAAAAATGCAAATCAAAACCTCAATGTGTTGCCTGGGCAACAAAGTGAGACCCCCATCTCTACAGAAAAAACAAAAAATTAGCCGGGCATGGTGGCTTGGGCCTATAGTCCTAGCTACACAGGAGGCTGAGGTGGGAGGATCATTTGGACCCAGGAGGTCGAAGCTGCAGTGAGCTGTGATTGCAATACTGCACTCCAGCCTGAGCAACAGAGTTGAGACCCTGTCTCAACAAAACAAAACAAAAACCCAAAAAACCACAATGAGCTGTCACCTCATACCTGTTAGGACAGATATTATAATAAAAACAAAAAATAACTTGTTGATGAAGATGTGGAGAAATGGGAACAGTTGTGCACTGTTGGTGGGGATATAAAATAGCATAGTCAGCTACTATGGAAAATAGTATGGAGGTTCCTCAAAAAATTAAAAGTAGGATTACCACATGGTCCAGCAATCTCACTTCTGGGTTTTTATCCAAAAGAATTCAAGGCTGGGCGCGGTGGCTCGCACCTGTAATCCCAGCACTTTGGGAGGCCGAGGTGGGTGGATCACGAGGTCAGAAGATCAAGACCATCCTGGCCAACATGGTGAAATCCCGTCTCTACTAAAAATACAAAAAAATTAGCTGGGCGTGGTTGCGTGTGCCTGTAGTCCCAGGTACTCTGGAGACTGAGGCAGAAGAATCTCTTGAACCCAGTAGGCGGAGGTTGCAGTGAGCCAAGATCGCACTACTGCACTGCAGCCTGGCGACAGAGCAAGACTCTTTCTTAAAAAAAAAAAGAATTCAAATCGGGATCTCAAAGAGATATTTGCACTCCCTTGTTCATTGCAGCATTATTCATAATAGCCGAGAGGTGGAAACAACCTCAAAGTCTATAGGTAAATGAATGAAATGAAAAAACTGTGGCGTGTTCGTGCAATGGAATACTATCCAGCCTTATTAAAAAGGAAATCCTGCCATAGCCACAACATGTATGAACTTGTAGGACATTATCGTAAGTAAAATAAGCTAGTCACAGAAGAACAAATAATGCACAATTCCATTCATATGAGAAATTTATAGTAGTCAAACTCATAAGAGAATGGTGGTTGCCAGGGGAGAGGGAAATGGAGAATTGTTGCTCAGTGGGTATAAAGTTTCTGATATACAAGATGAGAAAGTTTGAGAGGTCTGCTGTATAACATTGTGCTTATAGTTAATCATACTGTGCACTTAAAAATTTGTTAAGGCCGGGCGCGGTGGCTCACGCCTGTAATCCCAGCACTTTGGGAGGCCGAGGCGGGCGGATCACGAGGTCAGGAGATTGAGACCATCCTGGCTAACATGATGAAACCCCGTCTCTACTAAAAAAATACAAAAAAGTTAGCTGGGCATGGTGGCGGGTGCCTGTAGTCCCAGCTACTCGGGAGGCTGAGGCAGGAGAATGGCGTGAACCCGGGAGGCAGAGCCTGCAGTGAGCCGAGATCATGCTACTGCCCTCCAGCCTGGGTGACAGAGCGAGACTCCATCTCAAAAAAAAAAAAAAAAAAAAAAAAAAGAAAAAAAGATAAATTTGTTAAGAGAACAGATCTCATGTTGTGTTTTTTAAAATCACAATAAAAATATACAGTTATCCCTTAGTATCCTTTGGTCATTGGTTCCAGGTCCCCCCTTATATACTAAATCCATGGATGCTCAAGTCCCTGATATAAAGTGACATAGTATTCACATATAACTTATGCACATCATCATCCAAACTCTAATCTCTGGATTACTTATAATACCTCATACAATGTAAATGCTGTGTAATAGTTGTTATACTGTGTTGTTCAGGGAATAATGACAAGAAAAAAGTCTATATGTGTTCAGTACAGACGGCTTTTTTTTTCCCCCTCAAGAGTTTTCAGTTGGAGGGTGGTTGAATCCATGGATGTGGAACCTGTGGATAGGGAGGGCTGACTGTATGTGTATACCAAATCATGTAAATTTTATAATAGTTTATTTTTTGTTCCTGATGTAATGGGAAGCATTTGGAAAACATAAAATTGATCCCATCACAAAAGAGGAATTAAGATTGCCTTGGGTTAAGGGTTAAGTAATGTCCTATCACCAGTTAATCTGCCAAGGATGTTGGTCATGGCCACATTCAAGAAGTGGTGTCTGGAGGCCACAATGAGATGGCCCAGTTCAGACATCGGCTAGAATTGTGTGGCAGAGCGTACAATTATGTCACGAATTTGGGATTAGCATGGCATACCTAGTTGAGGTTTAAAGCTCCCTCCTGCACCTTCCAAAGCAGGTGTTGCTTGGGGTTGAAAACCTTCACTGTTTGGTCAACAGAAGGCCCTCACAGCTCTGATGGGAATGTCACCTGAGAAGGGCTGGTCTCCTCGTGGATTTGCATTTCCGCACCTTCAGACACTGCCTCAGCCAGCTGCTGTTTTAACTGGCACAGAGGGCCTCGCTGAGAGCCTCTTGGGTTCTATCCAGATCTGAGAAGGAATCTGGGATGCCGGGGTCAGATCCGTGCCCTGGCCCGAGGATGGGATTTTGTACCCCGTTGCTTTCTGCAGTTGTGATGAGGTGGTGCTTGGCAATGGCCTGGAGCTCGGCATCTGAGTGACTGTCCGTCCTAGGGCGTCCAACTCCAGACCTCTCTTACCCAGGCCAGCGGAGGGCGGAAACTCTGAGAACATTCCATTAGAATAAGATACGTTTAATAAGAGCAATGGAAAATGGTAAACCTGACTTGGGGAAAGGGAATGTGCTCTTTCATGTAAAACAAACAAACAAAAAATGTGACTGTGAGAAGCATCCAGAAAAATACGATGACCTGGAGGCTGGATTTAAAATTGGCACTGAGGGAAATCTCATTTCCACAGTCGATGACTCCCCCTTCAGCTATGTTCATGCCAGTGGAGCAAACCAAAATAACTTTATAAATTAAAGTTTATGTAGTCAGGAAAGCTATGCCTGGACTATCACACACCAGATGAAACCCTTGAAGGCTTTGTTTACAACCGACATCCTGGGGTTGGAGGTTAATAGTGTCTGGAGAAGGTTAGGTCATGCACATGTTTAATAGCAATTAAAACAAAATCACTGGTGATGGTCAAAGAGACACAGCTATGTTTATTTACTATAGTTTATGCCACCTTTGTTTGTTTGTTTGTTTTGCCCTCTGGAAAAAATGTCTTTGTCCTGCCATAATTAATTGTAACCAGCTTTTGTTTAGAGGGGGCCACATGGAAACTGCTCAGAGAGCTCAAAGTGTGTTGGCAAGTGGTGACTTGTAACTAGTACCTCAATCATTTTCTTTTATGATACACATAATAGAAGGATGCATTTGGGATGTAAAAGTTTCAAATTATAGGGGCACATATATATACAGACAATCATGAAAGTCCCCCCCACCCTGCCTGGCTGCTGACATTTGGTGATAATCTTTCCAGACATCTTTCTAAATGCTGACTGTTTATATGTGAGTGAACAAGTGTTTATATCCATATGCACACAAATACGTAATTAGCTTTATTTTTATTTTAATTTCTTTTGAGACAGGGTCTCAGGCTGGAGTGCACTGGTGTGATCATAGCTCACTGCAGCCTCAACCTCCTGGACTCTAGCAATCCTCCCACCTTGGCCTCTGAAGGAGCTGGGACTATAGGCATGTACCACCACACCCAGCCAATTTTTAAATTTTTGTGTGGAGAAAGGGTCTTGCCATGTTGCCCAGGCTGGTCTCAAACTCCTGGGCTCAAGCAATCCTCCTGCCTCTGCCTCCCAAAGTGCTAGGATTATAGAAGTGAGCCACTATCGCTGGCTGTTGTCGTTATTTTTGATCCATAAAAAGAGGGTCATGATGTGTGTGTTGATGTACAGCTTGCTTTTTTCACTTACACATCCAGAGTTCCTTCACACTGGCCCATGTGCAGATGACATTTTTTTAATCCTGCAGGGCGTTCCATAATATGAATTCTGTTCCTAATTTATTGAGCCATTTCCTCACCCTTTCTTTTTGATACTAAATGAAGCAATGATAGCATGAGATTATGAATGTGCCTTGTGGAGCTTAGACTGCCTGGCTTTGAAACAGGACTTAGACTAGATGAGTGACCTAGGGCAGGGGGTGGCAAGCTATAGCCTCCATGGCAAATCCACCCCGCTGTGTTTCTGTAGGGCCTGTGAGGCAAGACTGATTTTTTCATTTTTAAATGGTTAAAAAAAAAAGGTAAGTATTTCCTAATATATGAAAACGGTGTGAAATTCAAAATTCAGTGTCCATTAACTTGTTTTGTTGAACAGCATGCTCATTTGTGGATCTATTATCTAGGGCTTTTTTCATGCCACAGAATTGAGTAGTTGTGACAGAGACCATATGGCCCACCTAGAATATTTACCATCTGGCCTTTTACAGAAAACATTTGCCGACCTCTGACCTAGGGCAAGTTACTAATCTCTCCATGTCTCAACTTTCTTTTCTTTAAAATGGAGATACTAGCTGGGCGCGGTGGCTCATGCCTGTAATCCCAGCATTTTGGGAGGCTGAGGTGGGTGGATCACCTGAGGTCAGAAGTTCAAGACCAGCCTGGTCAACATGGTGAAACCCCGTCTTTACTAAATATACAAAAAAATTAGCCGGGCATGGTGGCGGGTGCCTGTAATCCCAGCTACTCAGGAGGCTGAGACAGGAGAATAACTTGAACCCAGGAAGCGGAGGTTGCAGTGAGCCGAGATCGTGCCATTGTGCTCCAGCCTGGGCAACAAGAGCGAAACTTCGTCTCAAAAAACAAAAAACGAAAAACAAAAAGGAGATACTAATAATACCTACCTTGTAGGGTGAAGTGACTTAATATATATATCAAATAAATATCATATGTAGAATACCTACTTTGTAGGCTTATCTAAGTTACTTAGTACATATATCAAATAAATATTATGTGACACACCAGGTATATCATGTATCAAATATGTATGAATTGTGTGTAAACACTTTAAACATTTTATTTTATTTTATTTTACTTATTTGAGATGGAGTCTCACTCTGTTGCCCAGGCTGGAGTGCAATGGCGCGATCTCGGCTCACTGCAATCTCCATCTCCCAGGTTCAAGCAATTCTCTTGTCTCAGCCTCCTAAGTAGCTGGGACTACAGGTGCGCTCCACCATGCCCATCTAATTTTTTAAATATTTTTAGTAGAGATGGGGTTTCATCATGTTGGCCAGGCTGGTCTTGAACTCCTGACCTCAGGTGATCTGCCTACCTCGGCCTCCCAAAATGCTGGGATTATAGGCGTGAGCCACTGCGTCCAGCTGACTTTGAACTTTTTAAATGCTCAAAAAAGTTTACTATTACTGTGTCATTGTTATTGTAAGTGCATAACTCTTTGTGCACGTGTGCAAGGATGTCACAGATACCTGGCAGTGGGCTTAAAGATGAAGGGTCTTAACAAATTGCCTTCCAGAATGGCCCCACTAAGTCATGCTCCCAACAGTGGAGTCTCTGCTTTCCCGCATTCTTGGCAACTCTGGATAGGGACTAGGGCTTAGAAAAGAACACTGAATCCTCAAAGAGCCTCTGACCTCCACAGAGGCTCTTCAGAGTCTAGGAGTGCTGTGCCCAGACCTGTGGGGTGAATCTCCCTGGAAAGCCTTCAGTCAGAACATGCTCATTGTTTGTTGAGTGAGAGTCTCTTCTGTGTTAAGCCTTTGACCTGTAAATTTTCATTTTACAGATGAAGAAACTGAGGGGCTCAGAGAAATTAAATCACCTGCTCCAGGTCCTGAAGCTACTTGTGGATGTAGGGTTTGAACTCAGTTGTGGGGGCCTTCATACAACTTTCTTTGCCATTCTCCCTAATTCCAGGAAGGATAAGGCAACGTCAGAGATAGTCATTTTCTTTAACTTTTTCTTTTTCTTTTATTTGAGGCAGGGTCTCGCTCTGTCACCCAGGCTGGAGTGCAGTGGCGTCATCACAACCTATTACAACCTTGATCTCCCAGGCTCCAGGCATCCTACAGCCTCATTTAAATTTTTTTTTTTTTTTTGTACAGTCAAGGTCTCACTTTGTTGCCCAGGTCTTGAACTCCTGGACTCAAATGATCCTACTGCCTCGGCCTCCCAAAGTGCTGGGATTACAGGCATGAGCCACTGTGCCTGGCCCTACACCACATATTCCATCCACACTTTTTCCTTAAGTCAGCACCTTGATGACTGGATCAGAGCTACACACAAAATTGGAAGTGAACGTTGGAGAAAGTGGCTTAGTCATGACCTGTGTTTATCTCCTCTTGCTCTGAGTAAAGAGGATGTGTAATAGAGTATGTTACTATATTTTTCATATCCCGATGCCATAGCCTGTGCTGCCCAGTCACACTGAGAACAATGCAGTTCTCATAGATAACCCGTTGTTGGGTGATATGTCTATTTCTAGGCATCTCCACGCTCTCCTATCGAGGGCCTTTGCAACAGTATTTCCCATGTTCCATCAGCGCGTCTGCAAAACATGAAGCAGCTTCATTCACCCAGAGACTCCTGACCTTGTGCATGAGGGGAAAATGTTTCTGGTTTTGTGTGTGTTTTCAATGACGAACATTTGCATTCTTTCCTCCCCTCACTTTTTTTTTTTCTCACGTTGACATTAAGAAACAACAACAAAACGCTGCTTGCTCCCAAACTGTTTGAATTTAAAACTCTGAATCTTAATTTGCATAGACAGTAGTTCTTTACAAGGAATGTGAACCATTTGACAGAATTTCCTGAAGGAACAAAGAGCCATGATTTCCTGATTAAAACCATGTTAAAACAAAAAGCAGACTATAACCAAAAGGCTCTGTAAGAGTATTTCTTGTTCAATCAGATTTCAAAGGCAGCACAAGCTGGATGTTTATGGCATCACCAATGCCTTTCTGTGATGCCTGAGCTTTTCAAGAACATACTCAGAACTTTGTCTTAAGCCTGTCTTTACTCGGAGCTGTCTCCCGAAGCCTTGGCCTTCCTCTCCGCAGCTTCAGTTACTGAGTCACTGGAACAGAGGAAGAAGCCCAGGCTTCCATTCTGACAGGCTGCGAACATTTATCTGGAGTTGTAATTGTCATACTCCCACGTTATTTTCTTGCTGTCTTCTAAAGCGATGATGAAAGATGTCTGGGGGAAAGAAAATAAAACAAAAAACCTTCTAGCATCTACACACCTAAAGCAGGGTTTGTCAACCTTGACACCGTTGCCATCTGGGGCTGGATAATTCTTTGTCATGGGGGCCGGCCTGTGCGTTGGATGATGTTTAACAGCATCTGTGGCCTTTAGCTTCATAGTTATGACAACCAAAAATGTCTCCAGACTTTGTCAAATGTCCTCTTGGGGGTAAAATTGCTCCTGGTTGAGAACCACTCGCCTCGATTTTGGTGGTCTAGAATTTGCAAGCTGCTTCTCCGCCCTGTGCATATCCAATCCTCAGCCCTTCCACTAAGGATTAGAACTTGATTTTCTTCTTTTCATCCCACCCTCCCTGCCTTGAGATATTGCTGCATCTGGACAGATGTGCCAAGTACAATTCTGGCTCAGGTGACTGAAGTCTAAGTCAGACATATGTCTTCACTCTCCCTGACCATCCCTCTTGCTGCTGGCCTGCGTGGCGTGCTCGTGCCGATAGGGGCAGCTGTGTGAGTAGCAGGACCATCCTGGAGACAGCCATGCAAAGGGAAACCATCTGGGTGGGGTGAGCTTGCCAGCCCCAGCTACAGGTCCTGGTGGAGTTGACAGTTGATGGATCACTGTGCTGTGACCTCTGGGCAGCCCAGGCCTGCGACGGGCAGAGAGCTGTCTTGTTTCTCCTTTTGGAACCTGAAGGGCAGAGACAGGGTGAAGTTGCCAGGAGAGGCTTTCAGCTGGATCCTAGGGGCCAGCGTGCAGCCCTTTCCCAGGGCTGGGGGTAGGGGAGAAGTGTCTCTCTCTGGGCCGTGTGGATGGGCCAGAACCCTGAGCTGGGTGCAGAGGGCTACGCTGGAGAGGCGGGGAAGGGCACTGGACCGGGTGTCTCGAGACCTGGGCATGGTTTTAGTTCTACCCCGGGTAGCAGCACGATCTTGTGCAAATAGTGTCTTCCTTCTGGTCCTCATGTTTCTCGTAAAGCTGACTTCCAACTAGAACAGTCTACCTTTCTATTTTTCTCCTGATTTGTAGAAAAAGATGGTGCTGTTAAGAGACGGAAATGTGGCCTTCCTAAATTTGCTTTGAGTCCTGAGTTCCTGATTTGGGGGCAAGTGTCTGTGAAGGGCTTGGGGTCACTCTGTGGCTTTTGCCTCATTTTTATGGGTCGTAGAGGATACCTCAATAAATAGCATTTTTCTTCCCTGAACAAATTGAGAGATGAGGCCATGGTTGAAACTTTGAACTTTGGAACTTGCCCAGATGTATCAGGTCAGTCACCCTCCTCCCCTGGGGCCAATAAACCAAGTGTTCCAAAGGCCAGGTGGTCTTAGGGAAAATGATGGACCCTGAAGGGTGAGGGTCATGGCCAGTGTGGACTACAGAGGATCCCCTAGCCACACTGGAGAGGGGACAGTGCCCTGGTTTTCCTGATACGCCCCCTTAGTGCTCAAGGCTGGTTTCAACCCTGCTGTACTAATCTGCTGATGAGGGAGAGTTGGTGGCTCAGTGGTGACAGCACAGGTTTGACAGAGGGTGTCTACACCACCCAGTGCCCCCTTGAGCTCACATCTGAGGGTCTGTTGAGATTACAGAGGCCCTTGATAGAGTCCGAAATTTGAAGGACAAGCAAGGAAGATTGGAGCATCTGTGAACTATCTCCAGTTCAGCATTGCATTAGAAAAGGAATTACATCAGGTCACTGATGTCTTCTCCTAACTCAGTGATCTCCACAGCCCCCTGGATCCTGCCAGGCCTGTGGAGAAGAGGGACAAGCCAGCCTCCCCACCACCCCTGCCCTCCGTTCCTTTTATATTTAAATCAGAAGCTTAGGCTCCTCCGTGTAGCTGCTCTATTTTTCATGCCTCTTGCCTGGGTCTAAGCCCTGGAGCTTAGGGTGCTGTGATATGCTTGCGGGATGCTGCCCCACCACGGCTGGAACCAGGGCTTCAGCCCGGCGCACACCCAGCTCGTTTGGAGGTCACGGCTCACCATAAAAATGGTGTGAGTGGCCAGCTCTTTTTTCACTGTGGCTCTGGGCAGCCCAGCCCAGCTCCGGGGTGGATGCAAGGCCTGAGAGTGAACTTTGTTGTGAATGATGACACAATTCCAGAAAAATGCAGTGTCTCCCAGATACGGCTTCTGGAGCTTTGCCTGGGGTGGGGGGCTGGAGGTTGTTTAGTGTTTGGGTTCCTGGTGGTTCTTTGCCCCAGGGGTGTGTGTGTGTGTGTGTGTGTGTGTACACATGTGTGTGCGTGCATGCTTTTTCATGAGGCACACTTATTTTCAGATGTTCACATGGACTCTTTTTGAGATTCCCCAGGGGAAAAGGAGAAAGTACAGAAAGCCGTGACACCTGATGGAAAATATTACGCTTTAGTCAACAGGGCTGATGTGTCTCCTCTGACTTTGCCTTTAAACCAAACCACACCACAGCGGGGAAAGATGAGCCACACATGAGGCCTGCTGGGCCGGTGACTGTCCCCTAAAGTGGGACTCTTGTAATTCTAAGCGCCTTTGAAAAATGCTTTCAGAATCATCCAGTACTTGAGTTGTAGGGGGCCTGAAAGGTCATCTTGGCCCAGTGGCTTGTTTTAAAGGAGGAGGAAACTGAGGGCCAGAGAGGACCTATGACCCTCCCAGGGTTGCACAGCTAGAACTCAAATCCTGTCTCTTGATCCTCAGAGAAGGGTTTGGTCTGTTCTGTTCTGCCCTACTTTAGTTTTTAGACAGTGTATTGTGATAAGTTTTAGATTTTTTTTTTTGTACTCTGCTCTTATTCATTCAACAACTCTGGGGATTTACTGGGGAACAGGCAGACCTGGTCCTTGTGCTCAGGGGGCTTACAGCCTAATGGGAAAGGCAGCTTGGAACAAGAAACCGTGCATGGGATTTGTAGCGGGTGTGGCTATCTTATTTCTGGCCAGTATGGGGAGGGAGAAGGGGTGGGAGTTGATGGCTGGGGCACGGAGGATGTCATTTCAGCTCTGTGGCCTGGGTCAGGTGCCCAGCCCAGCAATCTGAGTGTGGATGACTCTGGACTATTTCTCCAGGAGGAGGTGGGATTCACAGGCAGAGACATATCAAAACAGGGACCTTGGGATGTATGATGTATTTTGTAAGAAAAAAATGGAAAAACAGGCCGGGCACGGTGGCTCACGCCTGTAATCTCAGCACTTTGGGAGGCTGAGACGGATGGATCACCTGAGGTCAGGAGTTCGAGACCAGCCTGGCCAATGTGGTGAAACCCCATCTCTACTAAAAATGCAAAAGTTAGCTGGGCATGTTGGCAGGTGCCTGTAATCCCAGCTACTCAGGAGGCTTAAGCAGGAGAATTGCTTTAACCCAGGAAGCCGAGATTGCGCCATTGCACTCCAGCCTGGGCGACAGAGCAAGACTCAGTCTCAAAAAAAAAAAAAAAAAAAGAAGGAAAAACAGAGTAGAGCAGGAAGCTCTGTGTATGTATGCGCAGGTAAGGTCGTCAGGTGGGAGGAGGCCAGGAGATGAGCCATTTGGAAGCCCGGAGGTGGCCTTGACTTCCCTGATGGGAGGAGAGAGAGCTGCTGGGAGAGATAGGATCCAGGGAGGGGTGTGGCACAGGCTTCTGGAGGGACAGCAGCTATGGCCAGAGGTGGATCTCTTATTCTCAGGGGTATCAGGGACCCAGGCTCTTTCCACTTGGAACACAAGATAGCAGGGGCCTTTGTCACCAGCAGGATGGAAGCTGACACACAGGACACCCCTTCCAGGAAGCTTTGTCACATCGACTTCACCTAACTCCAATGACCTCTCCCTTCTGAGTCCCTCTGCACTTAGAGGCTCTTTCTGTTTGGACTGAGTGGTGGTTTTGGAAAGGCTCTTGTGTGATTTTCACTGGCGTGGACTCTTCCCCAGATGCTCACTTTGTACTAACACCGCTGGCTCATTATCACAGAGTCATGGAGCAGGCACTGAGACTCAGAGAGCTCTGTGGCTGCGCAAGGTCAGGGTAAAGGTGGGACTTCAGCCTCACCAGACTCCAGAGCCTCTGGCCGTTCCCGCCATGCCTGCTGCCCCCTGTCCTGGTGTGTTTTCTGCCCATTCTCCCAGACACGGGCTCCTTGAGGGACAAGGTGGTGAGTTAGCCCTCTTGCTTCGAGCCATCATTTATCATGGATTGTGCTAGCAGTCGTAGGTACACAGACGAGCAAGGCCTGGCTTTGCCCTCGAGAGCTGACCGGGTTGTAGAAGCTGGGATGCAGGGAGGGCTCTGGGCCCAGGGAACAACCACTTGAGGCAGCCAGGGAAGGCTTCTTGGAGGAATGACACAGGAGCTGGCTTGGGCTATATAGTCTCTCACTTTGCTGAACTTCCATTTCCTAGTAAGTAACTTGGATATGACTGTGAAGTTATTGCAACCATTGTGTAAAATAGTTATTCAAGCAAACCAGTTTGAAACCCTTTGCAAATAGAAGACACCGAGACTTGGTATTGACAGTCCTCTGTCAGGAGAGGATCCCAGTCTTGGCCCAGCCTCCACTGCACACTGTCCCAGGAAAGCCTCCCAGAGCCACCCTCTCGCTGCCTGCAGGGCTGCCCTTCAGTGGCCTCGACTCCTGTGGAGACTCTGCATTCCCGGCCAGATTTGCCTTTCCCTCTGGGCGGACCCCCCCACACACCTCACAGCACCAGCCTGGGAGCTTGGGAGGGGGCGTGAAACCAGCAGGTGGGAGTCTGGAGTCCTGGCTCCGGTAGTCGCCAGCCACTTCTTGTCCCCTGGTCCCTCATCCTCCATCCTCTAGGCCTACTCTTCTCTTTGCAGAAAGGCTCCTTGGGGTTCAGAGAATGTAGGAAACTTGTTGGAGCTCACACAGCTGAGTAACAACCAGGCCCTGCTGCCTCCTGTACACAGTATTTCCTGCTGCTCTCTGGGTACATGGAGTGGGAAGGGGAGGCCCTGGGCCACAGCACCCCACCCCTCACCTCTATCGCACCCCACCCTTCACCCCTATTGCACCCCACCCCTCACCCGTCGCCTCTTTATTCTATCTCTGAGGTCGTGACTGTGTCTCTGGTAATGAATATTTTGCTTTGGAACATCCCCCCTCTTTTTATTGAGAGATAATTCACGTACCATAATATTCTCCACTTTAAAGTGTAAATTTAATAGTCTTTGTACATTCACAATGTTGTGCAACCATCACCACTATCTAATTCCAAAACACTTTCATCACCATCACCCCAAAAAGAAACCCTGGATCTAATAGCGATCACTTCCCACTTGCCCCTACCACGGTCCCTGGCAACCGCCAATCTGGGTTGTCTCTGGATTTATCTATTGTGGACATTTCACGTAAATGAAATAATACAATATGTGGCTTTTTGTATCTGGTTAATTTCACGTAGCATAGTGTTTTCAAGGTTCATCCATGTTGCAGCCTGCATCAGTGATTCATTACTTTTTGTGGCTGAATAATATTCCATTGGATGGATGTACCACAATTTGTTAATCCACTCATCCACTGATGCTACCTTCGTTTTAACTTCAGTTACAGCCTCCTGCTGTCCCTTGAGTTCTTTGGGGAGTGTTCTTATTTTTAATTTCTCTAATGGAAACTTTGGTCAGTGTTCTCCACCTGTAGGCTGGGTATTTTGACATGTTTTCCAAGTGGCTTCTGGAAACACGGAAGCAGTGATTCTGAAATGGAAAAGAGAACATTCTCTCCCATAGGCCCCCCTGTCTGATATAACTCCCTGGTGGCACGCCTCAGTGAGGGTGGCACCATCGCAGGTGGGAGGGAGTATGTCTATTTCAAAAGTGCTGGGGCAGGGGCCGGGTACGGTGGCTCACACCTATAATCCTCCACTTTGGAAGGCGGAGGTGGGTGGATTACTTCAGGCCAGGAGTTTGAGACCAGCCTGGCCAACATGGTGAAACCCTGTCTCTACTAAAAATACAAAAATTAGCCAGGTGTGGTGGCGGATGCCTGTAGTCCCAGCTACTCAGGAGGCTGAGGCAGGAGAATCATTTGAGCCTGGGAAGTGGAGGCTACAATGAGCCGAGATCATGCCATTGAACTCCAGCTTGGGCAACAGAGCGAGACTCTGTCTAAACAAAAGAAAACAACCCCCAAAAAAGTGCTGGGGCAAAGTGGCTGAGCCCACTGGTGAAAAGGCGCTGTGGATGGGGTGCCTCCGACTTGTGTGCAGCTCCTCAGTTATGGCTATGCCCTGGCTGTGACAAGGACAGGATTCTGGCACAGCTAGTCTAAGATCATGTTTTGGGGTCCTTGCTCAGAGTGTTGCCTTCATTCTCTTTTATTTTTTTCCCATTTATTTAGTGAAAATGTAATTTATATACAGTAACATCTGCCTCTTAAAAGTGCATAGTTCTGCGTGTTGTAACTGTGTACACCACGTAGTTAGTACACATGGTGTCATGTAACTACCACCACAATCAGGAGTACTTTCATCACCCCCTGAAACTCCCCCAGACTCCCTTGTAGTTACCTCCTACTCCTAGCCCCAGCCCCTGGCAACCACTGGTCTGCTTTTTGTCTTTACAAGAATGTCATATACATGGAATCACACCGAGTGTAGCCTTTTGAGTCTGATTTCTTTCACTTAGCATAATGTATTTGAGATTTGTCTGTGTTGTTATGTGTATCAGTTTCCCTTTATTTCTGAGCAAGAGTTCAGGGTTTGTTTATTCCCCAATTGAAGGATGTTTGGGTTGTTTCCAATTTTTGGTGATTATGAATAAAGCCACTATAAGCATTCACGAACAGTTTTTTCTCTGAACACAAGTTTTCTTTTCACTTGGGTAAATATGTAGGAGTGGGATTGCTGGGTCACATGGTAGGTGTATGTTTAATTTTATAAGAAACCTGCAAGCTGCTTTCCAAAGAGCTGTACCGTCTTGCATTCTCAACAGTGATGCATGAGCATTCATTATCTTTCATTATGTTCTAGGCTCTCACATTGATCAGAGGCAATATGGGCTTGGCGTTTTAATTGCAAGGAACAAAGACTCTGCCTCCCTTGCCTGTTTTAGTTTAGGTTCCCCAGAAGTGGACTCTGGTGCAATGATTTGAGTGTAAGTAGTTTATCCGGGGGTCAATGCCAGGAAACTCCCCCCACCTCCAGCAGGGGAGTGGAGAGGGGAGAGGAAAAGGAAGGTAGCTGGTAAAGGGTATGTCATCAGGCAGGAAGCCTAGTTTCTAGAATCCATCCCCTGTCAGTTATTGACTGAGGGCTCCTGCGGGAGTCTTGTCAATTCCCTGGCACTCCAGCCTGCCCCCTTCTCAGGAGAGCTGGCTTTGCTGGCTTTGGCAGCCAGTCTCAGGTGAAGGGTATTTGGAAGTCTGGCCCAGGTGCAACAGTGACAGGGCACTCTTCCCAGGTGATAGCGGTTCCTTCCATCCTCTTTCCATGACACTCCCTCTTTCTTTTTCTTTTTTTTTTTTTTTTTGAGACAGAGTCTCGCTCTTTCGCCCAGGCCGGACTGCAGTGGTGCTATCTCGGCTCACTGCAAGCTCCGTCTCCCAGGTTCACGCCATTCTCCTGCCTCAGCCTCCCGAGTAGCTGGGACTATAGGCGCCCACCACCGCGCCTGGCTAATTTTTTGTATTTTTAGTAGAGACGGGGTTTCACCGTGTTAGCCAGGATGGTCTCGATCTCCTGACCTCATGATCCTCCCGCCTCAGCCTCCCAAAGTGCTGGGATTACAGGCGTGAGCCACTGCGCCCGGCCTAACACTCCCTCTTTCATCTTGGCTCTGTCTACTGGTGGCTTCCTTTTCTGCATCATACTTTCTGCTCATTGTGTTTCTCTTCATATGTTCCCACTACCAGCTAACTGAATGTTGACACCCCAAAGAGAGAAAAATTGGTTGGTGAGTTAGTCACTGCTTTTCTCTTGGACAGAGCCCTCAATTTAAGTCATCTGGTAGGCACACCAGTCATTGTTGGCTGCCCTTGGGTCAAGTGGCCTGCCCTGGGCCAACCAGCTGTGACCAGGGAAGTGGGTCAGAGAGTTCAGAGCAGCGCTGTCCAATGGAACCTTCTGTGATGATGGAAATGTTCTGTATATTATGGTAGCTACTAGCCATGTGTGGCCATTGAGTGCTTGAAGTGTGGCTTGTGCTACCAAGGAACTGAGTTTTTAATTTCATTTAATTTTAATAAATTAAGATTTAAATTCACATAGCTGCATATGGCTAGCGGCTACCATAGTGGACAGCATAGCTCTAGAACATGGGCCCAGTTTTTGGCGATTATGAATAAAGCCACTATAAGCATTCACGAACAGCTTTTTCTATGAACATAAGTTGTCATGTTCTTGGCCTCTTCTCTCCACTAAATAATGTGGTATAACATTCTCTTGAGATCAGTTGTTTTTTTTTTTGAGACGGAGTCTCCCTCTGTTGCCCAGACTGGAGTGCAGTGGAGCGATCTCCGTTCACTGCAAGCTCTGTCTCCTGGGTTCATGCCATTCTCCTGCCTCAGCCTCCCAAGTAGCTGGGACTACAGGTGCCCACCATCATGCCCGGCTAAATTTTTTTGTATTTTTAGTAGAGATGGGGTTTCATCGTGTTAGCCAGGATGGTCTCGATCTCCTGACCTCGTGATCCACCCGCCTCGGCCTCCCAAAGTGCTGGGATTACAGGCGTGAGCCGCCGCACCGGCCAAGGTCAGTTTTTTAAAAAGCCAATTAATATCTGATTTGTGATTCTGAATCTTTAACATATTTAACCGTCTGCTTTTTTTTTTTTTTTTTTTAATTCACAGATGACATGGTCTTTTTTTTTTTTTATTGATCATTCTTGGGTGTTTCTCACAGAGGGGGATTTGGCAGGGTCATAGGACAATAGTGGAGGGAAGGTCAGCAGGTAAACAAGTGAACAAAGGTCTCTGGTTTTCCTAGGCAGAGGACCCTGCGGCCTTCCGCAGCGTTTGTGTCCCTGGGTACTTGAGATTAGGGAGTGGTGATGACTCTTAACCAGCATGCTGCCTTCAAGCATCTGTTTAACAAAGCACATCTTGCACCGCCCTTAATCCATTTAACTCTGAGTGGACACAGCACATGTTTCAGAGAGCACAGGGTTGGGGGTAAGGTCACAGATCAACAGGATCCCAAGGCAGAAGAATTTTTCTTAGTACAGAACAAAATGAAAAGTCTCCCATGTCTACTTCTTTCTACACAGACACGGCAACCATCCGATTTCTCAATCTTTTCCCCACCTTTCCCCGCTTTCTATTCCACAAAACCGCCATTGTCATCATGGCCCGTTCTCAATGAGCTGTTGGGCACACCTCCCAGACGGGGTGGTGGCCGGGCAGAGGGGCTCCTCACTTCCCAGTAGGGGCGGCCGGGCAGAGGCACCCCTCACCTCCCGGACGGGGCGGCTGGCCGGGCAGGGGGCTGACCCCCCCACCTCCCTCCCGGACGGGGCGGCTGGCCGGGCGGAGACGCTCCTCACTTCCCAGACTGGGTGGCTGCCGGGCGGAGGGGTTCCTCACTTTTCAGACGGGGCGGCTGCCGGGCGGAGAGGCTCCTCACTTCTCAAACGGGGCGGCTGCCGGGCGGAGGGTCTCCTCACTTATCAGACGGGGCGGCCGGGCAGAGACACTCCTCACCTCCCAGACGGGGTGGCGGCCGGGCAGAGGCGCTCCTCACATCCCAGACAGGGCGGCGGGGCAGAGACGCTCCTCACTTCCTAGATGGGATGGCGGCCGGGAAGAGGCGCTCCTCACTTCCTAGATGGGATGGCGGCCGGGCAGAGACGCTCCTCACTTTCCAGACTGGGCAGCCAGGCAGAGGGGCTCCTCACATCCCAGACGATGGGCGGCCAGGCAGAGACGCTCCTCACTTCCCAGACGGGGTGGCGGCCGGGCAGAGGCTGCAATCTCGGCACTTTGGGAGGCCAAGGCAGGCGGCTGGGAGGTGGAGGTTGTAGCGAGCCGAGATCACGCCACTGCACTCCAGCCTGGGCGCCATTGAGCACTGAGTGAACCAGACTCTGTCTGCAATCCCGGCACCTCGGGAGGCCGAGGCTGGCGGATCACTCGCGGTTAGGAGCTGGAGACCAGCCCGGCCAACACAGCGAAACCCCGTCTCCACCAAAAAAATACAAAAACCAGTCAGGCGTGGCGGCGCGCGCCTGCAATTGCAGGCACTCCGCAGGCTGAGGCCGGAGAATCAGGCAGGGAGGTTGCAGTGAGCCGAGATGGCAGCAGTATAGTCCAGCTTCGGCTCGGCATGAGAGGGAGACTGTGGAAAGAGAGGGAGAGGGAGACCATGGGGAGAGGGAGAGGGAGAGGGAGAGGGAGAGGACCGTCTGCTTTAAAAATGGGAAATATCAGTATTTGAGGCAATGAAGTCAAAATTGACCTAATGAGATGTTGATACGATTCTTTTCCTGAAGCTTTAATACATTTACATTTTTATTTTTGGAAACTCACTTTCATTCTGTACATTTATACTGTACCTATTTTGTGTTGTCAGATGTACGTGTGTGAGTTACTGATTTTCTTCCTCACACATGGAGACACTTGGCAGCCAATCAGCCCACCAGGAAATAGGTCTGAAGTACTCTCTTAGAATTCAGAAGCACAAGTGGTGCCCCTGACAGCAGCCTAAGTGTGAGTTTCTGAAGTCAGAGCCAAATAGGGTTCTGTGCAGCCTGAAGATTATATATGAATGTTTTTAACTTTGGGTTTTTTTTTTTTTTTTTTTTTTTTTTTGAGATGGAGTCTCCCTCTGTTGCCCAGGCTGGAGTGCAGTGGCGTGATCTCGGCTCAGCACAACCTCCGCCTCCCAGATTCAAGCAATTCTCCTGCCTCAGCCCCCCGAGTAGCTGGGACTACAGGTGTGCGCCACCACACCCAGCTAATTTTTTAAAAATATTTTTAGTAGAGATGGGGTTTCACCATGTTGGCCAGGCTGATCTCGAACTCCTGACTTCATGATCCGCCCACCTCAGCCTCCCAAAGTGCTGGGATTTGGGCGTGAGCCACCGTGCCTGGCCTAACTTTGGTTTTAATATTATTTTGCCTTGGCTTCAGGAAATGACCAAGAGATGCCTGATTAAGATTATTTTGGAATCATTATAATGGGATGGAGCTTCGAGTAGCATTGGACAGGGAGTCAAGGAACCAGGGTTCCTACTCAAGCTATGCCACTGACTTGCTGGCTTTGTGATCTTTAGCAAGTAACTGTAATTTTCTGAGCATTGCTTTCTCCATCTGTAAATAAGGAATTTTGATTACACATGCATCTAAAAATTATTCCATGGCACCCCATTGCAGGAGATATTAATAGATACAGCTGAGGAAAAGGGTTCTATGGTCAAAGTTGTTGGGAAATATTTCTTACTATATCTCTTGGAGATTCACAATGTACATTTTTTTTTTGAGACGGAGTCTTGCTCTGCCATCCAGGCTGGAGTGCAGTGGCGCGATCTCAGCTCACTGCAACCTCCGTCTTCTGAGTTCAAGCCATTCTCCTGCCTCAGCCTCCCCAGTAGCTGGGATTACAGGCGCGCACACCACACCCAGCTAGTTTTTGTATTTTTAGTAGAGATGGGGTTTCACCATGTTGGCCAGGCTGGTCTCGAACTCCTGACTTCAAGTGATCTGCCTGCCTTAGCCTCCCAAAGTGCTGGGATTACAGGTGTGAGCCACCATGCCCAGTCCACAATGTACATTCTTATATCAAAGGCTCTGAGAAGTCCTGCAGTGGAAAAAAAATTTTTTTTTCATTGTATTAACAGACTTTGGTTAATATTTAAGCATGGAATCTCACTTGTGTGTGTGTGCATGTGTAAAACATCTCTTGGCATCTTCCAGAATACAGTTATACAGGCCCATCAGCTTGGCAAACAGGGATGGATGATTCTTTGGCTTTTCTGAGTTAAATGTCTCAGTGTCCTTGGACAAGGAAGAAGTTAAGTCTCTTTTCAATCATGTTCTCAGCTTTTTCTCTCCTCTCTTCTCTTCCCCTCTCCTCCAAGTATTAAAACCTAGTTGAGGCCAGGCGCAGTGGCTCATGCCTGTAATCCCAGCACTTTGGGAAGCTGAGATGGGCTGATCACGATGTCAGAAGATCGAGACCGTACTGGCTAACATGGTGAAACCCCATCTCTACTTAAAAAATACAAAAAAATTAGCCGGGCGTGGTGGCGGGCGCCTGTATAGTCCCAGCTACTCAGGAGACTGAGGGAGGAGAATGGCATGAACCCAGGAGGGAGAGCTTGCAGTGAGCTGAGATCGTGCCACTGCACTCCAGCCTGGGTGACAGAGCAAGACTCCGTCTCAAAATAATAATAATAATAATAAAACAAAATAAAAAAATAAAACCTTGTTGATAACTAATTGTGGGTCTTTTCCTTTTCCCTGACACACATTCTGCAAGAGAAGACAGATGGCAGGCAGGAGGCAGATTGGAGAGAGGTTCTCAGCATGACTTTTCTCAAATGTGATGCTCCTCAAGAGAGTCTATATTTGTTATCAAAATGAGCCACGTGCTTGCATGCCACCTTGAATGCTCTCCATTGACATTTGCAACTTGTTTCTGTGTAATTTTGCAGCCTGGTTCTGCTCAGTTCCAGCAAGGTGACTGTCATTAGGCAGATCTCTTTCCATTACAGGTGACAGAAGCTCAACTCCAACTAGCTTAAGCAAAACAAATAAACAAAAACCTCCAGGGCATTTGTTGGCACATGTGCTTGGGAAGTTGAGTCCTGGGTGGGGCTCAAGTCCTACCATCTGGTGTTTGTCCTTCTCTGTTTCCTGCCTCCTGCTTCCTACAGCTCTTGGCTCTGCTGCTTTCTGAGTGTTGGCCTCTCTCTCCTACTACCGCTCATCCTTCTCCCCATGACGATAAAGATGGCCAGTGGCTGTGTGTCCTTAAAGTTAGCTATCCCTCAGCAAGAAAGACCACCTCTCCCAGCAGCTGTATGTCAAACATCATCAAGGCATGATTCTCATCGGGGCTTGGGTTTTGTGTACACATCTGAAATTGATCGTCATGGACAGGGGTTCACGTTCTGTGCTTCGTGAGATCTGAGTCCTGTGTGGGTAGCAGGGCCCTGATCAGCAGCCTGGCATTGTAAGTGGGGTAGGACTATTCTTCAGCAGTGGGAGGGACCCTGGGTGGACTAAAACCACACTTACCCACTACATGCCCTGCCCACTCCCTTTTCCTCCTGGCCAGGGTGCCCTGAGTAGCCTTGGCATGACGTGCCTCACTGTCATCTGACCAATGAGAATCATTTGTTCAGAAAACTAAGGTCCATAGAGCAAGGCACAGACCTGTCCCTGGGAGCTCAGTGTCCTGTTGGGAAGGCCGACTCAGAGACAGCTTTCATTCTTTTGTGTTACTCCGTGCTGAGCTGGTTGGGGCTCACAGCGGCCTCTTTGGACAGGCAGCAGCCTTGCCTCATCTTAACCTGTATTGCCAGGAACCCAGCAGCCTTCCCACATGAATCAAGTTCATGTTTGTTATCTCAAAGTGCTCCCCACCAGCCTTTAATTTTGGGGGCCTGCTCAGGTGCTGGACTCTGTCCTCCTTGCTTTCTGTTCGTTAGTTTTTATCTTGTTAATTCCTTTCTGAGTCAGGTATTACCAGCCTCTTTTACAGATGGGGAAACTGAGGCTCAGGGTAGAGAAAGCCTTTGCTGAGGCCCCCCCGCAGGTGAGTGGCAGATCAAGGATGTTGACCTAAAGTTGGTGCTATGGGCCTAATGTTTTTGTGCCCACACAATTCATTTGTTGAAGCCCTAACCCCCAGTGTGAGGTGGGGCCTCTGGGAGGTGAGTCGGTTAAGATGAGGTCATGAGGATGGGGCCTCCATGATGGGATTAGTGCCTTTAGAAGAAGAAGAAGAGAGACCAGAGCTCGCTCTCTCTACCACATGAGGACGCAGTAAGAAGGTGGCCTGCACTGAGGAACCAAATGGGCCAGCACCTAGATATTGGACTTCCTAACTTTTAGACTCACGGGCAATGAATTCCTGCTGTTTCAGCCACCCAGTCTATGGCAGCCTGAGCTGATCAGTACAGTCGGAGTTCTCAACCTCCATTGGAGTGAGTGCCTGGGCTCCACTGTACTAAAAGCAAGTAGTCCTCCTCTGGAAGGGCGTATGCATATTTCCAGGCATTTTGGAGCCTCCAGGGAAACCCTGGGCCCTGCAGGTTCTTGTCCAGAACCACTGGCCACACGCCCTCTCAGCCGCACTCAATGCCAGGAGACCTCTATGGCTGCTCAGGAGTGGGTCCCTGCCTGGGGCTGAAGTCCGGGCCCTGGGATCTGCGTTGGGTCCTGCTGTCATGGACTGAGCTGCCTCGGTTCCCTCTTTGGGCCCCACTAACAGAGAGGTTCTCTGAGGACCCCCATCCCTTCAGCTGAACCTAAGGCTACCAGGAGACAGAGGGCATCTGTGGCCTCCCCCAGAAGGCTGTCCTGAGGTTGTGCCCATTGTCTTGGGGAGTTTACTGGAGGAAGCTGCAGGCCTGGACTGTGCAGTCTGATTTCTTTACCTATTTTAGGAACGATGCTGGCTGGATGGGCGCGAAGGCTCACACCTGTAATCGCAGCACTTTGGGAGGCCGAGGTGGGCAGATCACCTGAGGTCAGGAGTTCGAGACCAGCCTGGCCAACATGGTGAAACCCAGTATCTATAAAAACACAAGCATTAGCCAGGCATGATGGTGCTCATGCTTGTAATCCCAGCTACTCGGGAGGCTGAGACGGGAGAACGCTTGAACCCAGGAGGTGGAGGTTGCAGTGAGCAGTGAGCCGAGATGGCGCCGCTGCACTCCAGCCTGGGCAACAGAGCTAGACTCCGTCTCAAAAAAAAAAAGAAATGATGCTGGTTGTTATCAAGAAGAGCCCTTCCCAAACACCCAGCTACCTTCCAATGGGCTTTTCCTTCCCTTCATAACTTGGGTGTTTTCAAGGGTGAGGAAGTTTAAGTAGTGAAGCCGGTGGGGCTGGCCAAGGGAACCCGCTGTCTAATCCTGTGGCTGGAGGAGGAAGCGGGGAAGGTGGATTCTTCATGGAGTCAAGGAGGCTTTCACTGCTTTTTCTTATTGCTTCTGCTGATTTCCCACTAGGCTTGGATTTGGCCATTTGCTGGGGTTGGGTGGGTGGGGGGGAAGAGTTTTTTTTTTTTTTTTATGGAGACAGGGTCTTGCTCTGTTGCCCAGGCTGGAGTGCAGTGCTGTGATCACAGCCCACTGCAGCCTTGAACTCCTGGGCTCAAGTGATTCTTCTGCCTCAGCCTCCTGAGTAGCTAGCACTGCAGGCGTGTGCCACCATGCCCAGTTAATTAAAAAATTATTTTTGTAGGGCTGGGAGCGGTGACTCATGCCTGTAATCCCAGCACTTTGGGAGGCCGAGGTGCGCGGATCACCTGAGGTCGGGAGTTCTAACCAGCCTGACCAACATGGAGAAACCCCATCTCTACTAAAAATACAAAAATTAGCCAGGCATGGTGGCGGGCGCCTGTAATCTCAGCTACTCAGGATGCTGAGGAAGGAGAATTGCTTGAACCTGCGAGGCGGAGGTTGCAGCGAGCCGAGATCACACCATTGCACTCCAGCCTGGGCAACAAGAGCGAAACTCTGTCTCAAAAAAAAAAAATTCTTTTTGCAGTGACAGGGTCTGCCTGTGTTGCCCAGGCTGGTCTCAAACTCCCTGCTTTAAGCGATCTTCCCACCTTGGCCTCCCAAAGTGTGGGATTACAGGTGTGAGCCACCGTGCCTAGCTGTGTTTTGTTGTCTGGCGCTGCTTTAGATGACCCCTGCTGCTGTCAGATTGCCCGTCTGGGAGCTGGGGTCATACTTGTGGGGTCATAACAGGGCCTTGGGCAGCAGACTCCTCACCGTGGCCAGGCAAGGGATTCCCACCCTGGGTTGGGCAGCCCTCTCCACAGGATGGCAAGGGGCTGGAGGCTCAGCGGACGGGCCCTGTTTTAGGGATTGAGGACATGGCAGGTAGATAGGCAATAAAAGCACCGAACCAGCCTTAGGTTCTATAGCAAGGAGGTCCAGCACCGCTCGTGGACCCAAACTGTCCTCCAGGAAAGGCGGGAGGCAGCTTAGGTGACCTCTGCACGTGTTTTCAAAGCTGTGGTTTTGGTTGGGAGTTTCATGCTGGCTCAGCCACACAAACAATGACATGGAACAGGGAGGCGCTCCCATGTCAGAAGATGGGTCCTCTCCACCCCAGCTCCTCCACACTCCCCACCCCCCACAGCCCAGCCAGGTCCAAAACCCTACATGCTGCCTCATAGGAAATGGGGTCCCCTGAGGAGAAGGACAAAAGCAGACAATTCCTGAGGACAAGAGGAAGAGGAGGACGGAGTCTCCCTTGTTTGTGCTGATTCCCAGTGAGCATCCTCTCTGGAGCCCACTGGGGTTTGGGACTTGCAGGGTGTGTCACTAAATGGCAAGGAACAAGGTAGAGACGGCTGGCACTCACTGTCTCTGTTGTGGACACTGGCCTCACCCACAGCTCCATGCACACGCCTAGATGCAGAAATTTTCTGTATTGGTTGTTTATCCATCACCAACTTCTAAAGCAGCAGATGGGAAAATGGAATGAACAAAGTCAACTTTAGAACAAGCTTTGTGTTAAATTGAGTACACATAATTCGATTATTTTAAAAACAAAGCCCAAGCAGTGTTTTTCTGTTTTTTTGCATGCAGTGTTTTCCGGTGTAAAGAGAATTCACTGCCGGAGAAGCCCCAGCTTAGCTTCCTTCTGCCCCTGGGCAGCCCCGTTGGTTTCAGCAGATGGTCCTGATGTCTGAGGACCTGCCACAGTTTGCGCCAGTCCTTCCTTTTGCTACTTTTGTTGCCCAAGACGAGGTGTGATTTAGTGGTTAAATGCCAGAATGCTGGGCTGGCTGGATTTGAACCTTACCTCCTTTGAGATTCAATTAGGATGTGACCTCCGACAGCTTAATTTCCCTGAGCCTCTGTGTTTTCATCTGTAAAATGGGTACGATAATAGGGTTGTTGAGATTTGGCAGGTGATAAATGCTGACCAAGTGTTTGCTGTTGCAGTAGTTGTTATGGCAGTTGTCGTCACTGTCCCCAATGTCATCACTATCATTCTCGTCATCTCAGGACACTGAGGAAAGGCTGAGCTAGTAATGAATAGGGTTGGACTGGTGCTGCCTCTTTAGTGCCTAAGAAACGCTACCCTGGCCCTGTCTCCAGGCCTTGATCTCAAGGTGGGATTCATCCATCATCCACCACGGCCCAGGAGCCAGCTGTCCTCACTTCTGGGGTGACTTGTGAGTAGATAACAAAGGGGGTGCCCTCACCCTGCAGCGGAGTCCCCATGGGCCTTGGGGCCCAGAGGGAGATGGTATCTGTTTCCCATGGGCTTCCTGTCACAGGCAGATGACATCTGCTCTCTGCTCAGGGTAGATTTGGGGGCCTCTGCCACTGGCTGACTGGAACTCTCTTACCTCATTCTAGACTCTTCCAGGCAGCTTTCTGTTTGTTCTCTAACAGAAACATAGAAACAAACCAGCATCTTTTCTAAACAAAGAGGGACTTTTCACAGGAAGTTTGATGACCTGACGCGTTCCCCCTGCTTGTTGAAGCACGAGCCTCTTCTCTGACAGTTAGGGTGACTTGCTGGAGAACAAACAATAGACAATAGTTGTGGCCTACTTCCCGTGAGAAGCAAGAATGGTACAGGTGGATGTTGGGAGCCCCCAAACCCATGGAAGGGGTTTCCTGAGGACGTCCTATAGTCCCTGAACATGCAGCCGAGGGTTCCTGGGGTAGCAGCACCCGTGTGGTTAGCCCTGTAATGGGCTCACATTATGAGGCTTCCGTGGGTAGGCCCTGTTCAGAGAGCTTTGCGTGCTCTCATCCTGGGGAGTCAGGGTTAGGTTTAGGGTCAAGACTGATATAATGGCCAGGCACAGTGGTTCACGCCTGTAATCTTAGCACTTTGGGAGGCCAAAGCGGGTGGATCACCTGAGGTCAGGAGTTTGAGACCAGCCTGGCCAACATGGTAAAACCCTGTCTCTACTAAAAATACAAAAAAATTAGCCGGGCATGGTGGTGTGCTCCTGTAATCCCAGCTACTTGGGAGGCTGAGGCAGGAGAATTGCTTGAACCCAGAAGGCGGAGGTTGCAGTGAGCTGAGATCGCACCACTGCACTCCAGCCTGCAAGATGGAGTGAGACTCCATCTTAAAAAAAAAAAAAAAAAAAAAAAGTTGCTGAGTTGGCTCTCCAAGCCTCTTTCTCAGAGCCACCTTGGAGGGGGCCAGCCAGCTCCAAAGCCTGGGGTGTTGGCCTTTGGGAGGGAGGGGGCCTTGTGCCAGTCCCCCACACTTTGTCTGCTCCTCCAGCCTCCTTGGAGTACCTTGAATGTACCTTCCTATTGCTGTTCCCTCTGCCCAGAGTCCCGTGCTCTCCTCTCCACATTCCTTCACTGCTCATTGGCATTCAGGGTTGGGCATAAATATTACCTTCTTGGGGGCCTGTTATTTGCATCCTAACTAGCAGGGCTCCTTTGCAGCCCACTGCCAGCCCTGCCATTCTTCATCACAGTCCTCTGTTCATCTCTTTGCCACTTGTCACCAAAATGTGTAATTGTACCTTCATTGATGTCCAGTCAGCCTTCTGTATCTGCAACTTTCACATCTGTGGATACAACTGACCGCAGATTGAAAATACTCAGAAATAAAAGGATGCTTGGGTCTGTACTGAACATGTACAAACATTTTCCTTGTCATTATTCCCTAAACAATACGTTATAGCAACTGTATACACATAGCACTTACATTGTATTAGGTATTAGAAGTAATCTAGAGATGATGTAAAGTGTATAGGAGGATATGCATGGGCTTTATACAAATACTACACCATTTTATATCAGGGACTTGAGCATCCATGGACTTTGCCATCTGAGGGGGGCACCAGAACCAATCCCCTAAGAAACCAGGGGACAATTGTTCACCTCCATGACAGGCCCATAAGCTGCTCTGTGCAGGTGCAGGTCTGTCATGCGGCCCACAGCCCTCTCTGCAGAAGACCCTCAAATGCTGGGGGAATGCACAAATTAGCTGGGGGGCAGTCTCTAGGAGATTTTCAGCAGTTTCTCCTGAGAGGTGTGAAGCTGAGAGTTAAGTAGGGTTTTGTAGGTGTAACAATAGGCATTTTCCTTCCAGCAGCTCAAACTGCAGTGTGCTTGGCACGTTAGTGCAAAGGAAAAAAACTCACTTCATTCTTAAGAAAGCTCTGGAAATTTCATCTGTGTTTGAGTGAGTTGGCATGCTGGGCCCCTGGCGGAACACAAATGTGGAATTTGAACTCTACCCTACCTCAGAGAGCAAGGCTGAAGCGATAGGATGAAATGCATTTAAATGTCATGAGTGTTATTATTAGTCGTAATCTTATCTTTGTTAATAATAATAACAGGACCCGCCTAGAAGTGACTGAATAGCAGACCGGGCTTTCGTAAGTAAGCTCACACTGTCAGATAGCACCAGGACCTGGGGTGGCGCCGGCGCCGTTAGGGAGGGAGTGTTCACCGGAAACCTGCCCGGGCCACACGTGTACAGCCACATCCTCCACGCCCTTTGGGCGCTGGTCATTCAGAGAGGCCCTCTCAGACACGCCTGGCCTCTTTAGAGGCTCTCTCATCCCCTCGAGCTGCCAACACAATCAAGGGTCTGCAGGTTTGGGAACTCCAAGGCAGTTTCTCTTTACCAAGTTCTCTGCATAGCCTTTTGCCTTCTATTGTTTGCTGTCCCAGAGACTGGCTGAAACAATGTGTTTCCTACAGATTTTGTTTGCCTGCATTGACTTCTTTGTTTAGCTCTAGTAAACAGACATTTAGCATATACAGATCTGCACACTTGACAAAGAGGAATTTGGAGCCCTGGACGGGGTGGCTGCACTGAGTCACCAGCTCCTTGAACCTGAAGACCTTGGATGGTCCGGAGCTCGTAAATGACTCACCCCATCAGTGCTGGGCTGGTGTGTGCGGGGTTTTGTCGCCACCTTTGGCAATGGAAGAGGGGAACGTGGGGCCTTTGACTCGTCAGGGAAAAACAGGTGTGTGAGCACTAGGTTGGTGACGAGGTTTAGCAGCAGGTGGACTCTGGAGCGTGACTCTGGAGTTGCCAGTCCCAGCTCCAGCACTTTGATTAGCTGTGTGACGTTGGGGAAGTTGCTTGCCTAATATGTGTGTGTTTCCTCATCTGTGAAGACAGCACTAACCTCGTAGGTACTCGGGAGGCTGAAGGAGTTCATCTGTGGAAATCATTTGGCATGATGCCTACTCTTATTCCTTGTCTGTGGGGCCCTGTTTTGTGGGCTTGCCACAGTCTCATGACTCTGCTGGGAAGAGCCTTCCTGCGGGCCCCCTTGAGCTAGGAATAGAACCTGGATTTCTGGCCCTGTAGGCTGACGCGGCCCTCCTAGATGTAGTGGTGATGCCCCGTTCAGCAGAGATGGTTCCAAATGTTCTGAACTTCTGCCTTGTATGGGACCCTGTGCCGGCTGAATCGCATGGTAGCTCAGGGCATAGATGCTAAATGGGACGGTCCTGGGTTTGCACCCTGGCCTCTGCTCTCACCAGCTGTGTGAGCTTGGATGTGTTACTTGTTACTCAGAGCTTTTCTCATGTGTAAAGCTGAGTGCATGAGGCCGGGCGTGGTGGCTCACGCCTGTAATCCCAGCACTTTAGGAGGCTGAGGTGGGCGGATCACCTGAGGTCAGGAGTTCAAGACCAGACTGGCCAACATGGTGAAACCCTGTCTCTACAAAAATACAAAAATTAGCCAGGCATGATGGCGGGTGACTATAATCCCAGCTACTCAGGAGGCTGAGGTAGGAGAATCACCTAAACCTGGGAGGCGGAGGTTGCAGTGAGCCGAGATCATGCAGTTGCACTCCAGCCTGGATGACAGAGCAAGATTCTATCTCAAAAAAAAAAAAAAAAAAGAAAGAAAGAAAGAAACAAGAAACTGAGTGGATGAGATCTCTATTTCATGGGGTCGTTGCGAGCATTAAGTGTGCTAGTGTTTGTGAAGAGCTTGGGCGGGGCCTAGCACAGAGCCCTGCATAGTAGAGGTTTTGCCCTGACCCATGAGCTGAGCATTGGAAATACCACAGAATCTGGAGTGGGGAGCAGAGGAGGTGTCATGGTCCTTAAGGCCTGACCTGTCAGATATTCACAGTTGTCTGTGTCACTTGTTCTCGCATTGATAGACCTGGAGGGACAGGGAGGCCAGCCCGTTGTGGAGGGGACTCCGCAGGCTGAGGGTTGATTCTGGCTCTGAGCAGGCTTCAAGCAGAAGCTGGCTAGCCCCTTGGCAGGGAGGTGGCAGTCCCTCTCTGACGCCTTCCAAGTCCTCCCCAGTCCTTCTAGGATTCTTTTACGGAACCAAAGATAATAGTCCCCTTTGATACCACATACAAGCCAGTCGTATTCCATGCCTCGGAATATGAACAAAACCAGACCGGCGATGGCTTAAGCCTCATTGAGAGGCCCATTTGGATAGCAGGAGATTACATGGGGTCATGAGTAGACAGAATGTGGATTTCCAGAAGGTGCCTCGGCAGCTCCACTGTAGGCATAAAGCAGGTGATTTTGAGATGTGTCCACTGGCACCTGTTCTGAGGCTGGTGGTGTCGGGGGTTGTGGTCATCACAGGTTGCATTAAAAGGGGGCTTTGATGGGGTCTTTTCCAGATGGAGCTGCTTTGTGGGATTCTGCTGCCCTGCCTTGGGATAGCAGGTCAGCAGAGGGTGAGCTCAGGAGCTGCAGGCTACGTGTGACGTTTAAAACATATTCTACATAAACTCATCCATGATCTATTCATGGTGTAATGGATGTCTGGGGCAGGGTGCTAGCTTCAGACGCTCCAGCCCAGGCTTTCTCAAGCCCTCCCAAGGTGCTGAGACATTTGGCACCCTCAGGCCACAAGTGTGGATGGGCCGCGGCTTTGACCCACAGGGGAACTCATCTCCCCAAGCTTTGTCCCCATGGGTCACCTACTTTGCAACCCTAGTTTCGTGATTTGGTTAATGGTGTTTAAGTGGCTGAGCCATGTATCTGGGGTTTTTCAGTGCCGTCACTATTATTTCTTGTTGAGATTTTTGCACAGTCTCCTTCCCTCAATCCTATGTGTTCTTTTTTTTGATGGAGTCTCGCTCTGTCACCAAGGCTGGAGTGCAGTGGTGCAGTCTCAGCTCACTGCAACCTCCATCTCCTGGGTTCAAATGATTCTCCTGCCTCAGCCTCCCAAGTAGCTGGGACTACAGGCACATGCCACCACACCTGGCTAATTTTTGTATTTTTAGTAGAGACAGGGTTTCACCATGTTGGCCAGGCTGATCTCAAACTCTGGACTTCAGTGCTCGGATTATAGGCGTCAACTACCGCGCCTGGCCTATGTATTCTTTTAAACTTCAGCTCATTAGAGCTGGGTTTGTGTCATAAGTGAGAGAGCCCTGAGGTGCTTGGTTTGAAGCAAAGCTTGGTTAGCCATCAGCATCTGATTGGAGACTGGTCCCAACCCACCCATGCCGCTGAGGAGGGGACATGGGTGCTGGCCAGCACCGAGATTAGAACACTGACCCGGTGACATGGGAGACTGTGGTTTCCCTCATGGTACAGAAACATAAACCATACTTGTTTTTGAGATGTCTGACCCTGACAAGACTGGGAAATAGAGCTAGCGACTGATAAGTGTTCAGGGGTGGGGCTGCATGTGGGCATTGTAGGAAAAGCGCACTGGCGAGAGGCGTACAGAGGGATCCCAGGCGTTAGCTTCCATTCCCAGCTTCTGTAGGGCACTTACCTGTGCTTCCTTCAGAAGGTGACCAACCAGTGAACTCTGCATGTTACCTTGGCCTTGTATAGGGTGGCTGGGTCGTCAGAAACCTGGGAGGCTCTGGACAGTTGACTTTACTTGGCTGTTCTTTGGTGTTTGTTCCATTCAGTGATGCTGCTGTGCCTCTTGAGGTGCAGGTGCAGGCTGGGTATTTCTCCCTCTAGACTGTTGCCCACAGCTGGAGGCAAAGGGAGTCCATTCATTTTTGCCTGTTGAATGAAGTTAGAGTTTTCGGTTTCTCTGTCCCCTTAGCTGAGGGGCTTTCACATCCTTTAAGAGAGCTGGCGCCCTCTGGGTGGAACACTGATCGGGAAGTCAGCACCCAGGGGTTCCAGCCTTGGTTCCACCTCTCACTGGGTGGCCTGGGGCACTTGTGGCCTGTAAGTACCTATTGTTATGAGAGAGTTGCTGTGCAAACAAAGACCCTTTTAGTTTAAACCTTCTTGGAGACAGCAATTTTGCAAAGCAGTAAGAACCTGGGATTTGAATTATGGTTTAGCCACAAGCTAGCTTCCTAAGCACTCAGCTTCCTCACCTGTAAAATGAGCTCATGATAGACCCAGCCTCTCTGGGTTTGGGGAAGATTGAGAGCATGCAGGCCCAGGAGCATGGTTCCTGGCACATGGGCTCAGCTTCGTAGGTGGTGGCTCCTCTATTACTACCCTCATGAGTGTGATGGTTTTATTACCACCAGAGTGAAGTTCCTGACTGTGAGGTTTCAGACGGGATAAGCGCCTGGAGTAAAGTGTCAGGGCACATGGTTGATCAGTATCTTGGGTTTCTCCTCTCCAAGCAGTGACCTGGACTTGACCTACTAGAAATGGGATCAGGTCTCCAGAGAGAGGAACCACCTTGGCTCTTTGACCTCGGTCAGGCTTGGATACCGGGCCTCCAGGTGAAAGCCTCAGGTGCTGTTATCACTTCCTGAGACAGCCAGTCCTCTCACTTCTGTGTTTCCTTTATTACACTTTACTATGAAGGAGAATTGATACAGAGGAAGAAAAACATACAGTGAACCCTTTATTTCCTATGATAAATGATGATTTTTGGAACTGGGGTCCAGTCTGAATTCTCTAAGGCATGCTTGTGCGTGTGCACGCTCTCTCTCTCTCTCTCTCTCTCTCGCACACACACACACACACACACACACACACACACAGAGTAATGGTTTTAAAGTCATGACATACTGTGCTTTTGGCTGCTGCTGTTTCTGACTGATGACCCCAATGAGACTCCAAAAAATTAGATGGGTGCGTTTGGAAGGCATTCAGAAATTACTCATTGGAAGAAAAATGCAGCGTTTGGAGGAAGGGGAGGGCTGAGCATGTGTAAAAATGAGTGTTATGCGCTTAGTGTTCCGAATTCAACATCAGTGAGGAAAGGGAGGGCCGCAGGAGTTTGGGGACCGTCTCGCTAAGCAATACTGCAAACACAGACAGTGACCCGATTTTCCATAGCTGTGCTAGCTCCTCAGGAGGTTTTGAGAATCCCCCTCATTTGGGTTTGAAGGAGGTCTCAGTGTCCTTCCTCCTCTGTTTGCCAGATTAAAGTTTCATACCTCAGAGCTGGGATACGCTGGGTTTTGATTGTAAAGGCATGCAGCTCAGACTCTGTTGTAAATGGTGAGTTTTTCTTTTTTTTATTACACTTTAAGTTTTAGGGTACATGTGCACAATGTGCAGGTTAGTTACATATGTATACATGTGCCATGCTGGTGTGCTGCACCCATTAACTCGTCATTTAGCATTAGATATATCTCCTAATGCTATCCCTCCCCCCTCCTCCCACCCCACAACAGTCCCCTTCCTGTGTCTATGTGTTCTCATTGTTCAATTCCCACCTATGAATGAGAACACGTGGTGTTTGGTTTTTTGTCCTTGCTATAGTTTACTGAGAATGATGATTTCCAATTTCATCCATGTCCCTACAAAGGACATGAACTCATCATTTTTTATGGCTGCATAGTGTTCCATGGTGTATATGTGCCACATTTTCTTAATCCAGTCTATCATTGTTGGACATTTGGGTTGGTTCCAAGTCTTTGCTATTGTGAATAGTGCCGCAATAAACATACGTGTGCATGTGTCTTTATAGCAGCATGATTTATAGTCTTTTGGGTATATACCCAGTAATGGGATGGCTGGGTCAAATGGTATTTCTAGTTCTAGATCCCTTAGGAATTGCCACACTGACGTTTTAAAAGTGAAATCAGAGAGTGTTTTTGGTTTTCTTGAAGCTGCCTTTGACATTTTAGCAACACAGCTGGGAGGGTAAGGTAGAAAACTCCAAGAAGTTGGAATTCAACTGTCAAAGTCAAAGCGGGGATGGACTTTTGGGAGTCCTGCCACAGCGGGACCTGAACTCAAGTCTTAACTTCTCCTCTAGGGCTCTTGTGTGAAAGAGGAATAGCTTCCTGCAGTTCACAAGGGTCGTACCATGATCAATTATTATTACGTTACACATCACTTCTGTACCAATTTATATTGGCACATGAAGTTAATATATCCCTATATCCATGCATTGCCTTTGTGATTTGGGAAAATCCGATGCCTTGGCCAAACCTCTGAATCATGTGACCACGTTTTAGCCTAATTTGGTGAACAAATCTTTAACCTCCATGTCTTCAAGTGCAGCATCAGTGGGTCATGGATCCAGAAGGTTGGCTGATTGGGATTCTCTTGCTGGGTGCTGCCGCACCTTGTGTGTCGGGTGCCGACACCTTGATCATTTCGGCCAGACCCCCAAGAGAGCCCACAGACCACCATGCTGGGTGGAGGCACCCAACACCTGGCTGACTGCGTGAACTTCTTGCTTCCCAGTGGCTCTCCAAACTAGTTGTGGAGGACGCGAAGGGGTTTCCTGATGTCAAAATAAAAATAACGATGTCTGTAGTTTCCCAGGAGGAATAATTGTTGATGTTGAGGCATGATCTCTGCATGCATTCTGTACCTGCTCCAGGGTGCCAGTGGAGGCTACACCCCTCTCCCCCTCTTCTGCTCTCTGCGACACCCCTGCCACAACAGACCTTGACTCTCCAGGCTGGGACCCAGGAATCCGTACTCTTTCAAAACCACTTTATTGAGTGTAATTGACAGACAGTAAGCCACACATATTTAAAGAATATGATTTGAGAAGTTAGGATATATCCATACCCGTGTGAATCTACATACCACAAACAAGTTATCCATCACTGCTGAAAGTTTACTCATGCCCCTTTATAATCCTGCCCTGTCATCCCTTCCTGTCCCCTGAACCCTAAGCAGCCACTGTTCTTGCTTTCTGTCGCTCTGGATTCGCTTGTATTTTCTGGATTTGCTTGTATTTTCTGGATTTGTCTATAGATGGAATCATATAGCAAGTACCCTTTCTCATGTGCCTTTACTTACTCAGCATGAAGATTTTGAGATTCATCTACACTGTTGGCGTATCAGTAGTTCATTCCTTTTTCTTATTGAGTAGTGACCCACTGTATCGATAGACCACAGTTTGTTTACCCACTCAACTGTTTGCGCAGGTGGGTTGTTTCTAGTCTCTCTATGGACAGAGATTTCCTTTTCTCTTGAGTAAATACTTAGGAACATCTGGATCATATGGTAGGTATAGGTTTAACTTTTCCAGAAATTGACAACCTGTTTTCCAAAGTGGTTATTCTTTGGGACAAGGAATCGTTGTTTTTAGATAAGCTTCCCCAATTCTCCTGTGGCCTCTCCCTTCCCGAGACGGTCTAATGGCCCTGAGCGATGGCTCCTATGTGCCCGTCTCCACCTGTTCTCTCAGGGCTAGCTTGGCCTTGGCACCTCACTGCAGGCCGCCCCTCTGCTTGGGGTGCTGGACAAGCAGAAGGGGAACACTCAAGTTCTTTCTCTCCATAACTGCCTTCGGGAAGCCATGGCAGATGCGTTGACTCTCTGTAGGGCTGGCAAGCTGTGTGGCGAGTCCCTTATCCAATGTCGCTGTGTCCCACAGGGAGGTCTTAAAGAGGCAGCCGACTTTTGTGGCCTCCTTGTGAAAGCTTCGATGCCTCAGGGATCATTTCTGAGCTGACTGCTAGTTGGACTTGGGCCCACTGAAGAGACAGCCTGGGATCGGATGTCCAGAAGAGACAGATCTGAGCACGTCTCTTTCCTCTCCCTCCTCTTTTCTTCTTAGCCCTTCCACCTATCACTCATTCATTGCCCCTTCCTAGGTTCTGTATTCATTTGCTGGGGGCTTTAACAATGAGACGTTATTTTCTCCCAGTCTGGAGGCTGGAAGTTCAAGGCCTAGGTGCCAGCAGGATTGGGGTCCCTGGAGCCCTCCCTCCTTGGCTAGGAGATGGCCGCCCCCTTGCTCTGAGCCCACATGGTCCTTCCTGTATGCACCTGCACCCCGGTGTCTTTCTGTGTCCTGACCTCTTCTTTTTTCTTCAAGACGGAGTCTCGCTCTGTTGCCCAGGCTGGAGTGCAGTGGTGCAGTCTTGGCTCACTGCAACCTCTCACTCCTGGGTTCAAGCAATTCTCCCACCTCTGTCTCCCGAGTAGCTGGGATTACAGGCGTGTGCCACCATGCCAAGCTAATTTTTTGTATTTTTTTTAGTAGAGACGGGGTTTCACCATGTTAGCCAGGATGGTCTCGATCTCCTGACCTCGTGATCCACCCGCCTTGGCCTCCCAAAGTGCTGGGATTACAGGCGTGAGCCACTGCGCCTGGCCCCTGACCTCTTTTATAAAGATATCAGTCACACTGGGCTGGGGCCCAGCCTAATGAATGGCCTCATTTTTGCATGATCTCCTCTTTAAAGGCCTTATCCTCAAATTTCTCCAAATACAGTCATGTTCTGAGGTGCTGGGGGTTAGAACTTCAACACAGGAATTTGGGGGCATACAATTCTGCTTATCACAGGTGCTGAGCCCTGAGTGCAGTGCTTATGATAGAAAGATGAGCTGGATAGTTCTTCCCCTTGTGCAGCTCAGCATCCTGGGGGAGAGAAAGTGGGAAGATCCAGTTTTCTGATGAAAGAAGATGGAAGGAGGAGGGCTCGGTGCTACTAGGGGGGTGGGAGTGGATGGTTAAGACCAACTTGACTCCAGTGACAGCAGCAAGGGCTCCTCATTCCTGTTGATGGTGTGTCCTTCAAAACGTGCCGTGGTTCTCAAGGAGTGAGTGGCGGTGGCCTGCAGCCCTCTGGCACTTTGTGGCCGAGGCCAGCTCCAACGCTGCAGGGCAAGAAGAGCCACGCTGCAGGGCAAGAAGAGCCACGCAGCAGCACTGATGTGCGTGCCAGTAACTGCCTGGTGTTCTAGTGAGTGCTCTCCCTCGAGGAGCCTACTCCATTCTCTAGGGGATCATGTGAAAAGTAGAGCAGCTTTGGGAAAGTGTGAAGTCTCTGTTGTGTCTCTGGAGAAGTTATCGCCTGGTTTGCACATGCTGGAGGGTGGGGTGGTGGTGGAGGAGGAGGGCGCATGATGCCTACAACCTGGCTACACTGGCTCTTTTCATCCTTGAATTCCTGCCTCAGGAACCCTACAAACCCAGTGCCCAGAGTATTGCACTGGGGCCAGAATGGGAAGAGCCCTGAATACAAGAGAACTGTGGTATTGGGGCTATACCTATAAGCATCAGGAAGTCCCCTGCTCTGTGCCCAGGGAGTTGGAGGCCTTAGTACCCTTATCTCTGGAGGCTTCTCCCTGGCCGTGCAGAACAGCTGCAGGAAAGGGGGAAAGCAACTTAACAAAAATTGGTCCAGGGACAAATTATGCTTAGTAATGGATTATCCCAAACATGCTTTGTCTGAGTGTCCTGAGGCCATGGTGACAAAAAGTTAGTGCCGTAACACACACGGAATCAATTCTCTGAGCCTGTGCACTGTCACACTTGTTGCCTCAAGCTCACAAATGGAGTTTTTCTTGTTGGTTTTAATACCTGCAGGAACGTGAATGTCGGCTCTCCAGCCAGCAAGGCCAGCGCCCACCCATCCATCCCTCTGCCATCCTCCATAGGTGGTTCTGATGGCTCTGGTCAGCTGTCATTCGTCCTCCCATCTCTCAGCCTTTGTAGGATAGTTGATACCTGTTTTATTCTTTTATTGTTATTTTAGGGGTCTCAGCATGGAAATATATTGGTGTATAAGTACCTGTTCCAGTCCTTGTTTTCACTTCTCTTGGGACTATACCTAGAATTGGAATTGCTAGATGCTATGGTAATTCCGTGTTTAATTTTTTGAGGCACTGCCAAATTATTTTTCTCCCAGAATGCTTTGGAGGCAATGACTTCCTGTTTCCTTCCTTCCTTCCTTCCCTCCCTCCCTCCTTTTCTTTTTTTTTTTTTTTTGAGACAGAGTCTCACTCTGTCACCCAGGCCAGAGTGCCGTGGCCCAATCCCAGCTCACTGCAACCTCTGCCTCCCGGGTTCAAGCAATTCTCCTTCCTCACCCTCCTGAGTAGCTGGGATTACAGGCGTGCGCCACCACGCCCAGCTAATTTTTGTATTTTTAGTAGAGACGGGGTTTCATCATTTTAGTCAGGCTGGTCTCAGACTGCTGACCTCATGATCCACACGCCTTGGCCTCCCAAAGTACTGGGATTACAGGCATGAACCACCACGCCCATCTGATTTCCCGTTTTCTGCAGGGTAAAGCCTCAGGGCCGGCCCATTGCTTTCAGGACTTTTCTCACTCTGTCCCCAGCACAAGGATCTTCTCCATCTAGATGGATTTGCCACCATGTGCTGCCTCCATGCTTGGGCTGGGTCATTCTGCTCACATGGACACCTCTTCACCTTCCTCTCAGGGACTCTGCACATGCTGCCTTCACTGCCTCCTTGGGAAAAAATTGCTCCTCCCGGCTGCTCCCAAAGCAGTTCTTGTGGGTCTGGCCAGGGACCCCCCTAACCCTACTTTACTAACTACCCTGGGTTGGCAGTCTCTGCCCCGAGCTCTCCTGTTCCTCTCCCCTGCTCTTGAGCTCCCATTAGGTGTCGAGCACCCAGAAGTGGTGATGGCTCGTTCATTTTGGCCATGTCTGTGCACGGCTCACCCCTGGTGCTTGTATGCGGATGCTTGTGACCACACAGCCTGTATTTGAGCCACTGTTCTGTAATCAGCCTCTCCTGTGGTGGCATCTTCTTCACAGGGAGGGATCTGGCCGACCTCGGGTCTTAGCACGGCTGAGCCTTTGAAGCTGGCAGGTTGCCCTGGGTTCCCGGGGTGGTGGTTGGCCGCCTCTTCTCTTGGGCCCCTGCCCATTTGGAAGCGTGCCCTTGAGCACTGCCATCCCCGAGCCAGGCCATCAAGTCATCCGATCCCCCGAGGTGGCTGAGAAGCTGGCTGAATGTCCCTGCTGTGAACCAGTGATGGAGAACCAGGCTGCTACTTAGCTTTGTAGATGGATTCGGTAAAGACTAAATCTCTTATTTCTAAGACGTGATCTCATTGCACAGACAACAGCCTGAGTGGCCTGTCACCCAAGCAGAAATCCTGGAGACATCTGTTGAGCCTATCCTGTTTCTCATTGCCATTGGTGACCTCCCTCCTGGGCATCTGTCCCTTGCCCTCCCCTCCTTGGTCTGCGTCTCTTGCTCTGCTGGCCACTGTCGCTTTCTGTGTGATCTCCCCATGCCAGTGTGCCCTGCTGTGATTTGCCTTTTCACACAGCACCTCTTCCTTGAGTTCGGACCCAAGCTGCACTCTCCAAACCACTGACTTCACTTGCTCCTCCCCCCACTCACATTTTGGGGCCCTAAATTACTTTAGTATCGTGAGTGAGCACTGGGCTGTCTCTTTCACAGTCTAGATTTGCACAAACCTTTCTCTGAGCCTGGACCATTCTCCCAGGTCTTCACCAGGCCAGTTCCTCCTGGAGCTCCAGACTGCAGCAGAGCTGTCTCTTGCTGGGATGGGAGACACTTCTCTGGCCCCAGTGCTGCTGTTCCCCCTGCTAGTTTTCCCCCTTTCCTTGGCAGCCCGTCTCACCAGGCTGTCTTGTAACAGTCTGTTTTCCTTGTCTGTCTCCCTCACCAACCTGATGTGTCTGCACTGCTGTGTCCTCAGCTCCTAGACCAGGGTCGGGTTCCGGCTGGGGCAGGAGAGGCGTGTGCTGCGGCCCTGGATGGGCTCATGGGCAGATGGACTATCGAGCAGATGGATCAAGGCCCCCTGTGGGTCCAGGTTTCTCCCCAGAGCCTGAAGGGTTGGCCCCGGTGGTCTGTGACAGCTTCCTGCTCTGGTGGTCAGCAGCTGGGCACAGAACTACCTGGAGTGGAGGTGAGATCCCAGGAGTTGTCAGGAGAGTCCAGGGTTGGCGGGGGCCCCAGAGGCTTCCGGGAGGCTTCTAGAAGCTCTTGAGCGCTTTCTCCTGCCCAACATGAATGTCTTGTCTTAAAGGTGAGGCCTTGTGAGAAAGCAGGACTAGGTGAGGCCGGAGGAGTGACAGTCGCCCAGTTGATGCTGTGGAGTTCTCCAGGCTGCTGGCCCATCCAGTCCCTCCTCTAGGCCCTGAGTTACTGTGTCACTGGGGCCTGGTCCTGCTGCAGAGTTGGGGCACATCTCAGGGCCTTTCAGAGCTGATAAGGGGCCTGGCCTGCTTTCAGTTTTTTGGTTTTGTTTTGAGGCTTCCAGTTCATTAAAACAATTAAAATGCCCTAAGAAAGCTATAAATATTAATATTATGGTATTTTAAACTGGTAACCTTTGTCAGGATGGTGTTTTTTTTTTAAACCAAAAACAACATAGCAATATAATTAGTCTAGTCACAAGGTAATGCTAGGATTTATAGGAAATATTAATTCATAGTGTGCTCAGTCTGGGTGGACCTGTGATGGGACGGGAGTGTCCTCCAGCCCTGCAGCTCAACATGGTCACATTTGGAGATGAGATGAAGTATTTGACTTTGAGGCTTCTGTGAAAATGAATCCACACCCCATTCCCACCTCGTCCCCTAACCTGCACCCCTCCAAGCCCTGCAAGTCCTTCTTCTAGGCTGGGAAATGAGGACATAGGAGTGAGGCTGCAGGGAAGGAGTGAGACATACACGTTCCTGAGGCCTTGAGTTCCAGGCTTCAGGAACGCCTGCCCGTGCCCGGGCTCTGTATTCCCTGGCCAGTGCTGATGGTGTCTCTGGCAAAAATGCAAGTACCCTTGGAGGCTAGGCCTTGGGGTGGAGCTAGCTCAGACACCTGCCCTCTGGGAACATTGCCTTCTTCTGCTTTCTAATGCTGATGGCTTCCCTGAGATCCCAGAGTCATCAAGGGTCACCCTGCAGATGGGACCATGAGCCCCACTCCCCAAAATGTGGCTTGCTCAAGGTCACATAGGTAGTAGCAAAGCTGAGACGTGAGCCTGGCCCTTCAAAGCCTAAATTGGGGATAACTCTGGCAAGAGAATGTTTCAAGGTTCATCTTTGTGTCCCCAGAGCCTGGCATGTCATAGGGAGATAGAAAGTATCTGTTGAATGAGCAAGAGCAGCCAACATGGATCGAGAGCCAGGAACTGTGGTAACTGCACATCTGTCTGATCTCATTGATTCCTCCCCAGCTCTGGGCAGTGTACTTCGGTACTCGGATCCCCTGTGGGCAGATGAGGAGGAAGCTGGGTACAGGTAGGAAATGAAACCTGCCCAACATCAAACAACCAGTCAAGGAAGCTGAGGTTTGGGCCCAGATGGTGTATGTCAGAGCCACTGTCTAGGCCAGCGCTGTCCAGTGGAAATAAACGTGAGCCTCTTATGAAGTAGAAAAAATTCTAGTAGCCACCTTTAGAAAAGTAAAAGAGGAACAACTGATATTATTTTAATAATATTTTAATAATATATTTTATTTAATCCAGTATCTGCAAATGGTTATCATTTTAGTATATCATTAATATAAAAATCCTTTTCTTTTTTGTAGAAATGTTGCCTGGGCTGGTCTCAAACAGTTCTCTCACCTTGACCTCCCAAAGTGCTGGGATTACAAATGTGAGCCACTGAGCCCGGCTATTTAATCCGATATGTACAAATGATCATTTTAGTACACCATCAATATGAAAATTATTAACAAGATATTTTACATTCCTTTTTCTATGCTAAGCAGTTACAATCCAGTTTATCTTACCTCAGAGCACCTCTGAACTCCCACCAGCCACATCTCAAGTGCTCCTCAGCTTCTGTGTCCAGGGGCTTTGGCGCAGAACAGGCTGCTGTGGCCTCTCAGTCGTCAGTGGGTGAATATTGGGAGTTGTTAGCCATTTGGAGGTGTGGGAAGCATGAGGAGGTGATGAAAGGGCCTAACAGACAGAGGTGGAGGGTCAGGCCTGAGCCTGTGTACTGGGCTGCCAGTGACACCACGTGTCTCTCCCAAGTGTGAGTGCTGGATGCAAGGCTGCCGTCCTGGCAAAGGGATGTCTCACTGGGGCCTCTCGTGGAAATGGAGGGGAGGTCCTGGGCAGGGCTCTGCAGAGCACAGGCATCCGAGCTCCCCATCCTGGGCTGCCTGGAGGACTTGCCAGTCTGCGTGGGGATCTGGCTCTGAGCTCTGTTGCTTTTGGCCAAGGGCTGTTGCAACACTCCCGGAGCCCAGAACAGGTACGATGTGTTCCTCATGAAAGGTTATGAGGTTTCAGACATAACAGAGGTTCTGAGGATGCAAAGAGAGGAGGTCTCAGGGCTCATGTCTAGAGTGAAGTCATCAGACCTATACATCATGGGTTCACGTTGGCTGGCATCTCTAAGCGCACCTCAGGCTGGGGGCAACCAGTACTAGGGGCGACAAGGACAGACTTTGGTGGAGGTAGGGGGAGCACTAAGGGACTCCTGTTTTCTCAAATGGGTCTCTAATGAAAGAGGTTAAAGAAACTGTCACTTAAAGCATTTCCTGGGTTGGTCCTGAGTACAGTGGGAGGGTGGGTGGTAAGAAGAAACCTCCCTGGGCCAGGCTCCCCAAGGCTCGATTCCTGGGTTGGGGGCAGAGATTGGAGGAATCTGTGGCCAGCCCTGGCCCAGACAGTTTCTGAAAAAGCAAATCAGGGTTTGTAACAGTTAAGTCTGTCCCGGGGAAGTGTTCCATTGCACCTTGATTTATGCCACTGGAAACATTTTATACTGAGGACTGTCCATTGGCCAAACAAGCCTTGGGGCCAAAGGCACAGCAGGGAAGATGGTTGCTGTGTGAACCATCAGCTCTACTCTGCTTGTGGGGACCATGGGCGCAGTTCTTAAAAGCCCGCACTGGGTGATGCAGAAATGGGGCGGTGACACGGTAAAAGGAGCGGTGGCAGGCAAAAACTTTTAACAACAACAGTAAAACCTGTTTTATAAAAGCCATATCCGTGGAGGTAGGAATTGGGAGCAGGGAGCCGCTGAGTGCTGGGGCTGGGACCTGGCCAGAGTAGGGAGGGATGAAGGACCCCTGTGATCAAGGTCAAGTCCTCACCTCATGACTTCCTGGCAGAACGTCCTTGGGCAAGGCTCAGCTTCCCTGTCTGCAAAATGGGGCTCATAACCCCTCCTTTCCTTGCAAGCTCATATTAGATGCTGCATGTGGAAGTACAGAGCAAAGTACCCCACAAATCCAGGGGGTTATTCTTTCTATTAACCCCACTGTGAATGTTTTACTTTCATTTTTATTAACCCCACTGTGAATGTTTTACTTTCATTTTTATGTATTCTGTAGCCTTTAGGTGTCATGTTACTTTATCAGGATTTTAAAAACTTTTCATTATGAAGCGTTTCAAATGTACTCAAAAAATAGAGAGGATAGTGTAATGAACACCCTGTACCCTGCAGCCACCACTACAACTCTTAACTATTTCATCAGGGCAATTTGAGCTCACTGTTACAGTAATCCCTTTCATTAATTGAGTTCCCAAAGTGCTTTAAGTCCTTTGAAGTAAAATCTTCACTGCACAAGTTGGCTCAAAATCTGCCCCCTTGTTTGGGAAAAAGAGTGTTTTTGTATGTTAGGTTTTTTTGACTCATTCTTGCCACAGTCTGTGATTGGATTTTTCAGTACCATCTAATTGTTGGTTGTACAATATAGAGACAGTCACACGTGGGGGTCTGGAGGGCCCCAGGGCCCCCCTCAGCCTTCCTTAAGCTACCAGGGCAAGTTCAATTCTCTCAGGAGTTTGGGGGCCTCTGTTGACTCTGCTTTTCAATTTGCTATAATTTGAAGGGAAAAGGTTGTTCTGGAGTGGCTGGCAGGAATAATGAAGGGCTGGGAAGTTTGTTGTCTCCGGTCAGCCCGCCTCCCCTGTTGCAGCCCGCCATGCAGGCACCCCTTGGAAGCGGTCACTTTGGGGCTGGTCACCCATTCCCTTGCCTGGAGGCAGAGGTTTTGGTGGAAAAGGTGGGGAGGTGAGGGGTCAGGGGATGAAGGCCGATTGTTTTTATCTGTTTGGGATCAAAGGCTCAGTGTGTATAACAAGCTTCTGGTAAAACTCTTTTTCTTGTCCGTAAGATGGCATTGGTGATGACTCTGGGCAGTTGTGAGGATGAAATGTAAGGTCCAGGAGATGTCCTGTCTGTCTTGTTCACTAATGTGTCCCCTGTGTCTAGAACAGTGTTCGCACAGAGCACATGCTCAATAAATTTATATTGAAGAATAGGAGGGAAGGGAGGGAGGAAAGAAGGAAGAAAGGAAGGGAGGGAGGGAGAGAGGAAGGGAGAGAAGGAAGGAAGAATGGAGAAGGCAGGGAGGGAAGGAAGCAAGGGAGGGAAGGAGAGAAGAAGGGAGGGAGAGACAGGAGGAAAGGAGGGAGAGAACAGGGAGAGAGGGAAGAAAGGAAGGGAGGGAGAGAGGGAGGGAGGAAGGGAGAGAGGAGGAAGGGAAGGAGGAAGGGAGGGAGAGAAGAAAGAGGGAAGAAAGGAAGGGAGGGAGAGAGGGAGGGAGGAAGGGAGAGAGGAGGAAGGGAAGGAGGAAGGGAGGGAGAGAGGGAGGGAGGAAGGAAGGGAAGAAGGAAGGGAGGAAAGAAGGGAGAAGGTAAGGAGGGAGGGAAGGAAGAAAAAAGGGAAGAGAGGAAGAAGGGAGTGAAAAGCTACATCTGTCCGTCCATTATTAATAATTCATCACAAATCTTTCATTTCAGGATAAGGAAATGTCATTAGGCCCTCAAGGAAAAAAATGCCTGTTTTCACTCTGGGCTTAGAATTCTTTTCTCTTCTTTTTTTTCTTGTAGAAATTATATTTCCATCTCTGGGGCTTAGCTCAACTGATATCTCACCTCTTAAATTGTTTTGGCCTTCCTCTGGCAAAGTCCAGCCCCCCACCCACTCCCACACTGCTGTCCACACCTCACAAAGCAGAGAGGAGGACGGCTATGACTGCACCGTATCCAGCGCCGGGGCTATGTGGTCATGGGATGTGTGTGCAAGGCTGGCACAGTCATCTCCCCCATACCATAGAGGACGCTGAGGCTTTCAGGTGAAGTGAGTTGCCCAGGTAGACACAGCCAGGAAGCAGGCTTAGATCCAAACACTTGTCTGATCCCAAAGCCCTGCTCATTCCCCGTCCTCCCTGCTGGCCCTGGGTTCATCCTAACCCTTTGCTTTTAGTTCCCCCTCTCTGGACTGGACGGTCCTCACAGGTAGAACGGCCTGTGCCTGTGTCCTCTGCTCTTAGGGTTAGCCCAGAGCGGGGAGGCCGTGGGTGTGCAGTAATCAAACTGGGCACATCCTCTGGGGCTGCACCTCATGTTAGAGACAGTGGTGTGGGCTCTGTTCCCCTCCCCACCCTTTCTGCCTGCAGAGCCTCCCTGGAGTTTATGAGTCCTGATGGAGGTGGGGAAGGCCGTGGCTTACCGTCGACACACATCAGTACCCGGCAGGAGTGGCAGAAGGTCTGTGGACAGGGCATAGGGGTGCAGGGGGAGGAGAAAGTGGAGGGGCTCCAAGCACCCGAACATAAGCTCCATGGCAGCCAGGACCTTGTCTGTCTTGCTTGTTGTAGTTCTAGTGTCTGGTTCAGGGTCTAGCAAATAGTAGGTGCTTAACAAGTAGGTATCGACTGGGTGGCCTCCGAGCCCTGCTTCCCTGTTTCCCCAAAGCTTTATTGTGGGTTCTTTAGCTACTGCTGAGATGCAGATAGGCCAAGCTGAGGGACCATCCCGTGTCTGTGACCCTGCCCTGGAGTGGACCACATCTCTGCTGTACCTCACTGTGTCACTGCTGCAGCAACATGGTGGGCTCTTGGCTGGCTGGAACGTGACCCCACACCCTGCGTCTGGTTGGACAAGCATCCCTCAGCATGGACTGGCTTAGGTGTGTGTGGGGAGTGGGGGTGGTTGATTCCCAGGGCAGCAGGCCGGCTGCTCTTCCTCCTCCCTGCTGTTCCTCACCCACCCGGCCTCAGCCACTCCATTCCTGGATGCCCATGTCCCAGTGGCGGCTGGCTGGTCATCCAGAGGCGAATGCGGAACATGGTGTCTGAGCTACTAACCTCCCACCTTGGGTATGCCCTTGAACTTTTCTGTAAGCCAGGCTTTCCAACCCCCAACAGCACTCAGGTCACATTCCCAGAGAGCCTGCACAAGAGGGCTGAGTCTGTTTATTTTTCAAGATTTCAAAAAACATGCCTTTTCCCCCTCTGACCTTAAGCAAAACTTTTTTTTCCCTCCAACACTTGTATTTTTAACTTCATGAGAAAATATGGTAAAAGGGAGCAGATTTTATTTTCAGAAACTGTGATTTTTCAAGATTTTTTTTTATTTAAAAAAGAAAGGCTTTGGGGGATGGGGAGAATAAAGATTTTTGTTTTGTTTTGTTTTGGGTGCTAAGGGGGCCCAGAGCCACTTCTCTGTGGCCCCTGCTCAAACTCCTCCAGAGATTCTGGCATGTTGAGGCTGCAGCTCTTTTGGTTATTGTGATCAAGGATTTCTGGGCACCTTTCCTTCCCCTTTTGAAGACTTAGGACTGGACCAGCTAAGGGCTGTAAACAAGCATTTCCCTCCCTTGGCAGGAAGTGCTTAATGTCTTTGCTTTTGGGAACCGGTGTTCTGGGCAGGCTAGGAGGCCGCACCTGACCTGCCTGTGGCTCTCTTCCCACTGTGGGGGTCAGAAGATGGTGGCTGCCTATGTGCATGTCACAGATCCTCACTTCCAGCTGGTGGATGTAGGATCTGAGGCCCAGAGAGGGTTGGTGACTTGGCCATAGTCACACAGCCACCTGGATAGAGATGAGTGGTGAGTGGTGAACCCGGAGAAACATGGCTTCTTGCCTCCTTGGTCTTTGTGCACGGGCCTCCCGCTTCCCGAGTCTCTCCTGGCCCAGCAGTGGTTTGCTGAAGGCTGTTTTATTTTAGGCACCGGCTGAGCTACCTCTGATCTTGTTGGGTTAGCCTAGGTGTGGTTCTTTGGTTTTTCAGTTTGTATAACCATGTTCTTTGTTCAGCTCCTATCAGGGTTAGGGAGGTCAAACACCTATGTGTCAGGATACGCCTGACACACACTATTTAAAACTCACACTGTTTTAAATGTATAGTATTTAAAACTTTATGGTCAGCTGTACTTACCGGCTGAGTACAGAACTAGGAAAGCTGGTGGCTACTTGCAAGGAGCAGCTGCTTAGTAGCGGAGGTTGAGTAATAAGGACCCCAGTTGCTGAACAGCTCCTGGAAGACTATCTGTTCCCGGCTGGGCGTGATGGCTCAAGCCTGTAATCCCAGCACTTTGGGAGGCCAAGGCGGGTGGATTGCCTGAGCTCAGGAGTTCGAGACTACCCTGGGTAACATGGTGAAACCCTGTCTCTACTAAAAATACAAAAATTAGCCAGGCATGTTGGCGGGTGCCTGTAGTCCCGGTGACTCGAGAGGCTGAGGCAGGAGAATCGCTTGAACCTGAGAGGCGGAGGTTACAATGAGCTGAGATCATGCCGCTGCATTCCAGCCTGAGTGACAGAGCGAGATTCCGTCTCAAAAAAAAAAAAAAAAACAAAAAACAACTCTGTCCCCTTCTCCCTGTGGCCGTCACCTCTAACCTCTACGGCTGTTATTCTGGTTCAGTCTCATTTCTTCTCTCGGACTTTTGCAATAGCCCCTAAAATGCTGTCCTCCTGGTTTTGCTGACATCGTGACGATTTTAAAGCTGCATCTGACCATTTCCTTTTCACAAAGTGGTTCTCACTTCTGCCTCTAGAAGGCAGGCACTGTCTTCCCTTCCCAGGTACCCCGCAATCCAGCCATTCCCAAGGACTCACACAGCCCTTGGAAACCTTTCTGCTTAGAATGTTGTCCTGTCCTCTTCTGCTTGGTGGCTACCTACTTGTCCTTCCGAGTCCCTCTGAGACATCCCACCTCCGGGGAGCCTTCTAGATTCCTTGGGCTGGGTTTCCCCTTCTGTGTGTGTGTAGCCTTCTGCTCACATCGGTCCTGCAACAGCCCTGTGTTGAGACATAATCATCTCTTCCTTGTTTGTCTCATCTTCTGGGCTGGGCTCCTCTAAGGAGGGGCTGCTTTCCATCCTTGTGTTCCTGGCAGCAAAGCCACTGCCTGTCCAAGTCAGAGACAGGAGCATGATTATTCAGTGAATGAGCCCAGGATGGAGTGAGGAGGATTGTGGGAGAACAGGAGGGTCAGACAGATTGTTCTGTAGTGGTGGCTTTGCAGAGGGGCAAGACTTCTGCAAGTCAGTCCTTGAGGGATGAGCGGACATTAGATTGGTAGGTGAATTTGGGATGGGGGATGTGCTAGAGGCCCCAGAGCCAGCCGCAGGGTATGGGGTGATCTGGCTGGTTGTACATTTTTCTCCATGATCTTCATGTTTCGTGTAGACTGATCCCTTCTACTTTCTGAAAGCTGCCATTGGAGGTGAAGCAGGGCTCCTTTGGATTTGCGGTATCACCAATTCGGCAGGAGATGCAGTGAAGCTACACCCAGCTAGACCCATTTAGCTACACCCAGGGTTGGGCGTTCAGCCTGGCATCCTTGGAAAAACAGGTCTGGGTGCAGGCTCCCTGTGGCCACTGGCAGGATCCTTTGTTCAGTCTGGAGCTGGGTGTGATGGTGTGACCACGGCTGCCTCGGGCGCTGGTGGGTGCAGAGCTGCTTCCTGGAGCCAGGAAGGAACTGCTGCTGCTGCCTCCTCCTCCTCCTCTTCCTCCTCCTCCTCTTCCTCCTCCTCCTCTTCCTCCTCCTCCTCTTCCTCCTCCTCCTCTTCCTCCTCCTCCTCCTCTTCCTCCTCCTCTTCTTCCTCCTCTTCCTCCTTCTCTTCTTCCTCCTCCTCTTCCTCCTCATCCTCCTCCTTCTCTTCTTCCTCCTCATCCTCTTCCTGATCCTCCTCCTTATCCTCATCCTCCTCCTTCTTCTCTTCTTCCTCTTCATCCTCTTCCTCATCCTCCTCCTTATCCTCATCCTCCTCCTTCTTCTCTTCCTCCTCATCCTGCTCCTTATCCTCATTCTCCTCTTTATCCTCATTCTCTTCCTTCTTCTCCTTTTCCTCCTCATCCTCCTCCTCCTTCTGCTCATCTTCTTCCTCCTCCTCCTCTTCTTCTTCCTCCTTCTTTTCCTCCTCTTTTTCCTCCTTCTCCTCCTCTTCCTCCTTCTCCTCCTCTTCCTCCTTCTTCTCCTCCTCTTCCTCCTTCTCCTCCTCTTCCTCCTTCTTCTCCTCCTCTTCCTCCTTCTCCTCCTCCTCTTCCTCCTTCTCCTCCTCTTCCTCCTCCTTCTCCTCTTCCTCCTTCTCCTCTTCCTCCCTCTCCTCATCTTCCTCCTTCTCCTCCTCTTCCTCCTCCTCTTCCTCCTCCTCCTCTTCCTCCTCCTCCTCTTCCTCCTTCTCCTATTCCTCCTCCTCCTCTTCCTCCTTCTCCTCCTATTCCTCCTTCCCCTCCTCTTCCTCTTCCTCCTCCTTCTCCTCCTCTTCCTCTTTCTCCTCCTCTTCCTCCTTCTCCTCCTATTCCTCCTTCTCCTCCTCATCCTCCTTTCTTCCTCTTCCTTCACAAACACATGGTGCCTCGGCTTCACAGGGATAGCCCCCATGTTCATCTGCTCATTGCTTCTGGGTTGCTGCCTTGGGCAGGTGGCTATTTTGGGGTCTTTCAGATAATTTAAAAAAACCCAATACCCTAAACCTCCCCAAACCTAATTCTCACCCTCAGGGCCTAAGTACATTTGAAATTGCACACAAACTTAAGGTTGCTGTGTGCTAGATGGGATGCGGTGAGGGACAAGGCTCTCCAATCATAGTTTTTCCTAGGTGTCTGTGAGGGATTGGTTCCAGGACCTCCTGAGGATACCAAAATCTGCAGATGCACAAGTCCCTGACAGAAAATGGTGTCATATTTGCATATAACCTATACACAGCCTCTGGTATATTTTAACTCATCTCTAGATATAATGTAAATGCTATGTAAATAGTTGCTATACTGTATTGTTTAGGGAATAATGGCAACAGAAAAAGTCCATACATATTCAGTACAGATACAGTTTTTTTTTTTTTCTGAATGTTTTCAATCCATGGTTGATTAAATCCACAAATGCAGAGCCCGTGGATATGGGAGGCCAACTGCGTGTTGACTTTATGTTTTACAAAGCACCCTCTAATCATTGAATACTGGGAAACTTCAAGCTCTGGGCCAGGCACTGCACTCAGCATTTGGTGGCTTCATCTCCTGTCATATTCTGGAGCCGTATGAACAAGAATTTTCCCATCTTATAAATAAAAGAGCGAAGACCTGAAGAAGTTATGTATAAGCTGTTGTTTAAGGTTATGCAGCCAGGAAGTGGCTTACTCTCTTTGAATCTTACCCCATTCTTGTGAAACAGGTGGAGGACATATTTTTATCTCCCATTTAACAGACAAGAGACTTGAGGTGGCTGGATGCCGTGGCTCACACCTGTGATTCCAGCACTTTGGGAGGCTGAGGTGGGTGGATCACTTGAGGTCAGGAGTTTGAGACCAGTGGGTGCTTTTCTCTGGCGACGCCCAGTCTGTTTCATTAGCTAACAGATGCTAAGCTCTACCATGGGATAGTTGTAAAACCTTGAATGCAAAGCTTGAATACAATTGAGGAGCAGAGATGGGGTATACAGCAAGCACTCTGTGTATTAAGTGATTGTTGTTCCTCGTCTGTCTTTTGACCTCCCAGTGCACAGCCATGGGTCTGTCACTCTGGTGACCTTTGGCCGTGGGCATTGGGAGGATAGTTTATGTTGACTGCGGATTGCCAGGTACCAAGTATCAGGCAAATTGGCTTCTTTGTACATTCCTCCTTCCGGATAGACCTTGGGCCTCCTCGTCACTGCCCAGGAGATTTGCTGGGAATCTAGGAGGGAGTGGATGATGGCCTGGATGCCTGGGTGGTGCTGCCTCTGCCCCGAGGCAGCAGTCAGTGCCAGGGTGGGGCTGGGTGGGTGCTGCCATCGCCTCGGGGTGGTACCCGAGTCTGGAGTAGGAACAATACTCTATTGTTACGTTAAACCTGAAATAGACGCCTTCAGATGGAGGGGGTGAGTATGAATCTATTACGATCTAATAATGACAAGAGCACTCTGTGTCTTTTCAGATGCTTGACAATCACCTGCTAATCCCGGGGGTCTGGGAGCTGAGCATTTTCAACCTCCACCCCCACCTCTGCTTTGTGGAGTTGGGGAAAAACAGAGACCCAGGAGCTGTGAAATGAGGGAGGCTCAGCTTCTCCACTTACTTTCATGGTGTGAGGAGACGCATGTGTATTTGCCTCTGACCCCTCCTGCAGGGAGGAAAGCGTACCTGGATCTGGGTGAGAGGCATGTGTGGTGATGAGAACATTTCACAGACCCAAGTTCAAATCTCTGCTCTGCCACTCGAGCATATTTCAGAACCTGTCCTAGTCTCAATTTCTTGGTAAGGTGAGACTATAACCACTTTTAATGGGTCCACAAGGCCTGATCCAACCCAGCAGGTGCTCTTGCGGGTGAGGACCACATCTCGGTTGGTTAGACGTGTCCCCCCAGCCCTCTGCCAGGACCTAGGAGTTGGGGTGAGGGGCTGGGTTGCAGGGAAATGTTGAATCCCAAAAGCAGATTTCCCAGGCAGGCACTGTCCTGACCCAACCTGCCGCCAGCCACCTGTCAAGCTGGACCTCTGGGCTTTTCTCTCCAAATGCTCTTGTTCTCAGGAAAGGGCCAAGACTCACCCCAGGCACAAGATAAGTAGGAATCAGGTGTGAGCCAGTGGTCAGGAGATTTGGGTCTAGACTCTGTGTGGCCAGGGTCATTGCTCAGGTTCGCAGGGCTAAGGAGGAGGGAGGCAGGGGGAGACATATAATTTCTAGAACTTCTGAGGTTCTAGGACAGGGGCCAGCAAACTGTGACCCTTAGGCCAGTTCTATTTTTACAAATAAAGTTCTTTAGTTCTTTTGGAACAGAGCCATGCCTATTTTTTACATATTGCCTATGGCTGTTTTGCTCTCCAATGGCAGAACAGGGTAGTCTTGACAGAGACCATGTGGTCTGCAAAGACAAAGCCTCTTTATAGAAAAAGTCTGGGCAGGGCATGGTGGCTGGCTGGGTGCAGTGGCTCAGGCCTGTAATCCCAGCACTTTGGGAGGCTGAGGTGGGTGGATCATGAGGTCAGGAGATCGAGACCATCCTGGCTAACATGGTGAAACTCTGTCTCTACTAAAAATACAAAAAATTAGCCGGGCGTGGTGGCATGCACCTGTAGTCCCAGCTACTCAGGAGGCTGAGGCAGGAGAATCGCTTGAACCTGGGAGGCGGAGGTTGCAGTGAGCCGAGATCGCACCACCGCACTCCAGCCTGGGCGACAGAGCGAGACTCAGTCTCAAAAAAAAAAAAAAAAAAAAAAAAGTCAACCAGTCCCTCCATCAGATCACAGGCATCTTAAGGGCAGAGAACATATCCTGTTTGTGGGGCCCTAGACTCAACACTGGTCAGGACACAGTTGGCGCTCAATAGATATTAGCTGAATAAATAAGTGGAAAACCCATCAGGCATTGCTGGTGGGAATGTAAACTAGTACAGCCACTATGGAAAACCATGTGGAGGTCCATTAAAGAAGTAAAAGTAGAACTACCATTTGATCCAGCAATCCCACTCCTGGGTATCTACCCAGAGGAAAATAAGTCATTATATGGAAAAGATAGTTGCACACGCATATTTATAGCAGCAAAATCATGGAACCATCCCAAATGCCTGTCAATCAATGAGTAGATAAAGAAACTGAGATATATATATATATGATGGAATACTACTCAGCCATAAAAAGGCATGAATTAATGGCATTTGCAGCGACCTGGATGAGATTGGAGACTATTACTCTAAGTGAAGTAACTCAGGAATGGAAAACCAAACATCGTATGTTCTCACTGATATGTGGGAGCTGAGATATGAGGACACGAAGGCATAAGAATGATACGATGGACTTCAGGGACTTGTGGGGAAGGGTGGGGGGTGGTGGGGCATAAAATAGTAAGGTGCAGCGTATACTGCTTGGGTGATGGGTGCGCCAGAATCTCACAAATCACCACTAAAGAACTTACTCATACCACCTGTACCCCAATAACTTATGGGAAAAATATTTTAAAAATAATAATAAAAAAAGAAAACCCATCAGGATGATTTGGGCTTCAAGAAATAAGGCTTGATTACAAATGGTTTAAACAATAGCAAATGTTTATCATCCCACATTAGAAGAAGTCTGGAGCTAGGTGGCCCCAGGACGAGCTTGGCAGCTCAGCAGTGCCATCAAGGACCCAGGCTCTTCTTATTTTTCTCCACCAGCATCCTCGACATATTGGCTTGGTTCTCGGGCTTGTCCCTTCATGTCACAAAATGGCTGCGACAGTTCCAGGCGTCACGTCTAGTCCCATTTAGATGCTCAGCTGAAGAAGGTACTTTTGGAAAAGAACCTTTCCTAAAGCTCCCCAGCAGACACCCTCCATCAGTTCTACTAGCCAGAACCAGATCACATAGCAAATGCCCTAACTGCAAGGTAGGCTGGACAAGTGAATATTTGGCTTTTTCTGACTCTGTAGTTGAGGTGGACTCTGTCCACAGGAGTAAAGGGAGAGGAACCACTGGCTGGTGAACAGGCACTGTTCAATGTCTGCCACAAAGTTCTGCTGCAGATGGAAGAAGAGATGTTTAGTTGTGGCTGGGGAGGGCAGGCAGGGGTGGCAGAAAAGGTTTCTTGGAGGAGGTCCTGGAACAACTGGTCAAAGTGAAGGCTGCTGTGGAGGACGTCATGGTGCATCATTAATTCTGGTTGCTGGTAGGAAATGGTTCCCATGGCTGACAGACTCTGATGAGCGTCTCTCATGGCTTTGGCATATTATGGAGTTTTTCCTCCTAAAATCAGTTTTGCGGCCCTCATAGAACAACCCTTGAGGGGGGTTGTATATATAATCTTTATTTTCTAGACAAGTCAATTAAAGCTGCCAGAAGTGAGGTGACTCGTCCACAAGCAGCACGTTCTGTGGACAGAGCCTAGGACTGACTGAGTCCAAGCGCAGGGCCCCACCCCCAGTGCTCTTGTGCAGAAAGACATACTGGTCACCCTGTGGGCAGCCACCTGACCTGTGAGAACTTGGATTCTGTCCTGGTATCTGGTGGCCACAGCTGAAGCTGGCAGCTCCCCTCACACCAAGATAGGAGCCTTCTGGGAGCTGGCCAGCCAGGAGAGCAGCCTCAGTGAGGAGCTTCCAAAGGGATTTGGTGTCATTAAGGGCTCCCTCCTTCGGGACACTGCATGGAGACTGGAGGAAGGAGTCGGGAGTTGTATGGGCCCAGACCCTGCCATGGGGTTGGTTTGGAAATAGAAGCTACCAGAGAGATCTCATTCTTTCTTGGGTGTAATTTCAAAGTCATGGTGAGAAAATGAAATGTGATGAAGCTGTAGTGTTGGCCTAGAACAGGATCTGGCATTTAGAAAGTTTGGCGAATGTTAGTGCAGTTGTTCCCATTATCACTATCACCATAATTGTCATCACCACCTCTGTTGTATGGGAGCCCTGACAGCCTGCAGATGGGTGAAGAGTCTGGCCTCCCCACTGTACAGAGGTCAGATGTCTCTCCCATCCTCCACCAGGCTGCTCTGGCAAAGGACTTTGCTATGGTTTGAATGTCCCTGCCAATACTCAGTTAAAATGTGATTGCCATTGCGATGATACTATGAAGTAGAACTGGTTAAGAGGTGATTAGGCCATGAGGGCTCTGCCATTATGAATGGATTAATGTTGTCAACTCAGGAGCGGGTTTGTTATGACAAGAATAGGTTGTTATAACAACCTACTCCTGTTTGGCCCCCTCTTGCTCTCTTGCTCTTGCCCCCTCTTGCCCTTCTGCCTTCCACCACAGAGTGATGTAGCGCGAAGGCCCTTGCCAGATGCTGAAGTCATGCTCTTGGACTTCCCAGCCTCCAGAACCATGAAATAAATAAACCTCTGTTGTTTATAAATTACCCAGTCTCAGGTATTCTGTTATAGCAACACAAAACAGACTAAGCAGACTTCTGGGTTGAACTCAATGGAAACTTCTTGTTCTAACCTTATGATCTCTGAGCAGCATTTGAAATTGACTCACTGTCTTTGCTTGAAATTCATTTATTGCTGGGGCTCAGGACCCTACCCTCACTGGGACCTCACTTTGTCTTTCTAGCTATGTTTCTTCCTGAAATATTGACAGCCCTGGACTCAGGCCTCAGCATTCTGGGGGAAGTGCCTCTACTCAGAGTTAACATTTATTGAGCACTTACTGCATGCATGTGCTATGCTCAGCACTGTACATATCTTGTTTAATCCTCATGATGCAGCTCTCTGAGGTCAGTACTATTTGGTCATTTATTCACTCATTCACCAAGATTTTTGGGCTCCTACTATATACAAGGCACAATTCCAAGTGCCTAATAAGGCAGATGTGTTCCTACCTCTGGGGAGCTGACACCTAGTGGGAATTATTCAGGTTAACAGGAAACAGAGTGGAGACCTGAGGCTTCTTACCCAGTCACAGCCCTGGTGGGCAGAGGAGCCAACTCTAGTGCCGTGCTCTTGAATGCTTTGTTTCTGGTCCCACCGATGGCCGTGAATCCCTCACTTCCAGTGCACATATCTCTCTTGATGCCATTGACTCTGCCAGGGTGTTCTCGGCATCTCAAACTTAGCATTTTCGATAGGTTTTATTGCTAGTGTTGTTTTTGTTCTCTCTGAATGTGCTCTGCCTTTTCACCCTGCATCCACAAATGGCCTGGGAGCCTGTCTCAACACCCCCTCCCTTAATCTCCAAATCCTGTTATCAAGAGTGGTCAGATCAGCTTCTTCAGTGCACCCCCAGGACCCCATTCTTACTCTTCCTGCCATGGTTCCAGCCCCGCACTTCCTGGACACCCTTCGTTCTTTTCATGCTCTGGCATGTTCAGCTTTGCTTTCTCTTCACTGAGCCTTTGCACATGCTGTTCCCTCTGCCAGGAATTCCATTTACCCCCCAGCCACATCCCCCACTCCTGGCCAACTTCAGCCTTTGCTCAAACACTGCCTGCCACAGGGCCTCCCTGACTCTCCCTGCAGACTTTCCCCATGCTCCCTGCGGTGTGCACATTCAACCCTCCTTGAGTCACACCTTTTATTAAAGTAAAGGCTGGCACATCCACTTCCCACCACCCTGGGAGACGGGGACCAGGCCCTGTCTCCTCTTTCATCTTCAGTGCCAAGAATAGCAGGTATTCATTGACCAGCAGAATGAATAAATGAATATTGGAGTAGGTTTCTGACAGAGGCCTAGGAGGCTTGAAATTATCTTTCGGCCAGGCGCAGTGGCTCACCTCTGTAATCCAAGCACTTTGGGAGGCCAAGGCGGGTGGATCACCTGAGGTCAGGAGTTTGAGACCAGCCTGGCCAACATGGCAAAACCCCGTCTCTACTAAAAATGCAAAAAATTAGCCGGGCGGGGTGGCGGGCACCTGTAATTCCAGGCTGAGGCAGGAAAATCGCTTAAACCTGGGAGGCAGAGGTTGCAGTGAGCCGAGATCACGCCACTGCACTCCAGCCTGGGTGATGGAGCAAGACTCCAGCTCAAAAAAAAAAAAAAAGTTATCTTTCATACCAGGAGAGACAGTAAAATCCTGGGTTTCCTTTGTGGAGCCTTAAGTTCATCTAACTCAGTAGTTTCCAAACTTGCTTAAATGTCTTAGAAACCTGTTGTGCCTCACTTTAGTGGTTCTGGGATGGGGGAGTTGTCCCTAGGGAATCCTGCAGGGTCCTGTTGAAAGAGTTTGAGAACTGCAGCTGTAGTGCAAGGCCTCATTTTCTGCAAGAAGGAAGTGCAGAGAAGGAATGGGTTGAAGGTGCCCTTGACCATATAGTGACTGAGCCTGGAGTAGCGTGCTGGGCTCTTGGCTCCCCCTGCAGTGTGTCACAGACTCTTCATTTAAGCAGATGTGTGTGTGTGTGTGTGTGTGTGTGTGTTTAATACACTTTAAGTTCTAGGGTACATGTGCACAACCTGCAGGTTTGTTACATATGTATACATGTGCCATGTTGGTGTGCTGCATCCGTTAACTCGTCATTTACATTAGGTATATCTCCTAATGCTAGCCCTCCCCCTTCCCCACCCCACGACAGGCCCCGGTGTGTGATGTTCCCTAAGCAGATGTTCTTAAGGGGAAGCAGCCTTTTCTTCCTGGTGTACTCAGCTTCCCTGGCATCAAGCATTCCCTGCAAAAGGCTTGGTGGGGATTTTTCTTTAAACTTAAAATGTTGTTCTCCCTAAAGAAAAATGCGCTGCTGAGTGGAAAAATCTGCATGTCTCATGACCCTGGGTGCCGCTGTGCCACAGGTTTTTATGAGTTGGCAAATATGTTTTTAAAATGGAGAGGTGTGCAGGAAGTGAGCCAGCAAGGAAGGAGAATATAAGTCGTCTTTTTTGCAGGATGCAAAATTGGGTTTATTTGCAGACTGATGTGTTACCTTCTAAAGGACTAGCCACAACGTTTGACCCTCAATCTAAGGTCAACACTGCTATCCATTGCTCACAGACCAGAGTGCATCTCCCATGAGGCAAAAGAGCAGGTGTGAGAAGTGGGTAAGCAGTCTGTATATTGGGGGTGTGGTGGATGGCATAGGGGATAACTCAGTCTAATGAAAGACATCAATGTGCCATTGGGAAAGGACAGAGGTTGCCCCCTCTTTCCCCCAGATAGTCGCCCAGCTTATAAATGCATAGATCTGGGACAGAGAATAAGGTTCACCTAGGTTCCCCCTAATCACAGGCGGAACTAGGACTTTGGGAGATGATCTCACCTGCCTTTCATTTCCAAGAGATCAGTAGCACTTGTATTTTAAGAGGTGAGTCCTTCTATGAATATCTTGACCTTGAGGTTTACAAAGGACTTCCAGACCATGGGGTTTGCTTTTTATCAAGTCGTACTGTTTACATAAAGAAGTGCAGAACCTGGCTGGGCACAATGGCTCATGCCTGTAATCCCAGCACTTTGGGAGGCCGAAGGTGGATCACTTGAGGTCAGGAGTTTGAGACCAGCCTGGCCAACATGGTAAAACCCCGTATCAACTAAAATGCAAAAAAAACAAAAAACAAAAAAAGCTAGGCATGATGGCGGGCGCCTGTAATCCCGGCTACTTGGAAGGCTGAGTCAGGAGAATCGCTTGAACCCAGGAGGCAGAGGTTGCAGTGAGCCGAGATCGTGCCACTGCACTCCAACCTGAGCAATAGAGGGAGACTCAGTCCCAAAAGAAAAAAAAAAAAGTGCAGAACCCATAGACATACTGCTGGATGGTTTTTCATAAAGTGATGAAGTGCATACCCTGTGGAACCCTAGTCAAGAAGCACGTCATCTACACCCCAGGACCCTCCGGGAGCCCCTTCCAGGCCCCATCTACCTTGTGGTGGTTCTAACGCCATGGGTTAGTCTTGCCTGCCTCTGAACTCTGGGTGAAAGGAGCCACGCAGCCTTGGCCCTTTTGAGGCTGGCTCCTTTCACTCACCATTGTCTTTGAGATTTGGGCCTGTGGCTGTGTGCAGTTGTGTTTGGTTCATTCTCGCTGCTGAGTCCTATTCCCCTGTCTCCACACATAGTGGGTGTTCACAGCAGCCCCACGAAGTACACAGGGTGTGGACTGTTCCTCCTGTTTTATAAGAAAGGAAGCCCAGGCTTGGTGTTACCCACAGCACAGAGGTGGCTCTAGAGCACGCCCCATCCGATGGCTGCTGAGGAAGTGACTTGATCTTTCTAGGAGCGTCTTGTCCTCTGCCCAAGAAGTTGCCAGCAGCTTTCTCTTTAGTCTTCCAGAAGCCCCTGGCTCTCCTTTTGAGTCACTTTGACCACGCCTCCTTACCAGTCAAACCGTGGGTTTTCTGAATTCCTGGAAGTGCTCTTTTAGCTGCTTTTCTGATCCCTGAACAGCAAACACTTATCGTGGGTAGCATTTTCCTCTGCCAGGCCAATGGCAGACATTACTAACTAATTGTGGGACTCCTGTTCATTGAGCCTGGACCCTGTCTTGAGTTCCAGGATTCCCGGCAGCCACTGCCATCTTTTTGGAGCTCATTCACTTAATGAAATCTTTCTGCTTTTGTAGTGCCAGGTGGTACAAGCAGAGTTGCACTTTCTGCTGAGGAGACTTGATTTCTTATGAAAATACCAAGCAATGAAGGAACGCTGCATTTCTAAAGCATTCGTTGGCTTCCTGGACTTTTTCCCTTGCAGGTGGGGTGGCAGGGAGTGGGTGATGGGGCAGTGGCTATTCTGGACACAGAAATCCACATTCCTTTAAGGTGTCATTTACTGCTTCCAGAATCCCACTTTCAAGGAGACTTGAAGCTAGTAAAATGAATAACTGGGCTTCTTCCCAGCCTGTGGAGGCCTCACAGTGGTAGCTTGTTAGCAGAGTCCTCAGAATATATCCAGGATAAAAATGTGACTTTGTGCAAGTCCCCAGCTTGAAACAGGGTTACATCCTGCTTCCTGGGTGATGCTACCTGGCAGAGGAGCCCAAGGGCAGGGGGCAGGCTCCTCGTATCTGGGTGTGGTGCCCTGAGCTCCTTGCCCTGCTGTTTATTTCCAGAGCAGAACCTTGGGGCTCACTGGAGCAGTGACCACCTCTAATCACAAGAGCTGGTTGTACTTTTTCTTCGCAGGCTGCATAGGGTGGAGGATGGGGCTGGGGCCTCTGGAGAGTGGCGATTCCTCCCTCAGCCCCACATTTCTACCTGCTCCCCAGGGCACCTTGTTATTACAGTTCAACTGGCTGGGGTTTGTCAGGCCTCAAGCCAGCCTACCTGGTGGTTTCAAACCAGACTTAATCAAAATGTAAATACTTCTTGGGGCCAGAAAGCAGGACTGTCCAGGTGTTTGATCAGAGGCTGCAGAGCCTGGGAACCACAGGAGAGGGTGGGGGCCTGGCAGGCTCCTTCCACACAGAGGCCTGGGGTTCCCTGGGGCCTCTCTGTCAGGGGCTTCTGGAGCAGCTTCTGTCCCCACGTGACCAACATCACCCTCTGCCCTACTGCTGTATATGCACGCTGTCACTGGGGCAAAGGTAGTGCTGGTGATGCTGGTGACAGCACCTGCTCCCCTTCTCCATCCCTGAAGGAAGACAGCTTAGAGGTTGATGGATCGAATATCTTGCATTTTAGAGAGGCGGGACCTCAAGGCTCAGAGAGGGTCTGTGACCCTCGTGAGGTTGCACAGTGGGCAGGAGCGCAGAGAGGTGCACTCGTGGAGGGTGAGCCATGTGTCCGGTATTGTTCTAGGATCAGCAGTGACCAGGGCATATGCAGAGTCTGCCCCGGGGGCAGGATGGTGAATTGAGAGTAAAACGCTAGTTGGACGAGATCATGTTATATCTGTAAACAGACGATCTATACATGTGTAAACTAATAACGTCTGATAGTGATGAGTACTCTGTAGTGGATGAGGTGTAGCAGGATTAGATAAGAGAATGAGATAGATTCAGTGGAGGTGGAGGTGTTACCTTAGATGGGGCCTGGGGAGCCTCCAAGTGTGGGTGTGTGGAGGTCATATTAGTTGAGACCTAGTTGTCAGAAAAGGGATGGTCAGGCAGGGGCACAGCCAGCAGGGCGAAGGCTGTGCGATGAGCATGAGCCGCAAGGGTCTCCATGGGCCGGGAGGAGCTCAGAGTGTCTGGAGTGGAGTGTGGGCCTGGGGCATAGTGGTTGTGGGGGAGTCACGGGAGGCATTTGGACTTGATTCTAAACCTGTTGGGAAGTCATTAGAGGATTTCAAATGAGAGAATTCCATGAGTTGCTTTGGGTTTGCATAACTCTGGCTGCTGGGTGGAGATAGTTTGAAAGGGGCAAGAACGGAGGTGGGAGGGGAGGAGGCTGGTCCAGGTGAGGATGCTGGCCTGGTCCAGTGGCAGCCCTGGGGCCATAGGGAGGGGGACAGGTATGGATTTCACTGCAGAGCCCAGACTTGGGGATGGATCCAGTGTGGCATGGAAGGTGGGGGAGGGAAAGTGAAGGACCCCAGCCGTCCCTTGGGTTTGGGGCTCAACTAGGGCTCCTTTGATCACTCATCTCCCACTGCATGGTGTCCCTACAGCCAGACTCAGGGTCCTTGCCTACCCTAAAGCGCCAGGGTGGTGCTGGCCCTGCGTCTTCAGGATCATCTGGGGAGGGCTGACTCACCTGCCTTTCTGGATCCAGAAGGCGGAGGGTGTGGTGTTACCTGGTGCTGGGGATGTTGGAAAACTCAGAACCTGGGCTTTATCTTGACTGTGTTTAATGACTCAGCACAAATCTAGAGACATGACCAAGAGGCAGCTTTGAGCAGCCCTGGCTGAAGGACCAGAGCAGTGGGATGATGTGGCCTGTGGAGGAAGGAAACCTCCACCTGGAACCTTGAGGGGAAAGCAGGGCAACAGCAGTATGCTAACTGTGTGAGCTGCTTTTTTTTTTTTTTTTTTTTTTTTTGACAGGGTCTTGCTCTGTTGCCCAGGCTGGAGTGCAGTGGCATGATCTCAGCTCACTGCAACCTCCGCCTCCTAGGGTTCAAGCAATTCTCCCTGCCTCAGCCTCCTGAGTAGCTGGGATTACAGGCGTGTGCCATCGCGCCTGGCTAATTTGCTGCTGTCTGTTGAGTGCTCACTGCACATGGGCTTCTGTGCATTTCCCCGTCATTCCTCACAACCCTAGGCGGCAACATTGACATTCTTCTTCCCATTTTGTGGATGCAGAAACTGAGGCTCAAAGAGCTTTTGGCCTAAGGTCATCCACCTAGCGAGCAGCTGAGCTCACCCACAGGCCCCTGAGTCCCGATTTAGGGAGTCTATAACCAGCACCCAACACTGTCGCCAGTGCACCACGCTGCCTGCTCACCAGCCATCCACCAAGGGCTGGCTCTGTGCCTGTCTCTGTCTAGGGGTAGGGCATGAGAACCGACCCCATGCAGTCCCCACCCAGAGATGCTTGCCCTGTGCACGCAGATGCGGACCAGCAGGGCATTTGCAGAAAGGCAGTTGTTCGCTTAATGAGAGGTGTTTGGGCAACTCCCTCCTTCTGTCCCTCCCTCCCTTGCTCTTTTCTTCCTCCTTTTCTTCCCTTCCTTCTTCCCTACCTGTTTTTCTTTCATCTCTCCCTTCCCTCTCTCCTCTCCCACCCCCTCCCTTCTCTTCTTTCCATCTCTCCCTGCAGTTTTTCTTTTGCTGACACCTGTTTCTGAAAAATCTTGGGTGTCTGGCTGTGGGGAGCTGCAGGAAAGCCCAGATGAGGTCTCCTGAGCTTCACCTTGTGGTTGGCAGCGAGGACTTGACCTAGAGCCTCTGACCTTCCACCTCCCTGGGCTCTGAGCTCCAGAGTCCCGTGGTCCTCCAAGGCTGTGGGAACCCGTGGTCCCCTCCCTTGCCTTTCCTCTCTTCGCTGACAGAACAAGGGGCCGGCAGAGGACATGTCAGGTGTGTCTCAGAGACCTGGGGGAAGATGGGCTCAACATGACCTGCTTCTGGGGTGACACCTCTGCTCACTCACTTATTCAAGCATTCACTCGTTCACAGACATGTCAGAGGTCTGCTGTGTGCCAGGCACATGTCCTAGGCACTGATGAGCAAAATGGACGTGGTCTCTGTCCTCTTGGGTGGAAGCCCCATAAAGGCATAAGTGAAAATTTGCTGACAAATTTTGATAGCTGCTTTTTCAAAGCCAGACACTGACTGAGGAGTGGTGGGAGAGAGCTGTGTGGGTATGACTTGGATTGATTGATTGGGGATGATCAGGGAAGGACAAGACCCTAAGACCTGAGGACTTGGCCGGGTGAAGTAGGGGCAGCAATAAAGTGCCACTCCCCGGGAGACACGTGTAAGTGCCCAGAGCAACGTCATTTGAGAGGTAAAAACCTGGAAGACCTAACCTACGTGTCTCTCAACAGGAGAGTGGATGGAGGAATTATTTTGACAAAACCTGTGGGTATGCAGGTTTAAAGAAATTTTGTTCCCATTCTGTAAGCTTGAAATGTTTCATTGCAAAAAAGTGATTCTGGAAATGTGTATCTAGCAGAGGAAATGACATATGCAAAGGCCCTGAGGCAGAAAATAACTCCCAGTGAGGAAGCAGGTGACGGCCTGACCACTGTACTTCCGGTATCTCTGCTCTCAGCCACCCCTGAGACCATGGAAAGGCTCCGTGTTGAGCCCTTGGAAGGCCTCCCTGGGAGTCCTGGGTGTCAGCTGGAGGACTGTGTGATGGTGAGGGAGTTGAACCACTGGGGCAGTGCCCGCCTGGGCTGGATTTGGGGGAGGGGGGAGCCTTTTGGATGAGTCAGTCCTCTCTGGTTGGAAACAGCAGAGTCTAGTTGAGGCTCTGCCAAGGACCCGTGGTGATTCTTGTCGCCTTTTGTGGAGAAATTTGCCCGCTAACAGGCCATCTGTGTGAGGTGAGTCACTGTTTCCCCCGTTTTGTTGATTGCAGACACCTCTGTGTGAGTCTGTTCAGCCTGAACTGCACACACCGATAAACTTCAGTGCCTGGATGAGCAAGCTTCCTGTGTGCTTCAGCTTGGGGCGCATGTGCGCTTCTTCTAGGATTTTCTGAAACTTGGTCAGGGGCTCCTGGATCATGATTGCAGATTGAGAGCCACTGAGCCATTCCAGGTCCTGTTTTCTGATGTGAAATGGAAGCCCAGAGTGGGGATGTGTCCAAACCCACACTGAGATCACACAGCGAGGGAAGGAAGCCGGGGTCCTGGCTGACACTTGCGGGGCAGAGCACCTTCTCTTGGCCCCGAATATGGATTTTGGTGTCCCTAGTCAAGATTTGTTCTGCTGACTTCTCCTGGGGAAAGAGGTGTCACGTCTGCCTGAGCCCCTGAGCCTGGTGGGTGGGGTGTGAGGATCTGGCCGGGGCCGCTGCACCTGCAGGTGTTTCCTGCAGACATTCTGCTGGGGAGCACTTCCCCTCTTCTCCCTCCAGGTGACTCACTGGGTGCAGTGTCCTCTAGCGTCTACTGGGTGCAGGGCACTGGGGAGACATGGGGGATGCTTCTTTGGGCTCGTCTGTACTAGGTATGGTTATAGGGTACTGGGGGTTGCCTAAAAAAATGCTGTGTGACCTTGATGGCTCACTTTTTCTCCCTGGGCCTCTGTGTCTCCAGCCGTCAGTGAGGAGCAGGCGTGGGTGATCAGCAAGGTTCCTCTCAGCTCTGATGTCATTCATTCTGAGTTAGGTGGAGAGTAGGGGATAATTGCAGCCCTTATTCACTGAACTTTCTTAACTATGCTAAATGCTTTACGTGCATCAGCTCATTGATGCCTATATCTATGTGGTTACAGAGGAGCCAGTTGAAGCACAGAGAGGTTGAGTAAATTTCCTGGAGTCACACAGCTAGTAAATTACATACCTGGGTTTAAACCCAGGCAGTCTGGCCCTGGAGCATGCAGTCTTAATCACTGCATGATTAAGGCTGAATCATGGTCCCCTAAAGATGTCGTATCCGAATCCCTGCAACTTGTGAATATGTTACCTACCTGATAAAAGGGCCTTTTCAGATGTGATTAAGTTAAGGCTGTTGAGATGGAGAGGTTATCCAGGGATATCAGGTGGGCCTGATTAGAGGGAGAGTGGACTGTGCCTGTGAAAAGGAGTTCAGAGTGATGCAGCTTGAGAAAGACCTGACCAGCGACTGCTGGTTTTGAAGGTGGAGGAAGGGCCATGAATTGAGCCAAGGAATAGAGGTGGCCTGTAGATTCTCCCCTGGAGTCTCCAGAAGGCACACTGCCCTGCCGACACCTGGATTTAGCCCGGTGAATCTGATTCCAGACTTCTGACTTCTAGAACTGTAGGATAATACATTTGTGTCTATAGCACTCCATTTGTGCCGTTAATAACTTGTTACTGAAGCAAGAGGAAACTCATGCAGCCATGCTCTACTCTGGTCTCCTGGTGGCGAGCCCTCCTTTCTGCATACACACTGGATTTTGAATTCTGAGGGGTAACAACCTCATCTTGCCAACAGAGCCCTCCTTGGCCATTTCACAATTCAAGAAGCATTTTCTAGGAAGCCTTTTAAAGCCCCACTGCCTTGCCCCAGCTTGCTCTGTTGTGTCACAGGAATGAGGTGGGGAGAGGACAGAGGGAAAGGGTCATGGGGAACCTGGGGCCCCAGCCTATACCCTGCCTCTATGAGGCTCCATCTGAGCACCCACCTCTCCAGGCATCGTCCTTGGTCCCCTGGGAGTGGGCACCCATGGCGGGTCTGCACTGTATGCCCAGTGCGCCTTTGTAGGCCGAACCTGCAGGGTCAGAGCTGGGTCTAAGGCTGCTCCCCAGGTCCTTGCAGGAACATAAGTGCCCGGGTTTATCTTTGGGCACTAGAGCTGTGCCCACAGCAGCTCCTGTTCAGATCTGGATCAGGGTCAGGCCCCCATCACTGATTGCGCACCCCAGGCACGCCTCACCCTGCCCCGGCCTCAGCTTCCTGATCTACAAAATGGGTGTCATGCTGCAGCCCTGCCGAAATTGTGTGCTCATGGTAGAAGTGACTGGGAAGAACTCTGCGTGTGGCAAGGGCTCTCGCTGCTGCTTCGGTACAGTCATCTGTAGGGTCATCTGTGACGTATGGGCCAGGCGTGTGCCCCCTCAGAATCCTCTCTGGGTCCCCTGACTCCTCCCCAGGAGCAGCCCACTCCATGGAGCTTCCCTTGGCCCCAAGTGCTTGAAGGGAAAGGTGAACACAGTCGGGATGACAAAGTTAGGAGGCGTGTGTTTTTCTTCCCGGTGACGTTGGGCCGGTCAGCCCGCGTCTTCGTAGCTTCAATGGCTTCTCCTGTGCCACGCGGTGGGGGAGCTTTCTTACGCCTCGTTCTGAGGATTAGAGACAATGGCTGCACAGGCACTGTGGCTGCCATGCTCAGGCCTGCCCTCGCTCCTGACCCCCAGGCCAGCTGCTTCCTGGTTCCAGGGGGCCAGGAGGAGGATCTTAGTGTTAGCCTGAGATCCTGGGCAGGTCCAGTTCTGAGGCAGGGGAGCCCTGTATGGATTTGGGGGAATGCTGGCAGGATGGCCTGCCGGCCCTTTTCTCCCCACTTCCCAGACGGAGCTGAAGGGAAAGGACTCTTCCCTGAGGGAGGCAGATCTTCCCAGGGCCTGTCTGGGAGCTCCCTCCAGTGAGGAGGCTGGTGCTGAGGCTGGGAGGGCTGGTGCCCAGGGCCCGGGCTCTTGAGCCTAGATGGAAACTGGGGCCACCTTCGGAGTTCTTGCCACATCCCTGCAGGGCTGGTGCGTGAGGGACCGTGTGGTCTCTAAGAAGAGAGGGTTCAGCCCAAGGGTCACCTCCTTCAGGAAGCCTTCCCTGATTCCACAGGCAGGGTTGATTGTGCCTCCCCTGTGCCCCCTCAGCCCCTCTTCCTCTAGTATTGTCACCTGGCATGGGTCAGTGCCGCCCACGAGCCTGTGAGCTCTTGTAGGGCAGGGGCCACGTGCCAAGCACCAAGTAGGTCCTCGATATGAGTCTGCACAGTGGATGGAAGAACTCTGGGGGAGGCAGAGCCGAGCTCAGTAAGGCCTTGGTGGGAGGGAAGCATGCTGGGAATGCAGGGTCCAATGGGAGTGTTGAGGGAGGTTGAATCAAGGACAAGGAAGGGTCCTTTCAACCCCCAGGTCCTGTGACCCTATGTGAGATCAAGAGTCAGGGCAGAGTAATGGCGACAGCTCACATTTACTGAGTGCTAACCACAATCTCACTTTGGCCCTAGCAGCCTTCTTAAGAGGGTGGTGTTTCCCCATTTTACGCTTGAACAATCTGAAGCTCAGAGAGGGTAAGCAGCTTGCCCAGGGTCACAGAGCTATGGACAGAGACCAGATGTGAACCCTCATCTCTGTGTTGGAATCCTCTCTACAGGTGCCTCTGTGCTGTGCTGGTTTTTGCTTCTGTGGCTTCAGACTTTGGGGGAACGTTCTTAGGACCCAGCTCTTGCCTGTCCCTTGAGCCAGCATCATCCTTGTGGACTGGGAGTTAAGAACTAGGCATTCTTAGGCTCAAATCCCAGCTCAGCCTCTCAGCAGCTGTGTGCCCAGACCCCTGTCCTCTCTGGGCTTGTTTCCTCCTCTGCAAAACAAATCTACTTTACTGTAGGGTCATGAGGCCCAGAGACTGTGGAGGTGGAGCATGGAGGCCACAGCCTGGTTCGTCCTAGTGTCTCCGTGGCGCAGGCTTCCCAGACCATGTGTGTACACGGTCATGTCCACATGGTAATTAATGTACCTGAGTGCTGAGCAGGTTTTGATTGGCCAGGATCTCTACAGCATTTGTTTAGCTTCTTTGAAATAGGGGATGCAAAAATTCTGGGGAGAGCGGAAGTAATTAGTACTCACAGGAAAATGCAAATATTTTTATGAGTATCCTATGAAAAATTGTATTTTTCCTGAGCAAGTAGTCCTGTTTATTTCTCCAACAGAATTGCCACAGTTGCAGCAGTGGCTGACCTACGACTGCCAGGAGCATTTCTCAGGTGTCCACTTATCTCCCTTCCCCTGGCTTTCTCTTCCCCTTCAACCCAGAGAAAACATTATGAGGCAAAAGTGACCAAATTTGGGCCTTGCTGAGAGAAGGGGATTACTCTTGTAGTGAAAAGTCCATTTTTGTGGCCAGACTTTTCTCAACTGTGAAAACCAGTGTGGGCAAAAACATCGTGAGCACAAAAATACATTAAAAAATTATTTTGCTTGGAAAGAACTTTTTTTTTCCAGTTCTGCTACTTCTTGGGAAAAGACATTTTTAAGAAGATCAATAGTGTTGCAAGAGGACTAGGGGTCTGCTTTCTCCTAAGAGATGTAGAGGGATAGAGGGAAAAGGAGGGAAGCCCCAGGCAGGGCGGGGTTGGGGAGTTGGGATACAGAGCAAGAGGGCTTAACATGGGATGAGTGCCCACCTCGTGCCTCACACAGTGCGAGGGCTTCAAGCACATTTTCGAATCGACCCTTATAAAGGGCATTTGGTTATTAAGCCAATTGGGAAACTGTGGTTCAGAGAGGTTGGGGAAGTGGCCTGTGGTTATTCAGCTTGTGGACAGAAGAGTCAGCAGCCCAGCCCTCCCCGTCTGATGAGAACCCCTTCTCTTTCCACACTGCCCTAGAAGAAGGGACTCTTGATCCAGGGCTGGGTCAACAGACAGAGTGAGATGGGAAGAGGCACACCCAGGGGAGGGGCTGTGTGTACCTTCCGCCTTGCTGGGAAGGTGGTTGTATTCCCTTTTTCAGAGCAGAAAATGGAGGCTCAGAGATTATGGTGTGCAGTGTGGCTTATTTGTTGTTGTTTCTAAGTCCATTTGGAAATGATCTCTTCCCTTCCGGTCCTGCCTCGCCCATCTGTTTATCCATCCATCCATTCATCAGAGATTGATGGAGCTTTTGCTATGTCCAAGCACTGTTCTAGGTGTCTGAGAGACAGGAGGGAACCAAACAGGGATACCCACTCACATGAAGTCTGCATTCCAACGGGAGATGAGACAGAGCCTGGCAGGAAGCAATGAGCAGAATAACTCAGAAGGCCACGCAGAACGCTTGCTGCAGGGTGATGTGTGCCTGGGAATTAGAAATTAACAGTAAAAGAAAGGCAGAGGGGTCCTGAGATGGGGGCAGTGGGTGGGGGCAGGTTGTAGAATTAAAAAGGGCGAGTAGAGGCCTAGCTTGGTGACTTACACCTGTAATCCCAGCAATTTGGGAGGCCAAGGCAGGTGGATCACTTGAGCTCAGGAGTTTGAGATCAGCCTGGCAACATGGCAAAACCCCATCTCTACTAAAAATACAAAAATTAGCTGGGCGTGGTGGTGCACACCTGTAGTCCCAGCTACTCAGGAGGCTGAGGTGGGAGAATTGCTTGAACCCAGTGAGTGGAGGTTGCAGTGAACTGAGATTGCTCTACCACTGCACTCCAGCCTGGGTGACAGAGCAAGACTGTCTCCAAAAAAAAAAAAGAGTGAGTAGAGGATTTTCCTTCCTAGTGACAGAAATGTTTTAAATGTTTTGGAATTAAACGGAGGTGGTGGAAGCTCAACACTGTGAGTGTACTGAATGCTACTGAATTGTTCATTTTTTTTTTTTTTTTTTTGAGACGGAGTCTCACTCTGTCGCCCAGGCTGGAGTAGAGTGGCGCGATCTCAGCTCCACTGCAAGCTCCACCTCCCGGGTTCACGCCATTCTCCTGCCTCAGCCTCCTGAGTAGCTGGGACTACATCCACCCGCTGCTAATTTTTGTTTTTGTATTTTTAGTAGAGATGGGGTTTCACCGTGTTAGCCAGGATGGTCTCGATCTCCTGACCTCGTGTGGTGATCCGCCCGCCTCGGCCTCCCAAAGTGCTGGGATTACAGGCGTGAGCCTCTGCAGCCAGCCTAAATTATTCACTTTAAAATGGTTAATATTCAGTGAATTTCATTTCAATAAATGATTATTTTTTAATGGCGATCAGGGTCAGCCTCATGGAGAACGTGAGAGCTGTGCAAAAGCTGCAAGGAGGCCAAACCTGTTAACCCAAGGCTGTTTTCTCCCAAGGAGCAGGAGGAGGGTTCCAGGCAGAGGGAGCAGCTGGAGCAGCCAGAGCAGCGAGAATGAGACCAGCTGCACCTCGAGAGCCCAATCCGGCCACTGCCTGTTTTTGTAAATGAAGTTTTATGGGAATACAGCCATGCTCATTTGTCTACATACTGTCTCTGTGACCCAGAGACCCTATCTGGCCCTTTGCAGAAAAAATCCTCAGGCAGGAACATGCCTGGGGTGTTTGAGGAGAAGAGTGTGGCTGGAATGGAGTGAGTAGAGGTGAGAGTGGGAGGAGGTGAAGTCAGGGAGGCAGTAGGGGCCGAATCATGGTGCCCCTGTGAGACTTCCTGCTTCCTGTGGCACCCCTGGCAATGTCGGGACAGACGCTGGCATCATGCTGATGTGGAAGCTCTGGGAGTATGTGTGTGTATGTAGGGCATAGTAGGGTAGAGACATAGCTGAACTTAGAGTCAGATGTCAGAGGACCTAGTCTTGAGACCTGCTGTTTGTCCCTTGCCAGCTCTGTGTCCTCAGTTCTCTCACCCACAGAGCCTGATAGTAGTGGTGATGGTGGTAGTGATGGTGGTAATGGTGGTGCTGGTGGCTGTGGTGATGGTGATGCTGATGGTGGTGGTAATGGTGGTCGTGACGGTGATGGTAGTGGTAATGGCAGTGGTGATGGTGGTGGTGGTAATGATGATGGTGGTGGTGATGGTGGTGGTGGTGGTGATGGTGGTGATGGTAATGATGGTAGTGGTGATGGTGATGATGGTAATGATGGTAGTGGTGATGGTGGTGGTAATGGTAGTGGTGGTGGTGATGGTGATGATGATGGTGGTGGTAATGGTAGTGGTGGTGGTGACGGTAGTGATGATGGTGGTGGTAATGGTGGTGGTGATGGTGGTGGTAATAGTGGTGATGGGGATGGTGGTAATGGTGGTGGTGATGATGGTGGTGGCAATGGCAGTGGTGGTGGTGATGGGGAGGGTGGTGGTGATGATGGTGGTAATGAGTGGTGGTGGCAATGGCTACATTTAGTGGCACCTATGAGGTGCTAGGTATTTTGCATATGGTGCTAATCCTTAACAGAGCAATGCCAGGTGGGTAGCAGTGTCTCAGTTTGCAGGAGAAAACACGGAGGGACTTAACCAAGGCCACACAGGTGGTATGTAGCAAGGCTTAGATAGCAGTGCAGTGACACCCGCTTACATTGCAGTGAAGATGTCATGAGGCAGTGGACGGTTGTGTCCTGGTGAACAGTGCAGCTGTCAGGGAGGGGAGGTAGCCTTTGTGGGGGAGGTGGCCTGGTGTCAGCACCACCCTCCCTGGAAGGGTTTCCTGGGAGGGACTGTCCCCAGCCTCTCCACCTCCCCTGGGTCACACCAGAGTGCTCCTCTCTCTCAGGCCCCATGTGCTGGGAGGGGCCCTGTCCCCATCCCCATGGCGACCAGTTACCCAGCCTGGTGTTGGTTTTGGTTTTCCTCATTTGAGGTTGTGGGATCCCTCTGGTTGAGGCTGAGGTTTTTCTGCTTTGGAAACCCCAACTGTGTTGTGGCCGTGAGGAGGGGCCTGGAGGTGCTGGCACCTGCCCACAGACCGCAGGCCCCAGATGCCCCGGGCCGCCCCACGCGCCTCACACCATCCAGCCAAGACATTTCAGACACTCATAGCTGAGAACTGTGGCACAGGGAACTTTCTGGGGTCAGGAGAACTGTGTCTTTGCTCCCCAGTTCCGCTCCTGTAGAGGACAGAGCCACTGGGAGGGCTGGGGTGTATGATGCCCCGGTTCGCATCTACCCCGTGGCTTTTGCCCCCACTTTGGGTGGAATCCTTGAGCATAGCAAGCCCCTGACTGAGCGGCAGGCGGCCAGCAGGCCCAGAAAGGGTTCCAGCCCCTCTCGCCGCCTCCTGGCCTGACAGTTCTGGCAGCTGCTCCCTGGCCTGGCTGTGCCCACATCAGAGTGTCAGCCCTTTGAATGGAACCTGGGGCTGGATCCTGCACAACTCGGCCCATTCCTTAGGTCTCTGAAGTGGTTCTCCTCATGTGAAAAGAGCCAGTCCCCACCAAGTGGTGAAGCTGGTGGTGCCAGCCGCGGAATGCACCCTTGGACAGGGAGAGGCTCTGTGCCCCCCAGACCACCCCACTTCCCTCTCTTGCCTGCCACCTGGGGTCCTATGCTCAGCTAGGAAAGTGCGGGATACACTCAAAGGCAGCAGGACCATGGCGCCTAAAAGCTCCTGATGCTTCCTGCCCCAGGGAACAGTGGACCCATGCCATCCAGAGGCACTGCACAAGCCCCATCTCGAGAGATTCTGGGTCACAGGTATTTTGGCAGCCCTTCATGTTTTCTTCTAAACCTCTCAATCTGGGGATAGTTACTGGGAGCAGTCTCCTCCTGACGCCACTAGACCTTGACCTCGCAGCTCCAGCACTCTGGGGCAGCGTAGTAATGGAGGAACCGAGGGCAGGATGAGGACTGAGGCTGGATTCCCCATGATTCTGGAGATTGTGCAGAAAGGCTGTGTAGAGAAGGTGCACCGAGTCAGGGACCCAGGCAGGGGCTGGCTGTTCTCAGAAGGTGAGAGCCATAGAGACAGAACGAGACCCTTGGCCTGTATCTGCCCCACTCCATCCCTTCCCTGCCTTGCCCACTCAGTGGGCTCCCCATCGTCTGTCTCACTTATGGGGATCTTCAAGAAAACTCTTGACAGAAGCGGCTCTGCGCCCTGTCCTGGTGTAACCCTCCTGGATCTCAGGTGAAGAAACTGAGGCCAGAGGGGTGGTGCTTTCTCCTACCCCCGCCCCATACCAGGGGCCTGTCTCCCTTTCACAGTGGTTGCCAAGTGCATCGGGTTGGAGAAAGTACCCTACAGGCTGAGGTCACCTCAATACACTTGGCTGGAGTCATGTTGCTTCTGAAAAGGCTTGAGTCACTCGGTGACGCAGCCCCTGATCAGGCCTGTAATTGGGATCTCGCCTTGTTCGGGCCTGGATGAAAAGAGACTTAGAATCAGTGAGAAGCCACATGCCCACCTCATCAGTTTCAGCTGGAGGTGCCTCTCTGGGGGTGGCAAAGGTGGCAGAGCCCTGGTGGATGGAAAATAAGCATCAGTGGAGGGGAGGGAGGAACAGGAGGCAGTAGACACAGGGGTAACCCATTCTCATCAGAACAGCTGGCCGCCTCCACTTTGCCCAGGCCAGATCTGACTCTGAGAACACCCACAGCCTCCCCACGGTGATATTTTCTGGAAATCCAGCCCTGCTGGCAGCACAGTGGGAGCTGAGTCCTGAAAGCCCACCTGGGTAGAAAAGAACTGGATGGAGTCTTTAGTCCTGCAGACATCACAGGCAGAATTGTGACACTGCCTTCCACTCTGCAGATGAGTCATCGGCCTTTTGTGGCTGGGAACGCGGTAGAGTGATCCTTCCACATGCAGTCACTGCGACACCTGAGACCCTCCCAGACTGATTCAGTTGCGTTGAGAGCAGCTTCTCCGGTTTTCAGGGCTTTCCTTCCTCCCCCTCCAAATTCATAGTCGAAAGACCCCGCTTCATGACATAGTTTGGGTTTCTAACAAATGTGGTCCCCTGCATTAGCATAATGCTGACTTTTCTGAACCACAAGCCAGTTTCTGCTGGGAAGTCCTGGGGTCTCTGTAACCTGTGCCCCTCGCTACCCCATGTCCTTGTGCCTTTAACCAGCAGTGCCCCCAGACTATTCTGGAAATGGGGGTGATAGTTTCTGTGGCCCCATTCCTGCTACGTCTGGTTGTGCCTGGCCCCAACCCAGGGGCTTCTGCTCTGAGCTGAGAGCTGGGCTGGCCATGCCATGTCACCCTGCCCTCTCCATACAAGGACCAGACCCACTGAATTGTTTCAAACTCTAGAGTCACCTGTGACATGTGGCCTGGAGAGAAAAGATGAGTTGGCCAATCAGATTTGCTCCTTGAGCCTTTGGAATCAGGATTCTGGGAGATGGGTAGTGAGCTGGGCTGAAGGGTGCTGAAGGTTCCTGAAGACATAGCAGCCTCAACAGCTGCAACACAGTTCTAACTACCCAGGATTAGTGCAGACATCACAAATGAAGAGCACAGTCTTCACAAGACCACCCTCACTCCAGGCACCTGCCACAAGGGTGGGGGTCCCCAGGCCACTGGCACTTCTGACCACGGCAACAGATTCAGGGATTCCCCTGAAGCTCTCAGGTTGGATAATTCGCTAGACTCCCTCGCAGAACCCAGTGCAGCGCTACACTGACAATTACAGTTCTATTGTTGCAAAAAGATACCCAAACCCTTGACAGGGAGAGGTGCCCAGGGCAAGGCCTGAGAGTCCCAGATGTGAAGCTGCCATGGATGTGCCACCTCCTGGCACATTGGTGTGTGATTACCAGGAAGCTCACCCAGGCCTCAGTGTCTGGAGTTTTTACTGGAGCATCATGATTTTGGCATGATTGATGGAATCACTGGGCACATGGTCGAACCCAGTGTCTGGCCCCCCGTCCCTCCCTGGAAGTCAGGGTGATACCACGTGGCCCAAAGCCTCAACCTTCTAATCCCATGGCTGGTCTCTCTGACATGCCCAGCCCCCCTCATGAGTCATCTTGTTAGCGTAAACTCAGATATGGCTTCAGGGGCCTACCATGAATGAAAAAGACACTCCTATTACTCAGAAAATTCCAAGGACTTAGAGACTACCTCTCAGGAACCAGGGACAAAAGCCAGTCAGATTCTTTATTATACAGTGACAAGTTGGGGCCTATGCAAAGACGTGAGAGTGTCCTGATCTGTGGAGATGCCAGGAGTCTGCCCCAGAGGAGTGTGGCCCATGGGAAAACAGGCCCCCACTTATTCAGGGTCCAGAAAGCACGGCAGGTCCACTGCGGATCCTGCCTTCCCATCCCCAGGGATGACTCTCTTTTCTCTGGGATCTGTAAACAATAAAGGTCCAAGGGTCACCAGAAGGCAAAGAGGCATTCAGTAGATGGGTGTGTGTGTGTGTGTGTGTGTGTGTGTGTGTGTGTGCCCAAAATAGGTGTGAGGCTTGAGGTGACTTCTGCCCAACTTCACAGGGAGATGATCAGGGCCTGGGGGAGAGTTGGGGGGAAGCGGCCCCTGAGGCTGTCTCATTGGCCCGGACCCCTCAAGGCCGCAGCTGAGCAGTGCTCTCCCTGCAGTCTCCCTTAGGCTTTCCGGTATAGGAGGGGCCTCATACGGTTTGCCCTGCCCCTGTGAGTGGCCCTATTAATGGCTTTAAGCCTGCCAGGCATCCTGCTGTGAGAAGAATGCCTGACTCAAGTCAGGCAGGACGCAGCGACCTTGTCAGAGTCAGAGCCCAGGATCACCAGATTCTGGAGCTGGGAGGAATATTTTTCAGTCAACTTTTCCAAGCGTGTGTGTGTCTCTTCAGGTCCTTTTTAGAAGACGTAGACAGGGCAGAAATAACAAGTCAGAGAGGAAGAAATTCCTAGAAAGAGTGGTCCCGTCATTCCTTTTCTCACTGATTTCCAGGCACTTTCTCTTGACTTACAGCAGTGGTTCTCAAAGTGAGAGTGCATCAGAATCACCTGCAGAGCTCATTAAGTTACTGATGCTGGCCCATCCCCAGAGTGTCTGATTCTGTAGGTCCAGGGTGGGGCCCAGGAAGCTGCATTTCTAACTGGCTCCCAGCGATGCTGATGCTGCTGGTCCAAGGACCACCGAGAACCACTGACTTAAGGGCAAGAAGGAAGCTCCTTCCAACAAATGCATGGAACCTTCCTCAGTTTCCCCCGTGGAACCTTTCTCTGATCGATTGCACATTTGTCACCAGGGAGGAAAAGAACATTAGACTAAGAGTCAGAACAGCAGAGCCCTGGTTCAGGTTATGATACACACTCCCTGATTGAGGCAAGGTTCTTTCCTTTCTGGGACTCTATTTCTGAATCTGTCAAACGGGTTCAATACTAGGACCTACGTCACGGGGGTGATGTGAGGATTGAACTAGATGACATGTTACTGGTGCAAATTCCCTGACTCTGAGGGTACAGCAAAGGCCATATAAGCAGTCCAGGGTCAGTTGTTTTGCACAGGTCTATCCCATCCCTCCCAAGGATGGTATGTGAACCTGTTGGGCTTAAAGGAACCCAGTAAGTTAGACCTTAGACCGTCCACATCACCAGTATTGCGGGCTTTGTCAGTGTCCTTTGGAGGAGGGGGCTGGGCTGGCAGTTCCACTCCACTGTGCCAGGTGATCACAGGGCTCTGGGGGCTGTAGGCCGCTCACTGCTCAGAATCCATCATCGCTGCACCCCAGCCGCATCCCACTGGGCTGACACTGCCACAGGGACAATGCCTTCCTGGAGCTCAGGTCGTCCCACTGCCCTCCCCACAAGCACTGCACCTCCCCCATCCTCAGCTTCTCCCTTCTGTTCTCCACACCGGTTCATTTCAGCCCCTGCCTTGAAAACACAAACACCACTCTCAGAAACAGCAAAGGCAACAAGAATAACAGCAAGCCAGTTTCTTCCCCCACCAAGACAGCCTCTTCTCCCATGGCAGTTTTTTGGGTGGAATGATACCGTTATTCTTCCCTGGGTTAGCCACAGGAGCAAAAGAAACGCTTTAGTCTCTCAGTAGCTCACTGTGACAAGTGCTTGGCCCGTGCTTAAGAATCAGTGGCTTTTTATTATTACTTGGCTTCTGCCTTCCATCAGGCACTCCTTTCCCTGATAGGACATGCCCTCCTCCTGCGGGGCCCCCACCCTCCTTTGTTGGCCACTCTCCTTCCTCCTGCCCTGCCTTCCCCTTAACATACTTCCCCAGTCTGGCAGGAGGGCACCTGCTGGAGGACATCGCTGGCAGCTGGCAGCCGAGGGGGCCCCCAGGGCTGGAGAAAGCAGGAGTGAGAGTGGGATTGGACAAGCAATGCCCTCCCTAGAGTCTGTCCCTTCTAAAGGGCCAGTGGCAGCCCGAGCCATGAATCAGGGGACACGCCATCTTGCTGTTGTCCGCCTTTCTCCAGGTTTTGTCTTGGACTCCTTCCGATCCGAGGCCACCTTGGTCCTCTGGTGCCTTCCCCAGAGCGGGAGCCCCCCTGATCGGCCCTGGGCCTCGGTCACTGCCATTTTCCCTTGCCTGGCGGGGCAACCCTTCTCCATGCAACCTCTCCTACCTGCCTGGCTACAACCCCAGCTGTCTTGCTCATCTTTGCTCTTTGATGCATGGAATGAGCTGGATGAGGTCAGGGACCATGTCCTCTTCCCTGACTCATTACGGGTACCTGGAAGGTAAACCCTGAACAGCAGAGGATCCTTTGGGAAAGCAAATAAAGCCGGAGGCTCCTCGGGACAGGAAATAGCGGTGAGCCAGTGCCAGCAGAAGATTGTGCTCCCGCCTGGGTGTGTGGCTTATTCCCTGGCTCCATTAATTCCTCTCCCTGAGCCTCAGCTTTCTCATCTGTGAATAGGGTCAGTACCTCCTGAATGAGGGCCAAATGTACAGTGCCCAGGTCAGTGCTCAGCCCAGAAGGCTGGCAGGGAGGGAGGTTGTCATTTATTCCTGCAAGCATTCATGCCTTTACCCAGTCAGCCAAGTAACTTAATGGAAGCTTGCAATTAAACAAGAATTAGCTGCACCCGCCTCCTTCCCGGGAGCAGGTCTGACCTGAGCTGGGAGAGGATGTGATCCAGACAGGGGGCTCTGCCTTTTCAGGGCAGCATGAGAAGGGACACTAGAGCTGGAGCTTGAAGAACAAGCATTCCTGGCAGAGAAAGCCATGCCTGTAGGGTCGGAGTGGGGGAACAATGATGTATACAGGGATTGGAGGGGCTGCCAGGTGGCCAGGTGGCTGGATGTAAAGCATGACACTTGCATTCACTCAGCAGATACTGTTTGGGCTTCTACAGTGGACCAAGAAGAAGGTGACAGAGAACAAAGAAACCCAGGTCCCTGACACCACGGGTCCGCTATCAGCACAGGGGAGACTGATGACGGGCAAGGAAACAAATAAGTGGGAAGATTTCAGGTGGTGATGAGAGCTGTGGGCTGGGTCTGGGAGTCCAGCAGTCACTTGGCACGTAGAGGTTGAATGAGTCCATGAAAATGTGCTGCATGCGTTGAGAGAATGGATCTGTAAGCTGATGTGCAGTTCAACACAGAGACAGACAGACTGACCGACCAGTGCTTCCTACACACTTCCATGGCACGTGGAGAATGGGCCTGCTTCACAACCGAGCTCAGAGGAGACCTCCAGGAAGGTAGAATTCAGGCTAAGACTGGAAGTGTGGGTGAGAAACATTCGGAAAGGTAGGAAGAAGGTGCTCCTGGCAGAATGAACAGTGAGTGTAAAGGCCCTGAGAGCAGAGGCAGGGAGGGAAATAAAGCTTAGGAAGACAGTCACCGAGGCCCTGAATGGGACCAAGGAGAACGGGCTGAGCCTATGGGTGGTCAGGCCTGGGAACTGGCCATTCCTGCTGCTGGGACCTGAGCACGGGGGAGGTGGGAGGTGATGGCCCCAGCCCCTTGTAGGCCTAACACCCCTCCCCAGCAGTGAGGTGGGCCTAGGGCAGCGGGGGCCGTAGGGCCAGGTCACAGGAGGAATTTTTACAGTGGCATGGCTGGGCCCTGCCCCCTCTCAGGATACAGAGAAACAATCAAGTCCTATGAAATAATAAACAGTGCCAATACTTCAGTTATCAAATATGCAGCTTCACAACCCCGCAGCAGCTTGAGAGCCAAACATTTGTCTAGACGTGGTGCCTTCTCTGAGGCAGGTTTTGTTTGTTGTTAAGAAGTGAAACCTTCTCCCAGCCCATCTGAGTCAGGAAGGTTGGGTTTATTTCATGGCACTTTTAGAGGAACTGGAAGCCAGATATGGGGTGAGAGGCCATTCTGGGGTCTGCTGTCATTTAGGGGGATCCCCTGCTGAGAACATCCTCGTATTAGCTTCCTGTTGCTGCTGTAACAGATTGCCACAAGCTAAGTGGATTAAAACACCACACATTTAGTATCTTACCGTTCTGGAGATCGGAAGTCTGACGCACTCTCAGTGAGTTAAAGTCAAGGCATCAGCAGGGCTGTGTTCCCTCTGGGGGCTCCGGGGAGAATCCTTCCTGGCCTGCATGCCTTGGCTCGTGGCCCCTTCCCATCTTCCAAGCCAGCCAATGGCTGGTGAGTCTTCGTCACATTGCATCACTCTGACACTGGTTGCTCTTTCTCCCTCTTCCACATTTTAGGACCCTGTTGGTGACAGTGGGCCCACCTGGATAATCCAGGATTATGTCCCTATCATTATCCATAATCTCATCCACAAACTTAATGCTCATTTGTCATGGAACCTAACGTATTCACAGGTTCTAGGGATTAGGGCATCCCTGAGGGCGTTATCCTGCCCACCACAGTCCCCCTGCCCTATTCTGGAAGCTGAGGAAATAGGGTTGAGGAGGAAAGTGAGCCCAGGCCGTAGCTGGAGAGTCTGCACCCTCGGCTTGGGGCTGCCTCCAAGTGGCTTACCTTTCCCACCGCCTCCAACCCCACCACAGCTGCCCCATCACTAACAGATCTCCCCCAACCCCTGTTCTTTTCCTAAATGTTGGTAAAATGGTCATTAAGTAAAGCAGCATTTTTTCCACATCCCTACCCTTGACTTACTTTTTCTTTTGAGATGGGGTCTTGCTCTGCACCCAGGCTAGAGTGCAGTGGCATGATCATAGCTCACTGCAGCCTTGAACTTCTGGGCCCAAGCAATCCTCCTGTGCGCCACCACGCCCAGCTACTTATTTTATTTTTATTTTTAATAGAGACGGAGTCTTGCTATGTTGCCTAAGCTGGTCTAAACTCCTGGGCTCAAGCAATCCCCCCATCTTGGCCTCCCAAAGTGCTGGGATTACAGGCATGAGCCACCACATCTTGTCCCAACCCTTGACATTTTAGAGCCAACCATGCTTTGTTCCAGGGGTCTGTCCTGTGCACAGCGCAATATTTAACCACATCCTTGGCCTGCACCCACTAGCTGCCAGTAGCACCTCTCCACCCAGTGGTGACAATTAAAAATGTCTCCAGACATTGCCAAATGTTCCCTGGGAGGCCGTCGCTGGGGTTGGGAACCACTGAGGTAACGCGTTGGATGTGTCTGTCTTCCCTGCTAGCGACACTGTGTCCGGCACCTGCAGAGGGCCTGCCGCTTAGTATGTGCTCAACACATATTGGTTGAACGAATCAGTGAACCTATGTTAACTTTCTTAATGAATAAATCTATAAGTGTGCATGTATAAAATAGACTCCTGGGTTCCATAGACTGGCTGCCTGAGAGTCACCTGGGGATCCTTTTAAGAAGTCACATTCCTGGGGTCCAATCACAGAGGATTGGGGTACAGCCTAGCAATCTGTATTGTCAAGAGTGCTTCATCAGTTCCCCCAAAACTTAAACATATATACCATATAATCCAGCAATTTCCCTCCTGAGTATATACCCAAAAGAATGGAAAGCAGGGACTTGAACAGATACTTGTTTGCAAATATCCATAGCAGCGTTATACGTAATAGCTAAAAGGTAGAAACAGCCCATGTGTCTATCCACAAATGAATGATAAACAAAAAGTTGTATACCCATACAACAGAATATTATTCAGCCTTCAAAACAAATGAAGTTCTGACACATGCTCCAACATGGGCGAAGCTCGAGGACATTACGCTAAGTGAAAGAACAGACACAAAAGAACATGTATGATTCCCTTATACGAGGTATCTAGAGTAGTCACAATCACAGACATGGAGTGTAGGAGAGAGGTTGCCGGGAGCTAGGAGGAAGGAGGGAATGGGAGTTAATGTTTAATGGGTTCAGAGTTTCAGTTTGGGATGATGAAAGAGTCCTGGAGATGGAAGGTGGTGATGGTTCCACAGCAATGGGAACGTCCTTAATGCAGCTGACTCGTTCACCTAAATAATGGTTAAACTGGTACATTTTATGTTATGCATATTTTGCCATATGCAAAAAATGGTGCTTCATGCCTGCCAGGTCTGAGAATCAGTAGTGTGCGAGAGGAATGGGGAGCAGGGGATGGACCCGTCGAGTTCTAACGACCCTCCCAGGCCTTGCAGCTGCTGGGATGGGGACATCAGACTCTGCTGAGCTAGGGTTTAGGCTGATTTCTTGAGAGGGTGGCCCTATCTGGGCGTGCACAGAAGAACCTCTAGGCTGCCTGAATGAGGGCTGCGGCTAGATGAGGATTGGCTTGTCTGGAGGCCACATGTGCTGTCCCCCGGGCAGCTGCTGCCCAGCTCCGGCTGATTCTTGCCATGTGGGGTGCCTGGCTGTGGGAGAGACGTCCAAGGTCTGGATTTCGATGTGAAATCTCCTCATTTTTATTTATTTCAATAGTTTTGGGGGAACAGGTGGTGTTTGGTTGCATGGAATGTTCTTTAGTGGTGATTTCTGAGATTTTGGTGCACACGTCATCTGAGCGAGGTACACTGTAGCTAGTGTGTAGTCTTTTATCCCTCACCTCCCTCCTCCCCTTCCCCCAAGTCCCCTGAGTCCATTATATCATTCTTGTGCCTTTGTGTCCTCATCTGAGCTCCTGGGAATCTCCTAATTTTTCAATGTTGGCAACTGGTTCAGTGAACAAGCAAGCAGACAAACAAGCCACCTAAGGGTCACACTGGTGACCCTGCGGGCCTCCGGTCTGGCTTGCAGCTTTTCTGGGAGCTCACAGGCTGGGTCCCCAGCTAGATCCTTGCTCCTGCTCCCGTCATGGCTGCCGCGTCACTCCTGAAGTCTGACACCAGCTTTCTCTTTGATCCTCTGAGAATTTCTCTTGTATTCAGGGCACCCAAAATGGTGGTTTACAGAGAGAATAGCAAGAGCCAGGGCCCAGGGTCTGGATTCTGCTCAGGCTGGGGTCTTGGCTCTGCCAATTATGAGCCACGGGGCCACAGGTGACTTGCTACCTTTCCCCCATGCCTTGATTTCCTCATCTGTCAACTGGGTATATCATAGTTCCTGCCGGCCAGGTGCAGTGGCTCATGCCTGTAATCCCAGCACTTTGGGAGGCCAAGGCAGGCGGATCACTTGAGGTCAGGAGTTTGAGACCGGCCTGGCCAACATGGTGAAACCCTGTCTCTACTGAAAATATGAAAAATTAGCCGGGTGCGGTGGTGCACATCTGTATTCCCAGCTACTCGGGAGGCTGAGGCAGGAGGATCGCTTGAACCCGGGAGAGGCAGAGGTTGCAGTGAACCGAGATCGTGCCATTGCACTCCATCCTGGGTGACAGAGTGAGACTCTGTCTCAAAAAAAGAAAAAAAAAAGTTCCTGCCTTGTAGAGTAAGGGTGAAGCCTGCAGGTGAGGGGCTTGGCCCCGGGCAGGGCCAGTGCATGGCTGAGCAGTATGCGCGTGTATGTTTATATGTACATGAAATGTGTGTGCACTTGTGTGTGTGGCCCCCGTTGGCAGAAAGAGTGAGCGTGGCATGGGTGATTTCTTCCTCAAAGAGTCATTCTGAGGATTAAACAAGATAATGTACAGGTGGAGCCTCACCACGGCAGGTGCCGCCTCACCACGGCAGGTGCCCAATACGCATTCCTTCTGTCCCTCGGAGTGTGAGGCCTTGGCCGTCTGTGGAGATTTGAGAGGAGGACACTGGGCTAGTTGGAGAGGAGGGAGTTGGGTTGAAGATGCAATGAGAGGAGAGGAGAGAGACTCCTCCCCATCAGCACTCTCTCCTGCTTCCTGGAGCAGGAGCAGAGTTCTGGTCCCATTCTCAGAGGCAGGTGCACTGGCTAATCAGGGCTATGACCTTGCTTTCCAGGATAGCTTGGATGACAGTTAAGAATCCCCAGTTCTGTGCCTACTTTTAAACACATGCTACCTTGTTTTCCCTCCTTTCAGCTTTGGGAGGAAGGCCTTACTGTCTCCACTTCATGGATGAGGACTCAGAGAGGGCGGGTGCTTGTCCAGGCTTGCCTAGGCAGCAGGGGATGGCCACAGGGCCAGAGCAAGGTGGAGGACAGGTTGGGCTGGCTGGGAGAGGGCTGGAGCTGAGTGCCACTGGGCTCCCCTGGGTTGCTGGTGTGCAGAAGGGGCCTTGTCCTGCCCAGCTGGTTCCTGGGAGGGTGACAGAGTGGAGGGGCTGCATACCCACCCGGAGCAAGCAGACGAGCTACATAAAATCCTGATAACCAAGGGGCACAAAGGGCTCCATGACCTGTGGTGAGTCATGGACAGATGGTGGCTAAGCGCCACTGTAAGGGTGGAGAGTGGGTGACGGCACCTTGGTCCCCAGGAGCCCTCTGGCCACATGGCACAGCAGTGCCTTCAGGTCCAAGGCCCAGATGCTGGTGGGCTCAGGGACACTGAGGCCCAGAGCTTCACCCCATCGCTGTTTGCGCCTGTGCACCCTGACACCTGTCCATCATCCCTTGGACCAGGAGTGCAAGGATGACGGGAACACCTGTGTGCGCCTCATGTGGTTCTGCACGTTACACGTGACTGTTCATTACATGTGTTCATTACTAGTGCACATTCATTGTGCGTGTGCATGTTCATCATGTCCACGTGCTCAGTACTCGTGTGCACTGGGGAGGATGTGAGGCAGGGCGGGCCCCTCAGGAGTCCCTCCTTCCTTCCAGCCTCGGAGACTCTGGGGTTTGTGAGGAGCAAGAAGAAGGCGGTACTTGACAAGTGGAAACTGAAGTTCTTGTCCCCCAACATCTAGCCTCCAGCTGGGGAAGGAGACTCTCCACAGAAAGCAAGAGGACAAAACGAGGGCCATGAGGGGCCATGGGCACCTGCCTGTGCCTCTGCCCCACAGGGATGCCCCAAGCTAAAGGGGATGTTCAGACGTGGCAGGCCTGGCCCCTGCTGTGGGAAGGCTGTGGTCTAGTCTAGGGGAACAGCCGTGGGGGATGCCTGGTGTGGGTGGGGTGCAGGGGAGCCCTAGGCCTCACTGCTAGGGGGCCGGGGTCAGGCAGGACTGTGCGGGATACTGGGGCTCACAGCCCACCTGGGAGGAAGAGTGTGTGTGTTTGTGTGTGTCTTGGGCTGGGGGTGTGTCACTGGCTTGGCCTACAGCCCGTCCCTCTGTCTCTCAGCCCAGGAGGCTGGTGGGCAGGCTCACTGCGGGGACGCCGCAGGCTCTGGAGCCTCAGCCAGGCATCTTTTTCCCCATCTCTGCAGGGGGCGGAGGAAAGCGCAAAGGGAAAAGCAAGAAGTGGAAAGAAATCCTGAAGTTCCCTCACATTAGCCAGTGTGAAGACCTCCGAAGGACCATAGGTAAGCTGTCCTGCCTGGGGGCTGTGCGGGGAGTGAGTAGCAGGTGATCCGCCAAGCCGTTTGTGCATTAAGGCAAATGGGTGAGCCGCCAAGCTGTCTGTGCAGTGAGGCAAATGCCAATCAGTGGACACAGTATTGTGCTTCCAGGTAGGGGCTCCAGGCTGACCTTTTTGCTAATCAACATAAACAGGCAACCAGTATTCATTGAATATATGGCATGTGCCGGGCAGAGTGACCTCCTCCCAGTTATCCTTTGAGGCAGGTGCTATTATTTAATATTTCACTTCACCTTTCAGATGGGGAAACTGAGGCACAGAGTGGTTCTGTAACGGCCCAAAGTCACACAGCTGATGGGAGGGTGGTGGAGGTGGGCCAGGCCCAACACAGAGCCACCGCTCATAACTTCTCCCCTTTCTTCCTGGAGCCTGTGGGTCCTGCCCTCAGGGGGCAGCCCAGGCTTTGGGAGCTGAGAGTCAGGTGGGGTGGGGGATGTGGGGTGAGGTGGGGGAGGTAGGGCTCCCCTTTCCACTTGCTGGGGATGTCAGTGCTCCTGAGGAGCCACTGGGCTCAGTGGCACAGCTTAGCCCCCTGTATCCAGCACACACACACCAGGCACCTCCAAGAGCAGCCAACCAAGTGGGTCTGTGCCTGGTCCCACGCAGGACACGGCTGTGGTGAGGAGGCCTGGGTGCCTGGGCGAGAGCGCCCAGGGGACAGGCATGATGTGAGGCCCCACTCCAGAGTGTTTGGGGTCCCGGCCCTTCTCCCCTCTGTGCCCTGGGGTGGGTCCTTCCCCATCACTGCCTGAGGGCTCCCCATCCGCTTATTATTGTCAGAGGTCATGGACGTGCTGAACACGTTTAAGAAGACTCAAGTCCACTGAAGGCTGGGCACGGGGTGGTGCTGCCCAGAACTCCATAGGCCCAGCTTTTCTGGGGACTTCTGCCCAGGGCCTCGGGTGAGCTGCCCCGTGCCTGCCCTGGAATTCAAGGCCACATGTAGCCATTTATTCAGCTTTTCTAAATGGCCTCTTCACGGTCTGTCCCCACCAGTTTCCAGGGCCGGGGGGACTTACCTGCCACCCCCAGGCTTGCTCCGTCCTGGCCCTGGGCCACTCAGTCCACACTCCATGTTTATAGGTGATAGGAGGCCATCTGTGCCCCGCCCCACGACGGCAGACATGAGCAGGTGAAGCAAGGTGGGATCCTGAAGGGTCAGGAAACGTCCTTAAGACCCACCTTCCATCCCTAAAATCCCAGGCACATCAGAATCCCCATGGTGTTCTCGGGCCGAGAATGCTGCTGGCCTGAGGGATTGGGGGCTCTGGGTCCAGGCAGACATGGGTTCAGATCCTGCCCTCTCTGCTGGCCACATGACAAGTTACTTTATCCTGCTGAGCCTGTTTCCCCAGCTGTAACACTGTCTGTGAACCCAGTCATAGGGTGGTGGAGTGGGTGAGATGAGACCATGTGTGTAAAGGGCTTAGCTGGTGCCCTCGTCGGGAGACCAGGGGCCCATGCCCCTCTGCACACTGGCGTGCTTTCCGGAGTTCCCACAGACACCACGGTGCCGTGGATGCCGTGTGCACCCTTGATGATCAGCTTTTCTGCTGGAGGCAGTCGAGGTCGGGTGGAAGAGAAGAGGGGCTGTGTTCCTGGGGCTGTAGCTTACTGGGGAGGATTTGACCACTGAGACTTTGCAGGGGGCCTTCAGAGAGGGGAGCCAGGGAGAACCCCTCTGGTGACTAGCCATTTCCTCATGGGGGACCATTTTGTTCTTCATGCTAATTTTGGCTCAGAGAGAATAGGGCCTGTTGTGGGACTGGGGAGGAGACCTTAGTTGCCATGGTTGCAACTCACCCATGTGTGCCCAGCAAGTACCCCCTTTCTGGTGAGCCAAGCCTTCTCTGTCATTTTCATCCTGGGTCTGCTGGCTGCCAGAAAGCCATTCCTGGATGCTGAGCCCAGCTTCTCCCAAAAGAGGGATGTTACCTCACAACCCATTCACTGTGGCCCCAGGGAACGTCTTGCACTCATCCACAGGGCCACAGGGCTGCTCGGAGAGACCTTTCTGGGGTGTTGAGTTGGAGGTGAGAGCTTACAACAGGAGGAAAGCATCTCCAAGGGGAGCAATGTGAGAAGCGGGCACCTGCGCACAGCCACGCTCACCTGGCAGGGCGGTGCTTCCCGGCCCTGGCTAAACTGTCTGCAGGTGGTGATGCCAGGAGTGCTATGGGGCACAGCCAGATGTGAAGGCCACTTCCTCAGAGAAGCCTCTTTTGACTCCTGAATTTAAATGAGCTCCAGACCAGAGTCTCTCAGAGCACCTGTCCTCTTCTGCCAGAGCACCCTTCCTCAGGGCTCTTTGGGGAGGAACTGGATTGTTAAAATTCACCACTGCGTAGTTGGTGCCTGCCTCACAGGAGGGGCACAATAGATGTTAGTTGGATGAACGAGGGAAGGAAAGAATAAATGAGGTGTAAGTGACCACTCAACTTATGAAGTGTTTCTAATAAATAGAAGAAGAGCATTGAGAGCCAGATACTGAGCATTCATGTATCTGCCATCCAGATGAGAGAAATCTTAACATTTTGCTATATTTTATTCATGTGTTTCTCAAAAATATAAAAGATGAAAATATGAAATATAGGATTTATGGTTCCAGACAAGAGGGAGTAGATGCGGTGTTTCCTGTCCTTCCCGCTAAGGACAGTCAAAAACCCTGGACATTATGTATAAAACAAACATAAGATTTTGAAAGCCGGGAGAGAAGAAGGCAGACTGGCTGGGGACCTCGAGCCATGAGGGACGACACAGCAGTGAGCTTCCTGGGTTTCTTTTTTATATCCCAGAGTGGATACTAGACAAACTTGCAACCCACAATGCCAGTGGGTGCAGACTAAAAAGCTCCTTCCCTCAAGACCAGCCTGACCAACATGGAGAAGCCCCATCTCTACTAGAAATACAAAATTAGCTGGGCGTGGTGGCGCATGCCTGTAATCCCAGCTACTCGGGAGGCTGAGGCAGGAGAATCACTTGAACCTGGGAGGCAGAGGTTGCAGTGAGCCAAGATTGCGCCATTGCACTGCAGCTTGGGGAACTAGAGTGAAACTCTGTCTCAAAAAACAAAAACAAAAACAAAAAAAACCTCCTTCCCCCTGCAGAAAAGCTTTTGCTGGCATAGCTGGTTACTGTAGAACTGTCCCGTTTCTGCTATGGTTCACACGCCAGCAACGCAGACACCTACTTTTTTTTTTTTTTTTTTTTTTTGAGATGGAGTCTTGCTCTGTTGCTCAGGCTGGAGTGCAGTGGCGTGATCTTGGCTCACTGTAACCTCTGCCTCCTGGGTTCAAGCAATTCTTGTGCCTCAGACTCCCAAGTAGCTGGGATTACAGGTACCTGCCATCACGCCCAGCTAATTTTTGTATTTTTAGTAGAGACAGGGTTTTGCCATGTTGGCCAGGCTGGTTTCAAACTCCTGGCCTCAAGTGATCAGCCCATCTTGGTCTCTCAAAGTGTTGGGATTACAGGTGTGAGCCACTGCGCCGCCTTTTTCTCCTTCATGTAACCTATGTCTTAGCATGGGCTGCTTTAACAAATACCCACAGACTAGGTGGCTTAAACAACAGACATTTATCTCTCATTGTTCTGGAGGTGGGGAAGTCCAAGATGAAAATGCCAGCAGATCTGATGTCCTCATCAGTTTTTCCTGGTTTACAGTTGGCTGTCTTCTTGTATCCTTGCATGGTGGGGCGGGGGAGGGAGGGAGGGAGAGAGAGAGAGAGAGAGAGAGAGAGAGAGCTCTTGTCTCTTTTTATAAGAGCACTAATCCTATTCATGATGGTTCCACCCTCATGACCAAATCACCTCCCAAAGGCGTTACCTCCAAATAACGTCACGCTGGGGGTTAGGTTTCAACATGTGTGTTGCAGGGAGGATGCGGACATTCAGTCCATAGTCTAGGACTAGGTTCAGTGCCAACCTATTCCTAGATTCAAAGAGCCAGTGCACCCTGGCTTTCCACCTCTCCCCTGAGACACAGCTTCTCATACTTTGAGATTAACTAGCCCTGCCAAGGCCTGGTGTCCCTCCCAGCCCCCTCCTCCCAAATTAAGACTCTTAGATCTAGGATGGGTGTGATGGCTCATGCCTGTAATCCCAGCACTTTGGGAGGCTGAAGCAGGCAGATTACCTGAAGTCAGGAGTTAGAGACCAGCCTGGCCAACACGGGGAAACCCTACCTCTACTAAAAACACAAAAATTAGCCAGGCATGGTGGTGGGTGCCTGTAATCCCAGCTACTCAGGAGGCTGAGGCAGGAAAATCGCTTCAACTTGGGAGGCGGAGGTTGATTTCCTCACTCTAGGCCTCCTCCCCATAAGCTTCCAGGCATTGCCCTGGGAGCACCTGAGTGTCCCTCAGCTTCCAGTCTGCCTGGCCCCACCTCATTCACTTCCACTGTGGGGGACCTGGGAGCACAGGATTTGGCTCTGAGCTTTTTTCTGTCCATGGACCACCCCCCCGCCGCGACCATGGGCCCCAGCCCTGTCTGTCCTTCTAGGTCCATAAACTGGCCTCTTGGCAGGGCCCACTCCCCTGGGATGGTGTGAGGAACGTGCGTGCTGGCGTGTGGAAATGGATTCTTCTGTTCTGCCGGAGGGTATTGAAAAGGCTCTGTGTGTGAGTGCCGTGGGAGAGAGGCCCGGGAAGGGCAGGAAGGCTGACGTGAGCCGTGGGGCTGCAGCTCGTGGCCACGGGGCCAGGGTCTGGGCCTTCCCACTGTTTACAGTCCGTCGCTGAGGTGTTTGCCCAGTCTCTGCTGGGGTCCTGCTGGAAGGCTTTTTAAAATAAAATTCTCATTTCTTTCCTAGACCAATACACAAACCAAACAGTGGCCAATACCGCATTTATTTTTCTTGTGGACACATGAGCTCACTTTCTGAAGTTCTTTGGGAGGATGTCCTGGGACAGGCTTTGTGCCAAGGGGACAGGGCCCCTTTAGGGTGTGAGGTGGTGCCATGAGAAGGCTCTTGATCAGAGCTGAGGGCAGAACCCATGAGGACCCCAGGATGCCGCCATGTCTGGATGGCCCCGAACGGTGGTCTGTTAAAGCCCTGGCCTTCTGCCTTCAGCCCTGCCCTGGACAGTCATAGACCATCTCTACCTAGCAGCCAGGGTGATTTTTGAAAAATGAAAACTGGACCCTGTGAAATCATTCTCCTGCTGAAACCAACCCAACAGCTCTCCATTCCACTCAGTAAAACCCAGACTCCTTACTGTGGCTTGTAAGCACTTTGCCCTAAGGTGAAGCCTGTAGACCCCTTATCAGAAGAATGCTTTTATAGATAAAATAGAATACATAGGGTTACAGAGGAAACTGATCCTTTTTAAATATACTTACTACATACTTCTAAAATTTATGATACAGAAATATATGTGCTTCTTTGTTAATACTTTATAAGGTCTAACTGTGGGTCTAATAGCTATTGTAATTTTGATTTTTTTTTTTTTTTTTGCCTCAGAGTTTGACTCTGTCGCTCAGGCTAGAGTGCAGTGGCGTGATCTTGGTTCAGTGCAACCTCTGCTTCCTGGGCTCAAGCTATCCTCCCACCTCAGCCTCCTGAGTAGCTGGGACTACAAACGTGCACTACCATGCCCAGCTAATTTTTGTATTTTTTGTAGAGACGGGATTTTGCCATGTTGCCCAGGCTGGTCTCAAACTCCTGAGCTCAAGTGATCCTCCCTCCTCAGCCTCCTGAAATGCTGGGATTACAGGCGTGAGCCACTGCACCCGGCCAGCTATTGTAATTTTGAACTTGTCATGAACCTGAGTGAGCTTTTCAGATATCTGCAACAACTGATAGGAATGGATCTTTGATTTCTGCCGGTGACAAGTCCCCGGCACTGCTGACATCATTGTAGGTTGTTGTCTACATTCATAATTGAAGGAAGTGCAAATTTTCAGTTAGAGGTTGGTGAAAAGAAAGATGACATTTTTCTCCACCCCAGTCCATGGACTCTCTAAATCCTATCCATGGTCCTTTTGGCAGTGCCCTGCCTGTGCTGCCCTATGTGAGCTGGCCCTCACCTTCATCTTGGATCCTTCCCTCCTCCTCCATTCACAAGCTGGTCTCCCTTTTGTCCTTTGAATAACACACGCTTGTCTCCAGCCCAGAGCCTTTGCACCTGTTCTCTCTACCCGGAATGTTCTTCCTCACACTTTTTCTTCCAGGGGACTTTAAGGTCTCAGTCCAAATATCATCTCCATAGAGAAGCCTTCTAAAAAGGAACCATACCCTCCTTCTAATTGCATCCTTTCCCATAGTGCTGTTTATTTAATGTTCTTACCCATAACTCCGTCTGAAGCCATCTTTTCGTTTACTTGTGTATTTTCTGTCTCCCACACTGTACTAGATGTTCTATGTTAATTGCAACTGTGTCTTGCCTGTTTCACTATGAGAACAGTGTCTGGCACATAATAGGGGTTCATTAATACTGGGTGAATGAAGGAATGAATGAGGTGAAATATTTGAAATTAGAGCTCTTCTAAAAAAATTGGTGACATGTGTTTGCTGTACCCATTTAACCTTAGCCAGTAGTTTACACTTAAAGTAATTAAAGTCTGGCCTTAGGAGGCACTGTAGGTAGCATCTGCTGTAACCCACCCCTCCCCCTGCCCACCATCCTCACCATCTGGATGAGGCAGCTCAGCATGGTACATGACTCAGCCACAGTCTCACAGCCACTAAGTGGGGAGGGGAAGCTGGTGGCTCCTGGGGCAGGTTGGTTTCCTCTGAAGCTGTAGTCGGAGTCATGATCACAGTGATGTCAGGTTTTCACAGAATCCTTAGCTCAGGGGACTGGAGAGCATCTTGTCCACCACCCATTGGTGGTGGAGTAAACAGGCTTCAAGGGGAGAGTGACCCGCCCAGGAGAGCCAGGTCCCTGGTCTGGAGTGACACCTTGCAACTCCCCATGAGCATATTGCTGCATAAACGTGTGGGCAGGGCCCCAGCCAGTACTCAAGGCAGGGAGACTACTTAGGTGCTCAAAGGGGTGGACGTTTCTGTCTCTCTTGTATCTTGTAAGTGTGTGCAGCGAGTTCCTCTGCTTATTCAATGCATGTTTAGTGAGCACTGAAAACATGCTGTCCACGGGGGAGCTGAGCGGATCGCTGATCTCCTGGAGCTCATCCACCAAGGAGCATGGGAGACCAACTGAAATTAAGATGAGATGACAAATCAAGAAAGTTCCACAGGGTATGGAGCAGGTTGCTGAGCTGCAGAACCAAGGCAAAGATCTATCCCCACTTCCCTGGAGGAAGTGGCGTCCCTCCTGGCTTAAAGGATCTCTCTGCGAGCTCCCTGAGGGCCTGGACCACAGGCTCTCCATCTGGGCGTCTCCATTGCTGTAGCAGCATGAGTGGGTGGATGGATGTTGCCTTCTCTTCAACCTGGAAGCCAGGACTGTGAGTGGCAGCCATGAGCACTGAGACAGATTCCTAGGCCAGGTGCAGCGGTGCAGGCCTGAGCATTGAGACAGATTCCTAGGCCAGCTGCAGCGGCGCAAGCCTGGAACCCCAGTGCTTTGAGGGGCGGAGGCAGGAGGATTGCTCAAACCCAGGAGTCCGAGGATACAGTGAGCTATGAATGTGCTGCTGCACCGCTCCAGCCTAGGTGACAGAGCGAGACCCTCTAAAAAAAAGAAAAAGAGAGAGAGAGATTCCTTGCCACCCATCTCTCTGCTTCCAGTGTGAGCCCCACGTATGAACTAACGGATTTTCAACAGAACTGGCACAGGGCAGACAGACCATGAGAGGAAGAAGGGGTTCTCTAACGTCTGCTCAGTGAAACATCAAATAGTGACTTTATTAGTTAATGGGATAATTGTTCATGGGAGATCATTAGAGAGCCCAAATCAAAGAATTTCTTAGGATGTCCGAAACTTGGAAGGCTGGAATGTCATCACGAAGATAAAAGATTGTTGAGGTCTGCAAATATTTCTCAGTGACGCAGAAAGGTCTGTTGGGCAAAAGTGTGGCATTTTTATTTATTTAGCTCAGGCTCATTGCGTACTTTATTCTTTCATTAAAAAAAGTCTGAGGGGGCTTGAGTGAAAGAGTTGATTATTCCACTGTTTGGCAATATTTCTGTAGGAACTGTCCAAAAGCTATATAATAAATCAAGGCCCCCTCCCCACCCCCCAACAGGACTGACATTTATGAGGAGGCTGTTCACAGAAAGTAGCTGCTGCGTCTGGCGTGCCACAGCAGTGCCCCGAACCCTCACAGACAGACAGGGGAGATCGAATTGCCTTGTGGGAGAGCCTCTTGCCAAAGCCTTAACTGTTTCCAGGAGCAGAAGTCCCAGGCTGTGGGGGATTCCTAGAGGAAAATGTAGAATCTTTTAACATGGGGGAAAAAAAATCATCTTCATAGTGTGAAGATTTCCTTGAAGTAGTCTAGTACTTGGTTATTCACCCAACATTGCCTGCCTGCCTGCTTTGCCCTGCCTGCCTTGCCTCTCTCTCTCTCTCTCTCTCTCTCTCTCTCTCTCTCTCTCTCTCTCCCCCTCTCCCTCTCCCCCCACCTCCTCTTTCTTTCTTTCCTCCTTTCCTTCTTTATCTTTCTCTGATATTTATTTTTTGAGACAGAATCCCACTATGTTGCCTAGGCAGGGCTCAAGTAATGTTCCTATATCAACCTTCTGAGTAGCTGAGACTGCAGGTGTGAGCCACTCTGCCCAACTGCCATGTTCCCTTTTTTGTTTTTTTGAGATGGAGTCTCACTCTGTCCCCCAGGCTGGAGTGCAGTGGTGTAATCTTGGCTCATTGCAACCTCTGCCTCCCAGATTCAAGCAATTCTTCTGCCTCAGTCTCCCAAGTAGCTGGGACTACAGGTACCTGCCACCACGCCTAGCTAATTTTGTGTTTTTAGTAGAGACAGGGTTTCACCATGTTGGCCAGGCTGGTCTCGAACTCCTGACCTCATGTGATCCACCTGCCTTGGCCTCCCCAAGTGCTGGGATTACAGGCGTGAGCCACTGCGCCCAGCCTGCGCATGTTCTTTAAACCAGACACTGGCTAACAGATACTTGTTAAGCTCCTCCTCTGTGCTAGGCATTGCTGCAGTCACCGGACTTGTGTCACAGGCCACCCTTGTCCAGCAGCGAGGGCTCCTGGAAGGATCTCTGTCACTGTCATCAAGATGAAGTGGTGGTGCTGCTGCTGCCAGCCCTGTGACTTTGAGCAAGTAGCTTACTTTCTCTAGTTTGCAGTTTATTTGTGTATAAACTGGAGACACTAACACCAACCTGGTAGAGCCTCTGGGAAGGCCAGCAGAGTGTTGCACACAGGCCATCATTGTCATCAGCATCGTCATTGTCATCGTCATCCTCACGGCGATAGTGGTTTGAGGGCAGAGGTTGAGGACCCTTTGAGAGGGTTTTGGAGTTTCCCAGAGAAGCTGAATCGGCTACACATGATGGATGAGGCCAGCTGTTTTTGTGCTGAGGTGAAGTGGGTTCAGTGTCCCAGAGACTGTTGCCTTGGAGTCATCGGAATCCTCCTCTTCCTAGAGCACTGCCTCCAGCTTCCTCTTCTTGGAAGCCTGCCCTGATTCCTGCAGTCCTCAGCCTTCCTTCCTCCCCACGGCTCCACAGTTTGCCCAGGGAAGCTGGAAGCATCACACTCTGCCCAGGCCCCTGCTCTGGCCCAGTGTGTTTCCTTGAAAGGACGTGTGTCATCTAGAAGCCTGCAGCCCCGAGTCCTAACAATGGTTACCCCCAGGGAAGGCGTGAAGGTCAGAGGGGACACTGGCTTTATCTGTAAGATTGTTTTTTTTTTAAAAAAAGAATGAATTGGCATGTTCTTTGTCTAATTAAAAATCAAATGAATAAAGACCAAATACCCTGCCTGATTCCACAGTGGGGCAGAGGGAATGGTGACACTGTTTCCCCCTTTCCTTGTTAGCTTTGTGCCCCCTGATGAGTCTGGGGCCCCTGAGAGGATGATCAGAATCTCACACGTCTTGGTGACCCAGTCCCCTTCAGGCCTGCCTGGCTGGCACGTGAGCTCTTGATTTCATCGTCAGGGAAACCAAGTCTCTGCAGACGTCATTGCTGTCCTTGGGGTGATAAGGGCGCGTCATGTCTGTCGTTCTGCCACCTAGCCGTGCTGTGATAAGGCACAGCATCTGCTTGTCCTTGGAGGGCGAAATAAATTTAGATGTGTCGGGTTTGGAACATCAGGTGACCTGTCCGCAGCTGGAGCTCTCAGGAGGGAAGGGTGGCCCCGCTGTCTTTGCGGTGTTAGTCTCACCTCCCCACTACGGCCGGAAGCTCCTTGAAAGAGAAGGCACGAGCTCAGGCACATGCAAGATGCCCAGCGATACTGTCCGTGGGTTTCTTGTTTGGACAGTCTTAGAATGGAGTGGTGGCAGGGATTTTACAGATCACCTGGAGTTGTGGTTTTCAAAGACTGCTCTGCAGGGAGAGTGTGTGATCTAGACCAGGCTTTTACCCAATTGGGCTTTATTTTACCTTTTATATTTGGGCTTCCGTGTCAGATTTCATTCTAGGGCTAAATTTGAGTTTGAAACGCACTGTTCTAGGCCAGGTCTCCCATTTCCAGATAAGTGAACTGAGTCCCAGAGAAACAAGGTCTTGCCAGGGTCTTCCCATGATTTGACTCCAAGGCAGGCTCTCTCCCCTACTGCGTTAGTTTTTCCTGAGGTTGCCATAGTGAAATACCAGAGACCAGGTGGCTTAAGCAGCAGCAGTTTATTGTCTCACAGTTCTGGAGGCTGGAAGTCCAAGATCAGGGTGTCAGCAGGTTTGGTTCGTTCTGAAGGCTGGGAGGGAGAAGCTGTTTCAGGCCTCTCCCGTGGCTTCTGTGGGTTTGCTGTCATTATTTGGTGTTCTGTGGCTGTAGACTCATCAGCCCTATCCCTGTCTTCACCTTCACTCGGTCTTCTACCTGTGTGAATGTCTGTCTCTAAGTTTCCCCCCCACTTTTTTCTCTTTTTTTTTGAGACAGAGTTTTGCTCTTGTTGCCCAGGCTGGAGTGCAATGGCACGATCTCAGCTCACTGCAACCTCCACCTCCCGGGTTCAAGCAATTCTCCTGCCTCAGCCTCTCGAGTAGCTGGGATTACAGGCACCCGCCACTGTGCCCGGCTAATTTTTTTTATATTTTTAGTAGAGACGGGGTTTCACCAGGTTGCCAGGCTGGTTTTGAACTCCTGATCTCAGGAGATCCTCCTGCCTTGGCCTCCCATAGTATTGGGAGTACAGGCGTGAGCCACCACACCTGGCCAAGTTTCCCCTTTTTCATGAGGACACCACTCATATTGGATTAGGGCCCACCCTAATGACCTCATTTTAACTTGATTATCTCTGTAGCAACGCTCTTTCCAAATAAGGTCACGTTCTGAGGTAATGGGGATTAGGACTTCAGTGTATCTTCTTTAGGGGATCCAGTTGAACCCATAACATATTCACGTGCTCATGTGGTCTGGTGGAGTTAAAGGTAGAGGGGTCAGGGATCCTGATTCCCACCGGGTCTGAGGGTGGACACTCCTTCTCTCCTGAGCCTGGTGGGGAGTTAACCACTGCAGTCCCAGGCTGCTCACTTCCCCAGTGGACCACAGGAATGTCTGTGGGAGGAGCAATTGTTTTCCAGGCCATGTTGCAGCTTTTTCAATCTCCCTGTTTGTTATTGGTTAAGTCATAGTAATTGGTAAATTATTTTGCTAAAAAACACAGAAAATTATAAGGAAAGAAAGTCACCGCTAATTTTACATCTCAGACAGAGCCATAGTTAACGCCTTCATGTAATTTCTTCTAGCTTTTTTCCCCATACATATACATGTGGTTTTGTTTCTTACCTCTTTTCTTAACATAGTATCAAAAATGTTTTCCCTTGTCATTAAAATCTTCATAAATGTGATGTACATTTTTCCATTTGATGCATATTTAGTGAGTGTCAGGCATGGTGGATACATCAGTGAGCAAAGTGCAAAACTTCCCATCTCATGGGCTGCCCTCCTGCAGGTGAAATGACATACTGGGCCATTGGGAGCTCACCTAGTACCCTCAACCCAGCATCCACCCAGGCCCCCGGTCTCTCCCAACCTATGGCTTACTTCCTGTTGGTGAATTCTTCCTTTAAGCGATCTTGAAAATAAGCCCTTGCTTATTTTCAAATGAATAAATGTGAACCCAGAATAAATGTGATTTGTAAAGTTCTCATAACTATCACATGTATATATTCTACTATTTGGGTTTTTTCCACCTAGTTTTTGCCATTACAATTAATGTTCAAATGAACATCTTTGTACTTCATTGTGACATTTTGATCTATGGCTCAAAGTAAGAAAGTCCACTGTCTTTTTGAAGGCCAGAACACAGCAGCCTGTACAGTGCTGTTTGCTTCCTCTGGAATGTTCTTTTCATTTCCAGCTTTGCACTTGCATCCACAGACACCATTAACCTGAAATGTGATGGGGATGGACAAAGTGGATGATGTTTGGCGAGCGGCCTCTGCCTGGCTTGCCTGCCTCGGTTCACTGCAGTCAGCAGGTGTGAGAAGGATTTTTCTGTCTATTTTAAGGCCCCTCACTGAAAATGGGAAAAACAAGCTCGTTTGTGCGGGGGACCTCAAGCCAACACAAGAGCCCAGCCACCCTGCAGCAGCCTGAGCGTGACAGCGTTCTGCCCCATAAAGAGATGCTAGGAAAACACTTTTAATGGTCTCTGCCTAGACTCTGTTTACGGAATTTATTTGCCAGAGCTCAGGCCATTCAGCAGTACCTTGGCAGCAGGGCCCAGCAAAGCTGCAACTCCTGTCTCCCCTCCACGTCTGCCTGGGTGTATTAAACCCCCTTGTTCTGAACACCCCAGAGCTAGTACCCGAAAGGCAGGAGTGGGGGGTTGCAGGGAAGAAAAGCCATGGGTTGTAGGATATTTGGGGCCAATATAAACTTCCAAATTCAAAAACAAAAACTAGCTAGGCTCGGTGGCTCACTCCTATAATCCCAGCACTTTGGGAGGCAGAGGCATGTGGATCGCTTGAGCTCAGAGTTCAAGATCAGCCTGGGCAACATGGCGAAACCTAGTCTCTACTAAAAATACAAAAAATTAGTCAGGCTTGGCAGTGTGAGCCTGTAGTTCCAGCTACTTGGGAGGTTGAGGCAGGAGAAATTGCATGAGCCAGGGAGGCAGAGGTTGCAGTGAGCTGTGATCACACCATTGCACTCCAACCTGGGCGATGGGAGTGAAACTCTGTCTCTATTAAACAAAAACAAAACCAACAACCAAAGAACAACACAAAATTACCCTCCAAAGAGCTAGGGGCATGAGCTACTGTTGGCTGCTAGCTGTGGCCGTTTCCAGCCAGCAGTAGAAAGGAAGATGTAAAATCCTGAAGCATTTTGAGTACTGCTTTGTTTTTTTTCTTTCCTGTTTGACGATTGATGCTGAACCATCTTTAAAGTGTGGTTTTTTTGTTTGTTTGTTTGTTTTGTTTTGTTTTGTTTTTTGAGACAGAGTCTCACTCCGTCACCCATTCTGGAGTGCAGTGATGCAGTCTCACTCACTGCAACCCCCGCCTCCTGGGTTCAAATGATTCTCATGCCTCAGCCTCCCAAGTAGCTGGGATTACAGGTGTGCGCCACCACGCCCAGCTAAATTTTGTATTTTTAATAGAGACAGGGCTTTGCCATATTGGCCAGGCTGGTCTTGAACTCTTGGCCTCAAGTAATCTGCCCACCTCAGCCTCCCAAAGTGGCTGGGATTACAGGTGTCAGCCACCATGCCCAGCCCCAAAACTTACTTTTAATTCCTTTTCTCATTACAAAAATAATATATGTCAATGGTTGCAATTTCCAAAACAATTTTAAAAGGGGAAAATAAAAACTGCCAATGAGATAAGGATAAACACTGTTAACACTTTGGTCTGTTGCCCTTTTGTAGTTTGTTCTGCTTCTAGGGAGAGAATTGTACCAGCCTCGACTATCATCTTCCTTGCCCAGACATCAGATATCATTTAAAATGGAAACCTGTGGGTTGTAGAATCCCCCTTGGACTGGGAGGCAGAAGACCCAGTTTCTTGTGTTACCACTTGGTCCTGTGGCCTTGGGAAAGCCACTTAACCTTGATTTGCTCGTCTTTAAAATGGGGACTCAGTATTCCTCACCTTAGCAGATGGAGTGGCCAAAGGTGTTTCTGGCAGAGAGTGCTTTGCAAAGTGCTGTGCAAATTGCTGGCCAGTTTTGATGTGGGTGTGTGAGCCTTTGGTTGGACAAATGGCCAGAGTAGTTTTCCTGTCTTCTTGGGGGAACTGTGACCCTTTCTCGTAAAGCTGTTCTGTCTCTGATCCTGGTGAACATCACCAGCTTCCTCTAGCTGCCCAGAGCTGCCCCTCCCCTCTGCCCTGCCGTGTGGCACCTGGCCCAGTGCAGTGTCCAGTCCCTCTCCAGGTCCCGATGCCTCGGCCTCCACAGTATCTCCTAGTCTGCCCCTCTCGCCCCATCTCCACCATTTCCACTTGATCCTTGTCCCTGCCTGAACTCCTGTGTCAGCTCCTTGCTCCCTCCAGGCGCACCTACTTCCAACCAAGCTCCATGCAGCAGCCAGGAGGCTCTTTCTGAAATGTCAGTCTGCTCTCGCCACCACCTGCTTCAGTAGCTTTCCACTGCTGTCAGGACAGAGTCCAGAGGTCTTGCTGAAGCTGACCAGGCCCGGCCTCTCCGCCCTTGCTGACTGCTTCAGCTTCACCCCTGCCGCTCATCTCCTGACTTAGCCATTCCTTCATGTTTCTTCTTTTCTCCAGGCCTTTGCCTGGGCTGTTCCCTCTGCTGGATACACTTCCCTAACCCTGCTTGGTAATCAACTCAACCTTAGTCCCCTGCTTCATAGGTCACCTCCTCCAGGAAGCCCTCCCTGGTGACCTCACCTAGTCAGGGTTTGCTCCCCACCCTCATGCTGCCACTGGCCCCACTGTGGTTGTCTGATGACTCACCTTTGTCTTCTGTTTGGCTGTGGGCTCTGTGAGAGTAGAGCCTGGGTCTGCCTGACTGTGTTTTGCCAGCACCCAGCATGAGTGTCTACCCTGTACCAGGCACTTGTAGAATCTTGTTTAGATATTTTGTTCTCCCCTGGAGATGGAAAAACACTCAATCTTCCCAAGTGTTAGACTGATTGCTGATGGGTCTTATTTTTCTCTCTGAGTTCTTTTAAGAGTCCTGGAAATGTGGACTGAGAACAGCTGTCGCATGTCAGTTCCGAAGTAGCCGCTTTTATCAGAAACGGTTTAGAGAGAGATTCCTAGTTGCACCTCCCGCCAAGGGCAGTGACCCCACTTTTCTCTCCCCTTGCAGGCCCCTATCCGACCTCAATGGGAGGCGTGGGAGAGTTATGGGGAGTACATCCCACCGGCACAGCTGTCATGTCAGCCCTGTCTGGCTGCCGGAGTTCGACTGGTCAGGCGAGATGGGCACAGGCACGGCTCTGCTAAAGGCCTTGGCTGAGCCCAGCTTGGGGCAGAGCAAGCCACTGAGAATGGCTTTGCCAGAAGACTCCGTCATCAGGCTTGGGTGTCCACAGCCTTGGAGTGCTGAACAGCTGGAACATCCTGAGGCATGTGGCGGGTCAGTTGGGACAAAGCCATTGAGCTGCTAAACCAAACCGGTGCTGCTGGATTGGGACGGAGACAGCAGTGAGGAACATGAGCTCCAGTGTCAGAGGGACCTGGTTTTCATCCAGGCTCTATTCCTTACTGGTTGTGACTTTGAGCAAGTGATTAGATTTCCCTGAACCTCAGTTTCCTTATCTGCAAAATGGGAACTGGAGTGTTGCAAGGATTGAGTGAAGATCTGCATGGGGAGGGCTGCGTAGGGTCTGGCCTGCAGCAAGTGCTCATGCAGCATCTGCTTTCCCGTCTTCCTCTTCATCCTCACAGCCGTTCATCATCGTGGTTGTCATCAACCGTCCCGTGCGGTGCAGAGCTTTGCTTCTTGGTTCTGCCTGCTTGGTGGTTGCCAGGTCCCGCCAGCTTAAGTTTATCTGTTCGTTCATTCATTCATTTATCTGTTAAGCCCCTCTTCCTTCTTCCAGGCCAGGGAGCCAGGGTGCTGCCAGGTGGTGGGGAGCGGCTTTCAGAAGTGGCTCTTGGCAGCGCAGGCTGGGCTACATTTATGGCCTTTATGTAACCCCTTTGCCCTGAGCCCCATTCCTGCCCCTCAGATCTTTATTTACTGACTCTCGGCAGACTTAGAGGTCCTGAAAGGCACCCCCCAACGCCCTCATCTCATTCATCCTTCTGCCTCCAGGCAGGAGGGTCCTCAGCCATGGCAGACATGTGGGGTGATAGCCAATCCCAGCCATGAGCCCCTATTCAGCTTTCACCCTGGGCAAGATCCTGTGGAGGGTCCCAGTGTGGGGCTGGGGGAGGGATGTGGGATCAGCTGAGATCCTTAGGAAGCTGTCTCTAGTTGGGAAGACAGCAGAAAGCCAACACGTGACACTGGGTGACAGCCCTGTGCAAGTGTGCAAGGCGGGTGGCTGCCAAGGTCCATCTTCAGTACTAAGAGCCCAAGGGCGGGGTGGGGAAGGGGGACAGAGACATCTGTGTGGCAGGGAAGGTGCCAAGTGAACAGATGAGAGAGAGAGAGAGAGAGAGAACACTTTTGGGTCAGCAGGTTCAGCGTTATCCAACCAGCAAACATTTCCTGGATGCTTACTGTGGGCCAGGCACCAGGCTATGTGCTTTGCAGACACACACTCGTCCAATCACTACAAAGCCCTGTGGGGCAGGTGCTGCCTTCCCCACCCCTATTTTAGGGATGACGATGCAGAGACTCAGAGAGGTTGGTAAGTTGCTCACAGGCACAGATCTCTGAAGGAAGTGGAGCCTGGATTCACACCTGGGCCTGAGTCGAGGCCATGCTGGCTGTGGATTTCCTCCATATTGGCCATGGCTTCCCCGTGGACGTGGAACAATATGGGCATGTTTGGGAGAGGAGGTGTATTCTGCTTTGGTGGGCTCTATGCAGAGGTCATGAGGCAGAAGGTCAGGGGAGGCTGGGTTGGGCCCGGGACACCAGCCATGCCTCCTGTCTGAAAGGTGAGGTCCTTGCCCCGCAGATAGTAGGGATCCATTGAATGTTCATCTCTGATAGCCGCTGTCTGCAGTCATCCTCAGGGAGAGAGCAGAGAGCAAAGGGAAGCCATGGACAGAGCAGGCGGGCTTCCAGGCTATATGAGATGCAGTTCCTCCTTCTCCAAATTCTTATTAACCCACTGTGTACGGCGTTTCTCAAGTATCCAGCCCAGGACTTGGGATGTACCATAAACAGCCTCCACTTCTGATGACGGTAGCGCTAAGGCTCAGGTAATGCCACAGGAGGCAGGAGCGGCTGGAGCTTCTCTCTCCTGCAGTGTCAGGCCAGAGCAGGTTTTTCTTTTTTCTTTTTCTTTTTTTTTTGGCGGGGGGTAACAGATCCTTTTTTATTTTTTATTTTTTTGGCCTATGCAGCAGTTATTTTATTTTATTTTTTTTCAGTATTTTTATTTTATATTTATTTTTGATTATACTTTAAGTTCTAGGGTACATGTGCACAACGTGTGGGTTTGTTACATACGTATACATGTGCCATGTTGGTGTGCTGCACCCATTAACTCGTCATTTACATTAGGTATATCTCCTAATGCTATCCCTCCCCGCTTCCCCCACCCCACGACAGGTCCTGGTGTGTGATGTTCCCCATCCTGTGTCCAAGTGATCTCATTGTTCAATTCCCACCTATGAGTGAGAACATGCGGTGTTTGGTTTTCTGTCCTTGCGATAGTTCAGAGTAGGTTTTTCTTTGTGACGCCCGGTCGCAGGATGTCTTTCAGCACCACCTGTCAGAGCTCTCCAAGCCGGCAGCTGTTCCCGCTGCCCACCTGTCCCTTCCCTGCTCTTTTTGGGGATGGTTTCTCGCTCCCCTGCTGTCTGTCCTCTCTTTCCCCTCCCCCTGCAGGGCCTTTTGGAAGGTGGCAGATGGGCATGAATGTCACACTGGCTGTCTCTTTGCCTGTGCTGTGCGTGGGGCCGTCTAGCCCGAGAGATCAGCTCAGGCATATTCCAGGTGCGGCTTATGTTGGTGAGAAGTTCTCATAACCTGAGCTGATGGGGGTCAGAATGTGCGTGTGGGGTGCAGAGGGAGCTTCCCACCCCTGGCAGTCCCCTGCCCTCCTCCCTTGGCCAGCCAGCCACAAGACCCACCCTTCCTTCCTTCCTTCCTTCCTTCCTTCCTTCCTTCCTTCCTTCCTTCCTTCCTTCCTTCCTTTTCCTCCCTCCCTCCCTCCCTCGCTCCTTCCTTTCTTTTTCTTTTTTTCTGAGATGGAATCTCGCTCTGTCTCCCAGGCTGGAGTGCAGTGGCGCCATCTCGGCTCACTGCAACCTCCACCTCCTGGGTTCAAGCAATTCTCCTGCCTCAGCCTCCCGAGTAGCTGAGACTACAGGCGCCCACAACCACGCCTGGCTACTTTTTTGTATTTTTAGTAGAGACGGGATTTCACCGTGTTAGCCAGGATGGTCTCGATCTCCTGACCTCATGATCCGCCCGCCTCGGCCTCCCAAAGTGCTGGGATTACAGGCGTGAGCCACCGCGCCCGGCCACAGACTCACTTTCTTGGGGTTTGGCAGGTCAGCAGGTTTTGTGCTCATTTGGCTTTAGCATGAGAGGAGTGGTTCCCAGCCCCGCAATCCAGCTGCAGTGTTAACTTCCCACTCATCTGTTACCTGGATCCCTGTTTCCCACAGGGGCTTCCTAGCCTCACCGGGTAGAAACTTCAGAATTCGCCCATGGGTTGGATCTGTCCCCTCTTCTCCATCCTTGGTACTTGTCTTCCTGCATGGACTGGTGCAGTAGCCTCTTCTTTGGTCCTCTGTTTCTAGCTGGTATCTTTTTTCTTCCTTCCCATTTATTATGACTTTCTTGCTTGCTGTTCTTAACACTCAGAAGATTCTTGACTTCTCTGAAGTCGTGAAACTTGACACTCCTAGCAGATATCAAGGGTCTGTCCACTGCCTATGGTTCCTTCACCATATACTTCCCCTCCACCCCACCCTGCCAGCAGACTTCAGGCCCTTGGGGAAACCCAGCAGCAGCATGGTGGGTAATAGCGTGTTTTCCAAGTTATGGTGTCAAATCTCTGCTCTTCTATTTAGGAGCTGTTTGACTTTTTTTTTTTTTTTAAACCTCTCTGAACTGCATAAACAGAAAAAAACAGATTTTCTTCTTGCTTCTAGGTCTTTGGTACAGCTGCATCCTCTGTCCTCTCCACCTGGCCAAGCTTTACCTCCAATGTCAGTGGATCCCTGTCCCAAATAACCACCCACCCCCTCCCCCAAGGCCCTAGAGCATTCCACATGTGTCCCCACCAAACATTCCCAAGGAACCCTTGCCATGGGGAGCAGGACTAGGCTTCAGGTGTCTGTTTTCCTAGAAGGTGCGTGTGCCTCCTCCACCTTTGTAAGCCTAACCCCTGTTACAATGCCTGGGCTCTGCGGGAGCCCAGAAGTGTGTACAAAACCAGTGAGCAAGCAAGGGAATCAGTGAGGAAGGGGAAGGAGGAATGAATGATGAGGCAGCATCGCCGCAGCGGGGCCGAGGAGAGGTCCCCCGGAGCATGCCCGTGCAGCCCTAGGGGTAGCTCCTCCCTGGAGCAGGTATAGCTCACCCCCTAGCCTGGCAGCCCTGTCTTCACACCTCCACAGTCTACAGGGTTTCGGCATTTGCTTCAGTTATTTACTGACCATGATCTCCTAGGTCAGATTTATCATTTACTGGGTCAGGAAAGAAAAAGCCCCATGGGGCCAGGTTTATAGAGATTAAATCCACTCATGCCGAAGCTGGCTTCCTGCTTGGGGGATGCTGCAGTGATGCCTCAGGCCTGTTCCTGGAGCCCGTCAGTGCCGGCTGCTCTGGGAGTGGCCTGAGGTCTCTCTGGGACATGTGGGCTGGAGCTGCAAGCTGGGTGCCTTCTGCCAGCTGCACGTGCCACCTGGCTGGCCATCAGAATGCCATCAGAGAGGGCTGGCTGGCTGGCTCCTGGGCCTCCCAGGAAGACCATACAGGGACTGGAGTCCTCCCTGCTCACCGGGTCCCCCAGGCTCCGGCAGAGGCAACGGGAGGAACCAGTTGATCAGAAAGCTGAGCAGATTGAGCTGGCCTTTCTTGTTAGTTTCCTCCAACAGTGGTCCCCTCTGAGGGCAGAGCTGGACAGGCCTCCTCTCGGGCCCGTGTGGAGGGTATTGCATAGAATCTTTCTCCTAGGAACTGACGGAAGTAAGTCTTACGGAGATTAGACTGATTTGCTGTGTTTTGAGTTCATTTTCTCCACCCAGGCATCAAGATATGGTTACGATTTCTGGGAACCATTTCCTTAGACTGCTCAGTCCTGAGGGCTGAGGTGTGGCCGGCACCTGGTTTATCTGAGAGGGCCTGGGCTCATGCACTCTGTTGCCTCTCGGCCTTCCACAAGAGTCTGCAGGGATTCTCTCTTATTGATGGGACACAGATTGTCCTCAGCCAGGCCTTCATGAAACACCACAGTATTTCATGTATGTGTGTGTGTGCAGTGTGTGTGTGTGCACATGCAAGTTTGTATGTGTCCGTGTATGTTTGCAAGTGTGCATGTGTGTGTATACATGCAAGTTTGTATGTGTCCGTATATTTGTGAGTGTGCATGTGTGTGCGTGTGTGTACATGCAAGTTTGTGCCCATGTGTGTTTGCGAGTGTGCATGTGTGTGCGTGTGTATACATGCAAGTTTGTATGTGTCCGTGCATGTTTGCAAGTATGTGCGTGTTTGTGTGTGCATGCACGTGCACGTGTGTGTGTGCACGCCCATCACCAGACTGTAAGTATCCTGAAGGCAAGGTGTTGGCTGTCTTAGGTCCCTTCCACCTCAACAGATATCAAGGGAAATGACTCTGACCTGGAGACAAGGCCGGGACGGCAATGGGGTGTTGTGGAGAGTGTCCCAGGCTGGAACCAGATGGCCTGAATTCTACCACAGTCCCCACTTACCAGCCCTGGGCCTTAAGCCAGGCCTGGTTCCCGGCCCCCGCACATCGTGCATGAGAAGCATGGCCCTTGCTGGACCAGTAGGCGTGTCTGCCTTGCTTCAGATAGTCATCTCTGAATTAAGGAAGAGCTCTCCTGGGACCTGAGTCTTCCCTGGGGGGCAGGGACAGCTTGGTAGGCAGAGAAGGGAGCCTCACCTGCCATGGTTGCAGTGGGGTGAATGCCGAGGCTGCCACCACTTGTCCCTTTCTCCTCCAGTGACCACCCCCCAACCTTTCCTTCTCCACAAAGGAGGGGCAGAGTGACCTCCCATAAGTGGGCTTCTCTCATCCGCCATTGTTGTTCTAGCCCTTCTGTCTCCCTCAAGGACAGGGCCGTGTCTCAGTCGCCAGTGCCCCAGTGTGTAGCACAGTGGCTGCACACCGTAGGTGCTTGCTATGTGTGTTGGCTTAATGAGGAGTCCAGGGGCCTGGCTTTGAGTTTCTTTCTACTGCTGGCCACCCACATGCATCCCTCTTTCTTCAAACTGCTGGGAAGCCCATAGCTCAGTTTGATGTCAAAAGCAAAGCTCTCTTTCATCTGATGTCATCGGGGGAGCTCATTTGATTTTCCCCTCCCTCTTTTGCTGTTTGTTTCCTGTTCTTTGTCTTTTATGGAACAATTGAACATGTGCCTTTATTGGAAGATGCTGTGGATCGTTTTGGGAAGTAAGCAGGCAATGAATAAGTCAGTGCGTTAGAAACGAAGGGGAGAAGAAGCTCCCTGCTCGGCCTAGGAAGCAGGCAGGTCTGAGCCTTGTTCCTCCTCTCTGGAGAATGGACATATGGGCACCTGCCCTGTAGACCTTGAGGAATGAGAACAGAATGGGTTCTGGTGGTCCAGTGTGCTGGGCAGCAATGGGCATGTCCTTCTTCCAGGGCTCTAGAAGGTGGGTCTACTCAGGCAGGACGATGCTATGTGGCTCAGGGAATGGGCTGTGCTACAACCAGCCTGGAAGAGGCCAGGGCTTGCTGGGCGGGCACAGCTGGCAGCTCCCCATTCTGGAGGAACCAGCCAAGAGCATGCTGAGGCGGGCCACCAGTGAGTGCTTTGGGGGGACCAGGTGTCCCAAGTTTGAGCACCAGGAGGCCAGCGCTGTTGCTTTGCTCTTCTCCATCCTTGTCCAAAAAAGGAGTTCGCTCCATTAAGAGGTATAAATAGGAGTGCTGGGGGTGGCCAGACGACAGGGCCGCTCTGCTCATATCCTCGACCACCACAGGAGGGCCGCTCTTGAAGTCCTGGCCAGCAGCAGGAGACATCTTTTTAAGATGTTGGCAAGAAATGAGAGTTAGGCAATCTTCCGTCACCCTCCGCCCTCCTCCCACCCACCGTGGCCATCATAACACAGAATTTCAAAGAATGAGCTCCCAGTGGGGAGAGGTTAAACACTGTGGATTTGTTGTTTCAGGGAAGAACTCGTGGCCAGTGACCTGCTGGAGAAGAGGCAGGAGGAAGGAAGGTGCCGTGGTCAGCATGGGAGGGAGGCAGGGAGGGGCTGAGAGGCAGGATTTGCAGTCGGTCAAGCCTGGGTTTCCTCAGCTTCATTGTCACAAAAAAGCAGAGAGGGAGGACAGCCGCTGAAGGCAGAGGCATGGCTTTGAGAGGTGGCCGTAGTGATGCTGTGTCCAGCTCTGTGTCTGACTCTGCCCAGTGGTTCTGGAAGGAAAGCAGTACCTTGGAAGCAGGCATGGGTTCAGTTCCTTGCCCCTCCACTTACTCATTAGATGTCCTTGGGCAAGCCCTCACGCCTTTGGAGGCAGTTACCCGCCTGTACTGTGGGACAAATAAATAACGCCTCCCCAGGGGGTCTCCATGGGCACCAGCCAAGACCTGTGTGGGAGGGGAGGGCCTGTGCACTCAGGGCCTGGGGCCTTCGGGTGGGGAACATGGCTCACCAGGCCTCGAGATGGTCTTGAGGGGTGGGCATTGGGTCTGCCTCTCTGTAGGCCTGGTGACAGCCCTTTCTGGGGTCATTAGCCTGCAGCCAGCTTTTTTCCCAGCTAAGTCTGAATGGTGAAAGCCGGATCTCCCATCCAGGACTGATTCAGTGGCCACCACTTCCTACGCTTGAGGAAGGAAGAGGAGGAAGGCCTCCTATCATCCTCAGAACCACCACCTGCCTTTGGTGGTTGCTCATACGTGGGCACCTGCCATGGCTATTGCTGCGAGTGTGCCTGTCTTCACTCCCTGTGGAAGGTGTGGGCTGCTGTGCAGCTTGCAAAGCGCTTTTCACACTCCCTGAGCCCAAGTTTTCATTCTTGTTTTACGGACCAGGCTCTGAGAAATTGCCTCGGTCACCCACTTATAGGCAAAGCCTGAGCCACGACAGCTTAACCACAGGTGTGACCAGCTCATGGCCAGAATGTGCCACAGGATGGGGTAAGGATGCAGGCTGGGACGGGGCTGGAGGCCCAGCCCATGACTGCCAGATGGGCCTGTTGCCAGTGCCGGCTGCCATCTCTGATGGGACCCTCCAGCTCCAGCCCCTTTCACATGTGGGTCCTGGAGTCTCTGGTCCCAAGCAGCTACCGCCTACACCTGTCTTATTTTTTCAGTGCGGCATTTAGCCATGGGAGGGAGAGGTGGTGGGAGAAGTAAGTTACCTTCAAGTCTGAGTTGGCATGAACTTGCCAAATAAAACATTTAATGTATTGCCAAGAAACATTTTGCTTGCTTACTTCTTAGCAGACCAAGTGCACAATTTTCCATCAAAACTTTTCCATTGCTCAAAAGTGTCTCTGACACCGAGGCTGGATCCTGCAGCATCTTTGTCACAGCTCACATTTTATTTGGAATCTGGTGTTTTCAGAATGTCACCACCTCTTGCTTTGCGTTTCCCGATGGAAACATTTCACAAGAATCTTTTCAGCTGTCGAAGTGGTGCAACCCTCTTTCAGAAGGTTTTATTTGTCCAGCGCAGAGAAGAACCCCTTTTTTGTGAAGTCCCTGCCACGTTTCACTGGTCAGTTCAGATCTTGCCAGGCTGCCATGGAGTGGATCAAATCCCATTACAGCAAAAGCTGTTTGAGTTTCATGGACACGTTTGTGGAAACAATTGCAGACTCCTCTGTTGACAGTCTACTTCCAGTGTGTAATGTTTGATAGAACATGCACGCAGCACAGCAGAAGAATTTGGACAGCCCTCAGAATGTGCTGGAATGGAATTTGGCTGGGCCTGCTGTCCAGGTCTCTGATGGGGCTGTGGGAGAATGTTTGCCCACCCATTAGGCAGATATTCAATGGGCTCCGTCTGTGTTGCAGATACTGGGCTAATCACAGAGATAAGTGCAACCCAGGCCCCACCCTCAGGGAGCCTAGTCAGTAGGGAATGGAAGAGACATCTGCATTTTGTTCCTAAATATGTCAGAATCATGTTAGGAAGTGGATGGAATGTGTTATGCATTTATTTTAATGTATGTCATTAAAAAAATCCAGCCACTGCAACAGTAATTCCACTATGTTATTACTTAGAAAGACTAAGTTGGAAAAAGACAGGAGGGGCAGTTAATTACAACCTAAGTTAAAGAAAGATATTGAGTAAATACTGTAATGGTGGTAACTCTTTGATATGGTTTGGCTCTGTGTCCCCACCCAAGTCTCGTCTTGAATCGTAGCTCCCATAATTCCCACATGTTGTGGGAGGGACCTGATGGGAGATAGTTGAATCATGGGGGTGGTTTCTCCATTACTGTTCTTGTGGTAGTGAATAAGCCTCACCAGATCTGATGGTTTTATAAGGGAAAACCCCTTTCACTTGGCTCTCATTCTCTCTTGCCGGCCGCCATGTAAGATGTGCCTTTCCTCTTCTGCCATGATTGTGAGGCTTCCCTGGCCATGTGGAACTGTGAGTCCATTAAACCTCTTTTTCCTTATAAATTACCCAGTCTCGGGTATGTCTTTATCAAGCAGAGTGAGGATGGACTAAGACACTATTATAGGTGGTAGGTAAAAACCATGACAGCAGCTCATGAATGACTGGTATCTGGAAAAAATAAGTTCAGGTGTATTTTGTGTTGATTGGTTGCCAGGGGCTTTACCTCTGTTCTCATCCAGTCCTTGGGAACCCTGGATAATGGTAGTGTCAGATGGTAGTCCCAACTGACAGCTGATAAAAGCTCATAAAGTTCAAAGAAGTGAAATGATTCATCCAAGGTCACATGACTAGTAAGTGAGGGAACTTGAATTTGGATCCAGGTCTGTCAACTCCTGATCCTGAACTCTTAGCCACTATGCTATATGGCAATTGATCAAATTAAAAAGTGATCCTTCCCTCTGCAGAGTGTAATCCAGGAAAGCTTCCTAGGGGAGGTGGCCTCAACTGAGTGGTAGGCTTTAGCAAGGGAAGTTTGGGTGGTAAGGTAGAATGTCCCATGGGTCAGATACCCATAATTATTGGCTGGATGGTTTGAATTATAGTGACTTAAACACTTTTTCCTCATATAAATAAAATCTTGAGTTAGGCCATGCGTTGGCTCTTCTGTGTCATCAGGGTCCTAGGCTGCTTTTATCTCTCGATTCCACTAGGTGTCTCATGATCCAAGATGGCAGATAGAGCTCCAGCCACAATATTCTTGTTCCAAAGAAGTAGAAAAAGATAAGAGGGAAAGGGTAAAAGTACATATCTCCCAATGTGTGAGCCCCTTGAAGGAGCTTTTCTGGAAGGGAAAGCTAACAAGTTATTCTTGCATCTCATTGGCTGGCCCTGGTTATTAGGGAGGCTGCCCACTGTGTGCTCAGCATATGTGAATGGAGGACAAACATCCTGCCCTCAAGGTGCTTACAGCAGATCGAACTGCTTCTCGTTGAAGCTGTAAAGGAGACTGCAGTTGAGTGGGTAAGAAAAAGCCTCCTCTAACCAGACTTGCCTCTGGAGTGGCCCCAATAAGCTCCTGGGTCTGTTTTGGTTTCTTCAACACATTTATTTGGTGTTTAATTGGAGGGGAAAGTTGCAGCGATTATGTCACCTGCCCAAGGCAGCCCCTGCCCACCATCTCATCAACCCTTCTGAAAAGACAAGAGTCACTCTTGGTACAAACCAGTCTCATTCCACCACCTGCCATCCTCTGGTGCAATTAGAGCAAGAGCCCACTTTCCACCCGAATCCTGGATTGGTGTCATTTAAGCTCAGCAGAGCCCCGTATGGTGGTGACCAGGCCCAAGTTCTGTGCAGCTTACGGGCAAGAGTAGGACCTGGGCACTGTGGGCCACCCGGGCTCCGTCCTCCCTCTCTCTCCCCTGAGGACCTGGGTTTGCTTTTCACTTCTTATCTCAGGAGGGTATGCTGGCCAGTTGCCAGAAATATCAAAAGTTTGGAGAGTTCTTTAAAATCAGTGGAGCCTTCTGGGTTGCCAATGTTGTTCCGGGGACTGGTTCAGAGATCAAATCTTGTTCATGTGAAGAAGCCCTCTCTGCTGGGATTTGGGTTCATGTGGGTATGAAATGCCCTTTTCACTTTTTGGGAATTGGGATGCTAGACCATGGAAAGAATGTTCGGGCTGAAATGGGAGCCAGGGGTGGGATACAGCCCCTGTTTCTCCATTTGCTTGCTCAGGAGACTTACTCCACCTGGTTGGAGGCAGAGATGGGGAGAGATGGCTTCTGATGTCCTCAGCCAGGCATCTGCCTTTGTTCTGTAATTACCTCCAAGTAAATAGTCTTGGAAGGAAGTTTAGAGAGATGTTTCATAGGGTGTTAGAAATCAAACTGCTATTAATATACTAATTACAGTAGGCTCAATACTTACCATTGAAACAGGTCCTGGAGAGCCTCTCCTTGGCAACACTGTTAGACATTCTGTTCTTGAAATAGAAAGTCCATATTCTTTGGTGAAAGCTCTAAATCCAGGCTTTCCCTATGAACAGCCAGCCCTTTTCTTTGGATTCAGTAGGTTCAGCTGCGGCCTCTGGCAGCAAAGGCTGGGTGGAGTGAGGTGGGGAGAATTTGACGCACTCAGAAAGCAGTCAGCTCAGCAGAGGTGTCCAAAGGTGCTGGGGCCCCAGAGGTCCCAGACCAGCTACCTGACAATGTCATTGTACATCTAAGCATTATTTTTAGCAATGACATCACTGCTACTGGTTTTATTTTTAGATTGATGCTGCAGGTGCTGTTTGGAAATGTCTTTTTTCCCCACATCACTTTTGTCCTGGAAGTACCCAGTATATGAGGGAAACAAAATGGCAGCCACCCCACCAAGGGCAATCCATTTTTTCTTTCTTTTTTTTTTTTTTTTTTTTGAGGTGACTTATACTTTATTAGTGTGACTTCATTCATTTTTCTGTAGAAATATTACTATGTTGATTTTGGGGATGTTTGATATATATGACATATATAGATTATATTTCTAAAATCTGATAAGTTCTGAATTCTGAAATACATGTGATCTCAAGGGTTTCTTTATTTAAAAAAATGTCTATAAGGTAGATAACATGATGTTTTGCTATATATGTACTTAGTGAAATGATTGCTACAGTCAAGCAAATTAATACATGCATCACCTCTCATAGTTACCTTTGTCCGTGGAGTGGGGCAGAAAGGTTAAGAGTACCTAAAATCTACTCTCTTAGCAGATTTCCAGTGTACAGTACGATATTATTAACTATAGTTCTCATATTCTCATAGTGTACATTAGATCTCTAGACTTATCCTACATAACTGCAACTTTGTGCCCTACATCTCCTTTTTTTTTTTTTTTTTTTTTTTTGAGACAAGGTCTTGCTCTGTCACTCAGGCTGGAGTGCAGTGGCGCAATCATGCCTCACTGCAGCCTCGACCTTCCAGGCTCAATTGACCCTCCCACCTCAGCCTCCTGAGTATCTGGGGCTACAGGTGTACACCGCCATGCCTGGCTAATTTTTGTATTTTTTGTAGAGACGGGGTTTTGCCATGTTGCCCAGATTGGTCTCAAACTCCTAGGCTCAAGTGATCCTCCCACCTTGGCCTTCCAAAGTGCTGGGATTGCAGCTGCACCCAGCCCATCTCCTCCATTTTTAAGGCTGAATAATATTCCATTGTACAGTTGATCCTTGAAGAGCACAGGTTTGAACTGTGTAGGTCCACCTTTATGAGGATTTTTTTCAACCAAACATGGATTGAAAATACAGTATTCAAGGGATACAAAACCCTGAGTATTGGAAAGGCTGACTTTTCATATACTCAGGTTCTGTAGGGCCAACTATGGGAGTTGAGAATGCATGGATTTTGGTATCCATCGGGGACTGGCTCTAGGACTCCCCGAGAATGCCAAAATCCATGAATGCTCGAGTCCCTGATATAAAATAGTATATTTGCATATAACCAATGTAATTCTCCTGTATACTTTAAATCATCTCTAGATTACTTCTAATACCTAGTTCAATGTAAATGCTATATAAATAGTTGTTATACTGTATTGTTTAGGGAATAATGACAAAAAAATACAAAGTCTGTACATGTTCAGTGCAGACACAACAATCCATTTCCTGTCAAATATTTTTGATCCATAGTTAGTTGAATCCACAGATGCAGAATCCATGGATAAGGAATGCCAACAGTATATCACAATTTCATTATTTTTTCATCTGTTGATGAACACTTAGATTGTTTCTATATATTGGCTAGTATAAATAATACTGCTAGTATAAATAATGCTGCAATGAACATATGAGTACAGGTATCTCTACGAGGTGCTTATTTTATTTCCTTTGGGTATATATCCAAAGAGGGCTTGCTGGGTCATGTGGTAGTTCTGTTTTCCAATGTGGAAAATATTAAAAGGTATAACCCACATAAATAAAAGCTCCTGGCTAGGTGTGGTGGCTCACGCCTGTTATCCCAGCACTTTGGGAGGCCAAGGTGGGTGGATCATGAGGTCAGGAGTTTGAGACCAGCCTGACCAACATGGCGAAACCCCTGTCTCTATTAAAAATACAAAAATTAGCCAAGTGTGGTGGCATGCACCTGTAATCTCAGCTACTCAGGAGGCTGAGGCAGGAGAATTGCTTGAATCTGGGAGGCAGAGGTTGCAATGAGCTGAGATTGAGCCACTGCACTCCAACAGCTTGGGTGACAGAGCAAGACTCTATCACAACAACAACAACAACAACAACAAAACTCCTTTGGGATCTATAATAATTTGTAGAGGTATCAAGGTGTCCTGAGTCCATAAAGTTTCAGAGTCACTGCAGTAGAGGGAAGAAAAGGACAACAGAAACAGTGAAACTTAAATAGCATTTCCTGAGCCCTGAGAAACAACCGATGCTATATAGTTATTTTTTCACTCTAAGATAACTCAAGATAGAAACTTTTAAATCTAGAGAGCTGATAAAGTAAGATAATAATACATTCTGCAGGCCTAAGAACCCTGATCTGGAGGATCAAGACTGGGTCATGCATACATTGCATTAGACAGCGACACCTAATGAACAACAATGGTATTACAACCCAGCTCTATGAAACCAGGGACTAGCAAGAGTAAATGCTGTATTCAGACTAAAGGACATAGATAAGAGCACATTCTGTCAGGCAGAGTATTTCATTATTTGATATTCTTAGACAAAACAAATTCTCAGGGTGTGGAGGGCAATTTACAAAATATATAATGACAGTTCATTTGCTTAGACCTTCTTCCTTAGTTAAGTTGAATGTTAGTGGTCCATCAGGGAATCTGGAGCATAGAGTAGAATCACAATCACCTTGGACTTATAAGAAATAATTCAAAGACTTTATAGAATCAGTCTCTAGTCCCAGAATTTTATGTTTTTACCATGTTCGTGGCTCATGCTTTCTTGATTTCTGGCATCCTGTCTGATTTCTGAGTTTGGGCTAGCTAGAGTCTTGTTTGTCTATCTTCTTGATGCCCAATAAGATCAGCCCCTTTACTGTGCCTGGATTTCTATATCCAGCATTACCTAAATCCAACTTTACACAGGCTTTGGGCTCTTCCAGTTCCTCTTCTGCCCTTTAACCCCATGTGTGCCCCAGAACCATCCACAAGGAGATGCCAAGAATAGAGAAGATGAACAACAACAACAACAAAACAGAACTGCAGCCCTTCTGTATGCTTCAGTCTCTAGCAGGCTCAGCCCAAGCCACTACCGATCCCTTTTCTCACAAGTTTTCAATGCAATCTACAGGAGGCTTTGTATTCTCATATAGGAACCCTTCTCAAAACTGATAAAACGATAAAGGCTTTGCTTTACTAAAATTTGCTGTGCCAGCCCTCTCTTTAGCAACTGACCAGTGCTGAGCTATCTCATGCTACCTCTATGGCATTGTCAAAGAAGGCAGGGAATGTCTTTGCCCACCAAAGAACAGCATGTGTGTGAGGCCCATGCTAGGGAAGAAAAAATTCTTAACAAAGTGAGGTGTGAAGGTGGCTGGGGGCCAACTGGACCCTGGAGCCCAAGCGAAGTGAAGTGATGCCAGATGCCTTGCCCTATCAAAGTAATGAAAGTGATCTGGAAATGGTGTTTTTTCTCATTTTAATGACAGAGCAGGGCTGGGTAAGGAATAACTGTAAGTGCAGATGAAGCTTGTTTATGCTCCAAAGATAAAGTCACAAATGGGGGGTAGGGTGGGCTGTGGCCTTCCCTTGCTCTAGGCAAATTCCCTCAGCACTAGAGAAGGTGCCTTCCAAAGGGCCTGTGTTGTGTCTGCAGTTCTGTTCCCAGGGAAGTGGAAGCTGAGGCACCTGTGGTAAAGCCCCTCATGGGAGCGGGGGTCAGGGAGATGTTTGGAAAGGCTGTGGCTGATAATGAGACGCGGGTAACCCTGGTGGATATCGTTCCATCCTGGTGCGTGCCTTCCTGGTTGCCTCCTGCTGCCTGCTCCTGGGGAGTGGAGTGGGGGAAGCATTAGTCTGGATTGTTGTTGGCTTGGTTGCCTTCCAGAGGCCTGCATCCAGGTGCCAGGGAAATTCTGACTGAAGTCCATTCAACAATAGCAATAGCGGCTCACACTCAGGCCTGCTGGCCCCACCATTGACAGCTTTGCATGAGCTTCTTTCCATGCAAGAGGGCTGTCCCCAGGTTCACTCCCCACTTCTTGTTCTGCTGCCTGCATTCTTGGCCACGTAGTTAAGTCTCCCTCCCTTTGTGCCCCCTTTATGTCTCTGGTCTTCTCCAACATTAGCCATGCCATTGGCAGGGTGGGGGTGGGTGGTGGGGCACGCTTCCTGACTCGGATGCCTTGACCCCACAGGGACTGAGTTTTGGACAAGGTGCAGCGGCAGCCTCCCAAGCCAGGGGTGGGCAGCGTCTGCTGAGCAGATCCTGGTCCTCTCGGGGTGGCTGCATCAATCACACCCAAAGGGGAGAGGCCTCAGTATGGAAAGTATGTGAGCCTTGGATGGAATCACGGATGGCCCGAAATGGCTTGGCCCCTTGTTTCTAAGGCCCCGGCTGGTTTCCCCATTGTGCAGTGGGGAGGGAGAAAGGGGCCAGCTTGCCTGAGTTCCTGGAGCACGAGTGAGAGTCCCTGAGCCACAGGTAGGTGAGGGCAAGGGTGGCAGTGTTTTGGGGTGTCCACGCAGCATGCATGGCTGGTCCTAGCTCGGATGTTGTCTGACAGTCACCCATGAGGAACAGGAGTCCCTCCCATTACTCAGCCAAGGGCACAGAGTGATTATGCCCGGGGTGTAGCAAATGCTCTGCAAATAGTAGCTGCTCTGACCATGTGATTTGACTGGCATTGCCCAGATGCTGAGTGGTGGTGCCAGGATTGGACCTGTATCCATCTCATGCCTCCACCCAGGCCCTCCACCCGGCAGCCTGGCCGCCTTCTCCTGGTCCTGGTCCCCTTGCCCCCAGGAATTGAGGCGTGCATGGTGCATTTCCATCTCCCAAATCATGGTCCTGTCTGTGCCCTCATCTGCTCCTCTTCCACAGGCCTCTCAGGGAGGCAGGCAGGGCAGAGTCAGCAGCCCCATTTTAGAGACCAGGAAACTAAGGCCCAGGGATTCCTCAGAGGTCACCAAGCTTGTAAATGGCAGCACTGAGCCTCAAGCCTTGCTCTTTGGATCATCCACTTTGTATTAGTCTGCTCAGGCTGCTATGACAAAATACCACAGAGTGGGCGGCTTAGACAACAGGTATTTCTTTCCTCACAGTTCTGGGGGCCACAGTTCAAGATCCAGGTGCCTCAGGGCTGGCTTCTGCCCTTGCTGGTTTGTAGATCCACTGTCTTCCTGTTATGTCCTTGCCCGGCCTTTCCTCTGAGCTCTCTGGTGTCTCTTCCTCTCCTCCTAAGGACACCAGCCCTATCAGTTAGGGCCCCACCCTGAAGAATTCATTTAACCTTAATTACCTCCCCAAAGCCCCACCCCCAAATATAGTCACATTGGGGGTTAGGGCTTCAACATATGAATTTGGGGACAACACAGTTCAGTTCATAACACACCCTGAGCCCCCTCCACTGTTTGGAGTCCCCTAGGTCACACCAGGGGGGTTGCTGGTGCTGTGCATCAGAGGAGCCATTTGGAGAGACTGTGCCAGAGGCCAGGGGTGGGGCTGGGGCAATCCAGGAAGGCTTCCTGGAGGAGATGTGTGTACACACGAGAGGGCTTGGGGGCAGTACATGCCCTTACGGGGGCCTATTTCAGGGAACCCCACATGTAATCCACACCAGTAACTCAGATGAGCTGTAGCTGTTTTCCAGGAGCCACTTTCTCTCCATGGTTATGGCAAGAGGGGAGCCTCCGGGTCCTGCGTGGCCCAGCAAGGCAGCTGTGGGTTGATGCAGCAAAGCAGGTTGTGTTTCCAGGTCATTCGTGTGGAAGGGAATGGGATCCCAGGTGGGCAGGGCCAGGCAACAAAGGCCAGAAATCGAGCTGAGCACCCACGAAGCCTTCCTCAGAGCAAAGACCTGCAGAGGGGACCACTGCATGTGGCAGCTGCCCCAGATGCTGTGGCCCTGGCTGCTGTGGGAGGGTAATTTTTGTTAAGATGAACTAAGTTGGGACTGCATCTCACACAGTGGCCTTTGTATAAATTCGCTTGCCTTCCTCATCCGGTATCTGTCCCCTCTTTGGTTCACACCCTGGATGCAGGTGTTCGGGGGAATGTGCATTGCCACACTTAGAACATTCAAGTTTCTGCCATCCCTGTGTTTCTGGAGTGACAGTGATGTTCCCGGGGGGGAGGTGTGGGTTCATGCAGCAAGTCCCATGCAGAGTCCGGGGCAAATTCAGGTCCTGAGTGAGGTCGTAGTGGGTACCTGGCTAGCAGGCTGAAGGGAGGTTGAGGAGATTGAGGAGGCTGAGGGGGCTTGAGGAGGCTGGGGAGGCTGAGGAGGCGGAGGGAGGCTGAGGAGGCTGAGGAGGTGGAGGGAAGCTGAGGGAGGTAGAGGGAGGTGGAGGGAGACTGAGGGAGGTGGAGGGAGGTTGAGGAGATAGGGGGAGGCTGAGGAGGCCGAGGGAATCTGAGGGAGGCAGGGAGGGAGGCTGAAGAGTCTGAGGGGGTGAAGGAAGTTGAGGGAGGCTGAGGCTGAAGGAGGCTGAAGGACTCTGCTCTTTGGGTAGAACTTCCTGTTTCTCATGTTTCCTCTCTGTAGACCACAGTGCCCAGCCCTGCCCCAAAGCAGAGCCAGAGCTTGTGTCCATTTCTTGGGTGTGTAGTGTGCCTTTGGCTTCTCTTTAGTTGTGCCTTGGAATGGCACACGGGGCTGGGTGGGATTCTGGAGGCGCTTAGTGGGTGGCTTCTCAGAGCTCAGGCCACAGCCCTTGTGAGTGGGAAGAGTCTGTGTGAGTGGGAGGAGCCTGTGTGAGTGGGAGGAGTCTGTGTGAGTGGGAGGAGCCTGTGCGAGAGGGAGGAGCCTTGTGAGTGGGAGGAGCCTGTGTGAGTGGGAAGAGCCTGTGTGAGTGGAAGGAGCCTGTGTGAGTGGGAAAAGTCTGTATGAGTGGGAGGAGCCTGTGTGAGAGGCAGGAGCCTGTGTGAGTGGGAAGAGACTTGTGAGTGGGAGGAGACTGTGTGAGTGGGAGGAGCCCCTCTCGCAGCTCCATGGTCAAGTGTTTGAGGCTAAGTTAGGAGAAGATGGTCTGTCCGTCCTCTTCCTCCCTCCTCCCTCCTCCTCTTCCACACCCGGCCCGGGGCCCTTTGCTCTGGGTCATGCTCTGTTCCCAGGCCCTGTGGGGATGCTGGGAACCCTGGGAACACAGCTCCCTTCCTGCCCGAGGCCCTGAGCGTTCTGAGCCTGTGGCCGCTGCTTCTCTGGTGGGAAACGGTGGTTTCCTCTTGAGGGAAGTGTTAGTCGCTGCCTTTCCCTCCCTCTGATTCCCAAGGATGAGTCTCTTTGGGACAGCAGGTGCCTCTGGGAAGGTCTCCTGGCTAGGTGGGCTCTGGCTCCCTGGGAGTACTGTGGGCTTTGGAGCCAAAAAGACCTGGACGCAGATCCCAGCTCCTCCGCTGATGCACTGTGACCTTGGGCAATGCACAGACCTTAAACTGGCTGTGCCCTGGTTTTCTGTCCAGCAGGACCGGGCAGTGCTGTCCACTCTACAGTGGAATGAAGGCAGAGAATGGCGCATCAGAGGTGCGGCTCATGGCAGGTGCTAAACACTTGGGAGTGTCTGGGCGCCTGGTGCGGGAACATGAGCAGAAGCCCCACCCCACTTGGATGTCTGGTGGTCTTCGCTGCTTTCTGACTGCCTAGATGGGGAGGCCTCGAGGCCATCATGATTCAACCATTCTCTTACTCAGCAAGCCCTGACCACCATTCATTCATTCATCCATTCACTTCCGAGAACCTGCCGCGTAGTAGGCCTTGTTCTCTGCACTGGGGCACACAACCATGGATAAGACAGACCAGGACTTGTGCTCCAATTCTATGTTGAAGGTGAGGGAAGAAGTTAATTAAGCAATCAGCCAAGCGGATTTCAAAGGACAGCTGTGCTGCACGCCACTGAGGAGACGTGAGAGGAATCCTGGCTAGGGGCCTATGCTGGGTGCCCGGCAGTGGGGGAGGCGCAGAGGGGGTTCAGAATTGAAAGGCTGGGTGCGGTGGTTCATGCCTGTAATCCCAGGACTTTGGGAGGCTGAGGCGGGCAGATCACTTGAGGTCAGGAGTTCGAGACCAGCCTGGCCAACATGGCGAAACCCTGTCTTTACTAAAAATACAAAAATTAGCCAGGCGTAGTGGCGTGCACCTGTAATTACAGCTGCTCGGGAGGCTGAGGCAGGAGAATTGCCTGAACCTGGGAGGTGGAGGTTGCAGTGAGCCGAGGTCGCACCACTGCACTCCAGCCTGGGTGACAGAGCGAGACTCTATCTCAAAAAAAAAAAAAAAAAAAAAAAAAAAAAAGAATTGAAAGGCAGCCTTGACCTTAGGAAGTGTGCTCACCAGCTGCAAGCTGTCCCACCTCCATACTCAGTGATTATTGGAGGTGATGCTACTACAAGAAGGAATAATATTTTAAAGAATAAAGTCAGTTCTTAGGAAGCCGGTAGTAACCCTGTAACAATCTGGTGTTTAATCATTTAGATAAAGCCATAGCCTGGGGTCAAAGATTGGCTGGAGGTGTGCCTGGAGCATTAAGCTCATGCTCACCACCAAACTTCCTGTCCCTTGTAAGTAAGTCAGTGTCATCCCAGGTGCTGGCATGGCCAGTTTAGGATCACCCTTTGCCTGTGCCTTTGGGGAACCCCAGGACACTTGAGTCTGAATGGCCTGATGTGGCTAGGACAAGGGCAGTCTTGCGCAACTCTTCCATCTTGGGAAAACAAATGTGATTCCTAATGTGTTGCCTCGAGTTCCTGGAACCAGGGTGTTTGTTTTATGTAATAGACAGCAGAGACCATTCTGTTGACTTCAGAGCCTTCCTGCATCTAAACTATAACTCTTCATAAAATGTCCTTTCAATGTGGTTTATCCAGGATATCGCAGGGAAGGAAGACTAAATAGTGTCTCACAGGGAAGAAGAACATTCTGCATTTCAGGTCACCACCTTGAGATACGAACACGTGCTTTTGAGATTTGGGGACCTTAATTCCTCTGGGAAACTCCTCTCTTTGCTGAGTGCTGGGGCTGCCCAAGAAGCATGGGACCCTTGGAGCCTTATTATAGCCCCATGGGTCAGACTGAAGATCAGGTGGGTACATTGTGTTTGAAGCAACATCTGTATCTCCCAAGCCACGGCAAAGGAGCATCTGAAACTCATCCAGATTTAGTAGATGAGACTAAGCTGGTGAACACTCAGTTCCATTTAACCCCTTATTGGCAGCCTATGCTCACACTCTTTCCTGGTTGGCAAGTGAAGAAGGTGGGTATAGGGGATTTTGGCAAGGATGTTAGTGGATAGAGTATTTTTTGACTGGGCATGGTGGCTCATGCCTGTAATCCCAGCACTTTGGGAGGCTGAGGCGGGTGGATCACCTGAAGTCAGGAGTTCAAGACCAGCCTGGCCAACATGGTGAAACCCTGTCTCTACTAAAAATACAAAAAATTATCTGGGAGTGGTGGCAGACGCCTGTAATCCCAGCTACTCGGGAGGCTGAGGCAGGAGAATCGCTTGAACCCAGGAAGCAGAGGTTGCGGTGAGCCAAGATTGCATCACTGCACTCCAGCCTCGGCGACAAGAGTGAAACTGTCTCAAAAAAAAAAAAAAACAACAAACAGTAGTTTCTGAGGACGAACCTTGCACCAGGAGCTGTGCTAAGTGCCTTGATTGATCTGTACCTTCTAGATAGGTCATACTATTATTATTTCTATTCTAGGACCAGGGAAGTAAATCTGAGAAAAGGTCATGCAGCTAGTACGTGGTTGTAGAAGGCAGAGTATAGGTTCAGCTGCTGTAGCAAAGACCTAGACTAACATTGGCCTAAACAAGGTGGAAGCCGGTTTGTCCCTCATGGAACAGTGCTGGGGTTGGGGTCTACTAGGGCTGCTATGGAAACTCTGTCTGCATGGTCACCCAGTTCCCAGTCTTTTTCTGGCCTTACAATGTTGCCCTCGTTGACATGGGCCAAGATGGTGCCCACTGTGTTTACATTCTAGCCTCTGGGAAGAGGGAAGCTGGGAGGGGAAGAAGGGGCACACCTTTTCTCTTTAAGGGTGTTACTCAGAACTAACTTGGATCTGTTGTTTCTGTTCACATTCCATTGGTCAAAATTTGGTCACCTAGCCACCCCTAGCTGCAGAGGTGGCAGGGAAGTCTTTCTTTTGGAGCTAAAAATGGGAGATCTATTACTATAGAAAACATGATGAACAGCTATTGGGTGACAGCTAGTGTTTCTGTCCCAGAGGTGGAGCTGGGATATGCGTCCAGGAGGACTATGCATGGGTTCACGCCTCTCCCTCTTCACTACCTCCTCCTGGAGGACATCTAGGTCAGCATCAAGGAAGAAGAGTCCGGAGCTAGACCAAGATCCTTGGGCAGGGGTGGCGGGTATTTCTGCTGATCCTCGGATTCTCTGGGCCTAGCACAGTGTAGGGCGCAAAGCAGGGTTCAGTAAATCCATCTTAAAGAAAGGGAGGGAGAGGGAGCCAGCCTTGCAGATCCAACCCCAGCCCAATGAGCTGAGCAAACCTGGATGTGAATCTAAGGGGGCTGGGAACTGAGACACCAATAGCCAGAAGGCAGCTGGGTCTGGAGGGGTTCCCTTGGGGGTGGAGCTCTGCAACTGCTTTGGGCTGGACCAGAGGTTCAGGGTATCCTTTTGGCTCCCAGGGCTTAACCCCAAGATTGAAGGACATCTGTGAGCTTTGCTTCCAGAATGGAAATTTTTTAAGAAGCCACCTTTGGGAGGAACTGAATCTCTGTCCTGGTGGTGGTTGCTTGGGCCATGCCATATACTTTCTGAATTTGGTTGCAGCTGCTTGTAGGTCCGTGTTTGTCAGCTGCTGCCCCCAAGTAAGGCTGTCTGCAAGGAAGGGTCTCTGCCTCCCTCCTGCTGTACCCCAGCTGCCCACTTTAGCTGGCCCTGACTTATCTAGTACAAAATGCAGTTACGGTCTGACCTTTCAGAACCCCGGGCCCCCATGAAGGCATCCTTGAAGGGCTTTCAAAGGCAGCATACTGCATATGAGGAGTTTAAAGTTTGCCTGTCTCTGTGACTGTATTTTCTGAGCAAAGCTTTTCTCCATGCAGGTGCGCAGAAGGAAAAATAAGTAAGCATAAGAGGTTCCAGTTTGGAATTTTTCAATCATCTGAATGTTGTTCTTGGCAAGGAGTAATTTAAAACAGCTGTTATGGGTTACATTTTTAGACCAGTTAGAAATAAGGGTTTCACCACAATCATATTCTTTGATCATCCTAATTATTTTTTTTTCTTTTTCCCAGTTATCTCTCTTGTGCTGAGTAACTGAGGAGCTACCTATCAGGTTTAGCGTCAGTTACAGACCTGTTTCAAGCCTGGCAGTTGGAGGGAAGAGAAAAGCATTAACACGGAGCAGCAGCGCCCCAGGCTGAGACAGAGCTTACAAGGTCTAGACAGTTATGAAATATGTGGGACTCTTTAAAAAGAAAGAAAGAAGGAGAGAAACGCACATGTTTTAGGTTCTCCATGCTTGTATTCTGTATTTGTATAGCTGAGAAAGCTTTAGTTTAAAATAAGTGGTATTTGGCAAGCAGTGGTATTGCATGCTGACAAATTGATTGTGCTCTTTTACTTAGATAAAAATGAAAATGCATGAGGCATGTTGCTTTTTTCCCCCTCTTGATGATTAAAAAACGTCTACTTGGCTCTCTGCAGAGACAGCCCTTGAAGATTTATATGAAACACCTGTGTGGCATCGATCACAGGCCTTCAGGCTGACAGAAGCAGCTATGCTTCATGGCGGTTAAAATGCCAGGTCCTGGGAGGGGGTTTGGAAAGACCTGAATAAGGGTCTGTATGCCAGGCTTGGGTGGGACCCTTCGGTGAGGGTCTTTGAATTTTAATAAAGGACCTCCCCACGCTGTTCATAATGATGTAGGGCTTAGAGCAGCTAGGCAGGAGGCTAAGCATGCCCTGGGGTGATGAACAAGACAAAAGCCTTCCCCTACCCGGCCTCAGTTTCCCCACCAGGAAGATGAGGCCATCAGACTAGCTTTCCTTTCGGTTTTCTACAAGCTCTATGACTATGTTCCCCTCAACACACCCTTTCTTAGGCTCTGGCGTTATTGGGCCATAAAGGATGAGGATGTCAGTGCAGACAAGGCACTCCGCTTCCTGTGTAGCAGTTCACAGCCTGGGCCAGCACAGGGAGAAATTTGGAAACAAGTATGTTATGATGCAGCCATCAGCTGCAGTTGATGTGTTGGGTCATGAATTCATTCATTCATTCACTGGTCAAACGTTATTGCACCCCGGCTCTGTGCCAGGTTCTATGCTGGGTGCCAACATGTGCAGGGAACTAAGCGACCTGGTCCCTGACTGCTCCAAGTCGGGTCCACCCCATTTGGGCTTCTGTCCTGTTGGCTTAAGGACTTGCCCTGGTGTAGGTCTCAGCACAGGAATGTGCTGTGAAATGCAATTCCAACACCCTATTAAAGCCAAGCATTTACTTCTGGACCCCGGGGACTTTAAGACACACCCTTAAGGAGCAACGGATTTGTTTTGACAAAAGGAGTGTAAACAGGATCCTGGTGAATAGCTTTCTCATGGCTGCTCCTGCTTTCATCAATTGCATATTTATTGGTGACCTCATAAGTGTCCAGACTGTCCTGGGCTCTACAGGGGAGGCAAAGGGGGTGGCGGAGGAGAGAGAGAATTTACAGCTTAGTTGGGGAGGCAAGGCCAGCTCTCAGGATAGCCAGCGAAGGTGTGAGACAGCACATCAGTTACATGATCACACATGTGGTGCAGCTCACAGAACTGAAGGAACTCAGGGCAGGAGGGGGGCAGCTACTCGGCTCAGCTTTTCTTTTTGGGAAGAGCAACGGAAGAAAGGGCATTCCAGATCATTCTCCTGGCCCAGCCACTAGATGTTGAGGCCCAGTTGATAGCCAGCCCCAAAGCTGCCACAGCTTTCCCATGTCTTTCTATCCTGGAGGCTGGAGCACCCCTGGACCTGAGGAAATTGATTGACCAATAGGTCATTGGTACATCTAGGTGACAGGGGTGCCTCCTCCCCACCGTGGACCCCTAGAGGTTGCCAGATGGTGCCACTGATGTGATGTCATCCACCTCTCAGGGTCCCGAGTCTTTGTCTGCTGCTGCCATGGATCCCTTAAAAGTTAAAAGATGCAGAATAATTGTTCTGCTGTCAGCAAGAGCTGAGTTCACATCCCAGCTCTGCCTCTTGCTAGCCTGTGACCTTGTGCCATTTCCTTCTCAGTGTCTCGATTTTAGGCATCTAAAATGTGGGCTGATGATAGCACCTGTTCTGGAAGGCTGTTGTGAGGATTGCATGAGACATGCATGTAGTGTGCCTAGCATTGTGCCTGGTACGCAGGAAGCACCTCATTCATGTCAGTTGCTATTGTTTCCATTATTGTTATTATAATACATCAGGTGGCAAAGTGGAAAGGCCAGTGTCTGAACCAAAGCTCATGTCTTTCTGAAAACCAGCTCTACCAAACTCTAAAGATCCGTGTCGAAAATCCCGACACCACGAGCTAGAATTCTGCTAAGCTCTAGCCTTCCCTGTGTTAGATTCTGCTGAAGCAATGTGCCTCTCCCCCATCTCTCATCTGGAGTGTGGGCATTGGTGAGCTCGTGTGCCTGTGAAACACCCATCTCTTCCTCCTTCAGGACACGAAGCCTAGCCCTTCTTGAGTCTGGGGCCAAGCTGAGCAAAGATGGAAGGAGGCTTGGCAAGAGTTGATGTCATTTGACATTTAATCACCAAAGACCCAGATTGGGTCCCAGCGAGTTAAACCCACTGCGCCCTGTTCTTGGGCAGACAGGGTTGGGGTGTGGTCACATGGTTGGCTGGGAGAATCGGAGCTGTATCTAAGACTCTAAGAGCACAGAATAATTGCTTTCAAACATTTGTCCTCTACATCCCAAGAATGACAGCCAAAGGGCAGTATAACAGAAAGACAGGCTTGGTCTCAAAATGGGAATGGCCTCACAGCATGGTGTTGATAAAGAGTATTGGATGCTCTGCAGGTGAAGTGCTTCCTGTCCCTGTGAGTGCACACGCCAGGGCTGGCTGAGCCCTTGATGGGGATCATGTTGGGAGGATTAAGGGTGGCTGGGGGTCTTGGGACCCTGAGACATCAGGACTTTCAGGAGACCATCAGTTGCCTCCACCTTCCGAGGCATTCATTTCTCCAGCTGCTTTTGGCCAGCACAGCCGTGATCCTCGCTAGACCCCGGCCAGTGGCCCAGGAAGAAGCCAGGCGCCTCGGCAGGGCCAGGGCAGGAAGAGCCAGGTCTGCCTGGAAGCTGCTATTTGCCTTGGTCCCTGGCTTGCCCAGCCGTTTCCTGGCCCGGCCCTCCGTGGCTTTTGCTTGATTAGCTCATAGCTCCAGGGGAAGCCAGACCCCGGGCCCTGGAAGGCAAGATGGGCCCCCAGTCCTCCCTGGCAGGCCAGGGCAGCGTGCAGGAAGGATGGGCTGGGCATTGCCATGTGAAGTCAACCTGAAATGCACTTGGGAGAGACTGAGGCACTGAGCGGAAGTAAAGACTCCCAGATTTCCTGAAATGAAAGCCAGGGCTCCTTGGCGCCCCTCAGAGCCCCAGGCCTCTGCGAAATGCTGCCTTTAAACTCATGCTTGTGTTGCTCCAGCCGTATTGCCACGTCGCAGGTGCGGGGTGGTGCTGGGGGCGGGGGATGGCAGCTGGGTGGGTTTAAAGATCCCCAGCAGTGGTGAACCCTCCTTGGGGCTCTGACGCTGGAGAAAGGCCCCATGCCCTGTGATGTCTCCATTCCCACCAGGCTCACAGCCCCACTGTGAAGCTACCGAAATGGGAGGCATTTAAGCCCCCCTTGTTCATCAGCCCTATTTTGTAAAAGGGGAAACCAAGGTCCAGAGAGAAGAATGATGGGTCAGAGGTCATGCAGGGTCAGACGTGGAGCTGGACACAAAGCCCAATCTCCTAGCCCCAGTCCCATGCACCGATGTGCTTTCTCGAAAGGGGCATGCCAGGCAGGGCCCCTGGGCTCAGACCGCCTCACTTCTGGGGGCTCTGGGCTTACTGTGCTGCAGCTCTGAGCAGCAGGCAGCCTGGCCCAGCCTTGCCTCCGCCCAGGGACCTGAGCCCAGGGAGCCATGCTGACCCTTTCGTTGCCTTGGACAGAAGCCACCTTAGGCACAGCCCTCATCATCTACTTGGTTCAGGGAGGCCTTCACTTCTGGCAGAGCATCAGGAGAACGTGGGCTGGAGATATATACTCCCCAGTTTGGAAGCGTGTGGCCTCCCTGTCACAGTGATCTGTTTGTTGGTTTGTTCAATCATTCATTCATTTTAGATAAACACCTGTGCTCCTGCCTGGGCCGGGCACTGATCCAGGTGGTGGGGATAAAATGGTGAACTGGACCTTACAGTTAATGCAGTGTTGGAATCACCTAGGGAGCTTTTTAAGAAAATACTGACGCCCTGGAGATTTGATGCAGTCGGTCTGGGTGTGGCCTAGGAGTTTCACTTTCTAAAACTGCATGTATCTGGATGAAATTTCTTTACAAGGAGAAAAAAGGTTGTAGAAAGAATGTCCTTCTAAGTGGATGGTGTCCCAGGTGCTTTTAGGCGGAGCACAGGTGAGGAAAGGCCCTGGGTGTTCAAGACACAAACAGTGGTCATCACTGACCAAGGCTGTCCCAGGTGCCCCGTCCCGGCTCACTGGAAGGTCCCGCCACAGGCCACGCAGGGTAAAACAAACCCGAAGTTCTTCTGAGCAGCTGCGCATTCCCCAGGCCCCGCACGGAAAGGAGAGCTGTCTGGCAGTCACAGTTCTTTGCTTTCCAGGCTCTTCCTGATCTCAGTGATTTTGCAGCTGTGCTTTTAGGAGAGCTGTTTTCCCCTCATTTGTAAAAACTCAAAAATATGGAAAAATAGAAACAACCACAGGTCACGCATGGGTGTGTTTCCTTTTTGCCCCGGCTCTTAAAGCACCAGCACTGCTGATGCGCCAGGTGCCTTTTCTGCGGACGCCTCTTTGGTGTCCCCAGGCTAGCACAAAAGTGGAGGTTGCAGTCAGCCTGCCGGGCTTCCGGGCAGAGGAGAGGGCTCAGAGCACAGTGCTTTGGACCTTCTTTCCGATATGCCAGGCCCCTTCCAGCGACTGCCTGTCCAGCATCAGGATCTACCTGCCAAGTGGTCCTGCCGTTCCCTCAGTCCACCCCCACCCCTGACCCTCCGTTTACCCAGCCAGTTCTTTGCCCATTCCCACTGCAAGGAGATATCTAAATTGTTTGCCTTTTTTGTCCTTGGTGATAGAGGTCACTGCCGGACTCTGGCAGCTCCATTACTGCTCATGGTGATGGTATAGTCCATGTCCTGTCCATCTCAGCCCCCAGCCCTTCCCCAGACTCCTGGATACCTCCCTGACTGCATCTGATGGGTTCAAGCCAGAGACCTGGACCCTCATCAGAGAGGCAGGGGCCCGCACAAGCACCCTTCCACCCACCCTTTTCTTCCTTCCACAGACCCACAGCCTAGAGCCTTCTTTCCTCCCCACTGTCCCCGCCACACTTCCCCTGCCTGGCAGCCCAGGCCCAGACACCCTGCGATTCAGTGGTTTCACATGTGGCTTCTCCAAGTGCCACCAAACTTTGTGAGACTTGGGCTTAATAATTTCGATCCCACAGAAACATGTGACAAGCACAAGACATTCCGTAAAACTAGAGCCCAGAACGAGAGGGACGAATGGCACAGGAAGATGGCAGGGCTTGGTTTGGGTGTGTTTGTGTGACACACCATATGTCATTTTTTATTCACACAAAAACATCTTTCTTGAAGTAATAGAAGGCCACTCAGCTGTTGCTAACCACATACCAAATGTTTCCTTTTTCCTCTCCTGCGCCTTCCAAGGGGCGGGCTGGGAAGCTCTGCTGTTATCCGTGATGCCATCTCGCCTTTCAAACGTCAGAGAGCTTTTTCCTCGGAGCAAACGCCCGATTGTTTTTTCCAGCTTTGGCAGGAATTTTTAAGAGAAAGCTGTTTTCGAATCACTTCTCTGTTTATTGTTTCAAACCTGAAATACGGCAGAGTAGAGGGCTGGCAGCCTCTGTCTGATCCTCTCTCCCCATGTCCATTTCCTAAATTGCATTAGGATCTATCAGGGACCCCCTTCTCTGCCACAGCCCCCCGTAACCTGGTATTTTGGGAAAATGAAGTTAAATAAAATAAAATAAACCTTCAGTTGGTGGAGAGATGGTTCCAGGCATCCCTTTGGACACCCCCCTCCTTCCACCCCCCCGCCCCACTCCAGCCTCACAACCTTTACAATCAACATGTGGTTTCATTTCCAAGAGCCCCAGTGTTAGCATTTCCATTTCCTCAGGAAGCCGCGTTCCGTCCTTGCTCTTACTTCTGAAATTGAACGTGTGTTTTCCTTGGCCCGAGCTCTAGGAGTGCCTGGGGCAACAATGCACACAGTCCCAAGCAGGTTTCAGTGGGGTGGACAGCCCTCCCCGCACCCGGGCTGCAGCTTCTCCCCGCTCCCCGTCCCCAGGGATGGCCGCCCACTCTCCCCTAGCCCGGTGGGAGGGCCTGGCTGTGCTCGGGCCCCGTGGCCATCCGAGGGAAGCTGGGCCGCCCTCACTGCCTGTGTCCTCGCCACCTCCTATTGGGAAACTCTGGTTGCCCTCCAAGAGTCCACATACTGCAGGCTCTTAATTAAGAAAGTATGTTCCCATTTCATGTCACTCGAAAAGAATGAAAACAGTGACAGCATTTATTTATCTTAACTATCAATATCATTCCTGTTTCTCAGTCCGCTGGGGGTATGAGTCTTGAAGGAATTGACTGGGTTATGAGATTTGAACCTCGGGCATGTGCTGGTGGGACACATGTGGCCTGCTTCCGAGAAGGAGCCTTGAAGGAAGAGCAAGCAGGCTGGCATGGCCCTGCCCTGCCCTGCCCTCCCGGAGCTCAGGGCCGAAGGGCTCGGTGACAGTGGGGAACTCCTGCCTGCTTTGGTGCTAATGGAGAGTCAAGGTTCCTTTTTCACCAGCTACCTCCTATCTCCTTTCTCAGTCATCGGAGAAGTAAAACCCATCATTTCCTGAGTCTGATAGAGGAGATAGGATCTGTCCAGTGGCTGCTGTTTCTGTGGCACCTACTGTGTGCTGAGGCTGGGCCAGGTGCTCACATGCGTTGTTGCCAATCCCCGGCAGCAACCAGCTAACTCTGATGGCCTCAGGTAAAGGGACTTGCCCAAGACCACACAGCCATCCAGAGTTGCTCCACTGTGGAGACACTATTGCCATTTGGAGCAGAATAATTATGTGTGGCAGGGAGCTGTCCTGTGCATTGTGGGGTATTTAGCACATCCCTGGCCTCCACCCACTAATCAGTAGTAACCTCACAGTTGTGATAACACAAAATGTCTACAGACATTGCCAAAATTTCCCGCTGCTGAAAACCTCTGAGCTAGGGGATGGAGGTAGGATTCAGACCCAAGCCTGTGCTTGTTCGCCACCCTGTGCTAGCTCTGAAGAAGTCCTCACCCAAGCAAGGCAACCCTGCTTGCCTTTAGGATCCAGGCAGCGTGGTAGTGCTTTGGTGTTTCTGAACTATGTACTAATCAGCTATAGATATAGGCATTCTAGAATATTCATGAGGATCCAACTTCGTGGTGGAGGCTGAGGACAGAAGTTCTTTAATAGTACTGCCCCATCTTGCTGTGGTGTCCTGACAGTGTAGCACTTTACTGCAAAGCCTTTGCATATAGGTTTTCATTTTGAGTCTTCCAGATACTCATTATATCTGAAGGCTTATTACTCAGCACCAATAAATTGCAAGGGACTGAAACCCAACTCAAACTAACTTAAGGGTTAGAGGAAGTCTGTTGGTTTATGTGACTGAAAAGTCCAGGGGTAAATCTCATAGCTTCAGGTATGGCTGGATCCAGGTCTCAAACATCATCAGGACACTATTTATTATTCTACTTTCTACAGTTTTGATTTCATTCTCTGACAGGTTCTTTCTATATGGCCACAAGATAGCCACCAGCAACTCCAGGCTTACATGGTCCTAAGAGTTAAAGGCTTCAAATAAAGAAAAAGTAACTTTCCTTAGAGTGCCAAAAAATGTTCAAGTAAAGACTCAGATTGGTAAGGCCTGGGCCCTGTGCTCATCTCCGAGCTTGGTGTTGGCCTCACCCAAAGAATTATTATAGGGGAAGGGATGACTCTCCAAAGAAAGGAATACAAGACCTTGTGTTTCTAGAGCAGTTCAAAGTGTGGTTCGTGGACTGATTTTACTGGTCTGTGATAAGTACAGAGATGCTTAGAAACACTCATAGCAATTCGTTGTGGCTGTAGCATCCAGGTGTGTGATCAGTGGACTCATCTTGTGGAACAGGTGATAAAGCAGTTGGCTGTTGTCAGACTCACGTGGAAAGTTGGGAACAATGGAGATTTACAAAAGTATCAGTCCGTGATGGATTGGAAATTTAAAAAACTGGTTCTTTTCCATAGATAGCTGGAAAAGCACTGCTTTAAACTGGAGAGTATGTTAAAACACAGATTTCTGGGCCCTACCAGTGGAATTCTGATTCAGTCAGTAGGTGATATGGTTTGGCTATGTCCCCACCTAAATCTCATGTTGAATTGTAGCTCCCATAATTCCCACATGTGTGGGAGGGACCTGTTGGGAGGTAATTGAATCATGGGGATGGGTCTTTCCCATGCTGTTCTCATGATAGTGAATAAGTCTCACAAGATCTAATGGTTTTATAAAGGGGAGTTCCCTTGCAAACGCTCTGTCTTGCCTGCCACCATGTAAGACGTCCCTTGCTCTTCTGTCATGATTGTGAGGCCTCCCCAGTCACGTGGAACTGTGAGTCAAGTGAACCTCTTTCCTTTATAAATTACCCAGTCAGGTATGTCTTTATTAGCAGCATGAGAACAGACTAATATAGTAGGTCTGAAGTGGGGTGGGGGGAATGAGAATCTGCATTTTCAGTAGGCTCCCAGGTGGAATATTTTGAGAGTTACTGAAATGTGACACAGACAGGAAGTTCGCACATGCTGTTGGGGAAATGAAAATGGTGCGGATAGACTTGCTCGACACGGGGTTGCCACAAACCTTCAATTCATATAAAAAATGCAATATCTGCAAAAGACAATAAAGTGAAGTGCAATAATACGAGTGTGCCTGCGTAGTCTGCGGAGGCTTTCACTACAACAGCGAGCTGAATCGTTGTGAAAGAGACCATATGGCCCTCAAACTACTACCATATGGCTAGTAGTAAATATCTCCCACTAGCCCTTTACAGAAAAGTTTGCCTACCCTTGCCTTAGAACCAGGGGGTGAGATGCGAGATCAGGAATCCCTATTGAGGTTGGATGGAAACAGTTTTTGGAATCCTGGTTGAAACTGACCTCCAAGGTTGATCTTGGAATCTGGTCTAAGTCCCTGTAATCATCTGCATTTGTGAAGCTGGCATGCCAAGAAGGTTTGCAGGTTGAGAAGGGGCTTAGAGGTTATTATTCGAACCCCCTTATTTTATGGATGAGGAAACTGAGACCAAGAAAGGGGAAGTGACTTGTCCAAGGTTACACAGAGAATTGATGGCAGAGCTGAGACCGACCCCTGCCCAGTGCTCATCCACTGTGGTGTCCTTGGCAACAGGCCTGGGGTGTGGTATCTTTAGTGGCTTACAATGAGAATAGGCTAAGAGGCAAGCGAGGTCTCTCCCAAGCACCCAAACCTCACCAGGTGAAGGTGGTGAGGACAGGGGCCCCTTGGCTTGCTGTGCCCTCTGTTGGTTGACGTACCCTCTGTTGGCTGACAACTTGGCAAGTGTGAGCCCTGTCCTGGGAAGGGCAGAGTTGGAAGTGAGTTGGCTGTGCCCAGGCCCCCAAGACGTGTGTTGCTTATTGTATGTGCATGTGTCTTAGCATGTGGATTTTCAGCCAGTTACATTCATTACCAAGGAAGTGTACTTGCTGGTACAGTTTGGATATTTGTCCCTGCCTAAGTCTCATGTTGAGATGTAATCCCTAATGTTGAGGTGGAGCCTGGTGGGAGGTGTTTGGGTCATGAGGGCATTGTTGGTGATAGTGAGTTCTTGTGAGATCTGGTTGTTGCAGTGTGGCACCTCCCCTTCAACTCTCCTCTGGCCATGTGACATGCCTGCTCCTGCTTCACCTTCTACCACGATTGTAAGCTTCCTGAGGCCTCCCCTGAAGCAGATGCCAGTGCTATGCTTCCTGTACAGCCTGTAGAACCATGAGCCAATTAAACGTGTTTTCTAATAAATTAACCAGGCTCAGGTATTTATAGCAATGCAAGAATGGCCTAATACACTTGCTGGCCACTCACTTAACACTACTTGCTGGTTCTCGCCCCTTCACGCCTCACCTCCCATCCCTGAGTGACCTACCACTTTCTGTCTGTTTTCTTTAGGACAGTCTTGAAGATCCACTCAGTGACATCCTATGGTGGTCTCAGACCTAGCCCAGAATTCTTGTCCTAATTCACCTTCTCCCACACTTCAGCACACCCTGCAGGTCCTCCTGGCATCTCACCTGGAGGTTTCACCTCCCCACTGTAGCTTCTCCTTGCCCCTCCTCCCAGCCTCAAGCCCCATTCTCTCTGGCTTTGACCTTTTTCCCTCTTCTTCACCTGGACTCAGCTTCTCCCCCTGCCTGCATTGTCTGCTCATTCCCATATTCTAGTGTGCTCTCCATGGCCACCACCCCTGAAACTGACCCAGCATCATGAGAGGATGTCTTGCCCCCTCTGCCACGACACCTTCCAGGACACTTCCCAATTGACTTATGCAGTTTTGTTACATAGACATTGTTATGTGGCTTCTCTTTCCAGTGTTATCCATGAATGTGCCTCCCTCTCACACTGGCCAGTGAGCAAACTGCTAAGGACAAGGACTAAGCAAGTGTCTGGTACCTTGCTAAAGGGACTGCCTGCTGGGTAGACATGGTTCTGTCTGAGCGCAAGGCTGGAATTCAGTGTGTTGCAGGAAGGTGTGGCAATCCCGCCTTCCCAGGCCAGCTGTGGGCATGCCGGGGAGGTGGGGAGTGTCAATCCCTTGAAGAAACAAACAACACATGTCGTTTTCTTGAAGCCAGTTCAGTCCAGCTGCTCACCAAAGCAGGATCCCAGCCGCAGGAGCTGGTAGCCTCCCTGCCCAAAAGCTGGGGCCTGAGCCCACAGGCCACAATAGCTCCCAAACCAATGACTTCCTCTGTAAATGTCTCAGACTTGCCGCCACCCCATTTTTGTCCCCTTTTCTGTGGACTGCACGTGAATCATTTTTGCTCTAAATTATTGATTTACCAGTGAGACACTGAATCCATTCCAGACTCCTGGCCTGAGAGTCCAGCCCTTTCCTGTGTGAGTCCAGCTTGCCTTCCCAGTGTATCTCCCAGCACCCTCCTGTGTGCATAAGTAGGCCTAGCCCCTCCCAGGGTGCTCTGCTCCTTAGTCAAGGGCACAGCTCAGTGCCCTGCAGCTTATGATGGGCTTTCTAGACCCTTCCCCTTTCCCAGTCACCTTCCTCTTCCAAATGTCACATCACAGAGATGATGTCCTCCATTCTTGGCCAGCTGTTAATTCCAAGCCTGTTGCTGGATCAGTAACCGGCCAGTGGGTATAAGATGTGTCCCTTCCCACTGACCCACCCACATATCCCCACGTGTTGAGTTCAAGAAGATACCCTTAACATCAAAGGAAACTTCTAGTATCAAAAAGCAGGAGACCTCAGAAGAGAGTTTGTTGAGTGAATGAAGGACCCAAAATAGCAAAGTTAGAATGGCTGGATGATTTGTGGATACTTAGGGGCCGAGGAGCTCCCCATACCCTACTCCCTAATGCCTTTTTTTTTTTTTTTTTTTTGAGACACAGTTTCACTCTTGTTGCCCAGGCTGGAGTACAATGGCACGATCTTGGCTCACTGCAACCTCCACCTCCCAGGTTCAAGCCATTCTTCTGCCTCAGCCTCCCAAGTAGCTGGGATTACAGGTGCCTGCCACCACGCCTGGCTAATTATTTTGTATTTTTAGTAGAGACAGGGTTTCACTATGTTAGCCAGGCTGGTCTTGAACTCCTGACCTCAGGTGATCCACCCGCCTCGGCCTCTCAAAGTGATGGGATTACAGGCGTAAGCCACCGTGCCTGGCCACTACTCCCAAATGTCTTACATAAAGCAGCCTCTTTCTGGCTTGGAGGAAAAGATCAATGAGGCACATGGAAAGCAGGAGTTCCATGTTCTAGAAGAGCAAGTGCGCATGCGCGTGCGTGTGTGTATGTGCGTGCGTGTGTGTGGACAGTGTGTGTGTGCCTGTGTGTACAGCATCCCAGTGTTCTCCCACCCCTAAAGATAGATTTGGAGACAGAGAGAAAAGTCTTCTGCCCTTGTCCTAGGTGTTTCTCCTCACCAACCCCAACAGACCACACTTTGGAGAAAGATTGTGGGCAGGCCCCCTTCCAAGCTGGATTTCAACAACATTGCCAGCTTCTGTTGAAACAGATCCGAAAGGGTCCACTCCAAGCATGTATCGTAGAACTTCTCATGCTTCCAACTTCAATGTCATTGACTTTCCAGAAGCAACCTATACCTCGGGTTTGCTCTTGATACATCAAGAACTTTGATTTGCGCCTCCTCCTGTCACCTTGATCATTCCCAAATTCGTATTCTTCCTTCTGTGGCCTCCTTATCCATTTCTATAGGAACTGTAAATGTTGCACTAGGGATGATTTTGTTTTTGTGTGTGTGCTTGCTCAGAAAATGAACCCATTGATCTTGATTTGAGGTGAAGAAAGAAATCTAAAAAGATCATTACTGGTCCTTTTATTTCTCTCTAGGCTTCCAACGAGTAGTTTTTTTGCCTGGGATCCTCTCTACAGCTGGGAGAGGCTCGGAACTGAGGTGCTGACAGCTTGTGTTGGAATCGCATGGTGTTTACTGTGCTGGGAGTTTATAACGGCCTTGTTTCCATACTGACAGCAAATGCCATATGGAGAGAAAAAAAAATCTGTCAAATGAACCCTTAAGGGATCACAATATGGCACATGAAATCTCAAAACTGCTTTTGGAAAAGGTGGGGGTAGAGGGGTACCTTGCTTAAATCACATAAGCAGCATGGTGCTCTCTCCCATAATTGAATAAAAATGGAATTTGACACAAGGTAATTTACTTTGGTTCTGTGTTTGTGCTGGGAAAAACTGATTGGGAAAGGATGCAAAGATTTGTTTTCCTCCCCTTGGGGGATTGTGTTGAGTGGGAGGCAACGGGAATGCAGGCTGTATCTGCAGGGCATTGTGCTAACAGGTGCAGGCTGCAGACCTGTCACAGGCCGCTGAGACCAGGTTCCCTACTGTGGCTGATGATCACACTCATCTAGCTTGACATTTTATTACTGTCATTTGAGATCTTGTCTGTTCACCCACACACACTCCTGCTGACCTCTCCAATCTGAGTCCAAGCTCCCTGCGGGCTGGGACCACATCCCTAGGTACCCCTCCCCGTCAGAACCTGGCACACACTGAGGCTAAATGCTTGTTGGAGTGGCTATTTGTGAACCATCTGTGCTGGGAGCGGTGGAGACTGCGCCCACGGCTGAAGGGCAGAGTTTAGGCTGCAGTCCAGGGCTAGTTGGAGCCACAAAACCATTTGAGAGTGGGCCAAGAGGGGACTTGGCAGGTTGCTCATCCATGCTGATCCAAATACTCACTCGGGAGAGAATGAAACGTTTTAGAGTGCCTTCTTCAACATACGCTACTTAGACCGGGCGAATTCCTCCCAAAAAAACCTTGCCCTCAGGTAGGTTACCCATGAAAGAAGGGGGCCTGGCCGCGGCTCTTTCCGTTCCAGGAGGCAGACAGCGGAGTGCTGAGGCCGTGTCCCCGTGTGGTGAATAAATGCCCGGGAGGGCGGGCTGCCTTCAGGGCTCCTCTCTCCGCTCATCTCCGCTTGTGTGCGGGCTGCGCCTCCGTGGGCTCTCGCTGCGTGGGGGGAAGGCGGTCTCAGCAGCCCTCGGCTGACCAGTCATCCCCAAGAACCCTGCTGGCATCCCAGGGAACAGACAGTGTCTTTCCTGGAAGTTCTGGCAAAAGCCCTGGGAGGACTCCGGGGCCCCCACGGATCACAGGCCCTGACCTGATTGGCTAGAACTGAGGCATGGCCACCCTTGAACCTGTCATTATGGCCAGAGAGAGAGGCCTCTGATTGGCTGTGACTAAGTGACGTGTCCATCCGTGACCGTAGCACTGTGGCCAGGAGACAGAGGCCTTTTGATTGGCTGTGACTGAGTCACGTGCCTGTCTCCGTAGCATGGGAGGCGTCAGCTCCCCTTTTAGATTCAGAGGCTTGGGTTGAATTGGTGCAGACTGGGAGAAAGGAGGTTCCCTAAAGGAAAGGGAGATGGAACAGACCAAATTATCACATCCATAACGATGAGAAATGGGGTTTATTAATGTGCCAGCATCTGGTCTGAGTGGTTTCTATGTATTGTCTTATTCATTCTTCGGGACGGTCCTAGGAGTTAGGTCTGCTTACCGTCCGCAGTTTACAGACTAGACAACTGAGGGGCAGTGTCAAGCCTGTTGCCCCAGGTTACACAGGCAGTGAGCGATGGGCTGGGATTCAAACCAAGGCAGTTTAGCTCCAGAGCCCACACTGACACTCACAGCTACCACGAGATCCTCCCTCCCGGCAAGCCATAGCTTTACATCCTGTGGATAAGCATTTTGAGACTAAGAATCAAAGTGTGCCAGCGCAGTGGTTGTGTTCATATCCCCTTGTTGCCTGGCGTATCTCAAGAGAAATCCTTTCTAGGGGGGATGGTGTCTTAGCTCCTCTACACCAGGTAGACTATAGTCATCCCTTCCCTGCAAGTTGCTGTCCTTCCCAGGCTCTATCGCCCTCTTCCCTGTTTCCCACGAACTCATCCGACTGTGTCCCGTGCAGCTGCAACATCGATGGCCTAGTGTTCCGTGCTCCAGAGAGCCTGAGACAGCATGTTTCAGTGGTTCCTTCGAGTATCTTCCTGGCCAGAGAGAACTTCTTGGAGAGGCTTTAGCATCACTGCAGGAAGAACCAAAAGGGAAAGGGCCCCCATCCCAACTCCAGCATGCCCTTCTTGTTTTCAGAGGAGAACACAGAGGCCCAGAGAGGGCAAGTGAATTGCTTGAAGTAACACAGCAAATTGTTGGCTAACACCATGGTCTCTGGGCCTCTTGGTGGGAGTCTTGCAGTATTTCCTCTTCAGAACCCTCTTGGCTATTGAGTGGGTAAGCGCGGGTGACTTCCTGTCTCTGTGCCTTTAGTGCCTAACTGGAAAAGTCAGGGTTTTCATAATTTGAAGCATCCTAAGACTGGGCTTTTCTCCAGTTGGGCAAAAATGATTTTTAAAAACTGTATCCATTAGGATGCTTTGAATTAGAAGTAATTTCTAAAAGTGTTCAAACTGCCCTAAACAAGGAGAATGTGTTGTCTCATAAATCAGCTTTTCAGATATGGTTTGAGCTACAGGCATGGTTTGATCCAGAGATTCATGACATCACCAGGGCACCAACTCTACTTCTTCTAATTTCCCAGCTCTCACCTCCTTGATGTGTCAGGCTCATCCTCATCGCGGCTTTTCTTGCAGTGTCAAGAACACTGCTGCAGCACCTGGCTTCACACCCACTCACCATGACCTCCAGAGGAAGAGAGCACCTCTGCTCCAGTGTTCCCAGGGAGTCTGCAGTCCACTCTGATTCGACTGGCTTACATTACAGGCCTGCCACCCTTATCCAGTCACTGTAATCAGAGAATGTGATGTGCTTAATGGCCACCAAGGAGATGGAATCACAGTCCCCAGAACTGCTGGCATGTCCATACAGAAATCAGAGCATTGGACTGGGGGTGTGGGGTGGGGAGTAGAGGCTGGGTCATCACTGGTGCCTTCTTCTACACTGACGTCTCTCTGAGTCTGTGAAGACCATGAAATGAAGAAGGCGTTCTGAGAGTTTGCCAGTCACCTTCCTCCATCCATCTAGGGCTCTGAGCCCAGGTGTGGGAATGACAGGAAGGCCCTGCCTGGCCTTCTCCTGGGTCTCATCACATTCTTCTTTTCTTGTCTCCAGACAGAGATTACTGCAGTTTATGTGACAAGCAGCCAATCGGGAGGCTGCTTTTCCGGCAGTTTTGTGAAACCAGGCCTGGGCTGGAGTGTTACATTCAGTTCCTGGACTCCGTGGTAAGTTCCTGCTCCTGAGGGATGGTCCTGTGGTCCTCTGTGATCAGTGATTGTTTTGGCTCAAAGGAAAAAATAGATCTCATGGGTTAGAAGACTGAGGAATAAACTCACTGCTTACAAAACTCCCACTACAGACTTTGATTAGGAATGCAAAATTGTCTGAGGATCTAAACACATGGGTGACCTTGGGTGACCTTGGGTGGGCCCCCTCCCCTCTGGACCTTAGTTGCTATTGCTATAAAGTGGAGCCCTATCAGCTCTTTGATTCTGGAAGCCTGGGTTATTATGGGAGGCAGTGCCTGGGGAAGTTAGGCCTAGCTCTTGGATCTCAAGGCCCCTTCCTCCAGCTGAGAACCCATTTTATAGAATTCCAAAGCTTTTGTCTGTTTGTACAATTGTTTATTGTCTGCTTCCCCATTAGAATGCAAGCTCCCTGAGGGCAGGACCCTGGGCTTCCTGTTCATACCTGCCTCACACAGTGCCCAGAATCTATGGGCACTCAATACATGTCAAATGAAGCACATGGCTGTCAAGCCGGTCTGACACCAATGGCTCCACTGGGCTCTGGCATGGATGACATGCCTGACACCATGGAGTCTTCCTTCACATGTGCTTGTTATTCTTTGTTTAACAAATGCTGATTGATTGCATGGGCTTTTAAGACAGGTTGTGGGAATAGTCAGGAGTTCCTCTGCACCTGCCCGGGGAGCCTGGGCACCTCGGTTCAGCCAACTGCCCTTGGGTTTCTATCCGAGGAAGGAGGACAAGAGGGAAGGAAGAGGAGTGGAGAGCGGTCATGAAGGGTGTGAAGTCATCCAGGCCCCTCCCCTCCCCGCCAGGTGCAGGGGCCGAGAGGCTGCTGTTTCCTGAAGGGCCCTCATGCCACCATTGGCTGCAGCCATCCCGACCTCTATCTCAGTTTGGGGGACAACCCTTTAGGGTTTCAAGTCTCTGTATCTGCTTCAAGATCTCGATGTGCATCTCTAGACCCACAAACCAAATTGCCCACTGGACATCTCCACTGAAGTCACAAAGGCCCCCTTAAAGTCAGTAAGTCCCAAATGCACTCAGGACTTTCTCCCAGGACCCCAAAGCTACCAGCCCTGAGACATTACCTGTTCCAGTGACCAGCACCCTATAGTCACCCGAGCCTGAAATCTTTGCACTCTTTGATGCCTTCCCCTCCTCGTCCTTCCCCAACCTGATCAGGCTCATGTGCTTGGCTCCTTGACCCTGCCCAGGCCAGCTCCCTCCCCTCTGCAGGCTCTGCCTTGGGCTTAGGGGAGGCTCTGCCTTGGGCTTAGGGGAGGCTCTGCCTTGGGCTTCGGGCAGGCTCTTGGCGCCTCTTGTGTGAGTGATTACAGTAGTTTTCAATCTTAGCTGGGCGTTAGAAACACCTGGGGAGCCTTAAAAACACACCAGAGCCTGAGCTGAAGCCCAGACCAATTAATTTGAATCTCTGGAGGTGGGGCCTAGTATTTTAATAACTTTTTATTATGGAAAATTTCAAGCTATAAAAAGTAAAAGTCGACAGAATAGTGTAATGAACCCCCAGGCACCCTTCACCCCACCTTTATGAACCCACAATTATGAACTCATGGCCAATCTTCTTTCATCCATTCCTCCATCCTTTACTCTGTAACACTTTGTAGCAATTTTCACATATTATCTCATCTGTGAACTTTTCATTATGTATCTCTGAATAAGAGCTCTTTAAAAAATAGTACTATCACAGCTTAAAAAATTCTTTCCTATCATCAAATGTTAGTATTCAGATTTCCAGTGTTCTCATACATTTTATGTGTATTTGTTTGAACTGGTCTGGCTAAGGTCCACACGTTGTGATCTGTTGATGTTTTCTTGACTCTAGGCTCCCCCATAACCATCCATCCCCCTTTGTAATACATTTGTTGTTCCTACAGAAGAGCTTCCCACAGTCTGAATTTTGTATTCTTATCCCTAAATGTCATTTAACAGGCTCCTCTATATTTCTTTCTTTTTTTTTTGTTTTTGAGATGGAGTCTCGCTCTGTTGCCCAGGCTGGAGTACAGTGGTGCGATCTCAGCAGACTGCAAGCTCCGCCTCCCAGGTTCACACCATTCTCCTGCCTCAGCCTCCCGAGTAGCTGGGCCTACAGGCGCCCGCCACTACACCCGGCTAATTTTTTGTATTTTTAGTAGAGATGGGGTCTCACCGTGTTAGCCAGGATGGTCTCGATCTCCTGACCTCGTGATCCACCCACCTCGGCCTCCCAAAGTGCTGGAACCACAGGCGTGAGCCACCGCGCCTGGCCTGGCTCCTTTATATTTCTTATACGTTGCTAGTTGGATCTAGAAACTTGACCAAATTCGGTTTCCGTTTTTGCAGGGTGGAGTGGGATTCGACTTCCTCAGTGGTTTCATGTTCTTCCATCAGGGGACATACACCATCTGGTTGTCTTTCTTTTTGAAATGGTAGCAGCTATTGCTAGTCTGTACCTGAATCTGTTAATTAACAAGGGCTTGCAACATGGCAACATTCTAATTCTGCCATTCCTTCTTCATTTGCCAACAGAGGCACTTCCTTTTGATGACCATGTGGTGACCCAGTGGTAAAGTTCATAGAGGAAATGGTTGATTCTTTTCTCGCATTAATGTTTCTAAAATACCAAACTGGTTCACTACCATCCTCCAGTAGCAGTAACTATTTTTAACTTGTGGTTTTAAACATGTTGCGTGTGTATTGTTGCACTGTAGTCATTATCCTGACTGATGCTCATCGTCTCATCAGTGGCTAGTGGGGGCCTCTCCAGGTTGGCTTCTGAGTCCCTGGCTGGGCTCCAGCAGTTATCAGTAGTCTCCTTGCTGTCTGATATGACGCAGGGTTCTGGGCTCATCTTGTACTAGATCCATTGTTTCTCAGAGGAGCTGTGATTCCTTTTACTGGGACATAGCAGTTGCAGGCCACAGTTTGGCACAAGGGTTATTACCACTAGGCCATCGATTCTAGCACCTATTGGCATTTTTCAAAGCTCCCAGGGGTTTAATGTGTATCCAGGGTTGGGAAGTAATGACATCTAGGATAAAGTCCAGGTTCCGAGGCTGACTTACCAGATCTTCCAGCATCAGCTCCTGCCCACCTTTTCACCGTTGGCCTTCCCGGAGTCTTTCTTCAGCTCTGTGTTCTGGCCCGACCACCCACTTCTGGCGTTTCTGACTTGCCAGGACAGTTCAAGCCTCTTGGCCCTAGCTCCCTCAGGCCTCCCTGCCTGAAATCCTCCCCACAGTCCCATTTGCCTGGCAAATGCCTACTTGTCCTTCTGTCCCCTGTTCTCAGAGGCCCTCCCGATCTCCCTCTTCCTCTCTCTCCTGCTGTGCCCCTCTGCTGTGGGTGCTTGCTTCTCACATGCACCTGAGCCACACTGCTGCCCCGTGCTGGCAGAGGTGCATGATGCAGAGTGCAGCCTCCAGAGATAGGATGCCAAGACAAAATGGCTCTGCCACCATCTGTTGGTGAGACCATGGGCAGGTGTTTAACCCCTCGTGTACTTCGTGTCTTCATCTGTAAGTGGGGATATAGCTGTATCTGATGATGGGCGAGGTGTTAGGTAGAGACTACATGAGTTCTTACCGCTCACAACCATGTCTGGAATAGCACTGAGGCTCAGTGAACCTAGCCATTGAGGGGTCTGTGTGCCTGTTCCTCCACTAGCCAGAGCCTCTTTGTGGCACAGACGTGGCCCATGGTCTGTGAATCCTCAGCCCACAGTGCCACACGTAACAGTTGAGTGATGCTCAGATTGGGCCCAGTGGAGGTTGGTGGCTTGCCTAGAGTCAAAGAGCATGTGAGGGGCAGAGGTAGGCCCAGAACCCAGGTCTCCTGGCTCCCAGTCCAGGCTCCTTCCTCTGCATCATGCTGCCTCTGAGACCATGAGCATCATAAGCCAATGACATGGAATGTTCGAAGGTGAGAACTGGGATGGAAAAACAACTGGAGCAGGTTAAAGGAGGTTGGGAGTTTGGATATGGGGAGGCTGGTTGTATCATGAAGTAGGATGGTCAGCATTGGAGTCTTTGAAAAGGCGACATTTGACTGAGGACCAGGAAGTCGTTGGAGGAGTTAGCCAAGTGAATATGTGGTGAAAGGGTGTTACAGGCAGGGAACAGCCAGCACAAAGGCCTGAAGGCACGAGTGTCCGCAGTTGGAGGGGAGGGAGGAGGGGCAGAGGGGGTAGGAGAGGAGGTGATCATGTAAAACTTTGTGCCATCAGAGAACTTTGACTTTGGGTGAAATGGGGGAGCCACTGGAGGGTTTTTAGCAGAGCAGTGGCATGGTCTGACTTGGGGTTTTATTTTATTTTATTTTATTTTATTTATGAGACAGGGTCTCACTCTGTCATCCAGGCTGGAGTGCAGGGGTGGGTTCGTAGCTCATTGCAGTCTCAACCTCCTGGACTCAAGTGATCTTCCTACCTTGGCCTCCTAAGTAGCTGCAAATACGGGTGTGCACCACCATGCCCATCTGTGACTTAGGTTTTTCAAGAATCCCTCTGGCTTCCATGTTGGGAGCAGGCTTTGAGGGGCTGAGGTGGGAGCAGGGAGATCTGCTAGGAGGCTGTTGCAGCAGTCCAGGTGAGAGCAGCTGGTGGCTCAAGCCATCTTAGTAGCCCCTGGCGGTGGTGAGAAGTGGTTGGATTTGAGACTTGTGTGGAAGGTGTATTCTCTGATGGATTGGGGATGAGAGAAGAGTTAAGGAAGACTTCAAAGTTTTGACCTGAACAAATGGAAAGATGGAGTAAGGATGAGGCTGCAGGAGGGTCACCTTGTGGGGAAAATCAAGAGCTCCGTTTTAGGCACACGCGCCTTGGGATGTCCACCAGATCCTTGAGTGGCGAAGCTCCAGGGGAGATGGGTGTTCAAGCCAGGCTTCATGAGAAAGATCTGGGCTGGAAATGGAAAATTGGGAGTTGTCAACTTTTTTTTTTTTTAATTTTTATTTTTGAGAGTCTTACTCGGTCACCCAGGCTAGAGTGCAGTGGTGTGATCTCAGGTCACTGCAACCTCTGCCTCCCGAGCTCAGGTGATCCTCCTGCCTCAGCCTCCCAAGTAGCTGGGACTACAGGTACACACCACCACGCCCAGCTAATTTTTGTATTCTTTGTAGAGACAGAGTTTTGCCATGTTGCCATGGCTGGTCTCAAATTCCTGGGCTCAAGTGATCTGCCTGCTTTGGCCTCCCAAAGTGGTGGGATTACAGGCATGAGCCTCCATGCCCAGCCTTGGAGTTGTCAACACATATATAGCTGGTGTTTAGAGAGCCCTGGGCTGGAGGAGCTCACCAAGGAAACAAATCCACGTGGATGGAGAAGCGTGAGGACAAAAGATGCCCCGGACCAAGGGCTGCTCCCCATTTGGAAAAGAGGAGGCAGCAGCAGCTTTGGGAGCCATCTAGAGAGTTGATGAGGCAGAGCAGAGTGAGGCTAAGCCTAGGAGTCGGTGGAATTTTCCAGCCACGTGTTTTGTTAGACACTTACAGTCAGTTTGAAAAGGGGGGAAAAAAATCCAATGGATGCCCATTTTCATTCTGGTCGTGCCATCGTTCCCTCTCTCTGGGCCTGTACCAAGAGCTGTTTTTTGGAAAGGAAATGTGAGTCTGGCTCCTGTGTCAGCACGTCAAATGCTCTTCACATCTACCCTAATGAAGCTGCCACTCACGAGGGGCCGACCCGCTCCCTTCTGCGTTTTCATCTGCATCCCTGGGAATTAGCGAGACTTTTTCATCGCCCATCTTGACGTCAAATGACCAGCCTCTGGAACACCTCTTTTACGCACGGAGACTTTATTGAGTTTTCCAGGGCTGGCGTAACTTCTCGTCTAAAATCCGTTTTTTCTTCCATCCTGACTGGAACCCAGAGGAGGGAGGAGGTGGCGGGGTCCTTGGTGTTGCAGTAGCGCCCCGGGTGCTGCCTGACTCGGCCAGCGCCATCCACGCCATTCCCATCTCTCTGTTGAATTTCTACCAAGTGGAGCTTTTAAAAATAACCTGTCCTCGTTGGACTCTGATGTAGTCCCTGGGAAAGGCTCCTCTCCTGCACAGTATTTTTTTTTTTTTAATTTGAGACAGAGTCTCACTGTGTTGCCCAGGCTGGAGTGCAGTGGTGCGATCTCAGCTCACTACAGCCTCCGCCTCTTGGGTTCAAGTGATCCTCCTGCCTCAGCCTTCTGAGTAGCAGGGATTACAGGTGCGCACCACCACACCCAGCTAATTTTGTATTTTTAATAGAGATGGGGTTTCGCCATGTTGGCTGGTCTGGTCCTGAATTCCTGACCTCAAGTGATCCGCCTGCCTCAGCCTCTCAAAGTGCTGGGATTACAGACGTGAGCCACCGTGCCCGGCCTTCTGTGCAGTCTTAATGTCCACATTTCTCAAGTCAAGTGGAAGGCTGCAGCTGTTTTTTAATGACGGCCCAGGTGATTTTCTGGGCAGCAGAACTGTTTGCGCGTCATTTACTAGACTGCAGGGGGAGTTTGGCCTTTGGTGTTGGTTATCAAGGGTCTTCCAGGAACCTGAGAAAGACTTTTCTCCTGCCACTGCCACCTGTCCTCTCAGCAAGAAATGGAGTCAGTGACCTAAGCCATGACTAGGTCTGGTCTCTAAAGGGCAAAGAGTTTGCCCAGCTGGTCAGGGGATTGAAGAGGGTCTAGGCTAGTGTCAGCCCCCACAGGGCAAAGAGTCTGTGGCATCTTGGAGACTGATGGACTTCTCTCTAACCTGTTCCCTGGGAGCCTTGACCACATGCTGGCTCATTTGAAACCATCTTATCTCCACACTTGGGTGAGACTTAATGGGTTCAGGTCTCTTCTCTTTGGGATTGAGGGATGTTTGGCAGATATGGAACCAGATTCACCCAGGGCACATTTATGGGGTGGCTCCTGTGTGCCAGGCTCTGTTCTAGCAGTTGGGAGAACACAATGAACAGGAGAACTAAGTTCCTGCCCTTGTGCAGCTTGCTTTCTGGTTAAATGAAAGATTAAAAAAATAAAGAAGATTTTTTTTTTCTAGGAGGTGGAATCTCACTCTATTGCCCAGGCTGGAGTGCGGTGGTATGATTATAGCTTACCGTAGCCTCAAACTCTTAGGCCCAAAGCGAATCCTCCCACCTCAGCCTCCTGAATAGCTGGGACTACAGGCGCAGGCCACCATGCCTGGCTAATTAAATTTTTTTTTTTTTAGAGATGGGGTCTCTCTGTATTGCCTAGGCTGGTCTTGAACTTCTGGCCTCAAGTGATGCTTCCACCTTGGCTTCCCAAAGTGGAATCATGCTGGATTACAGGCATGAGGCACTGTACCTGGCCAAGGAAAATTTTGCAGTGAATTAAGCAACACCAGCTACAAGTTAAAATATTTGTTCAGTATTAGCTTTGGGTTTTTTGTTGTTGTTCTTTTTTGAGACAGAGTCTCACTCTTTTGCCCAGGCTGCAGTACAGTGGTGTGACCTCAGCTCACTGTAACCTCCACCTCCTGGGTTCAAGTGATTCTCGTGCCTCAGCCATCCTAGTAGCTGGGATTACAGGTGTGCGCCACTATGCCCAGCTAATTTTTGTATTTTTGGTAGAGATAGTGTTTCACCAGGTTGGCCAGGCTGGTCTTGAGCTCCTGACCTCAAGTGATCTGCCTGTCTTGGCTTCCCAAAGTGCTGGGATTACAGGCATGAGCCACTGAGGCCCACACAGTATTAGTTCACCTCAAAATATAGTGGCTTGAAACAACAGTCAACCTTTATTAGGTGATGGTTTTGTGGGTCAGGAATTTGGGCATGGCTTTGCGATGTGCTGTTGGCTCAAGGTCTCTCATGAGGTGAGATATTAAGAAGTTGGCTGGGCTGCAGTCATCTGAAGGCTTGACCGTAGCTGGAGGATCTGCATCCACAGTTATTCACATGCCTGGCAGGTTGGTGCTGGCTGTTGGCAGGAGGGAGCCTCTCCATGGGATTGCTTGAGTGTCCTCACAACATGGCTGGCTTTCTCCAGAGCAAGCAATCCAAGAGAACATGGTAGGAGCTGCAGTGCCCTCTATGACCTAGCCTTAGAGCATCTACACCATTTCCCTAATATCATACTGGTGGCACTGGTTAGCCCTGTTTCATATGGAAAGAGACTTTCCTAGAGCATGAGTAATGAGGCAAGGATTATTGAAGGCCACCTTGGAGGCAGGCGACTACAAATATGAGGTTACAACAAATGAAATCTCATATAGGAAATGCTAAGAGGCATTCCTATCTGCTAAGTAGCCTAGACTCTAGGTGATGAAATAAAATTAGTGGGCTATCACCTGGCTTTAGATGTGCCTGACCATTTGAAATTTTATTGTGAAATGATCCACTCTGCCTCACTGGGGGCTAAGTATTCTGCTTCTCTTGTTTATGAGAATCCAGTATTTGTCTTTGTCTTTCTCTCACTGGTGTGATCCCCCAAAATGGGAAGAGTGGAGGGTGCTTATAGTTTTTCAGGTGCACATAGAGACAGTCAGAACATCTAGGAAGCCAGACCCCGGGAGCAGGGCTGTCTTGAAAAAGTGCCACTTCTAAAATGGGTTTATATAGTGCACATCTGTGGGATCATCCAGTCTCCTGGGTGCCCCACCCGCATTCCCAAATAACATGGCTGTCCTAGAAGCTGCCATGTTCTTAATGATGTCACCCCCAAGCTGCAGTTGACTGGAGCAGGAGGGGGTCTGTGAGCCAAGGCAGGCCAACGAGTCCTTTCCCTGGAATTGATGGCCTCAAGGGGAAGTTCTTCCCTGCTAGAGAAAGCTTAACATAAAAACCCTGGGAACTGTGGACTGCCATGTTTCCTACACTGGAACAAGCCAGTCAGCACCCAGAGATCATGAGCAACACACACACACACACACACACACACACACACACACCCAACACACAGATCATGGGGGCTACAGAAGTGCTTGTGTCCCTGGTCTCTGGGCTCTTGGCCCAGCTGCTTTTCTGATTTCCCCACAATTTGTTTGTTCAGCTCATCCTCAGATTCCAGGAGCCAGGAGCTTACAGTTTTGTTGAACTAGGTTAGGCTGGGATTGTTTTCACTTAGAACAAAAAGAGTAATGGGGAAAGTTAAAGACCTTTCCTGGTAGCCTTTAGATCCTTGGTTGGATGCAGAGACAGAGAAACAATTCTGAGAGGGAAGGAGGAAAAGCAGCTGGTGGGGGTGAGGATGGGTGGAGCTCTTAGGAGAAAAGTGATGGGGCAGACAGGAAGCAGGATGGCACAGCCCGTCTGTATTAGTCCGTTTTCAGGCCGCTTTTAAAGACATACCCAAGACTGGGCAGTTTACAAAAGAAAGAGGTTTAACGGACTCACAGTTCCATGTGGCTAGGGATGCCTCACAGTCATGATGGAAGGTGAAAGGCACGTCTCACATGGCGGGAGACAAGAGAAGAGAGCGTGTGCAGCAGAACTGCCCTTTATAAAACCATCAGATCGGGCCAGGTGCAGTGGCTCAGCCTGTAATCCTGTAATCCCAGCACTTTGGGAGGCCAAGATGGGCAGATCATTTGAGGTTAGGAGTTCGGGACCAGCCTGGCCAATATGGTGAAACCCCATCTCTACTAAAAATACAAAAATTAGCTGGGCATGGTGGCGTGCGCCTGTAGTCCCAGCTACTTGGGAGGCTGAGACAGGAGAATCACTTGAACCCAGGAGGCAGAGGTTGCAGTGAGCCGAGATTGCACCACTGCATTCCAGCCTGGGCAACAGAGTGAGACTCCATCTCAAAATCTCAAAAAACAAACAAAATATCAGATCTCGTGAGACTTATTCACTATCCCGAGAACAGTACCAGAAAGACCCACCCTCATGATTCAATTACCTCCCACCACCGGGTCCTTCCCACAACACAAGAAAATTGTGAGAGATACAATTCATGATGAGATTTGGGTGGGGACACAGCTAAACCATGTCACCCTCTGCCACTGGGGTGCTTATCACTTCCCCTGAGATGGGCGAGCCTGTCCCCTCCCTCTGAGAGAGGCGAGCCTGTCCCCTCCACCACGTGGAGAGATGCAGCCCCCCTTCCCTCCTGCCTTCTCTTCAGTGTTTGACTCTGGCCAGGCCACAATTCACAAGCTGGTGGCTGTGGTACCTCAGGAAATCTGGAGTTGCTCCTACCACTTTCATTCTCCACCCAATGTGGACAGGAGTCCATTCTTCCCTCCCTTCTCAGGTTCCATCCCATCTATTGCCCTAAGTTGGGCCAGTGAATCCCTCTTGACTGAGGCCTGAGAGGGCCGCTCAGATGGGAGCCGGAGCCAGAGACTAGAGAACACTTTGCCCAGGCGGGCACAAGCTCTGGGGTTGACCAGGTACGTCTGACCCTGGGGCCCCTGGGGGACACCCCCATCATGCACTGCTCGCCATTCTCACTGGGGAGCAGAAAGGAAGCAAGGCCAGTGCCCACCCATCTGAAGCACCGTGCAGGGCATCAGCCAGGTCCTGGCAGAAAACAGATGGCCGGCCCCATGTGTGAATGGAGGAGTTTAATGAGGGCCTATTTACAAAGCGTGGGAGGGAAATCAGTAGCTGCTGATGCAACACCCCTGAGCCTCCACCACCCCGCAACCTGCAGGGCCAAGGGAAGGGACTGACGCGGGATCGTGGGAGAAGACTGCCCACAGGAGTCGGGTCTGGAGAAGAGGGTCCGGGAGCCTGCGGTGCCCAGGCGGGGACGGAGCCAGCAGAAAACCACCCCACCACTCCACCCCCACAGCAGGGTGGGAGAGGGCTAGAGGGGCTCTGGAGGGGCGGCCCACGTGGTCAGCACACACGAGAAGCTGGGGCCGTGGGGGTGGATGCAGGTGTTTCTCCAGCGGGGTGCATGGTGAGCATTGTGCTGACCAGGCGTGTCACTTGTCCCTGCCTCAAGGACTCTGGAAAAGCTGACCACATCAATAATTACAGAAGCTGGAGGTGGCAAGACCTCATGGCATCTCTGACTTCATCTTCCTGTTAGGGCAGAAGAAGGTCTCCTGGGAGAAGGAGGTGACATCTAAAGTTAGTCTAAGGCCAGGAGGAATTCAGCCCAGACTGCCCTTTCTAAACCTAGGGCCGGCTTCTTTGAAAACGTGGCAGGTTCTTAAAAGCATCTGAAGGAAATGTGTCTTCATAGCCAGGACATATTTTTCCTGGCAGATTCTGAGATTGATGATGCAATTAGGGCAGGCCAAGAGAATGAAGTATTAGGGCTATAAACTAAGATGCACATAGATGTTTCCACTCTTTGGAAGGCACAGATGTAGAAATAATTCTTTGTTCCTTAAGCTCAATGTAATAGTCTGCATTTTGTGTTAGAGCAGCATCTCCCCGCAAAGGCCACCCCTGTGTTTGGCATAAATCACAATGCAGGGAGAAGGCTCATTCAGTGGTGTCTTCCCTGTTGGCACCTGGCACGTATCTGGATTATGGATTGTCATGGGTGCTCCCTGGCACCGTGGCTGTTAGACCTGAGTTCTGGGCAGGGAGAGCTCCAGGCTGGAGTGCAATGGCACAATCTCAGCTTACTGCAACCTCTGCCTCCCGAGTTCAATCGATTCTCCTGCCTCAGCCTCCCAAGTAGCTGGGATTACAGGCACCTGCCACCATGCTTGGCTAATTTTTTGTATTTTTAGTGGAGACGGGGTTTCACTATGTTGGGCAGGCTGGTCTCGAACTCCTGACGTCAGGTGATCCGCCCGCCTCGGCCTCCCAAAGTGCTGGGATTACAGGTGTGAACCACCGCCCCTGGCTAAGAGAGCTTTAAATGAACAGAACAGCAGAGGTGCCTGTGTTTCGGGGAGGGGACAAGGCCCATCTCTCTCTCTCTGGTTGGAAGGGACTCTCTTGCAGATGGAGGTCACGAGGGCACTCTTTGCATACAGTTTACCTTTCTTTTCATTGAAATCATTGGCTGCTATTTCCCAAGCTACATCTAATTGTAAAATTCTGGGTTGTTGGCACACTCTTACTTGCTGCTTACGTTTGCTGGTTAAGCTGGTTTAAGCTTTCTCCCACCAGCTGGGCAAGGGTGTTCTCAGGGCAGTGGTTTCCAGGGTGGCCCCAGCCGTGTGGAGTGTGATCTGCCTTGAGCTCGGCCCATCCAGGGGAGCCACCATGGTACCTTTCCTCTGTAGGTGGCCTCTCAGGACTCCCCTCAGGGGGCCACTGTGGAGACATGGCCTGTCACTAGGTGTCTTAATCAGTGCGAAAAGCCCAGCTGGAGGCCTTCCATCCGTTTTCCACCTCCCAACACAAATGCTCTTCAAGTGGTGGCCTGGCACGGACTCTTTGAGAAAGGCCTTTTGATCCCGGCAGGGGAGGCCTGTCCCCGCGTGCTCCCTCTGCCGCCCTGTGGACCTGCGTGCCCATCCACCGGCGGGGCCTCTGCCGGGAGGCAGGTGACCTGAAAGGGATGTTATTTTTTTAACGTGGGTTTTAGTACCCACAGCAAGAGTATTTTTAGCTGGTTATTGAGGCTGATTAGTGAGCCCCAGGCCTCCATTTGGTTAAATAGAGCCACCTTCACAGATGTATTTTCGTACAGTGCAAATCTAGTGTTCTGGATGGTATAGAGTTACCCCAAATGATGGCCGGCCATTTGCCCAGGGCCTGCGTCCTGCAGAGCAGTCTAGCTACATTCCCACGGTGCCGGACCAACGGCGGGCTGTCCAGGGGCAGCAGGACCCTGGGTGCTTCTCATTCTGGAAAACAGCAGGCAGCTGGCTCTAGAGTGCTCAGCCCCTTTGGAGACGCCACTGCTGCCCCGTCGCTTGCTAGCTGTGCTGTATTGGAACCTCTTAGACCCTTAGTTTCTTCATCTGCAAATCGGGACTAATAATACCTACCATGTAGATATAATAATAATACCCTGCCATGTAGGGTGAGCCTGGAATCAGCACTCCATATGGGGTGTGTGTCTGTGTGTGGGTGTCTGTATGTGTGTGTGTAGGGGTGCGGGTGTGTTTGTGTGGATGGGTATCTGTGGGTGTGTGGTGTTTGTGTGTGGGTGTCTGTGTGTAGGTGTGTGTGGGTATGTGTGTGTGTGTCTGGGTCTGGGGGGGTGCGGGTGTGTTTGTGTGGATGGGTATCTGTGGGTGTGTGGTTGTGTGTGTGTGTCTGTGGGTGTGTGTGGGTATCTGTGTGTGTCTGCGTCTGTGTGGGGGGTGTGTGTGTGTGTGTGGGTATCTGTGGGTATGTGTGTCTGTGTGTGGGTTTGAGTGTGTGTGTGGGTGTCTGTGTATGGGGGTGTGTATCTGTGTGTGGGTACGTGTGGGTGTGGGTGTGTGGGTGTCTGTGTGTGGATGTATCTGTGTGTGTGTGGGCGTGTGTGTGGGTGTGTATCTGTGTGTCTGTGTGGGCACGTGGGTGTGTGTATCTGTGTGTCTGTGTGTGGGCATGTGGGTGTGTGGGTGTGTGTGGGTGTCGGTGTGTGTATCTGTGTCTGTGTGTGGGCATGTGTGTGGGGGTGTGTGGGTACGTGTATGGGTGTGTGTATCTGCTTAGTGGGCACGTGTGTGGATGTGTGTGGGTGTGTGTATCTGCGTGTCTGTGGGCACGTGTGTGTGGGTGTGTGTGGGTGTGTATCTGTGTGTGGGGGCACGTGTATGTTTGGGTGTGTGTGTGTCTGTGTGTGGGTGTGTGTCTGTGTGTGGGCACGTGTATGTTTGGGTGTGTGGGTGTGTGTGTGGGTGTGTGTGTGGGTGTGTGTATCTGTGTCTGTGGGCACGTGTGTGTGGGTGTGTGTGGGTGTGTATCTGTGTGTGTGGGGGCACGTGTATGTTTGGGTGTGTGTGTGTCTGTGTGTGGGTGTGTATCTGTGTGTGTGTGGGCACGTGTATGTTTGGGTGTGTGGGTGTGTGTGTGGGTGTGTGTATCTGTGTCTGTGGGCACGTGTGTGTGCACACATGTGCACTCAGGTTTAGGAGAGCGACAGGGGGCACAGAGGAAGAAAATAACAGGAAAAAGTCAAGAAGAAAGAGCCACCTTAAAGCATCTCAGGAATTCATCTCTCGAGTCAAATCATCAAGAAGTGCCCAGTCCCTCAAGGCTCATCTTGATGTGGAAGAGGAGTTGACCTCTGGGGAGAGGCTCTGCCCACGCGGCGCAGTGGGAATCCAGAGGCCAGCGCGCCAGTCCAGCAGCTGTGACCTTGGACCTTGGGCAAGTCCCTGACTTCTCTGAGCCTCTGTGTCCAGCCCTATAAAATGAGGGGTGGGATTCCTTACAGAACCACTGCCCTATCTCCCTGTGATCTAAATGATTGTAGTGTTCATGTTTCTTCATGGGAGAAAATCATTGGATCTTGGCTCTCCATTAGAAGAGAGAGGGCAAGACAAGGACACTCGCTCACTGTGGTTGGAAACGAGCCTGGCTGCCTCTGTGGTCACTGCGAGTGCCGCCTGCGTGCTCCCTTTGGCTGGCCTGGGAGGAATCGGACCCTAGACACTGAGGTGTGAAGTTTCCCTGAGGGCCGGCTGGGCATCTGACTGCATGGTGGGACGCCTGGGGAGGAGTTCGGGTCCGTCTATGCTGGTGTCATTTCCTTCCTCTTTTGAAATAGCTGTACTTTTGGACAGAGGCTGACAAATCCTTGGGTGGTGGATTTTGAAATGGTTATAAACAATTTGCAATTAGCTCTTTTGTCTAAATGAGAAAGGGCCGCTTACTCAGGCTTTTTATTGACTCGAGGCCCTTTATCCATGTGGCGAGTGCGTCAGATGTGAGCGAAGGAGCCCCTCTGGGATTCAGGGAAATTAAAAAGTCTGTTTTTTGGAGACCTCCCATCTTTAGAGCTTGGGCCCCCTGGCTTGGCTAGTTATCAGAGTCCTAAATTCTGTGGTGTGGTTGAGGAGAAGCCCTGCGCTTGGAGGTTCGAGTCCCAGCCCTGCCACCTCCCGCTGCATGACCCTATGCAAGTCCCTTCCCACCGCCGGCCCTCGGGATCTCCACCTACAGACGAGGGGTTGGGATGGCAGCCCCTGTTCTCCTGCGTCACTGCCCTGGCTCTTTCGAGGTTCAGATAAGAACATCTTAAAAAACCTGTGTATGTTCACTTTGTAAACTGAAAAGCTGGAAAAGACCAGGCATCCACATTATTGTTTATCCTTGCAAGGTGTAATAATCACAATGGCGGTAACTATAGCAACTGTTTATTATTATTTATGATGGGCCAGGCCCCAGGCCAAGAGCTTGATCACTTCCGTCTGTATAATCAGTGTATACCTAGGTGCTGGTACCATCTGCGTTTTATAGAAGGGTTAAGCAAATTGTCTACGATCACACAGCTTACAAGGTCTGAGTGACCTAAGGCAGCTTCTCGGCAGCCTTCCAGTCTGGTGGGCTGTTATTTTTCTGGTAGTTTCCTTTGATTCATCTAAGTCAGTGGTCTTCAACCCCGGCTGCCCAGGTGCCAGCCCTCATGGCCCACTGGAAAGCCTGGTTTCATGGGTCTAGGGTGGGGCCTAGCATCAGTGTTTGCTCAGGGCTCCCTGCTGATTCTGATGTGCAGTCTGCATGGAGCACCGCCATCCTGAGACCCAGCATCTGTGAGAGAGGGCAAAGTAGTTTGGACTAAACATCGGGGCTCCGTGGCCAGGTCTTCCCCCCCGGTTTCCTGACCTGCAGGAGAAGGGGGTTGGTCAGGTGGCCTCTAGGGGATTTCCTCCAGGGGCTGTGAGGTTCTGTAACTATAAGAAGCTCATGAGCAAACCTGTTATTGTTCTTTTTTCTCCTTCTGTTTTAGGCAGAATATGAAGTTACTCCAGATGAAAAACTGGGAGAGAAAGGGAAGGAAATTATGACCAAGTACCTCACCCCAAAGGTAAGGAGTCTTCCAAACCCCACAGCAGGTGGCACAGGAGGCCTTATGCAAAAATAGGAGCCCCTAAGTCTGTGCCAGGCCACATGGGGAGCTGTTAAGTGCTGGGCTGGTGGCTGTTGTTGACCTCCTGAGATCACAGTTCCCATCCTCCCCCAGAGAGTGCCCAAGCCTGGCAGGGCCAAGATGGGGATGGTCTAGGCCAGGACTGGAGTAGGGGCGGGATGCCTGCTTCTTGGGGCCCAGCCCCTTCAAGGGTCACCATGCTGCTGTGTGCCCACACCCAACCATTTGTGGTAGGGCAGATGGAGGCCTGGCCAAGTTCAGGAGAAGTGCCCAGAAGGAAGGGCTTAGCAGGGCAGTTCTGAGAGGTCAGCGTGGAGGGGAAGTGTTGGGGGTTGACTGGGAGGGAAAGGGGGTGCCCAACGACATCAAAGAATGAAGAGAATTCTGAAACATATTCTGGAGTATTCTGAAGGGTCAGGGGCCACCCCGACCCCACCTCGGGGCCACCCACTGGATAGTTGAAGCATCGGGGTACCATTGTCCTCAGGGTCCAGCAGCCTCGGTTCTCCAAGATCTGCTTCCTCTTGACTCACCTTCACAGAAGTGTGTTCTCAACCCATTTAGTGTTCTAGTGTCAGTGGTTCTGCCCACTTGGTCAAGCCACATTCCCTCCCTGGGCCTCTGTTTCCCTTTCTTAAAAGTGGCCTTCCTGTCAGACTCACCTCCCGGAGGTGTTGAGAGCCTGAGATGGGACCTGTGTGGGAATAGCTTTGCGTGTGTCCCATCCCCCGGGGCCAGTGGTGGCTTCACCCTGCTCAGGACCCTGTGGGCCAACCAGCTCCCCGGAAGAGTATACCTCCTGGTGCCCATCCCAGGCTGCCAGTGGACTGAGGTCACCACAGCCTGTGGAAGGTCTTGGCCATCAGTCCCCTCAACCTCCTGCACCTCTTGCACCAAATGTAGCCCTCGTTCTTCTCCAGCATCAGCAGTTGGTAGTGGCCATTGCCCTTGCAGGGTGAGACCAGCCTCACGCCCAGAAGTGTTGCCCTTTGTCACGCCCCACTCTGGACAGCCTGCTAGACGGCATTCCTAATGCGCACACAGTCGCCATCACCTTGTTGCCTCCCCTTGCTGTTTCTCTGCTGCATCCATCATAATCCATGCACTTCTCTTTCTGTGAACTGCAAACACCCCCAGCCCTTTTGCACTTTTCAGAAATGACAGAATTTATGTTTATAAAACACTTCTAGGCATAGAATAGGGCTAGTTTGCTCTGGACAAGGTGTGGCCCTGGGTAGGCACAGCTGCCCCCACCTTGGGGGCCTTGCTATGCTCCAGATATGGGCCTGTTGCTGTCTGTGAGGTTCTCAGGTGGACACAGACGAGGAGACGTTCTCAGCAGGGTCCCTGTTCACCCAGTCGCAGCCGATGTCATATTGGTGGGGCTCTGGCTAGATACATTTTTGATCTCCTGGCCACCACTCAAGATAGTGTGGACACTCTGGGCATAAACACATGCCCTGAGCTTAAAGGGGTGCATGCACCCTAGAGGGCATAATGATGACAGCTCCCTGGCTGGGCTCCTATGGTGTGCCACATGCCTCCGAGATGTCTCTGATGATTCGCGTATCCACGAGATTGCCCTATTTACAGACAGGCCACTGAGGCCACAGAGCTGAATAGCGTGAGAGGCCACTCTGCTGAAGGGGTCTTCAGCTACCCTCTGCAGAGGCATCTTCCCACGGTGGCTCAGCTTGGCCCAGTCCAGCGCTTCATCTGTGCCCCCATAGGGCTACCCAGTCACATGTGTCCCCCCCAAACAATGGCAACTAGAATGTATTGAGGACTCCTTGTGTCAGGCACCACTGTCTATAGTCCTTGCTGTCACTGTGGGATGCAGATTATATTTGTTCCATCTTACCGATAAGGAAGGAGAGGCTCAGGGGAGCTGTCACATCCCAAGTCACACAACTAGTGAGTGGCGGAGCTAGAATTTGAACCCAAGTCTGGGTGATTCTAGAGCCCTGAGTGTTTCCCCTGGGTGTAGTCTCCTCACCCGGCTTCACTGTCCTGCCACTGTCTGTGGCCTGGCTCTGATCTGCAGTGAGGGCGGAGTGCTCCCTTTGCCTGACCTTGCTGTCTGGATAGGCTCTTGTGGCTTAGCCAAGAACAGGGTACAGGCAGGCACTGGGGCAGCCACTGAGGGCTGCCACCGGGTTGCCCCGTGGCCAACCTTGTCCAGAAGCCCCTGCTGGCAGCCCCTGACCTGAGCTCTCCAGACCTCCCTAGCTCTGCTCAGCCTTGCCTCCATCTCCTGGAGGGATGGGGCCCAGACACCCCCATCAGCTCAGACGGTTTTACAAGTGCCTCAGAGCCTGCCAGCATTTTTTCCCTTAAGTTCTCCTCAATTTAAAAAATTTAAGCCACACCATATGTTACGGCCAGGGAGGCCTCCAGGGGAGGTGGTTGATCCATGCCTTGGGTCAGCTGTTTCCCTACAATAAACTTTGCACTGCTTTCCCAGTTCTTCCCATAACAGCTTGCTCTGGAGCCTCATTTACCTCTCACGTGCCCCAGTGCCCCAGATGCAGCGAAGCAAGGTGCTGGCTGAGGAGCTGAGCGAGTGACTGAGGCCCCAGCACTGGCTCAGAAGACTTTGACCAACTGCAAAGCCACTGTCCCCAAGCCCAGATTGTCCTTGCCTTGGGACCCCTCCTCAGTATGTAGCTTGTGTGTCTCAGCTCTGAGCAGTGCTTCCCAAAAGGTAGACCATAGGAGAGTGGCCAGTGGAGAAGCTCTGTGAAAAAGAACCCTCAGTGGTCAATTACACGTGGGCAGCACTGTAATACCATGTCTCCCCCGGTAGATTCACTCAGCATGTGAGCATATTCAAGGCTCTGAGAAGTCCTGCAAGAAAGAAACCTCTTTAACTGTTACCAAAGCATTTCTCAAAGTTATTGACCATAATTTTTTTTCAATTTTCCATTCTGCTGAGCACACTTTGGGCTACAGAACACATCCAAGAGCCTCACGCCCACACCTCCTTCTGCTCCAGCATCCTTTCCTGGGACCTCTCCTGTGGCTTCACACTGGACTGTGGCCACACCATTTCCTAGGCTCACCTGGATGTCCATACCTTGTGGCCTTTGTTCAGGCTGTGCCCCAGAAGGCCCTTTATGAAGGCGCTGTCCCCTACTCTGTCTTTCTCGCTTCTGTATCCCTGCATGTATTGAGGACACTTGTGTCAGGCACCACTGTCTGCAGTCATCTCCAACATCCCCAGCTGCACAGAGCCTCTTCTGCCTCTTGTCAGAGTCCGTTGGCCTCACCTGGGTGGTCTCTGAGCACACTGTTCCATTGTTGTGATTCTGTGCCCCATGATGGGGATTCTGAGGAGCCCACCTTCAGAGTAGGGCCAACACATAAGCAGATTAACCAAATGCCCCACGATGGGAGCAGTGGTGGAGCTGTGCTCAGGGAAGTGTGGGGTCAGGTGAGCTAGAGGACGCTTCCAGGAGGTGATGCTGCTGAATCAGATCTTAAAGGATGTGGAGGAGGAAGCTGGACACAAAAGAAGGGGAAGGAGGAGCGGCCTTCATGGGTGCAGTGCAGTGGGCATTTGGGGCTATCTGGAGATACTTGTAATTGGCAGAATTGTGGGGGAGGGAAGTGCTCCTAGCATCTGATGCGTAGAGGCCATGGATGCCGTTGAACATTCTAGAGTGCACATGGCAGCTTCCTACCCAGAGTTACCTGGGGGCAAAATGTCAATAGGGCTGAGGTTGAGAAACCTTGGCACAGAGGTAGGAAAGCGCACAGGATGGGCAGTGCTGTGGGGGTGGGAATGGGGAGGGGGCCCCTCTGAGCTGTAGGCCCTGGGAAGCCATGTTGAGGTGGCAGCAGTGTGGAGTTGCCAGTGCTTCGAGTGCCACTTGTATTTTAGGACGATCTCCCTGACCACATGGAGGAGGAATAAGGGGGATGAGGAAGGACTGGAGGCAAGAGGCCATCTGGGGAACAGCCCCAGGTCCCCAAGCTGGGCCAGCAGCCTTGGGGATGGGGAGGAACAAAGGGCCTTGCGAAACGGCAGAAGGAGGATGCCCTTGGGCTTTTGTCTTGAGTCTCTGGGTGTATGGGGGTGTCCCCAGGAAAGACAGAGCACAGGATGAGGGCCGTGGGAAGGTCCACCTGCTCTCGGCAGAGGCAGGGGAATTCATTTTGGATGGAGACAGTGGCATCTGCTCTCTGTGTCCCCGCCCCAGCATGACGCTGGACACATGGTTCTCGATCAATGTGAGTTGGTTGGAATGAAACACTGAGGGGAGCTCTGGAAGCTGCCCTCCATGGGCCCGTCAGCTCTCCTGTCTCATGTCTCTGGGGAGCCACGCTTGGCGAGCTCACATCCTGAGGTGTCTGCCATCTTAAAATTGCTGGAAGCCAGGATAGAAAGCCCCTGCCTAAGCAATGCCTATGCCTTGAGCTCCGTTCTCCCTCACCACGGAGGACGCCCTACAAACCCGTGCCTGAAGTTTTTATCTCAAGAGGCAAACCCCACTCCGTAGACCCTGCCTCGAATCCTGCATCAGTCGCCCATACAAGGCCAGCTTTGCTTTGGGGGTGTTACAGGGCAACAGCCAAGGGTGGGCTTGGAAGGGGTTGAAAGCTGTTGGAGAGCTCACAGAAGGGCAGCAGAGTGCTGAGAAGGACGTGAGCTTTAGAGTCAGGTAGACCTGGGTTCAAAGCCAGATGTCACCTCTTTGGGCTGCATGGGTTTGGGAAAGTTGCTTAACCTCTCAGTGCCTCAGTTTCCTCATCTGTCAAGGGTGTGGGCCATGATGAGGATCATAAATAAAAGCAGCAAGTACTGAGCATGGTAGCTGGGGCATCTTAAGTGCCCAGCAGCAGTGCTTGTCATCTGCCTTTCCCCACCTTCTCCGTGCCTTCAAAGTCAGGCTGTTGAATGAGGAAATCGTTCAGATGTCGAACTGCCAGCTGTGGAGTGCGAGAGGCCAAGGAAGGGTCGGGAGGGCCTCCAGCTGCAGAGGGCTGGACAGAGGCAGTGAGCCAGTCAGGATGATTTATACTAGCTGCCACAACAAACAAACCCCCAAATCTCAGGGGCTCCTCCCAGCAAAGGTTCATTTCTTTCTCACGCATCATCTGGTTAGGTCATCAGCTCTTCTGGGTCCTCCCTGGGTGACTCAGGGATCCTGGCTGCTCCTGTGGCCCCACCATCTGGAGTGTGTTGTCCCATGGTCAGTGCCACAGAGGAAGAGAGGGATGAAGGAGGCACAGAAGCTTTTAAGTGCTTGACCCAGAAGCAACACTCATCACTTCCTCTCGCAGTCCATGGCCAGTGGGGAGGCTGGGAAAGGCAGAGGAGCATCTGGAATATTAGGTGAGCACACCAGTAAGGCTCCCTGCGTACATTCCCATCCCTCGAGCCCCAGGTTAAAAACATCACGTGGCAGGCTCATCTCTGGTGCTGATTAGACAGCCGTGAGCGTGGCTTGTCTTAGGGATTGTCTCGGGTTTGTCAGCTCACAGAAGCTGGCCAGCGGGCCACAGTTGGATCTGAGTGTGTGCTGGGCTCTGAAGAGAGCTGAGCAGCTCACCTTCTACCCTCCAGTTCTACAGCCCAGAAGTGATACAGGTGACAGGTATTCAGGAGAGGGGAGGGTCACTCCGAGCTGAGGTGGCCCAGGAAATGTTCCCATTGTAATAATAATAATAAGTGAAAACAGAATTATATTTCATCCAGCATTACAGATGACTTTTTGAAATACCAATTTTATGGCCGGGTGCAGTGTCTCACACCTGTAATCCCAGCACTTTGGGAGGCTGAGGCAGGCGGATCACCTGAGGTCAGGGGTTCGAGACCAGCCTGGCCAACATGGCGAAACCCTGTCTCCACTAAAAATACAAAAAATCAGCTGGGCATGGTGGCCCACACCTGTAATCCCAGCTACTCCAGAGGCTGAGGTACAAGAATCGCTTGAACCAGGGACGGGGAGGTTGCAGTGAGCCAAGGTCGTGCCACTGCACTCCAGCCTGGGTGACAGAGCAAGACTCCATTTCAAAACAAAAAACAAAACAAAACAAAAATACCAATTTTTTTGAGATCTATTGGTATAATTCTCATACCATAGAACTAATTCTTTTAAAGTACAATTCTATGGTTTTAAAAAGATTCAAAATCTTATAACCATCACTGCTTTCTGATTCCAGGGCATTTTATCACCCCAAGAAGAAACTGTTGTACCTGTTAGCAGTCACTCCCTGTTCCCCTTTCCTCCCAGGCCCTGACAGCCACTAATCTACTTTCTGTCTCCAGGCCTATTTCAGACATTTCATATAAATGGAATATCATATAATATGTGGCCATCTGTGACTGGCTTCTTTTTTTTTTGAGACGGAGTCTCGCTCTGTCCCCCAGGCTGGAGTGCAGTGGTGTGATCTCGGCTCACTGCAAGCTCCGCCTCCCGGGTTCACGCCATTCTCCTGCCTCAGCCTCCCGAGTAGCTGGGACTACAGGTGCCTGCCACCACGCCCTGCTAATTTTTGTATTTTTAGTAGAGACGGGGTTTCACCGTGTTAGCCAGGATGGTCTCGATCTCCTGACCTCGTGATCCACCCGCCTCAGCCTCCCAAAGTGCTAGGATTACAGACGTGAGCCACCGCACCAGCCGACTGGTTTCTTTTGTAGCATAATGTTTTTAAGATTCATCCACATTGTAACATGTATCAGCACTTCACTCCTTTTTATGGCTGAATGATATTCCATTGTAAAGATACAACACATTTATTTAGTTATCTGCTCATCATTTGATGGACACTTGTGTTATTTCTACCTTTTTGTTGTTGTTGTTGTTGTTGAGATGGAGTTTCGCTCTTGTTGCCCAGGCTGGAGTACAATGGCGGGATCTCGGCTCACTGTAACCTCCACCCCCCGGGTTCAAGTGATCCTCCTGCCACCGCCTCCCAAGTAGCTGGGATTACAGATGCCCATCACCATGCCTGGCTAATTTTTGTATTGTTATTAGAGATGGGGTTTTCGCCACTTTGGCCAGGCTGGTCTCGAACTCCTGGCCTCAAGTGATCCACCCTCCTTAGTTTTCCAAAGTGCTGGGATTACAGGCACGAGCCACCGTGTCCAACCTGCTTCTATTTTTTGTTTCTACATTTTTGCTCTTGTGGAATAATAATGCTGTGAAAATGCAGGTACAAGTTTTTGTGTAGACATGTTTCATTGGGGTATATACATAGGAGTAGAATTGCTGGGTCATGTGGTAACTCTATGTTTAAACTTTTGAGGAACTGCTGGGCTGTTCTTCAAAGCACTGTACCATTTTAAATTCCCACCAGCAGGGTTCCAGTTTTGCCAAAACCTCATCAACACTTGCTATTTTCTGTGTTTTTTATTTTATCCATCTTAGTGGGTGTGAAGTGGTGTCTTGATGTGATTCTGATTCATACTTCCCTAATAATTAATAATGTTGAACACCCTTTCTTGTGCTTTTTGGCCACTTGTGTAACTTCTGTGGGAAATGTCTATTCAGATTCTTTGTTCATTTTTGAATTGGGTTGTTTGTCTTTAATGTCAAGTCATAAGAGTTCTTCATATGTTCAGGATACAAGGTCCTTATCAGTATATGACTTACACATATTTTCTCCCATTCTGTGGGTTGTCTTTTCACTTTCTTGATAGCGTCCTTTGAATCACAAAGGTTTTTCGTTTTGATGACATTCAGCCTTCATTTTTGTTACTTGTTTTTAAATAACTTGTTTTCATTTTGTCTTACCTGTCCTTGTAAGAAGGCCTCAGTTTTTGAAGGGAAAGGGTGTGTATGGAAACAAAGTAAAGAAATCCTAATGTACATTTAGCCCCATGACCCGGTCTTCCTTTGAAGAACGAGAGCCCCACTGCCTGTTGGAAAGATCAGGGCCAGGGGGCCAGGCCTGGTCCTTCATGGACATTCAGCCCCTTATCCCCTGGTTGACATGACAACATCCCAGGGGCTTTGAGCCCTTCCATTCCTAGGACTGCACGGGCCTCTTACAGACTTGCTCCTGGAACTTCCTGGCAGCTCCCCAAGATGGGTATTAGTGTACCCATTTTACAGATCAGGTAACTGAGATTTGGGAAGAGAAGAGGCTGGTCCAGAATGGGGAAGCGCCTGCGTGACCTGCTTTGGCAGTGTTACTTGTAGGACATTTTGCTGCGGCTCATTTTAATTGGGCCGGTGAGCAACAGTGCTGATCTCCATGGTTGCAGTGCCCCACCGCAATTACTAAGGTCTGGCAAGGGGGGTGCCAGTTTTGATGTGGCTTTGTTAGGGACTATCAGTGGATTCTAGGGGAAGCTCAAACCCAGTCCTGGTCCTGCTGAAAGGGCCTGCGTGGGTTCTTCCCGGACAAGGGGGTGGACAGGTGGGTTGGGGCAGGCTTCTGGGGAACTGGTATGGCGTCCTTCTGTGGGGTACTGGGAAGGCCGTTGTGCAGGCAGCTCTTAGAGCGCATTTCTTGCCAAAGGTCTGCAGGCAGGATATTGTTCTCTGGGCCCTCCATAGATGCAGGGCTGCCTCTTTGTTTCAATAAACAATGATAGGGTAAGACAGGGAAGTTGGTTCTTGTGAAGGGGGAAGTTACCCATCAGCCTGTTTCCACACAAACGAAATCTATTCGTAGTGCTTGTTGGGCTCTCTGGAAAACATCCACATTTTATAAAGTCAAGAGCTTGAATGAAAGGAAATAATAACGACTCCAAATTCCCTCCTCTGGCTCCCCACCCCCACCCAGGCACCAGCGTCAGGAAGCCGAACAAACCCACGCAGGCTGGGCCACGGCTCCTCGGCCTCTGGCACAGGCAGTCAGCTTCATCCTTGTCCCCAGGACCTCATGCAACCCCAGTCCTGCCACTTTCCAGCTCTGCATCCTTGGAGCCTCAGTTTCCCCAACTGAGTATGGGGCTGATAAAAATGGCGCCTACCTGTGCTTGTGGCCATCAGTCATTCTCTAGCACTTGCGTGGTTTTGGCCATGTTTGCAGACTACCCTTAACAGTTACCTATACAACGATTTTCTTTAAATCAACTTATCTTTTAACTTAAAATAGATGCGTTTTAAAAGGAAACCTTGTACCAGGAACATGCCTGGAGAACCAGTATTGATTTGTCATACATAAAGGTAACTGGAAAAATTAAGATTAAATCCAAGCTAGATACTCTATTGTCTGCCTGAGGTTCTGAGCCTGAAGGCTTTGTCCTTGTCATTTTAAAGGAGATTAGTGAATGTGAGAGCCCTGATGACAGGACGGTAGCACTGCCTGCGACTTTCTACTTCATGATGGAAGGCTTGCAGGAGATCCAAAGAGAATCACTTTTTCACCGAGTGATTCAATATTATCTAATTGTGTCCCTGTACTTCCTAAGACCTCTCATCATCTTTAGAAGATGCTGGGCTAACTCTCTGCTTCCTAGCTATGATGCGTTATGGAAATGGAAATGCTGGCTTGTTTTTGTTAGAGACAGCATGACCTAGGGCAAAGAGCACTGGACTGGGAGTCAGGCTCATTCCTGATCTCCCTTCCTGGGGTCCATGGCCCTGGTCCTGCTTAGAGTCTGCCTGATCATCCAACCAATTCATGATCTCCAGGGCAACCAAGGGTGTGAAATATGGGAAGCTTGGGCAAATGGCTCCCTTCCAAGTACCTGTCCCATTCTCCCTGGGGCTTGGGGTCCCAGACACTGGCCCTGGACCCGGCTCTTCATCTCTACTGAGATTGCCCGGCCCTCATTTCCCAGTCCCCGGAACAGGTCATCCTGTTGTCAATTAATCTAGTGAGCTCAGACTCCACCTTCACTTGAGCAGAGGGTCTGGCTGGGCAGCTGCCCCTGCTGGGCCATCTACCAGCATTTCCAGCTTCCTGTCACAGCCTTGCGTACAGGCTGGAGGGCGGAAGAGGATTGAAAAGAAAACTTGAGAAAGGGACTTCCAGGAGTTTTCTCAAGCAACAGTAGTGAGGGACAGGGGTTGGGCCTCTTCCACTTCCACTTCTGGGAGCAGCAGAGAGAGGAATTCACAAATCAAGCCACATGTGTGCTCATGAGCTGTCTTGGGACAGCTAGCATTTATTGAGCTACTACTGTAGCCTAGAACTTCATATTCCATGTTTTGCTAAGTCCTCATCACAGCCATATAAAATAACAAGAAGTGGAGGCTCACTCAGGATGGGCGCCCAGGGAAATCTCAGGGGCTGCCCAGTTCTGGGCCCCGCACGCAGTTTTATCTGCAGATTCCCAGCGTGCAAACAGATAAAAAGATCTGTGGTTGACAAAGCTGGGGGCTGGACTTCTCTTTTTCCTCCCTTCCGCTTCCCCTTCCCCTTCCCCAGGCTCTGACTTTGAGGAGAACATTTAGGGTTCTGTGGATCCCAGTTTAAGCACCATGGAGCTGAGCTAAACTCCTCATTTCCTAGATAAAGAAACTGAGGCCCCGAGAGGCCCAGCTTGGAAGAGGAGACTGGAATCTTCCTTGTGGGGCTTTCTATAACTCTGTGCTAGAAACAAGGAGAGGAGGCCTCAAAAGGGATGCTTACTGACTTGGTTTTCCTTCTCCCACTGGGGATGGCCGGCAGCTGGGTTTCAATTCCTCTGAGGTGCTTTTTCTTTAAGCCAGTAAGTGTCTAAATGCTGAGACATTCGTAATGTCTGTGCAAAGCAGAGAAGTTGGCTGTTGCCGGAAGTTCTACTAGTTAAGCACTAAGTCATTAACTCTCTGGGTTTTAGTGGAAGAGGTGAGAGAAAATAGCATTAATTTAGCACCTACTGTATGCGACATGCTTTATAGCTTTAGTGCATTCTATCTTCATGACTATCCTATGTAGTAGACACTATTGTCCTTGTTTTACCCAGGCAGTCAGAGTTCTTTAGCTCATAATGGTAAAACAGGGGAATTGAAAACAGGGAGGCTGGGCATGGTGGCTCATGCCTGTAATCTCAACACTTTGGGAGGCCAAGGCAGGAGGATTACTTGAGGCCAGGAGTTTGAGACCTACCTGGGCAACACAGCGAGACCCCCATCTCTACAAAGAAAAGAAAACTTGGGGGGCTGGGTGTGGTGGCTCACGCCTGTAATTCCAGCACTTTGGGAGGCCAAGGCGGGCAAATCAGCTGAGGTCGGGAGTTCAAGACCAGCCTGACCAACATGGAGAAACCCCATCTCTATTAAAAATACGAAATTAACCGGGCGTGGTGGTGGATGCCTGTATTCCCAGCTACTCGGGAGGGTGAAGCAGGAGAATCGCTCGAACCCAGGAGGCAGAGGTTGTGGTGAGCCCAGATTGCATCATTGCACTCCAGCCTAGGCAACAAGAGTGAAACTCCATCTCAAAAAAAAAAAAAAAAAAAAAAATTAATTAGGTGGGTATGGTGGCGCATGCCTGTAGTCCTTGCTACACAGGAAGCTGAGGTGGGAGAATCACCTGAGCTCTGGAGTTCAAGGCTGCAGTGTGAGCTATGATTGCACCACTGCTCTCTATCCTGGGTGACAGAGCAAAACCCTGTCTCAAAAAAAAAAAAAAAAAAAAAAGGCAGAAAACACAGATGCAAACAGATACTAGTGTGCAAATATTTATAGCAGCATTATCACAATGGCCAAAAAATGGCAACAACCAAAGTATCCATCAACGGATGAATGGATAAGCAAAAGTGGTCTATCACTACACTGCAGTGTTCAACCATATAAAGGAATGAAGCGCTAATACATGCCCCAATGTGGATGAACCTTGAAAACATTATGTGAACTGAAAGAAGCCAGACATAAAAGGCCACATATTGTGTGATTCCATTTCTATGAGGTATCTAGAATAGACAAATCCATAGAGGCAGAAAGTAAGTTAGCATCTACCAGGGGGCACGTGGGAGGGAGGGAGTAGGGAGTTGCTGCTTAACAGGTACAGAGTGTCTGTTGGGATGATAAATATTTTTGGAACAAGATAGAGGTGATGGTTGCCATGATGAACGTAATGAATGCCACTGAATTGTACACTTTAAAATGGTTGAAATGGTGAAGTTTATGCTATGTCTATTTTACCACAATGAAAGAAAAAGAGCAAGAAAAGAGTGGAATGTAAGCTGGCCTGTCCGATGCTGGAGCCTGTGATCTTTCTCTTCCTCTGCGTTGTCTTCTTGAAAGTTAACCAAAGACAAAAGTTCCCACTGAATCAGCTTCCCAGGTGTAGCAGGGGGCAAGCAGCAAGGCCGGGGAATGAGCAAGCCCCGGAGGCGGTGTCGGGCTGACGTCCAGAGGCTGTGCATGCCAGCGCCCTCCGGGGCCCAGCCCAGCTCCTGACCCCCAACCTGGGCCTCGGCTTCCACTCTGCGCTGTGTCCTTAGCATCTTCTCACGTCACAGTCTCCTGCGCGGCATATTTCATGACTGTGTAATTGTCCTTCAAATAGACACACCCCACCCCTCACCAACCTTTCCTGGAAAACAAATTGTCTTTGCCCACAGCCTGATTTCATCTTGGCGCCTCCTGACGCCCTTGAGGCTGATGTGCCTTGCTGGAGCTCCTCACAGTGGGCCAGGGCAGGCCCATCTAGGTCCTTTTTCCTTTCTCATGACCATCCAGGTCAGAAAATTGGAGGTTCCTTTGATGCTGGCAGAGCTGGCTCTGCCTCTGACCCTGTCCTTAATGTGTGTGCATAGTGTTTCCTGTCCAGAATGCCTCTCTTTTGGAGTGGCGGCAGACAGAAGACTCAGCCACAGGCTTCCTGAGGGCACCCCCAACTCTGTCCTGGGTGGCAGTGATCCTGGTCCCTGTGGCTTGGCAGGCCCTCCCCATCCGTGGACCTTGGGCAGAGAAGTGGCATCACGTGGCTGAGGTGAGGGGCAGGTTCTCTTGAATTTCCTGGCTCGTAGGAGATTCCTGCCCCCTGCCCCCCAACCCCTTTATTTTGCAGCCCGAAGGGATGAAGTCTTCACTGGAGAAAAATCCAACATGATTTCGGATTGAGGAGGGTGGTGGGTGTTCTGGAAGAAGGAAAGTTGGCGGGCCCTGCCCTCGCCTATCACGCACAAAGAATGAGGGACACTCCCCACCGTTTCCCCACCGTGAACATCCCCAGCACCTCAGGGCCTGGGCTCCATGTGTCAGTGACCTGCATGTGGTTGCATTGGCCTGAGCGGAGCTGGCTGCATGCAAACCACTGGCCAGGAAGAATCCCACTCCTGCTGCTGCTCCTGCAGCTGCGCCGGGTCCCGCGAGCCCCCGCGTGCGCGGCCTGTGTAAACAGTGCGTCATCTCCTGTTGCACACTTTGGGCCTGCGGGTCACGACCAGGGATTATCAAATTGACAGAGCTCAGCTGGCCTCTCACTCCACGTCCGGGCACATTGCATTTTGTTAATTATCGTCTTTTGCTTTTGACGTAAAGGGTCGGGGTCTGGGTCAGGGTCACTGTGTATTTTCCTTTCCTTCTCATTAAAGTTGCCCAGCTCTCAGGGCCCCCAGTTAAATTCTGCCAGCGTTTAAAGATATCTTCCCTCGCTTCCCGACCCCTAAGCGCACTTCTTCCTTATTTCTGTGAAGCCACTGGAATAGCAAAGGAAATGTGGGTCAGGGTCTTTCAAACCCAGTCCATTTTATTTTTCTTGAAGGGCTGCAGCTATTTCTGAAGGGCTGGGTTTTTCTACTTTGTTGGCCCAGAGAACATGACACGCTGGGTCTCAGGCTGACCAGGTCAGCAGGGCACTGTGAAGGGGCTGGAACCACCCCCGACGCTTTGCAGCCCCAAGGCAAGGCTTGCTCCCAGCACTTCCCAGCCACACGGCCCTCACTTGGTTGCTCATAGCCCTGAGCCTGCTGTCTGCCTGTGATCCTCAGTGCAACCCTACCATCTGAAAGGGGTCTAGAAAAGTGTCAGTTCTGCCATTAGGAAAAGTGAATTCATCCAGAGCTCTAGTCTTGGAAGAGTTCCTAGCGCACAAATGGCATGAGCTGGAGGATAGAAGGGTCCTCCCTATTGCCTGGCTAAACCCCCTTTACCCTTTGGGCCATGATCAAACCTCTCCACAGCCGTGGAGCCACCTGTGTCTAAAGAGGCCACCTCTGTGAGCGCTCTCTCCTAGGTGCTGAGGGGCTGTGACCTGCACTCTACAGCCTGCAGTCCTTGCTGACCTTGAACTCCTGCCATTGGCCAACAGAGTTGGTCTCTGGGGTCCTTAGGGTGGACCTCATGGCCTGGGCACAGAATGGGCACTCAGGGAACCCGTATGGCTGATGGACCCCAGCTGAAGAAGCTTTCCGACTGGTCACTGGAGCAGTGGCCCCACCTCCACCTCTGCTCACAAAGACAGCTCCCATGCCTTGAAGTCTCTTCCTGGCCTGGTGGAAAACCCAGCTACCCTCATGGTCACCACCAAAGAGGTACAAGAGATCCTCAGCCAAAGAATTAAGGAGGTTGCAAGAGTGGTGGTGTGTGTCTGCACCATGATGGAGTCACAGGCCTTTCGTGGATGCTGGTTACTTCTGAACACTGTGTCATGGTGTCACTCCCACTTTCTCCTCCGCCAGACACACAAGACTCCAGAGAGCCCAGAGACCCCTTAGACTCTAGGTCTTTGGACTGTTCACCAAGGAAAGATAAAAATGGCAGACTGGATGCCATCTTCCTAAAGGCATCATGGCCTCTGGAAGGGCCCTGGAGAGGCCCCTTTGAGAGTTGGAGACAAGGGAAGATCCAGAGTTTCTTTGAGGGGGGACTGAAGCTTAAATAACTTGCTGAGCATGCTTTTTAAGAAAAAGAATAGGAGGTTAGGTACAAAAGTGAATATTGAGAAGGAGAAAAGAAATCACAACAAATTACTGAGGGCTTGGAGATTCATATCCTTTTCATCTGTGACCTCAATTTCCCGGAAGTGCTTCTGTAGAAATGCTCTGTCTCCCAAGATAGAGCATTCTGTAGCTCCCAGGACTACAAATAAAGGACTACTCCGTCTCAATTAACAAACAAACAAACAAAACCCTAAAGCTTCGGCCTCCTCAGCTTCATTGCAGATCTGCTTCTTTTTTTTTTTTTTTTTTTTTTTTTTGAGATAGAGTCTTGCTCTGTCGCCCAGTCTGGGGTCCAGTGGTGCGATCTCGGCTCACAGCAACCTCCACCTCCTGGAGTCAAGCAATCCTCTCGCCTCAGCCTCCTGCATAGCTGGGACTATAGGCATACACCACCACGCCTGGCTAATTTTTGTATTTTTAGTAGAGACGGGGTTTCATCATGTTGGCCAGGCTGGTCTCGAACTCCTGACCTCAGGTGATCCACCTCCCTCGGCCTCCCAAAGTGCTGGGATTCCAGGCGTGAGCCACTGCGCCCGGCCTCAGATCCGCTTCTGATTGGAGGCTGTGCCCACCTTCATGGGAAACGGTGAGCATCACCTTCCTTTGAACTCAAAAGAGGCACAGTGAGAGCCTTCCAGCCTCGATCACAAGGACCTCTACCCACAGGCTGCCGGTCCGGTGTGTCTCTGCCTGGCAGGGCTGTGCCTGGCACGGTGCCCGGGCCGTGCAGTCCATCGCCTGGGCTGACCACGAGGACACCCCGGTGAAGAGCTGGGCGTGCTTGGGCCGAGGGCTGCTGGATGTTGGCATCAGGCCCAGGGTGGAGGGAGGGACAGGCCACGAGCCCGCACAGCTCGTGAGCGTGTGGCCGGACTGATTTATTTTTCTCCCCAGTGACCCCGAAAACCAAACCCTGCCTTCTTTCCTTTGGTCTGTTCTTGTCTGGGGCTTGTGGATCACGTCTCCTGCCTGGCCATGGACAGAGAAAGGAACCACTCCAGACGGACGTGAGGGTGTGTGGCAGTGGCTTTTCCACATGGCCCTGAAGGTTTTGATTAAAAAGGTGGAAGAATGGTGCTTTTTCTTCCTGTCAGCCAGGCCTTAAATCAACCCTCAAGTGAGGAAATGCTCTCTGCGCCTGCTGCTCAGCAAACCTTTTTCTCTGGTTGTGACCGTATGAGCATGTTTAATTGCAAGCCAGGGTTTAGGGTTGGAACAGCCCCCATTCGCCCCACCACCCTCTGCTTTCCCCACCCCAGACCCCGTCGCTGCAGCTGGGTGAGCAGGGCTGAGTGAGCTCAGGGAATCGGAGCTCGGCGAGACGAGGGGAGCTCTTGGCCGTGTGAAGAGCACTTGGAGGCCTCCTGCTCACCTGGCCTAAGCCCCTGATTTTACAGATGGTGAATTCGTCTGGATTCTTGGCAGCAAGTGGCAGATACTTTCCTCCCAGTTGCTCAAACAAAGAGGGAATTTACTGCAGAGATGAGGAGGAGGGCGTTCTCTCCTATGGTCAAATGAAACCATGAGACCGACACGGCGGTACCTAGGCTGGGAACCCCCGAACCAGGGCACTTCTCCCCCACCCAGCAACCCTATCCTACAGTTTCTTCCTGAGATGGCCACGGCCCCTCCATCTGGTTTTAATTAAGAAAATTCCTTAGCACTGTGATTGGCCCAGCATGTTACAAAGGCAGGAGGCAGAGCAGATGACCCCATAAAGGACCTTCTGGTGGACAGACCTGCTATTCTCTATCTCCTTCTTTCCTGCTGTGAACGTTCACACTCATGCACACAGGCGCGTGCACACACACACACACTTATCCAACAAGCATATTGAGCACCTACTATGTGCCAGGAACATCATCAGTTCATTCAGCAAAGCAGAGTGGAGAGATTGCAGGGTTTGGAACTGGGCAGGCCTGGATTTGCGTCTCAGGTCTGCTACTTGCTAAGCGTTCCGTCTGCGGGCATTTGCGGAACCCTCACAGCACACCTGGTGCCGTGCTGCATTCCATCCTGATAAGCAGGAATGAGACCACATTCCTCCTTTCACAGAGCTCTCTAGGGCTCTGTTTCCACATCTGTGACCCCGGAACAGTAAGCCCCCACCTCACAGTGTTGTTCTGGAGAGCAACAGGAGTAAAAATTTATGAGAAAACCCACATCAAGGCCCAGCACAACGCCTGCCTCTCTCAGGGGCCGTGACTGTTAGGCCGGCCCGTCCCTCAGGCGCCCACAGCAGCCTCCAGCCCTGGCTCCTGCTAAAGACCCGACTCCCACCCCTGCCCCCGCCCAGGCCAGGCTTCCCGTAGCTGACGCAGATCCCCTCGAGGAGGGTCAAGGGGCGGCCAGGGTATGGTTGTGGGAGTGCCCCTCCTCTGTTCCCGCCCCGGAGGAGAAATGAGGGTGGCCTCCCAAGAAATGACCTCCACCCCATGACAGCAGAACAGGGCAGCCCCCTTGTGTGGAAGGAAGGGGACCCCTGGGAGCCCCTTTCTTCCAGAGAGTCTCTCTCTCCTGCTCAGCCTTCCTGAAAGCTGAGCCTGTCCACGTTGGGAAATTGCAAATAGTTTACATGGGGAATGTCAGCTGCCCACATATGAAAATATACACATCATTAAGCCCTAAGTGCTTGCGTCTGGAGATAGAGTGGACAGTCTCCCGGGCCGACCTTTTGTCCACTGACGGAACCATGGCTAATGAGCGCGGAGCTCCTCAGTGGGATGTTTTCCTCTACTGAAGTGAAGCATATGTTGGACGTTAGCGTGTGTGTGTGTGTGAGAGAGAGAGACACATGACAGCACTATACAAACACCATTGGTCAAAACACACAGAGTCCACCGCACCTCCTTATCCAGCCCCCATGGGCCTCCAGGGAGGGCTTGTTCCTCAACACCACATCCTCCTGCACACTGTCTAGGAAGGAATGTGGCATCCTTGGAGTACATGCTGGTGCTCAGGGATAAGGTTCTCTGGCCAGATTCCCTAGGTTTGAATCCTGTCTTTGCTCCCAGGCCAACTATGTGCCCTTGAGCAAGTTACTTAACTTCTGAGCCTATTTCTGCGCCTGTGAAGTGAGGACAGTAAGAATAATAAAACCTATCTTAAGAAGATCAAACAAGGTTACTCCACATAAAGCTCCTAGGACCTGGCATATCATAAGTGGGTGCTCAAGAAAAGGCAATGATGGCCGGGTGTGGTGACGCATACCTGTAATCCCAGCACTTTGGGAGGCTGAGGCAGGTGGATCACTTGAGGCCAGGAGTTTGAGACCAGCCTGGCCAACATGGTGAAACACCGTCTCTACTAAAAATACAAAAATTAGTCAGGTGTTGTGGGGCGTGCCTGTAATCCCAGCTACTCAGAAGGCTGAGGCATGAGAATAACTTGAACCTGGGAGGTGGAGCTTGCAGTGAGCCAAGATTGTGCCACTGCACTCCAGCCTGGGTGACAGAGTGAGACTCTGTCTCAAAAAAAAAAAAAAAAAAAAAAGAAAAAGAAAAAAGAAATGGCAGTGATGGCAGTGATGATGAGAATGATCGTAGCAGCCTTCTCCAGGAGGTGAGGCTGGAAGAACGGTCCTGCCTGCTGGGAGGATCATCTTAGATGTGGTTATGTCAGAAGCAGGTCCTAAAGAACTGGGTGGGGTTTGGACATGCCATGAAGGGGTGGGAAGGAACGAAGGGACCAAGCAAAGGTCCAGTAGCCAGAAAGCTGGAGCTCGCCCAGGAAACAGCCAGTGTGGGGCCAGAGCACTGGAGAGCAGGGGAAGAAAAGGGGAAGCAGGTCGGGCAGGGTGTTGGGGGCCAGGTCTAAGAAGCCACTAGACTTGGTCCTATAGGCATTGGGGGCCGCTGATGCTGTGTGGTGCAGAAAAACTCCTTTGGGGACCATTGTGTCAAATGAAAGAGCAAAGAGTAGCAGAGACCTGTGAGGAGCCTCCTCAATAGTCCAAACAAGAGAAGAGAATTCTCCAAACCAGGGTAGTCAGCTGGGGATGGAGAGGAGGCAGTGGGTGGCAGAGACGCCACGGCTGAGATTGCTAGATGTGAGTGTTCCCAGCTGTGAAATGGGGGCCAGCTGGTTTTGACTGGGGCCAAGGAGGCCAAAGCCATGTCCTTCCTAGAGGGCTGGCTCAGGATACCTGGTTAAGGGCTTATACCACTCAGATCCATGCCTCCCAGTCAGAGGTGCCAATCCTGGCCCCGCCATGGGCCAGCAAGTGACTTGCAGGGGACCCCTTCTCTCAGTTTCCCCATCTGTGCCATGAGTGGGTTGAAGGGCTGAGCCCTGAGGGGTCTTTCCTGGAGGGTCCTCTGATCTCCACCTCCTCCGCCGTCTCACTCCTGAATCTCTGAACGAGTATCAGGCCTGTGTTTCTGGACAGTTCCCAGGGTGACGCGGGGCAAAGGATTATCGGTGGCTCTGGGGAGGCCTCTGGGTGTAGCTCTGAGTTGATTTCATGGTCTTTCAGTCCCGCTTCATCCCTGGGTGCCTCCAAGGGCACCAGCCAAGTACAACTGATTCCATCTCCACCCTGACACTTGAAACAAGGGATGTTAATACAGGGAGATGCTTTGGGAACCAGAGCCTCAAACATCTGGAGTTTCGCACTGATGCAGGAAATGATGTCCCTTCCTCACGTCAGTCATTCATGGTGCAGAGGCAGGGAGCAGTGCCGGGAGAGCAGGTGCAGCCGCCTTGGCGACGCCATCCTCGGGGCTGATAACTCAGCCACTGATAGCTGCCCCAGGAGGGGGTCAGCCTCAAGCTACGGCAGCATTCCTGCCAGCCGTTCCTGCTTATTTCCCATGATCTTCACTAGTCCCTCTGACTCCGAACAGCATCTCCCTTTCTGTTCAGTGCTGACTCTGTCCTCCAGGCGCTGGCCCTGCAGTCCAGCTTCTCTCTCCTTCAAGGTCCAGGCCTGTATGACCTCTCTAGGGCTCCCTCTCGAATTGATCGCTCTCTCTCTCTCTTTTTTTTTTTTTTAATTTGAGACTGCTTCTCACTCTGTTGCCCAGGTTGGAGTGCAGTGGCTCAGTGATCTCGGCTCACTGCAACCTCCGCCTCCTGGGTTCAAGCGATTCTCGTGCCTCAGCCTCCTGAGTAGCTGGGACTACAGGCGCATGCCACCATGCCCAGCTAACTTTTGTATTTTTAGTAGAGATGGGGTTTCACCATGTTGGCCAGGCTGGACTCGAACTCCTGACCTCAAGTGATCCACACACCTCGGCCTGCCGAAGTGCTAGGATTACAGGCGTGAGCCACCGCACCTGGCTGAATTGATCCCCTTTTTCCCCTCAGTTGTTGTTGCAGAGGCCGTACTCCTCTGGTCTGAGATTATAGTCAGTTGGTAATTATTCCAGGTGTGCCCACCTGGCCTCCCAAGTCTTTGGGGACCAGAAGGCTGGCAGGCCGTTGGGGTGAAGGAGCATAGGGAAGCAATGGCACCACCTTGTGGACGGCCTGCTTCATGGGCCTTGGCTGAATGCGTGGAGGCAGAACTGGGGTTGGGCTGTCGCCTGCCCTTGTGCTTGGGTCCCTACCTCTGTAATGCCACTGAGGGTGGGTGTCTGAGCATCAGCCTCGGGTGTGGTGGGTGATCCACACGTGCTTCCCGGATTCAGTGCTGAGTGTGGTGCCCACTGGGGTGGCTTCATGCCCAGGCCTGGCCCCTGCCTTCCTCCTCAGCACCCCTCCTCCCCAGCCTGCCTCAGTGTCTGAAATACTCCAGATCATTCCTGCTTCAGGTTAAGCACAGATGGCGCCTGTGAAGCGGCAGTTGACCTGGGAGGGGTGCGGCAATGAGCATTTGCTGTACCAAGGGGTGCTGGGGGCAAGGGATTAGCCAGCAAGTCACCCCATTCACTCTAAACCCATTGCTGTACAAATGCAGCTTCAGGACAGGCCCCTAGTTCTTCTCTCCAACCACACTGCCACCCCAACAGTCTCATCATTGAAAATTCCAAGGCCTCCCGTGCATTGAATCGTTAGTGGTCAGCAATACATCATCCACACCATGCCTGAATATCCCAGAGGTTTCTGCTCTGATGGAACAGAAGATGAGAGAGGCGACCTACGCGGCATGATACGGTTTAGGGTCACAGCAGCAGAGGATGCATGAGATGAGGACAAAAAGGAGGGGAGAGGCTTAGAGAGGAGTGAAGGTGCGAAGTCACCCTAGGCGTACTTCATCCGTTTCGGTGGGGGGTCTGCCCTACTTATGTTCCAAGTGATGGGAAGAGCTTTTCTCCGTGCCCTGTGGTGCCCAGAAAAACATCCCAGGCAAGTTTCATCTCTTGCTACCTGAAGAGGTACATTCTGGTCATCACAGATATCAGGAACTGCCCGGATCCCCAGAACCAGTGGCATAGAGCAGAGAGCGAGTCTGGGCCATAGGGAAGAGGTGGTAAGAAGGAGTGAGTCATCGGGGGTCCCGAGGGGAGTTCCAAACCAGCACGAGCTCTGTCCGATCTGCCCGCTGGAATAGCAGGCAGCCTTGGCTCCCCTGGCCCAGTGCGGCCCCAGGTTCCTCCAGTGCAGGATTCAAGGTCAATTTCCCATCCCAAGAGAGAGGCAGGGCAGGTTCTTTTACCTCCAGGTGAAGGGGGCTTTTATACAGAAGAACCAGCTCACAGAGCAGGCAGAGTGCCCCCAGCTTCAAGGTTACCTCTGTCCCTCCCCAGCTTCAGGGGGGACCAGAAGGGGAGAGTCCTTCACCAAAGAAGTGGGTGGGGAGCTCAGCGCTGGGGAGTGATTGCCAGAGGGGTTCTCACAGCCCGCAGTTCCTCATGGCAGGCAAGGCCTTTCTCATCCAGCCAGAGGGGAGAGATGTCTCCTGCCAGCACCCCAGGCTACACAGCTGTGTCCCCAGGGCGTATCTTGGTGTCTTCAGCTGTCCCAGAGAGATGATTACAGAGCCCTGCTCAGGGATAGCTGGGTGTCACCCTGACTGTCATCAGAGTGGACTCTGGCAGGGCCAGGCTGAGGCTGACCACTGTGTAGCTTCAGCTGTGCAAGGCCACAAGGGGCAGGCATTCATGGCGGGGACTTCAAGCAGAGAAACTCCCCTGCTCCTTCCAGTTAACTTGATCCTTTCAAAGGAACCTTGGTGCCCAAATTCACTGTTGTGTTAAAGTCGAGGTCTGCAGCTAGAGCTGTTTAAGGAGACCACCTGGTGACCTGAGGGGGTCCCGGACCCCTGGGGCAATTTTACCAACGAGCACCACCAAGACCCCTTCCAACCTGGCTGCCTTCACCTCTGCAGGTATCTACAGGCCTTGAGGCCCTCACGCTTGGATTTCTGTATGGTTAGACATTCAAGGGGCATCTTTGATGGGGGAAGCGTGGCACCCCTGACCATCAGCTCCATCCCAGAGGGACATCCCTGCAGGAAGAGCTAGAGTGCTGCCCAGCCATAGCTCTCCTGACACTCCTGAGTCCTCAGTGGAGTGAGGGTAACATTTCTCTCCAGAACCCACCCGGCCTGTAGGGTTCCCCCCTCTCCCTTCTCCAGCCCACCGCCCACCAGCCAGGCATCTGAAACTGCATGGAATTCTCCTGCCTTGAAAGACCCAGTGGATGGATCCCGGTGCTGAGCTGAGGTTACTCAGAACCCCAGAGCCCTCTGAGCTTCTGGGTGCCTTGTTTCTTACACGGTGTATCCGATCTGACACGCAGCCAGCGGAGGGCCTTCTTAAAGAGTCTCTCTTTGTAAGTGACTTCCAGGGAAGGACCAGACATCCTCTGGTTCCATTGATGCAAATAATAAATGTCCGACTACAACTACTCGCTTCTTACCCTTCTGGCAGGTTTGGGCTTTAGTTTCAGACGCAATGGCCAGCAGCTTCTTATTCCCATCTTACTGGCAAAGGTGTCACTCCCTGGAGGCACTTGAAAGGGGGTTGGGTTGGAATTGTTTAATCTCTTCAAGTCGAGCCAGTGGTTATAAAGCCAGACATTATTACCCACTCATTAACTCCCTTGTTAGGGCTTTGCCCTTGGGCAGAGCTCCCCTGCCAGCCAATCCAAAGTATGAGAGTGGTGTGACTTCATGTACACAGTTGGGTCACCTCTAGACCCTGGACAATCCCCTTCTCCCATCTGCTGAGAAGGGAGTTCAGTTGGCTGTCCCTGCCTGCAGGTAGGAGGGTCAAATTCTGCTTTGCCCCTTATTCCGTCTTCTATAAAGCCTTTCCCAGATGACCCCAGCTCACAATGACCCCTCCCTTCTCTGAGCCGTGGGGCTCATTGTCTCGAGCTGCATCACTTGCCTCTGCTATGGGACCAAACAGCACCCTGGTCCTCATGCTGAGCTCTGCAGAGTACCGGGGGCTAGGGTCAGACCTTATGGGTCCTGAGGGGATAAGGTGAGAGTGGGGCACAGGTGGCCCAGACAGCCCACTCCCTCCAGCCAGATCTCACTCATTAGACACCCAACCTAGGTTCAAATCCCCTCTCAGGCACTTACTGGCTGAGTGACCCTGAGAAAATTGCTTAACCTTTCTGGACCTCGGTTTCCTCATCTGCAAAATGGACACTATAATAATAGCCACCTCAGGATATGATTCAGTGAATTAATGAAGCAATGTGTTTAGCCCAGGACCTAACTAGAGTTAGCCTTCAGTATATGTAAGCTATTGTTACCAATTAAGTTATTTTTATAGGTTTTAAATATTGGGTCTGTGGATAAATTTCATTTGGAGGAGAAAAGTTTGCTACTAAAACAAACAAACAAACAAAAAAAAAAAACAAGAAGAAAGAAGGTTTGAAAGCCATTGAATTTCAACCAACCCATTTTGTACATCACCATGTACAGTACAACCGAGAGGCATAAGAACTTTTCTGTTGGGATATTATACCTTATAATATATCATTTCTGTCTTACTGGAGAAAAAGTATTTTGAGGTCAAAACCACACTAGCTCCATCTCTTTTTTCTTTTTTTTCTTTTTCTTTCTTTTTTTTTTTTCTTTTTTCTTTTGAGACAGGGTCTCACCGTGTTGCCTAGGCTGTAGTGCAGTGGTGTGATCATGACTCACTGCAGCCTCGACCTCTTGGGTTCAAGGAATCCTCCCGCCTCAGCCTCCCAAGTAGCCGAGACTACAGGCAAGCCACCATGTTTGGCTAATTTCTTTTTTTATTTTTAGTAGAGATAGGCTGTCACTATGTTTCCCAGGCTGGTCTCAAACTCTTGGCCTCAAGCAATCCTCCTGCCTTGGCCTCCCAAAGTGCTGGCATTACAGGCATGAGCCACTGAGTCCTGCCTGGCTTCATCTTCATCTTTTAATTCTACCCCTGCCCAGCACCAGGCTGTGCCTGTGGTGGGTAAGGGTGGGTCCTTCCTAGGTGGAAACAAAGGCAGAACCCTGCAGAGTGCACACAGGTGGGCAACTCAGGTCCCCCTTCTGACCATTCTGTTTCTCCCCATGGCCCACCCTGCTGGCATCTCTATCTGGTCCTTGCTGACTCGCACCAGGCTCAAGGTCATATCCTGGCACAACACATTGTATCGTCTTGCTCACGAACAGACAACCAGCACCAGCTCCGTGCCAGGCCTTGGGCCCTCCTGGACTAAGGGTGCCAAGCCATCGGCTCTCTCCTTCCTGAAGCAGATTTGCCCAGGGCCTCGGGATTTGTGCTAATATTCAGTTGCTCTGAAGTAGCCTGGAGGTACTGGTTCCCAAGAGACTCAGCTGCCAGAATTTCCAAGAAAGTTCTCCAAGTCTTAGAGGCACAAGCCCCCAGTTGTCGACTCCCAAATCTCAAAGGACCCTTCAGGCATCTCTGGAGCAGCTCCTTCCTGTTTCAGAGGGTGAGACGGAGGCACAAAATGGCCAAGGTCAGAGGCCGGGCCAGAGCTCAGGCTCCTGGCTCTTGGCCTGGGGCTCCTCCCATGACATCGAGGATCTTTTCTGCAAAAGTTGTGACCCGTGCTCTGTGGGTTGCTCTTCTGTGTCTCCTGGGGCAGAGTGGGAAGGCAGGTGGGAGACAGCAGCCACTACCCAGGCTGCTGTTGGTAACTGGGAAATGTGCTCTGAGACTGCTGTTTGGTGGGAATGGCTTGGCCTGCACTTGGGTAAGTGGTGTTTACTGTCACAGCAGCTCGCATCCACACTGCAGGCTGCCCCCCAAGAAGCTGAAGCCTCTCAGGCCTGGCTCAGCTGGGAGACCCTGAGGGCAGGGGTGAGCCTGCAGAGAGGGCTGGACCTAGAAAAGAAATAAAGAAGGAAGGAAGGGATTTGGACATTCAGAACCGTGGGGAACAGAAAACAAGCCACTGATTCCATTCACCAAGGACAGGCCAGCTGCTGCCTCGGGCGTCCCCTCCACCCCCAGGGATTGACACCCCCGCCCAGAAACCATCCAGTGGACTCTTAGCAAATCAGCCCCATAGGGAAGAGGAGGCAAGGCTTTCAGATTTCAGCATCCTTTTGGGAGAGAGCTGTGTCCACACCCCATCTTTCTGAGTCCACTCCCAGCAATTTTCTCAATTATCTCTTTAATTTATTAAAAACCCATCTCAAAGCCCAGCTGGTGAGTCAGCCCCTGGGAACAGCTGGCAGAGGGTGAATGGTGGGAGGAGGGGAGGGGGTGGGTAAGGCCTGCCCTGGGTGGAGCTGCCTTCCAGATGCGGCCGCCACTCCTGGGTAGGACACAGCAACTCTCTGAAATGTCCTTTCAAATTTAAAATACTCAGGCCAGCAGCTTAACCTAGAAAGATAAAGAAACAACGGTGGTGACATTTATTACGTGCTTGCTACTACTGCCAGATCTGGGCCAAATGCCTTACCTGAAGCTTTTATTGATTTGCTCCAAGAGAAACTCCTATTCCTGATTGTCTTCCTGACAAGAGTGAGGCTGAGCAGTTAAGACCAAGGCCACAGCTGCGAGTCACAGATCTGGGATTCAAACCCAAGCCTGCAGCTCCGGGGCTATAGCTCCCCTCCCCTCCTCACCACCCTCCTCCCTCCTGAGCCTTCCTGTCCACCTTGGCCTGATCCAAACCCTTTCACACATGAACCTCGAGGCTGGGCAGGTGTTCATCTTCTCTTTTGCCCTCGGAGGAAAGAAGCCCAGCATGGCCAAGGGGCGTCACCAAGCCTGCTGGGGGCTCAGTGATGAGCTGGGTCACGCTGCACAGCCCCTTATGGTTGGGAGCATTTGCACACCTTGTCAGCTCTGACTACATGCCCAGGCCATGGGGACTGTCATTATCAATGTTTTGCAGATGAGGAATGAGGCTCAGAGAAGCCAAGTGACCTCCATGAGGTCACACAGCCTGTAAGTGACACAGTCAGAAGTCTCATCCTGAACCTAGGCTCATTCACCACCTTCCAGCTCAGCCACCTCCCCAAACCACCAGTGTCCAGGTAGCCCTGAGCCAGGTGCAGCCTGGAGGGGGCAGCAGGTCACACACTGGGGCACAGACGGGCTGCCAGATGTACCAGCACCTGGAGCGTGGCTGGTTCTTGGCCCAACACCTGTGGGCAAACCCGGCCGCACTGCTGCTGGCTCCTCACTGACCACCTCCCTTCCCTTCCTTCTTCCAGTCCCCTGTTTTCATAGCCCAAGTTGGCCAAGACCTGGTCTCCCAGACGGAGGAGAAGCTCCTACAGAAGCCGTGCAAAGAACTCTTTTCTGCCTGTGCACAGTAAGTGCCGTAGTCACCTGGCCTGTCCTCCCCGGGCTGCCCAGAGATGGGATGCCGCAGCTCTCCACCTGACCATACAGGGCACTGAGGCAGGTCTTCCATGCCTGACAGCTTCAGCCAAGTTATACCAACTGTTTGTATACTTCCCACGAAGAGAAAAAGATATCAAGGTGCCAAGTCCAAAGAAAACATCTGCTGCAAAGGGTATTGAAAGCAAGTGGCTCTCCAGGCTGTTGAGACAGAGGAATGTGCAAACATTTGACCCTGTCTGGGTGGTTTGGAAGTCTTTCCCAGGGTCCTCAACCCCCACCACTGCCACCAACCCGAGCCAGTGCTACTGATGCAGGGGGAGCTTCTCAGCCAAACCCCATCACCTTGTCTGCAGGTGGCACGTCTGCCGTGCAGGAGGTGACACAAGTCGATGGCCATGCTGCCAGCAGAGCACCAACTAAACCCCCACCCCATCCTGCACACACACACTCTGAAGGCATGAGCACTGAGGAGCACACACAAGTCACTTGCTGACACACGCAAGCACACACACACACACATACACACACACAGGCTCATGAAAGTTCTCCAAAGCCAGGTTACCCCACATAGTTGGATGATCTTAGGGGCTTTTTGTGTGCCCTTATTCAGCACCACAGACATCAATTGAGTACCTACTGTGTACCTGGCACTGTGCTGGGTGCTGGGGGATACCAAGGTGAACAAGAACCCAATCCTGGCTTTCATGGAGTTTTTACAAGAAAAACAGCAACCTGCATGCACTTTGAGGGGAGCTGGGAGGGCCGTCCTGGGACCAAGCAGTGGGTTAGGTGCTGGAGAGAGGCCCTGGTGGGCAGAGCAAGCTTGGTTGCTGCTCTCTTGGAGCTGCCCAGGAATCAGATCCAACAGTGGGTGGGGTCTTGGTTGGTGACTCTGACCCTGAGGGAATGGCCATCTTGGCTCCCAACGATGGCTTTCAGGTTTGGCAGGACACAGACTCTGACGTGCCCCACCTGCCATAGTCCCCTCCCTTCCCCAGGCTCCAAGTGCCTGTGCTAGATTACTCAGTGTGGCCACTTTCTAAAGGAAAGAAGCTGCCTGCAGACAGTTTCAGAACCTGCCCTGATGGCCTAAGACCCATAGAGATCCACAGCATCCCAGGGCTCGGCCTGGCACCTGGCCCACAGCAGGTGACCAGTGAATTCCAATGCATGCATAAAAAAACTCCCAGTGGCTTTGCTAGTCCAAGACCAGATCCAGAGCTGCGGTTCTGAGGGGCTGTGGCCCCACCCTTCCCCCAACCACCCACCACCCCTGATTCCCAGCCCCTCATTAAGTCTTCGTCTGTTCTCAGCTTAAGGTCACTTTTTAGAGAGACCCCTCTACCCTTCCAGTCCCCCCAAACTCATTCATGATGACATACCTCTGGGATCATTTATTTCATGTTTGCTATTCACTGTTTGTGTCCCACATACAATGCCAACCCCTTGCTCCCAGCTATATCCCAGGGCCTAGAACAGTGCCCAACACTTGGCAGGTACCCAACAAGTGTTGGCAGGACCAACCAATTTCATACAACCCTCAGTAGAATGGCAGGACCTCTGGCCAGACGTGCTGCATCTGCATGGGTTGAGAGGCCCTGTTTACTTGCATTTCCAAAGCTGGACACAGCTTTGCCCCCCTGCTTGAAGATCGGGATTATAAAATGTTCATCCTCTTGTTCCATCTGCACTAGGTCTGTCCACGAGTACCTGAGGGGAGAACCATTCCACGAATATCTGGACAGCATGTTTTTTGACCGCTTTCTCCAGTGGAAGTGGTTGGAAAGGTGAGTCCACCACACCCCATACAGATCAGGGAGGCAGAGGGTACACATTTTTCATCTGAGAATTCATATAAAAATCAGTTACCTCCCGTGGGCTCATGGTTAAAACAAAATTAACCCGACTCCCCCTGTTAATTAAGTTGTGTATTCTAGAAATGCTGTATGCTTATTCAAGCACACACACATACACACACACACACACACACACACACACAAACACACATTCACGCAAATGTAAACAGCATCTCGTTCTTACTTTTTTTACTTCACTGTCTTTGTCAGCAAATAAAGAGCTGCCATATTCCTTGGAATAGTTGCACATCCTTGATTTAATCCAGTGCCCTGTTGATGGATATTGAGTTGGTTCTCCATTTTTCTGTGTGGAGCCCTCCCTAAATAATAAATAGCTTTGTACATAAATCTTTAAGTACTTCTGCAAGTACATCCAGAGAAATTCCTAGCAGAGGAATTTCTGGGTCAGAAGGCACCTGATTTTAAACCGTGAGTGCTGTTAAGCTGCTGTCCAAAACAGCTGCCCCTGACCTCCAGTGCCACAGTGCCCGAGTGCCTGCTCCTCAGCTTCATCAATGCTGTTCTCGTCTTTTCCTATCCCGTGAGTGAGCAGGGCGCTTCCTTGTTGCTTATTTTCTTGTCTCTCTAATAATGGGGGAGACCAAGTGTCTTTTCTTGTGTGCTTGCTGTCTAATTCTCTTCAAAGTACTCGCCCATGCGTGGCTGTGACTTGGGCAGATGTGTCCCTCTGTGACAGATGAGGAAGCAGAACATAGGACCTGACTTAGCTTCCCAGCAAGCCAGCAGTGCTGCCGACGAGGCCCCGGCCCTGAGCCCCCAGCGCAGTGCTCTGCTACCTTCACTGGCCCAGGATTTGCAGAGCGGGGCGATGCCTGTGTAAAATCCATGCCGGGCCGAGCTGGTAGATGAGGGTGGGAGCCTCCCCTCCCACAGCCCAGAGTCCCTGTCCCCAGAGGCCTGGCATGCACAGCCATCTGGGGGCATCCAGTGAGAAAGGAGCCATCCACTGCTGCCTGCCAGCCCCACAGCTGGCTGTGTCCCCCGTAGACACTCAGGAAGCTGCAGGCCAGGAGCCCTTCTGAACCCCACTCACAGCCCTTCCCTGCCTGCTTCCAGAAATCCAGCAGAAAACCCTTGGCTCTGCGGCCATGGATGGGTGGTTTCTCTCCACCTGACTGGTGGGGATGACAGCGTGACCAGAGATAGTCTCCTTAGTGGCCGCTGTCCACCCTGCACAGGCACATCATGACTCCAGGAAAGCTTGAGAGGCAAAGGATTGGCCTAGACATCTACTGAGGGCACCAGAGCCCCCAGCCTGGGTCCGAGTCCCGCCTCTGCCTCTTCCCAAGGAGGGTCCTCAGAAAGGGTCACTCACGACTCTACACCTCAGTGTCCTCATTTGTAAAATGTGGATGATTGTGCCTGCATTGTGGGCTTGGGCTGAGGAGGAGATAAGATAAGCACAACACCTGCTGGAACAAGGCAGGTGTTCCGCAAAGCTCAGCCATTTGGCCACAGGAAGTAAACTGCTGAATGCAGTTGTTGCATCCATCACCACCATCATCACCATCACCACCATCATCAGCATCACTGCATCAATATCCCACCGCCATCATCAGCATCACCGCCATCATCAGTATCACCATCATCATCAGTATACCGCCATCAACAGCATCACCACCTTCATCAACATCACCACCATCATCAGCATCATCACCATCATCAGCATCACCACCATCATCAGTATCATTGCCATCAACAGCATCACTGCCATCAACAGCATCACCACCATCATCAGCATCACTGCTGTTATCAATATCCCACCACCATCAACAGCATCACTGCCATAAACAGCATCACCGCCATCAACATCACCACCATCAACAGCATCACAGCCATCAGCAGCATCACAGCCATCAGCAGCATCACCACCATCATCAATATCACTGCCATCATCACCATCATCAGCATCACCGCCATCATCAGCATCACTGCTATCATCAGTATCACTGCCATCATCAGCATCACTGCTGTTATCAATATCCCACCGCCATCATCAGCATCACCGCCATCATCAGTATCACCGCCATCAACAGCATCACTGCCTTCATCAACATCACCACCATCATCAGCATCATCACCATCATCAGCATCAACCACCATCTTCAGCATCATCGCCATCAACAGCATCACTGCCATCAACAGCATCACTGCCTTCATCAACATCACCACCATCATCAGCATCATCACCATCATCAGCATCACCACCATCATCAGCATCACTGCCATCAACAGCGTCACCACCATCAGCAGCATCACTGCCATCATCAGCATCACCGCCATCATCAGCATCACCACCATCATCAGCATCACCGCCATCATCAGCATCACAGCCATCAGCAGCATCACCGCCATCATCAGTATCACCACCATCCTCAGTATCACCGCCATCATCAGCATCACCACCATCATCAGCATCATCACCATCATCAGCATCACTGCCATCATCAGCATCACTGCTATCATCAGTATCACCTCCATCATCAGCATCACTGCTGTTATCAATATCCCAGTGCCATCAACAGCATCACCACCATCATTAGTATCACCACCATCGTCAACATCACTGCCATCATCAGTATTACCACCATCAGCGGCATCACCACCATCATCAGCATCACCACCATCAACAGCATCACCACCATCATCAGCATCACTGCCATCATCAGCATCACTGCTGTTATCAATATCCCACTGCCATCAACAGCATTACTGCTATCATCAGTATCATCGCCACCGTCAGCATCACTGCCATCATCAGCCTCACTGCCATCATCAGCCTCACTGCCATCATCAGCATCACCGCCATCAACAGCATCACTGCCATTAGTCCCACTTCACCAGGTCTGATACTGGGAGGCACAGCCAACTCTTGCTGGAGGATCAGTCCTGATTCTGCCAATTACAGGGCAGTCTAGTGGAGCTGTGTTCGCCATGCCCACGCCCGGTTCTGGAGCCCTGGGCTGTGCAACACACAACCCCAATCTGTGTCCACCTTCCCAGAGTGGCAGTGTGGGGTCAGGATACAGAGCATGGGCTGCCTAGACCCCAACTCCAGCCCACCGCTACCAGCTAGGGCCTCGGGCAACTCATTTCACCTCTTGAAGCCTCAGCGTTCTCATCTGCAGAATGGGGACAATAATGATCCCTGCTCCCTGAGCTTGTGTGAGGATTATAGAAGCCCCCATGTGTGCTTGGAGCAGTAGGTATTGTTACTATAGAGACCCCCAGAGGGGGGCATGCCCTTTATTCCTAGGAGTTCAAATAATGACATCTGACACATCACCAGTTTACAAAGAGCCCTCCACTGGATGTAAGGCCTTCTCATGATCATTTTCCTCAGAGGAGTTGGAGCAGCCTTGGGCCACTCAGCAAGGGCCTGGCAAGGCTGGAACCTGAACCCAGAGGCCCCCTCCCAAGTCCTTGGGCCTTGGTCCACCCAGCACTCCAGTTCCCATAGCAGCCTTTGTCGGTGGTCACTGGCTTTCCTTTTTCTTATCTGCACCAAACACATGAAATGGAGAAATTATCCTTTTTACTCTGTGGCCTGATTGCAAAGAAGGCATTAAGTTTTTGGAGCCTGTAGGGCAGGACCCTGGCCTAGGAATGCCCTACATATCAGATAGCACCCTGCACAAGATCCTGCCTGGTTGGTGCTGTACTGCTGAAATAGTCAAGGGTTTTTTTCCTCCCAAGGTTAACCAAGAAATTCCTGGGAGCTTGCATTCCACTCATTTCCCCCAGCAGAGGAGTTCTGCGGAGATGTCAACCAACCGTTTCTCCTCCATGCATCGTAAACTGTTAGGCGGGCCGCCTTCATGTGGTTTCCGGGGGCGGCTGTAGGGAAGGCTTCCCAGGGCCACGTGGTCGAGGCAGGCGTGTGGCAGCTCTTCCCTTTGGCTGTCCAGCCGCTCCTGTGCAGAAGAGCGGGATACCCGCAGAGGGGCAGCTCTGCTTCGGTGGGGTTTGGGCCCTGTGTCCTGAGGAAGCACTGGTGAAGGGAGAAGTGAGCCATGGCACGCAAATTCAAGATGGGGTGCCAGAGAGTACCCTGGCTTTTCAGGGCCTTCCTCAGAGTGCGGCTGTGGTGCCACAGATGTGATTTCCAGGGAAGACTCATTCGTTCAAGAGCTGCTGGGTGACTGAAGGCTCCCTGGTCATCCTCAGCTGACCCAGTTCTTTGGCCCAGTTCTGCTCGATCCAACCCCTGCCCTGGTCGGGACTTTTGAGGAATTTAGGAGCAGGAGTTTAGTCTTGGAGAGCCAAGAGCCAATTTTCACGTTTTAAGCTGATTATTTGTAGCCAAACAGACCAGCAATGCAAACCACAAGCCCTCTGCACCGTGATGTCCTTTATGGCAACTAGATAGGACCATGTCTTTGCTTAGTCCAAAAAGTGCCATCATGCCTCATGATCAGAAGTTCTGTCTGATTCAATGTCATAAATGGCTTTGGCTCATTAAAACGAGGAGTTGGAAGACGCGAGGTGATCATTACTTCCAATCCGATCTTGGCAGGCAGGATCTTCTCATGTTCCTCATCTATGTGGGAAATACAATAAAGGGTCCTCAGTGGTGGAAAGGTTGGGAACCAATGGTAAAGATCCCCAGGACACGATTTGAAGACCAGCAGCCTCTGCCCCCTCCTGAGGCCGGGTCTTCTGGGCCAGCAGCAGGAGTGCCCTCAGGAAGGAATAAGCCATGCCCAGGACAGGAAGCACTGTCATCCTGCTGGGCAGACTGAGATGCACAGGTGTAGGGAGGGCTGTGACCTCCTTCGCGTCCTTTGTGGGACGCTGGTCCTCTGTGGCTCCTGGCCCCCACCCCTTCCTGCACAGAAGGCACAGCTTCCTTCTGAGTTTCGCCGCATGATTTGCAGAGAGAGGAGAACCACATGGAGAGTGTGGTCAAGCACCTCTGCACTCAGGTTTTTCAAGCTTTCTGAGCAAGCGAGGCTTGTGCATCCCCCAGCTTGCAGGGGGCTGGGGGCTGGGGGCCAGGGGGCTTGGGATTTGAACACTCAGCTTCAGACTAAGTCCTCGAAGGTCCAGTCTCCAGCGATGATTCCTGGGGGGTCCCTGGGGCTGCTGTGGGGCTCCTGGAATTATACCCCACCCCAGCTGCTCTCAATGTGCCACTGTTTCCTGTGGATTCTGAGTCTTGGCACCATGAGACCAGTGTGGGATTCTTCTTTCTTCCAGGCAACCGGTGACCAAAAACACTTTCAGGCAGTATCGAGTGCTAGGAAAAGGGGGCTTCGGGGAGGTGAGTGAACATTCACGTTTTTAATTGAAAGTTCTTACATTCAAGTCACCTTTCCTGTCCCTTCTAAATCAACCTAAAGGGTTGGCCCACGGGTCCCCCGGGGGCACCAGTGGCTCAATGTGGGCCCCGGGGGCAGTGAGGGTGGGAGAGAGTCAGTGGCCTTGGGGCTATCAGGTGTGTCTATGGTGGAAAGAGGTTGTGGAGCTGGGCAGGTGAGACAGACGTGCTCTCCTGCCAGCCTCAGGCAGGATCCAGCCTGCAGAGGACAAATGGGCAGCCCTGGTCGTGTGTGGGGAGGAGATGTGAGGGCGTGAGGAGGCTGGGCAACCTTGGCCACTCAGTGCCTGGATGACGCTGTCATGCAAGATTCGAGATTTCGTTGTACATTACCCGATCTTCCCAGCATGTGAGGCAAGCCTTGTTATTCCCATTTTAGAGATGAGGAAAGCTGAGGTCCAGAATGGTTAGGTGACCCAGCCAAGGGCGCGCAGACAATGTGAGGCAGAGCTAAGACTTAAGCCCAAATGCTTTGGTTCCCGCTTATCTGGATTATGAAGTCAGTGTTCTTGAGGATCTCCTATCACTGCCTCCCAAAACAAACTTCTCTACCGGCAGCCGGTAGGAGAAAATCCTGTTGCCCTGGGAATGGAACGGTACTTGGGGCCCCAGTCAGTTATCTAAGCCTTGGTGTGAGTGGCTCATTCTGCCCCTTCCAGGGCTGGGAATCCTTGAAGGAGAGGAGGAGGGAGGGCAAGGGCCCAGGACAGCTGTGGGCCCCAGGCCAGGCATCACTGGGTCCTGGGAGCCTGGAGCACTCATGAAGCCAGGCAGGGCCGGCTCTGACCCCATCCATTCTCTACCTGGGAGGCCTGTGGTCCCCGCCCTGGAGGAGCTCGGGGCAGGCCTCCACGGTGCTCCTGCCACCCTGGTTTCTTTCTTGCACTGCAGGTCTGTGCCTGCCAGGTTCGGGCCACGGGTAAAATGTATGCCTGCAAGCGCTTGGAGAAGAAGAGGATCAAAAAGAGGAAAGGGGAGTCCATGGCCCTCAATGAGAAGCAGATCCTCGAGAAGGTCAACAGTCAGTTTGTGGTGAGTGAGCATCTGGGCCCAGTGACCGGCTCGCCCTTCTGTGGACTGGGGCTTCCCTCCCTCCGGAAGGGCGTGGTCCTCTAATGCGGCCGGTCCCCACCCCTGGGAAGGGGAATGCCAGTGGCAGCGCTGAGCTACAGAAAGGCCGCAAGACATTCCTCCATCACACGGCCCATTGTGGTCGACTGTGGCTGGCTTTGTCCCATCCCCAGAGCCGGCCAGTGCCTGGCTCCCTGCTGTGCATGAGACCGACGCCTCTGTTCTCCTGGACCACTTTGTAAACTCCTCAGTGGACAAAGAAAGTTCACCTGGGCCCAGGCTGGGAGCTGTGGGTTCCACAGACCCTCTAGGCTGGTGCCATCGTGGTGGGGACCTTAGTGCCAGCATCCTGGAATGGCACTATCAAGTCTGTGTGCATTGTGTTAGTCAGTCTAGGCTGGGCCCTGCTGCAGTAACACATTTGCCCCAAACCCTAAGTAGCTAAATACAGCAGAGGTTCATCTGTCACTCACCTGAAGTCCAATCAGATTGGGCCACCCTCCTCCATCTAACAGCTGCCCCATCTGGAGCCTTGAAAGTGAGTGCTAGGGGTTCCACACAGAGACTTTCCACTGCCTCTACTGGACAGATGTTCCTCAGTTTCACCCACAGTCTGCCAGCCAGAACCAGTCAACACAGAGACAAGTTAGTTTCAGGGGAGGCTGGGAAATGTGAAGTGCATGGATATTTGGTCAGCTCTAATATCTTCTGCTACACACTGTTATAAAAAATAAAGCTGGGTGCAGTGGTACATGCTTGTAGTCCCAGCTACTCAGAAGGCTGAGGCAGGAGGATTGCTTGAACCCAGGATTTCGAGGCTGCAGTGAACTATGATCGTGCCACTGCACCCCAGCCTGGGTGACACAGCAAGACCTCATCTCTAAAACTAAATACATGCATACATTAAAAATAATATATACACAAGGTAAAAATTTAAACAGCACAGAAGGATACACAATAAAACGAAAAGCTTCCCTCTTTGAGTAATCACTCCAGGCATGTTTTATTCATGCACAGGCTTTATTATTCTTAGCCAATGGGATCTTCCTGTACCTCTTATGGAGGAATGTTTTTCCCTTACATTGTAGATCTTTTTCTCCATCCAGACCTCTAGTCACACCCCTTTTTAAAGTTGGGCATCATTCTCCTGAAGAGATAAAGCATAATCCATATAGTCAGTCCCCATGGATGGAAATTGTTTTCCATCTTTAAACCACTACAGGGCCGGGCACGGTGGCTCACGCCTGTAATCTCAGCACTTTGGGAGGTCGAGGCAGACAGATCACTTGAGATCAGGAGTTCAAGATCAACCTGGCCAACATGGCAAAACCCCATTTCTACTAAAAATACAAAAATTACCTGGGCATGGTGGTGGGCGCCTGTAATTCCAGCTACTTGGGAGGCTGAGGCATGAGAATCACTTGAACCTGGGAGGCAGAGATTGCAGTGAGCTGAGATCATGCCACTGCACTCCAGCCTGGGTGACAGAGTGAGACTTTGTTAAAAACAAAACAAAACAAACAAACAAAACCACTACAGACCAGTGGCACTCCCAGAGGATGGAAGTTTGCATCTTGGGATCTCATCCCAGGCCACCCCCAGCTGCCAGCCTTGTCGGGGGTGCAGGTGTGGGCAGTGCCATGGTATGTGGAGATGAGGCAGATGAGGCTAACTTCAGCCATCATTTCAGCTGCGGGCCTTCTTGAGTCCGAAACCTTCCTCCCCACTGCCAGCCGCTTCAGCAGGGACCCCTGGATGCTGCCTATGGAGCCTTGTCTCTGAAGGGACAGTGCTGGCGGGTTCTGCTCAGGGAAGAGGATCATGTGATTCACAAAGCTGGGTGGCACGTCTTTAAGGGCCTTCAGTTACGATGGCTGCACCTTCTTTAACTGTGCCCCATCCACGGCCCCGGCAGGGAGTTCCCACGATGTCACCTCCTGGATCCCTTTCTCGGTGATCACCTGGGCAGATGTGGGAGAAAGGGGACAGCTGCAGCCATTGCAGCAGAAGCACAGTCCCCATGAGCTTGCTCATCCTTGGCTGCCATTTTATCTCCTTTCCTCAAAAATAGCTGATGTTGATGCACCAGTTTTACGGCACAGCCAGTTCCCAGCCTGGCCCACGATGGCCGGGTTTCATGTGTGCCACCTCCCTATGTGGAGAAGGATTACCTTCTGGTGTAATTTGCCCCTCCTGCCCCACCATGGCCTTGCTTCACAGAGCCTTGGGTGTCTGGACTCCACCAGCAGAGGACTAGACCCCCTCTCTTGGTGGCCCTTTGCCAAGTGGACCAGTGTATTAGTCCATTTTCACACTGCTGATTAAGATATAACTGAGACTGAGCAATTTACAAAAGAAAGAGGTTTGATGGACTTATGGTTCCATGTGGCTGGGGAGGCCTCACAATCATGGTGGAATGTGAAAGGCACTTCTTACATGGCGGTGGCAAGAGAAGAATGAGAACCAAGTGAAAGGGGTTTCCCCTTATAAAACCATCAGATCTCATGAGACTTATTCACTACTATGAGAACAGTATAGGAGAAACTGCCCACAATTCAATTATCTCCCACCGGGTCCCTCCCACAACACATAGGAATTATGGGAGTACAATTCAAGATGAGATTTGGGTGGGGACACAGCCCAACCATATCATTCTGCCCCTGGCCCCTCCCAAATCTCATGACCTCACATTTCAAAACCAATCATGCCTTCCCAACAGTCCCCCAAAATCTTAACTCATTTCAGCATTAACTCAAAAGTCCATACATAGTCCAAAGTCCCATCTGAGACAAAGCAAGTCCTTTCCGCCTACGAGCCCGTAAAATCAAAAGCAAGTTAGTTACTTCCTAGATACAATGTGGGTACAGGCATTGGGTAAATACAGCTGTTCCAAATGGGTGAAATTGGCCAAAACAAAGGGGCTACAGGCCCCATGCAAGTCAGAAATCCAGCAGGGCAGTCAAATCTTAAAGCTCTAAAATGATCTCTTTGACCTCATGTCTCACATCCAGATCATGCCGATGCCAAGACGTGGGTTCCCACGGTCTTGGGCAGCTCCATCCCTGTGGCTTTGCAGGGTACCGTCTCCCTCCTGGCTGCTTTCATGGGCTGGCATTGAGTGTCTGCAGGTTTTCCAGGCAAACAGTGCAAGCTGTCAGTGGATCTACCATTCTGGGGTCTGGAGGACAGTGGCCCTCTTCTGACAGCTCCAATAGGCAATGCCCCAGTAGGGACTCTGTGTGGGGTCTCTGACCCCACATTTCCCTTCTGCACTGCCCTAGCAGAGGGTCTCCATGAGGGCCCCGCCCCTGCAGCAAACTTCTACCTGAGCATTCAGGTGTTTTCACACATCTTCTGAAATCTAGGCGGAGGTTCCCAAACCTCAATTCTTGACTTCTGTGCACTCGCAGGCTCAACACCACATGGAAGCTGCCAAGGCTTGGGGCTTCCACCATGGCTCGAGCACTGCATTGGCCCCTTTCAGCCACGGATGGAGCAGCTGGGACTCAGGGCACTGGGCACCAAGTCCCTTGGCTGCACACAGCACGGGGACCCTGGACTCAGCCCGTGAAACCACTTTTTCCTCCTAGGCCCCTGGGCCTGTGATGGGAGGGGCTGCTGTGAAGACCTCTGACATGCCCTGTAGACATTTTCCCCATGGTCTTGGGGATTAACATTCAGCTCCTTGTTACTTATGCAAATTTAGGCAGCCAGCCTGAATTTCTCCTCAGAAAATGGGATTTTCTTTTCTATTGCATTGTCAGGCTGCAAACTTTCCAAACCTTTATGCTCTCCTTCCCTTACAAAACTGAATGCCTTTAACAGCACCTATGTCACCCCTTGAGTGCTTTGTTGCTTAGAAATTTCTTCTGTGAGATACCCTAAATCATCTCTCTCAAGTTCAAAGTTTCAAAAATCTCTAGGGCAGGGGCAAAATGCCAGCAGTTTCTTTGCTAAAAGATAACAAGAGTCACCTTTGCTCCAGTTCCCAACAAGTTCCTCGTTTCCATCTGAGACCACCTCAGCCTGGACTTTATTATCCATATCACTTTCAGCATTTTGGGCAAAGCCATTCAACAAGTCTCTAGGAAGTTCCAAACTTTCTCACATTTTCCTATCTTCTGAGCCCTTCAAACTCTTCCAACCTCTACCTGTTACCGGTTCCAAAGTCATGTCTACCTTTTTGGGTATTTTTTTCAGCAGTGCCTCACTCTTCTGGTACCAATTTACTCTATTAGTCCGTTTTCACACTGCTGATAAAGACATACCTGAGACTGGGCAATTTACAAAAGAAAGAGGTTTAATGGACTTACAGTTCCACGTGGCTGGGGAGGCCCCACAATCATGGCAGAAGGTGAAAGGCACTTCTTACATGGCGGTAGCAAGAGAAGAATGAGAACCAAGTGAAATGGGCTTCCCCTTATAAAACCATCAGGTCTGTGAGACATATTCACTACCACAAGAGCAGTATGGGAGAAACTGCCCCCATGAGTCAATTGTCTCCCACTGGTCCCTCCCACAACACATGGGAATTATGGGAGTACAATTCAAGATGAGATTTGGGTGGGGACACAGAGCCAAACCATATCAACTAGGCACATCCTGCATGCAAGAGAAAGCCTTTACCAGGCCATGTTCCACTTCCCAAAGCCCCACTGCCCCTCCAGCTCACCCTTACTTGGCCCTGTGAGAATGGCTCCCATACCCAAAAGGGCAAGTGAGCCCTGCTTTTCTGACTGGCCAAGAAGGCACCCTCCAGTCTTCCCCAGCTGATGCACACATGTGCTTCTGTGGAGGAAGCACAGACGCCATTCTGTTGGATTCACTGGGAGGTCGGGGTGCTAGCCTGCCCTAACCCGCCTTGGCCTTCTCACCTTGATCCACTGAAAGGGAGGAGCAGGTGTGAGCCCCTTATCAGCCAAGGAGGCCGCAGGCAGGGTCACCGCAGAGGCCATCTGGGTGCAGGGGAGCAGGGTGAGGCTCCTCTGTTCCCTCACACCCCAGCTCCCAGGATCCTGAGGAGGGAAGTGGAAGTGAGTGGCCATTGTCACAACCTCCCCATGGCACTGTTCTTGTGCTCCCAGGTCAACCTGGCCTATGCCTACGAGACCAAGGATGCACTGTGCTTGGTCCTGACCATCATGAATGGGGGTGACCTGAAGTTCCACATCTACAACATGGGCAACCCTGGCTTCGAGGAGGAGCGGGCCTTGTTTTATGCGGCAGAGATCCTCTGCGGCTTAGAAGACCTCCACCGTGAGAACACCGTCTACCGGTGAGTGGAAGGCACCAAGGACTTCCAAGTCTAAGTCCGAGGGGGTGGGGCCAGCCCCTCCACACCCTCGGGCAGGTGGTTGCCATCGCTCTGGGAATCAGCCCTGGTCAGCACCAGGGGAGGATGCAGAGTCAGACAGACTTTCCACTCCAGGAAGCTGGGGCCTCCGGCACTGAGGAAGCGAGGTGGGCCACCCTCTGGCCAGTGTTCTCCAGCCTCCAAAGTTTAGGGAAGCCAAGCAAGTGAAATGATGTTCCTGAAACTGACTGCTCCTTCAAGTCAAGGAGGACGGGCCGTGACCACTGCTCCCTCCAGTTGCCTCCATCCCAGCAGCCAGGGAAGCTGGGAGGGGGCCTGGTGGCCGCTATCTGGGATCAGTCCTGGGAAGACTTGGGTCGGGTCACTGCCCACAAGCAGAATCGGAGTGGCCCATGGTCCCACTCCATGCTGTCCTCAGCTTGCTCTGGTCTTCACCCCCTCTCCCCACCCACCTCAATCCCACAGGGACCTGGACATTGTAGGGCCAGGGGTCCAGATTCCACTCACAATGAGCAGTGCCCTTCAGATTTTTCTCCCAGTCCTTCTGAAAGAATTTTGAAAAATCTCTGTGATGCTGCATTTTAAGTAGACATTTGAAATATTCCATCATATTGAAATAGTGGCAATTTTTGATATATTGAAATTGAACAGTTACATTACACTCCTCAGGGGATCCAGTGGAATCTCTAGTTGCTGTAGCCAATTGATTTCCACCTGCATTTATCCAAAAAATGCACAGAAAGCTCTTTAGTGATGAGGAATTTTCTATCATTTCCTTCACTCTCTCCATCCCCCCAGAATGTTAATAATATATTTTTTTGCCTGAAAGTCTTTCACTGATTAGCGTACATCTCTGAAACAAATATATAGATACATACAAGAGTTTTTGAAGTTCTCCTTGACCGTAAGTCTCTAAGTGTTAAAATAACTTCTCTGGCCGGTTGTGGTGGTTCACACCTGTAATCCCAGCACTTTGGGAGGCTGGGGCAGGCGGATCACCTGAGGTCAGTGGTTTGAGATCAGCCTGGCCAACGTGGTGAAACCCTGTCTCTACTAAAAATACAAAAAGTAGCCGGATGCGGTGGCACGCGCCTGTAGTCCCAGATACTTGGGAGGCTGAGGCTAAAGAATCGCTTTAACCTGGAGGTTGCAGTGAGTCAAGATCACCACTGCACTCCAGCCTGGGCAACAGAGTGAGACTCCGTCTCAAAATAAAATAAAATAACTTCTTCTGTCGAGTTGCCATTGTAATTAGTAGTAGATCTCATTTCTAATCAGTCCTTTGGAAGCAGGGGTTTTGACATCTGGAGTGGGTCGCTACAGTCATACTCGGGAGGGGAGGAGGCTGCTTTTCTTCTGTAACTTGGGAGAAGAGTTATTGAGAAAGGGCAGATGGGAGGGAGATCCCAAAAGATGCCAGGACAGAGCATCCTGATGTGAAGAAATCCAAACCCTTCAAACTGCGGACAGGAGGGAACCCCCTGCTCGGTCCTGGCAGACCCCGACACGCAGCCCAGTTTGAAGACCTTTGCAGTGGAGCTCATCTTGGGACCAAGAAGGTTTTGAAAACAAGAAAGAATGGTCTTGATGACATGCCCTTCCCCCCATACCATCCCCCCATTTATGTTTCTGTTTTGTTTTCATTCAAATGAAAAGAGTCAAAATTTTCCCTAAGGGTTGAACAAAGAATTCTCTACGTGATTGCCTTTTATTTAAAAAGAAAAAAGAAAGCCCTCCAAGTTCCAGCTCGTCTTCTTCCGGGGGAAAGAGAACCACAGTGCCTCCTCCCTGGCTGTGACCACTCACCACGGCCTCTCTTTGGGCTCCGTTCTGGCCAGTGCCCACTAGTGAGCTGCCATGCTAGCCTGGTGGCAGCCGGCTTGTTGAGATGATGGCTGCTGCCCTTATTTGGAATTGTTAACACATCAAAAGAATGCCATTTAAATAACAGCAACAAAAGTATTTTATGATAAATAAGGATACACAAACACCAATTATCATTTGATGAGGCTCACTGGCTGGATTTGGGTACATTAACCACTCCGCATGAGGACAGCTGCCATCAGTTAAATAAACAAAGCTGGGTGGTTGAGAACTGGAGCCTCCATCCAGATCCTGTGTACTGTTTGCCCCATGGCTTAACTGAGTTGCACACACTCTCCTCTTGGCTGTTCTTTTACCCATAGAGAAGACCTTTTCCTATAAAAGCAGCTCCTCTGCTGGCTCTCCCCTCATCCTGGGAATGCAGAGGCTCCCTTACTTGTGAGCAAGATCCTGTCATCAAGAGAGGAGACATTAGGGACAGGATAAGGCAGCCACACCTATGCCATGCCCCGTAGCTGTTCTTTCTCCCAGGCTGTAGCGTAGCTGGTGTTGGGGGATATGCCAGTCTCCTGCAGGCCCCATCCCAAAGGGGGTCTTTTTCCTGTGTCCCCACCTTCTCCCCTTTGATCCTCTCTTCCCAATTGCACAGCTCCCTTCATTCCAGGCCCTGTTCTGCCTTCAGGGCTTCCTGAGACCTGCAGGGTCTTCTCAGCCTTGGAGTATCCTCAGACCTGCAGTCATTGATGTGTGAACAGGGGCCATGACTGGCCTTTTCCTAACTTTCCCAGTCACCCTCCAGGATTGGGAAATGCCTGTGGCAAACGGCAGTGTTGCTTTAAATTACTGGAAGGAGAAAAATTAGCTGAAGATCATTTTGACTCAAACCAGACAGCCTGAGCCAGGAGGTGGGAAGGAAACACACTGTGGCCACTCAGGCCTGATTAGCCCGAGGGGTCGACCCAGATGCCAGTGTATCCTACCTGCCCAGAATGCCCACACTCTGATGCTTGTTGTTTTTCCTTTCAGAGATCTGAAACCTGAAAACATCCTGTTAGATGATTATGGTAAGTCTTTTCCTACTCGGTAGCTGAGGTGAGCATTGCAACCCCAAGAAAGCAAAGGGCCTCCCAGGGATTCTCAGAGAGGGCTGGGGAAGCTGACCACGGGCCCCACTCCCACTGCTCAGTGCTGGGTACCTGGGGAAGGGGGAAAGCTGTGAGTGTGAACAGAGCTCCGCTTGGTGAACAGGCAGTGTTCAGAGAGACTTTGAAATTCAGAGTTTTTGAAATTCCCTTTGACCATAAGGCTCTAAGTGTTAAAATAACTTCTGGCCGGGCGTGGTCTCTACAGTGCACTGAACAAGGAGTCCAGAATTTCAGAGATGCTGGGCAAATACTTAACTTCCATCAAGTTCTCCACCTCTCATCTTGTTTGTAAAATGGAAACAAAGCGTCCTGCCCTGCCCTGCCCACCCAGAAGGAAGAGGGTGGTGGAGAGGCTTCTACATGACAGCTTGAGAGGGAATTGCTTGTCAGTCTAGCCAGCTGTAAATGTCTCAGGCATTACGTTTGTGCATTACCATCATTATTTTCTCTTGGCTGTGGACACTGAATAATAAGAACAACCACAGTACCCCTCACAGCTGTTTAGCCTCACACCTGGAAAATAGTTCCTATACCTTCTTTTTTTTTTTTTGAGACAGAGTCTCACTTGCTCAGGCTAGAGTGCAATGGCGTGATCTCGGCCTACTGCAACCTCTGCCTCCCAGGTTCAAGTGATTCTCCTGCCTCAGCCTCCCAAGTAGCTGGGATTACAGGTGCACGCCACCACACCTGGCTAGTTTTTGTATTTTTTTTTTTTTTTGAGATGTAGTTTTACTCTTGTTGCCCAGGCTGGAGTGCAGTGGTGCAATCTCAACTCAGTGCAACCTCTACCTCCCAAGTTCAAGTGATTCTGCTGCCTCAGCCTCCCAAGTAGCTGAGATTACAGGCACGTGCCACCACGCCCGGCTAATTTTTGTATCTTTGGTAGAAATGGGGTTTTGCCATGTTGACCAGGCTGGTCTCAGACTCCTGACCTCAAGTGATCTGCCCTCCTTGGCCTCCCTATGTGCTGGGATTACAGGCATGAGCCACCGGTTTCCACACCTTTGATCTGACTAGATCTTCCCACCTGCACAGAGAAGGGCAAGGCAGCATCTCTGTGCCCATTTAACAGATGACAAAACTGAGCCTCAGGGGAGCCATCCTGCCAAAGTCACCCAGCAGCATCAGTGGGGAGCTGAGGGCAGAAACTGGGTCTCCTCCCACCAGGCCCCAGAACCTGGCAGCCCCCAGTAGAGGGAGGGGAGAAACCGGGTCGCTGATGACCTGAAGAGAGGTCTGCATGGGATACTGCCCTGTGGAGGGGCGGTCGGAGGGCCCAGGCCTGCCGCCCCTCTCTGGATGTGCCCGGTGCCTCCCTTGGTCTAAGAACCAAGCCCACGCTGCTCCTCTGCTATCCTGACTGTCAGCCCCCACCGAGCCAGGGAGTCCACACGGCTCCAGCCTGGCGGGGTCTCGACACTGGCCCTTGCTGACATCTAGGCTGGAGGGATGGGGGTGGGGCCCTGGTGTCCATAGGCAGGGAAGGGAAGGGGACGTGTTCCTTCCTGTGGGGTAAGTTGTGGCCGCGACCCTGCCCAGGTGGGCTGTGGGAGGGACAAAGACCAAAGTGGAGCCTCAGCTCAGCGTCTCCCGCTCTGGGGGCTCAGTCCTGGGCTGTGAGCTGGGATTCATCTCCAGGCTCTGCCAGGTCAGACCAGATGTTTTCCCTTCTCGTTTCTCTAAAGTGAAAAACAACCAATCTCCAGAGACCAACAAGGCAGGCCGGGGAGCTGCTTCCCAAATCGTTTTATAATTTTTTCCCCTTAAGCAAATTGTTGCATAATGCCAGAAGAACCTCACATTTTTCCCATGAAGTAATCCCAGAACCAAGCCAAGATTCTCTGACCTCAGCGTTCCAGGAAGCCCATTCAGCCTTTGACTAGGCAGGTCGGTCAACGTCCAGCCGGGTCCAGGCATCCTATTGCATCTTTATGTTCCACTCCTGAAGAGTGGGCATTTTCCTGTGTCCTCCCACACCTGCACTCTCCCAAGGCTCTTGTGGTCACTCTGAGATGGCAGATTGGGGTCCCTGTTGTCCTTGGACAGATGAGAATGCCGAGAGCTCGTATGCCTTGCCCAAGGGCACACAGCAAGGCCGGGTGCCCATGCGGCTGTCCCAGGGACCCACTGACCCTGCTGTCCCCCTCAGGCCACATTAGGATCTCAGACCTGGGCTTGGCTGTGAAGATCCCCGAGGGAGACCTGATCCGCGGCCGGGTGGGCACTGTTGGCTACATGGGTGAGTGCTGGGCTGCCTGTGTCAATGCACCTTGAGACCCACCACCTGCTCACCGCCGGCCGAGCCCCCAGAGCCTGCCCGCAGAGCCTCTCGCCTCTTCATGCACTGCTGATCACACACAGAGTCACAGTCTCTGCAGGGCTGCTGGGGGGCGGCCTTAGCCAGGGGGAGGGGGAGCACAGGGGCCCCAGATGTGATGACTGCTCTGAGCTCTCTGCACTCCCAGGCCCCCAGCCCCACCTGTGTCCAAAGCCAAGCCACTCTTAGGGGTCGGGGCCTGGCATACAGCGCTGCTAGGGGAGGCCACATTGAAGCAGGGGTCTGGGAGGAGAGGCCTTTGAGAGGAAGGAGGTAATTCACAAGAGCCCGCAAATGAGAGGCGCGCACAGCTGCTGTGTCACCAAGCATGATTCCAGTAGAGAGCAGCCTTGGGCTCCTGCCACCTTTCCTCAGTCTGCTCTGAGACCAGCGTCCTGGGGGTTGCAGGGAAGAGACCCAGAGTTAAGTCCTGTGCCCTAGAATCCCCCGTCCAATTGGGGGCACGCCCTGGGCTTCCTCCTGTGCATTTCACACACCTACCCTCCTTCCCCTGAGAGGCGCGTGCCCGGGGAGCAGGCACGCTGCCGCCCTCTAGTCAGGCTGGTACTGACAGCAGCTGCACAGGAGGTGTGCCTTGTCTCTGGTGCTAGAGGGTCCTTTTCAGATTGCATGACATTTGGCAACCTGTGGAGTGTGTGTCTGTGTGTATGTGAGTGTGTGTGTGCCCACATGAATGCTGATCGATGATTGATAGGTAGGCGGGTGGGCGGGTGGATGGATGGTTGGATGGATGATGGATGATGGATGGGTGGATGATAGATCTGCCTACCTGTGTGTGCATTTGCCTGGGTCTCCTTTTGCAGAGTGTTCCATGCATCTGTCTGCCCCGGCTCTTGTGTGCAAACCAGCACATGTGTGGATGCATTTCCCTCCAGACATACGTGCTGATGCTGCAGAACTATCTTTTCTGTATTTCTATGGTAAATCTGTAATTCGGTTTATCAAAGTGGTACAGAAGACATAGCAAGAGATTGTTTGAATTACAGATAAATTTAAGATCATCTTTAATTTGGGTAGATACACCTTTATTCATTGAAACAAATATACTGATAGCACCTGTTCTGTGCCAGGTGTCATATTGTTACGGTAGTGAATAAAGTAGCTCATGTTCTAGGCGAGGGGACATCAAGAGTGCAGGACACCTCCATCCACGGTGGTCAGAGTTCTAAAGCTACAGTCAAAGTCCTTCGGGGGCACAGAGGAGAGTCATCAGGGCAAGCTCCCTGGAGGGGGTGGTATTCACAGCAGTTGGTGGGGTAAGAGTTGGTGGCGGCCATGAAACTCCAGGCCTTCTGTGAGCAGCGCCACCAGCTGTCTCCCTCCTCCTCACTCCTCTCTCCTCTCCTCTGCCCCCAGCTCCAGAGGTCCTGAACAACCAGAGGTACGGCCTGAGCCCCGACTACTGGGGCCTTGGCTGCCTCATCTATGAGATGATCGAGGGCCAGTCGCCGTTCCGCGGCCGCAAGGAGAAGGTGAAGCGGGAGGAGGTGGACCGCCGGGTCCTGGAGACGGAGGAGGTGTACTCCCACAAGTTCTCCGAGGAGGCCAAGTCCATCTGCAAGATGGTGAGCTCCTGGTGGCCAGATGCCACCCTCAAGCTGGTGGCTCCCCTCCCTGGGCCTGGCCCCAGTCTGTCCCCAGAACAGCAAACAGGCTGAAGGGACAGGGGTCTGAGCATGGGGGTGGGGGTTGCAGCCCACCAAGCTAGAGTTGAGGGCACTCCTTGCTGTGGACTGGGGTGGTCAGCGGAGACTTCCAGGAGAAAGCCTGGGTGGGGCAGGGACACCCAGGAACCAAGGGAAGAGGGGTGAGGGGAACAGTGTGGAACACCCTCACATCCAGCCTGTGGGGGGGTCCACACAGGGCGGAGAAGAGATGGTCTGAGCTGGTGCCCCAGACACAAAGCAACCTTGGGCCAAGCCCCGGCCCCTGCCCGTGGGCCTCCTGCTCCCTCCACCTCTGGATCCTAAGGTGTTGGTTTAAGACGAAGGGCTACAGGGGGTGGGGGCGACGATTTCAGTCTTTGAACATCTTATAACAAAGTTTTCCACCACTAGATGGACTGCTGGTCACGCCAGCCTGGCTCCTGCATGACAGGGTCTAGGGATAGTGAGGTCAGACCCACCCAAAAGCTGGGTGGGTGGGGCCAGATGGGGGGACTGGAAGCCAGATAAGGAGTGACAGGAGCCATTGGAAGTGGGGGATATGGGAGTGGAGTCCGCCCGTGCACCCCTGCCACTGGGCCGCCCCATGCCGGCCCTCAGGCCCTTCCCTGGGAACCAGGACTAGTGGCTGGCTTTGTGGGGAGATGGCCACTTCCTGCTGCTGCCTGGCTCTCAGCCCCCAAGTCCAGCCCATGCCCCCTTGGGGCCCTCCTCCTTATGGTCCCCAGCACAGCTGTGCTGGCACCCCCACTGCAAGCAGCTGCCCTCTAATGCCAGCCTCATAGGGACAGGAGGGGCCGGAGCACCCAGCTCCACAATTGCCAGCCCACAGACTTCCTCTCCTCTCCCTGGAGCCACAGATGTACCCCGTATCCCATGTACCCGGAGCCACAGATGGGCAAACCGAGCCTGGGAGGGGGGAGCCACACTTCCCACCCCTCTACATCTGCAGGCACTTTTGGGGCAGATTCAGCGTGTGCATTGACAACCCAGGCAACTCCCGGAGTTTAGGAAGCAGCAGTCCTGGGAGTTGATTAAAAGTCGCAATGCTTCTGCTCAGGAAGACCTGAGATCTGCGCCGCAAGCGGCCCCAGGAGGGTCTGGCTCGGCTCCTCACCCCAGAGGCCCCTCTCCTGCAGCCAGACACCTCTGCTTGGCCCCTTCCTGTCACCAACCTCATCCTCACATCACAGAGCTGTGGGAAGAAGTCCTGTGTGTACAGCAGACCCACACTCTAACCCCACAGCTGTTGGCCCGCCATGCAGCTGGGGCCTCAGAGAAAGCCACATGGTCATCGCAGCCAGGGCTAGGGTGGGGGGACCGGAGGAGCAGTGCAGCACTGGTCGGGTAAATGGAAATGTGGGTGTGAGCCATACTTGGCTGTCTCATTGGGAGATATCTGTCAGGTGCGACAAAACGAGACAAGGGAAAGAAGAAGGGGTCAGACAGCCGTGGGCAGAGCATCACCAAATGTCCCAGGTCAGGGCCAGGCAATCAGAGAAGCAGGTCTTGAGAGATCTCAGCAGGGATATGGGACGTACTAAGAGGATGACGAGGCGGAGAGGGCCCCAGTCCCACCCCCAGACCCCAGACACCCACCTTGGCCCCTGGCTTTGGAGCTGGGATCTCCTGCTGCAGCCTGGACCAGGGTGCTGCTGTCCCTCTGCTGCCCCCTGGTGGACACTGAGAGAAAGCCTGCTGCTCCCGGAGGACCTGTCCCGTGGGTACAAAACCACTGTCCTCTGGAAGCCTCTGGCCTTGCTGCGGCTTCCCTTACAAATGATCTTTGGTCTTGGGAGTCTAGTCTTAGGCCTCCTTCACGCCCTTGACTGCAGCATCTCCGGCATCTAGGCCTACCTTGTCCCCTCCAGCTGGTGGCAGCTCAGGACACTGCAGAGCCTGACTTGCCAGGAGACCTCGCAGGTCCTGGGTTCACAGGGCTATTTCTAGGCTCTGGTGGCTCCAGCCCTGCCTGCCTAAGAGGGTCCCTCCACAATCAGTGAGGAAGCCAGTCTCTGGCCCCCAGGTCTGTCCCCCATTCTACCTTAGCAGCCGCAGAACCCACTCCCCCTCCTCTGGAGCCCAGAAATTCACACATCTCACCACTTTGTCTCCTGAGCCCAGTCCATGGGCCCAGACCTCAGCCTCCATCTTCCCCAAACCCCTGCTCAGTCCCAGCACTGGGCCTTAGCCCCCCTCCAGCTCCCTCTTGCCTTTCAGCCGTCTTGGTCTCACTTGTCCTTCCAGCCCATCTGTACCCCTCCTCCAGGAAGCCCGCTCTGCCTGCCCCACCCATCCCAGCTCACACCTTCTCTTCCTCTCACTTCTCCTGGTGTCCACCTGATAGCATGATTGCAAACTCTTTACCTGACGATGTGGCTGCAAACTGTTGACTGGATGCCAGGGTTTCAAATGGCAGCATATAGGCGGGTGTTCAACCTGCACACGGTTTTTCAAAAGAAGTAAATGGTAGGTTCATTGCCAAGATTTAGAAATGAGGAGATTTCATGTAATAACCTGGATTTTCTGGCTTCTCTTGAAAAGCAGAAGCCCCAGGCCCTGGCTGCCGTCCCACCTGGCAGGAGCTGACACATAGCCCGGCCCGGCCCACCCAGCCCACCCCTCGCCTTTCTCATCCTCGTTTGTGCCACCTTCCTGGCCAGCTGCTGCAGCCCCTGCAGAAGGAGACTTGCCTCTGAGGGACTGCTTAGAACAGTGCAGCACCTGGGCCCAGCCCAACCCAGTGCCTTGAGCCTTTGTTGAACAGTGAAGCCCCCAGAGAGAGAAGCAGAGGCATGAGTGCCAGACCCTGAGCCGCCAGCCTGGTGGTCCGTGGGGGCGTTAAGGGGCAACACTGAGCGACTGAGTGCTCTGCTTTGTCCTTTCAAGGGTGGAACCTGGTGCTGGCCCTGATGCCACCTTCGATTCCTTTGTTTGGGGGGCAGCCCCCTCCAGACCCTGAGCCCCAAGAGGCCAGTCTGGCTGCTCACTCTCCCCGGCGTCCCCAGCCGGTGCAGTGCCTGCCCCACAAGGACCAGCAGGAAGTGTACATGGGATGAATATGAGCAAAGCGCACAGGGCATTGGGAAAAGACAAGGCTGGGCCCCTACCCCAAGCAGTCTGCTCCTCTGGATTTTAGCCTCAAAGCAGACACTTAGTAGACACCAACTGCGTACAGCTGCAGCGCTCAGTAAGGCAGAGGAGAAGAGAGAATCACGAGGCTGGGGCACTGGGAGTGCAGGTCAGGGGCCGGGGCCCTGTGGTCGTGTGGCTGGCCATGGCTAGTCAAGGCCCCCTGCGCAGGTCTAGCCCTCTGGCCTCATTCATAGCCTCATCCCGTCTCACCTGGGTGTCTGCTCCCAAAGACTCTTCCTCTCCTAGTAACCTTCCTGCCTCGTGGTTCTGATGAAGACACTCTCCTACCTCAACCATCCCTGGCTCCTTCTACCTCCAGATGAAAATCCCGCCACCTGACCTGGCCTTCAGGATCCTCTATCATCTCTCCCTGACCAGCCCCCTCCCCTTGACCCATCTCTGCACCCTCCTCCCGCTTTCTAAGTCAAACGTGTTTTGGGTGTTCCCCAGACTCACCCTGCACGTCCTGCCACTCTGCTTTGCTGGTGCAGTTCCCTCTACCTGTATACCCCTCCCCCTACCCACACCTTGAAAGCCTATTTGTCCTGCAAGACTCAACTTAAATACCTCTTCCCCGTGCAGCTCCCTGACCTCCAGCTGGCAGCCAGTCATGCCCCCTGCCCCCGGGGTGCCCGATCTGTATCACCTTGATGCGTCCTCTGAGCATGATTAGCCCCCCATGAGTCTGAGCACTCCTAGAGGCCAAGTGCCTCGGTGGTGCCTTCTCTGTCAGGAAGGGGCTTGCACCCAGGAGGTACAACTCTGCAAATTAGCTGAGTATGTGCACGAGACAGAGCTATTGATGCAGTCCTTGCCTTTTGTTGCTTACCCTACACAGAAGAGGTGACAGTGACTCGACACCCATTAATGAGTGCCCACCATAACCCAGGAACGAGGTCTGTAATCCTGAGAGAAACAAGATTCCTGCTCTCCTGTCCCATCAGGCATCTAGCCAGGCTGTGAGTGTGTGAGCACAGATGCACGCCAAGACTCAGAGGCAGCCCTGAAGCAAGACCTTTGCAGGGTGGGGCAGCGTGTCTTGGGTTCCTAGGCATGGTGCAGACACTGTGGAGGCAGGAGGTCCGGACAGGAGGAGAGGCCCAGGGGACGTGGCTTCATGGGGCTCTCTGTTTCAGCTGCTCACGAAAGATGCGAAGCAGAGGCTGGGCTGCCAGGAGGAGGGGGCTGCAGAGGTCAAGAGACACCCCTTCTTCAGGAACATGAACTTCAAGCGCTTAGAAGCCGGGATGTTGGACCCTCCCTTCGTTCCAGACGTGAGTAGCCTCCCCCAGCCCCCAGCAGCTCCCTTCACAGGGTACCCAGGGCTGCCCCCGAGTGCTGCCTCACAGTGAGCTGGTGCAGAGTGTGGGGCACATCGTGTCTTTGTGGGGACCAGGGTCCCCTCCCGGCCACTCCTCACCTAAGCTGCAGATGAACTTCACGCCAGGCAGTGCAGAAGAGGCGTGGGCCAGGGAGCCCACATTGGCTGTCCAGAGACTTGGGCACTTTCCCAGGTCTGGGGGTCCTGGACAGATTCCTTCTAAGCGTCAGTTTCCTCCCTGTCCAGTGAAACCAGTAACACTCATGCCTCCCACCTGCCTGGGAGATTTGAGGGTGAAATGAGAACTGAATGGGGAATGCTTTCAAGAGCATTGACGGCCACTACATTCAGTTCATCTTGACCAGCATGCATGCATCGAGCACTACTGTTGACGCCAGGTTCTGGGCCAGGCAGAAACATAAGAGGCCCCTCCCCCAGCAGCTCACATTGCAGGGAGTTGCATCTTCCCAGGAGGTCCCCAGGTCCCCCAGTCGGTGTGTGAGGCAAGATTCCAGCTGAGGTAGAATTGTCCTTGAAAGTCCCCTACATGGTCTATAAATCATGAGCTCTCAGCTGGATCAGAGGCCCAAGAGATGCAGACCAGGCAGAGGCTGGGTGATCTGTGCGGGATACGTGCTGTGATTCCGGGGCCTGCTCTGTTTAAAGTCAGGGAGTCAGAAGCCAGGAAGGCCTGCTGTGCTTCGGCTCCTGCCACGCTCCCGCGGATGACCCCTTGCTGGCAGGGGGACTGGGCCGGGGACTATGGAGGCCGTGGGAGCAGCAGTGTGCTGCAGGCGAATGACTGCATCTCCAGAGAGCTCATGTGCACCTCTCTTCCCAATTCCGTGTCCAATGGCTTTGCGTCGGTAGCTTACAGTAGATCTGGTGGTAGCATCTGCACAGCAGCAATTTGCAAATGCTACAAATCAGGGCCTCTGCGTCCCCCTCTCCCAGAACCAGTGGTTATCACTTACCAGTACCGCCCTGAGTGGAGGCAGGTGGGGACCGTCCTTGGAACTCTGGCACCCCCTATACATGGGGATTCCCTGGTCCTCTGGGACAGAAGGTGGCTTGGGAAGCTGCTAGGTGCGGATCAGTGTCCATGGCAACCACACCACAGACCCCGTCTGGCCAGGGATGGCATCAGTGTGATGGGTAATCAGGGAATGCTTTTTGGAGAAACACGGGGGCCACTGAGAATATAAAGAGTAGGCCGGGCACGGTGGCTCATGCCTATAATCCCAGCACTTGGGAAGGCTGAGGCAGTCGGGTTAGGAGTTCGAGACCAGCCTGACCAACGTGGTGAAACCCCATCTCTACTAAAATACAAAATTAACCAGGCTTGGGGGCACACACCTATAATCCCAGCTACCTGGGAGGCTGAGGCAGGAGAATCACTTGAACCCAGGAGGCAGAGGTTGCAGTGAGCTGAGATTGTACCACTGCACTCCAGCCTGGGCGACGGAGCGAGACTGCATCTCAAAAAATAAAAAGTGAAAGTCACTGAATGCTGCAAACTCAATCTGCAGATGAGCTTGAGCAGGCAGGGGGAGGATGGTAATCACAGCATTGCTCTCGACCCTGGCTGCCTGGCGAACCGCCTGGGGAGCATGAACAACACTCGCCTTGGATGCAGTCCCCAGGGAGTCTGGGGTAAGACTCGGGCTTCAGGAGTTTTGAAACCTCCCCAGCTGATTCTAGCGTAGAGCCAGGGTTGAGAGTCACTATTATGGGAAGTGCCACATGCAAGGAGTGTGTTGTTTGTTGTTTGTTTTTAGTGCCAAGGGCTTTGGGAGTGGCCACTCCTTGGTGTTCCAGGAAACCACATAGTGTTGAGTGCATGAACATCACGGTTGTGCCATTGGGCTGATGTCCGAAATTGGAGAGGATGTGGGCATCCAGACTGGGGGTGTGGCAAAGGTTTGGAACCCGGGTGGCCATCCTTGTGGCCTCTGGGCTACCTATTGCTATGGTGACGGGCTGAGATTAGTCATCGCATTGGAGCTATTCCTCTACCTTCCAGCACACTCCAGGTCCCGTGCCAGGCCCCAAGGGAGATCCCATGGCACACAAAACAGTTGGTTGTTTCCAGTCTGAAGAGGAGCAGGGGTGTCAGCAAAACCCCTTAAATAGAAGTAGAAATACGAGTCACAAGAGAAGAGAACAGGCAGCCTCCGGGAAGATGGGAGAGTAGCGGGGCCTCCGTGCGTGCACCCAGGCATGGCTGGAGAAAAGCGCTCCAGGCCCTGGAAGCAGCATGTGGAAGGAGGCGGCTCTGAGGGTCAGAGCGACCAACTGTCCTGCTTTGCCTGGGACTGTCCTGCTTTTAGCACTGAAAGTCCTGTGTCCTGGGGAGACAGGGACAGTTGGTCACCCTGGGAGTGACCCTGGCCACTTCGAATCAGGGCATTAGGAGGATGAGGTAGCAGAGCCCCGCAAAGCGCACAGCCTGACAAGGTGCACAGAGCAGCCCACCGGTGCCCTCCTGCCTCAGCCGTGTACCCTGTGGCCCAGGGCCTCTGTTCCTGGCATCCGAGGCCTCAGGTCAGCAAAGGTTGCAGGCCCTGGAGTGCGAAGCCGCTGTGAGCTGGGGACTTTGCCTTTTCCCCACTGGCCCTCCCCAGGCTGCACGCCAACCCCCAGTCATCCCTGCCAGCCCCCCACAGTCATCCCGCCCCCCACAGTCTTCCCTGCCAGCCCCCCACAGTCTTCCCTGCCAGCCCCCCCAGTCGTCCCTGCCAGCCCCCCACAGTCATCCCTGCCAGCCCCCCACCATCGTCCCTGCCAGCCCCCCACCGTCGTCCCTGCCAGCCCCCCACAGTCATCCATGCCAGCCCCCCACAGTCATCCCATCCCCACACCACTGTCGGGGCTGCTGCCACATTCCTAAACCACGAGCACTGTGAGTGACATCATCTTTTTCACTTCCATTGACTCTTTTTTTAAAATAAAAATCAATGTATTTTAAAAGGAAACCTTTCCAAGGAAATAATAGCCATGAAAGAGGGGTTTGGGTGTGCCAGGTAACTTTCTGTTCCATTACAGATTTTTAAAATACGCTCATTTCTTAACATTCCTCTGCAAGCCACCCAGGGCCAGCTTCGTGAGCTTGACCTGGCACCCCCTAGGGCACCCTGGGTCCCCACACCTGGCTCAGTGCCCTCTGTTGCCATCTTAAAATTCTAAATGTGGAACATGGACCCTGCGTTTTCATTCTGCGCTGAGCATGTGAATGATGTGGTCTTGCTTCCAGCTAAAAGTCCGCTGAGTTCCACGGTGGCGTGCACCCCGGGCTTTGGGAACTAGAGAAGGGTCGCAGCTCTGCAACTGGACACCCCTGCCCGCACCCCTGCTTCCGTCCACGTGCACTTGGGCCCATGGTTTGCTTTGCTGGGGACAGCATGGCCTTGAGCCTTGAGCTGGAGACCAGAGCAGACTGGAGGGGAGAGTCCCAGAAAGTGCCGAGCCCTGAGACCATTGCTAGAACCTTCCTGGCATGGCGGAGCCCATGCTGAGCCGGTGCACTGATTCACAACCTTCGTATTAGCCAAATGTCAGGAGACTATAAGCAGGAGGTAGCCTCTACCCTCCAGTGACAGATGTGTCACCAGGTCTGGGGATCCCTTCACACCCCACCTGGGGCTGTCTCTATAAAGGCCTCATCTCCAGAGGCTCTGGGAAGCCTCCCCACACCAACCTTGAACTCTTAGAGGGCAGGGTCCACCCAGGTTCATCTCTGCCCTGGCATAGAGCAGGCCCCCAGTGCACAGCTGAGGGACGAGTAAGGCAAAAGATATGCCTACCATAATAATACCAGCTCCCAGTTACGGGCGCCAGGCTCGGTGGCCAGCACTGACAGCAGCCCCATCGCCCAGGTGCCTCGTTGTCCCCATTTTGCCGGTAAGGAAACAGGACATAGGCCTCAGGGGATATGAGACTTCCCCAAAGTTCCTAAGCCCCACAGCTGGGACTCTAGCCCACGTCTGTCCAGTATGGGTAAGGGAGTGATGGCAGGAATGAGCCCTGGGCTGGGCACCCAGGTGCCCCGAGCTCCTGTGTCACCCCAGCCAGGGTCCCCGTCATGGATCTGAGAGAGGGCTGCACTGTCATCTGGAGGGGTCGCACAAAAAAACCACAGGCCATCATCTGAGGTGGACAGGAAGCCCAGCCAAGCCACTGGGGCCGACCCCTCCCCTGGACTCACCTGCATCTGAGCCACACACCCTCCAGCCACTACCCATAGCAGTTCTGGGGGTGTGTCCTGGGAAGACTCCCTTCTGCTCCCCAAAACCCCAAGGCCTGGCTCGGGGCCACTGGAGCCGCAGGCGGGACATATGTGTGACCGGCCCTCTGCCCCTGGCAGCCCCGCGCTGTGTACTGTAAGGACGTGCTGGACATCGAGCAGTTCTCCACTGTGAAGGGCGTCAATCTGGACCACACAGACGACGACTTCTACTCCAAGTTCTCCACGGGCTCTGTGTCCATCCCATGGCAAAACGAGGTGAGCAGGGCAGACCACTTGCTTTGGTCTGGGTGGGAGGGAGGGACTGACGGGTGGAAGGAGGCGTCGGGAATATGAGTTTGGCGGCAGGAGGCTGAGCGCATGGTTTCTGTTTTCTCCATGAAGGCAGCACACAAAAGCTGTCAGTGGCCAAGTAGGGAGCTGTAGCCACCACGGGCCAGTCATTGACGGGGAGCCTCGCCCAGCCCCTGAGACCTGGAGGGCGTGTGGCTCAGGGGCAGGTGAGGCCAGGGGAGGGAGCCCCAGTGGCTTTGCTGCTGGGCTTCCTGACTGCCCCAGTTGACGGCCTGTGTTTTGTTTTCACGGCCCCTCCAGATGATAGAAACAGAATGCTTTAAGGAGCTGAACGTGTTTGGACCTAATGGTACCCTCCCGCCAGATCTGAACAGAAACCACCCTCCGGAACCGCCCAAGAAAGGGCTGCTCCAGAGACTCTTCAAGCGGCAGGTGAGACACCCATGCCTGGCCAGTCCTGGCATCAGCTCCGAGACCCCTGGCTCACTTCCATGGGAAACGAGAAGACCCACAGTAGAGACCCTTGGAAGGCTTGGAAGTCTGGGGCAGTAGCAGCTTGGAAGGGCAACTGATTATGTCCAAGGCCCCTGATACCCACGGCAGCTGATGGGATCCCCGGGGAGAAGGGCAGGGCCAGCCCAAATTCACCCTCCCTCTGGGTTTCTCCGCCTTGACACTGTTGGCGCCTGGGGCCGGTTAATTCCTTGTCACAGTGCCGTCCTGTGCATCGCAAGATGTGGGGCAGCAAGTTTGGCCTCCACCCACCAGATGCAGCAACACGCCATCCCCCAGTCGTGAGAGCCCATAAAGGAGCCAGACATTGCTGAATGTCCTCAGGGGCACAGTCACCCCTGATTGAGAGCCACTGCCCTCTCTGGCCCTTACGAAGCCTCAGTCATATAAAGACTGAACATCATAAGCCCAGGGAGAACTGGGGGTAGAAGCTGACCCCACAGAACCTTCCGGCTCCTGGGATGGCCCCCATCCAATGCTGTGCCCTCTAGCTGGCAGCCAGAGGAGACAGGGCCCTTGGGAAATGACACTTAGAGCCTGGCCCTGGGTAAGGGTTGGTGTGGGCCAATGGAGGAAATGCGGGGGAAGGGCCCCCACCTCACCCCACACCATGAAGGTGGCCACCATACACCCCGTCTTGGCCTGGCCCCTGAGGAAGCTGTGGCCCAGTGTGCCCGCCCTGGAGCCTGGGAGGCTCCCTCACCTAGTTCTGCTCCTTCCTCCTCTCCACAAAGAGCCAGCTCCAGGATGGACACACTCAGCCAGTGATAATATAAAAATACAACGCTTCAATGCTTCCATCAAGTAAAACGGAAGTTCCAGAAAGAATGACCTCTCCCTCCCCTGATGGCCAGGCATGCTAAGAACACCCTGGGTCCTAGAAAAAGAAATTACCATGGAGTCTCACAGACCCGGGTTCAAACCCAGCCCTGAGACTTCTTGGTTATGTGGCAACTTACGGAACCTCTCCCACCTCAGTTTGCCTGCCTGAAACATCAGGATAGAAATGCCCATTGCCTAGAGCCACGGGTGGCGGCCCACATATGGGCACCAGCACCTGTGAAGCAAACGCTTCTTGCCTCCCTCCTCCTCCCCTCTGCAACATGAAGGGCCCAGCACTCACGGGATGCAGAGGGAAGGCCTGAGCAATGGGAACGACCGCCCATCTCTCCCAGGCCGGCCCTCGCTAGAGCCCTTTGCATATGAGGCCCCATTGTATCCTCCCAGCCACCCTGTGCGGAAGCTGCTCTTCTCCCGTGTTACAGGAGAGGAAACTGGGAGATGGAATTGCATGCCCAAGGCCACTCTGCGAGGGAGGGGAAGACTGAGAATTCCAGCCCAGGCAGCGTAACCCCATGCCTGCAGGCTTAACCAAGGTGGATATTATAGGAGGGGCCGCCTCCACCCTGATTGGAGGTTCTGTTAATTCCATAGCTCTTCCCAGGTACCTGTGCCTCCAGGGGTGGCCCTTGTACCTGGCTCTGAGGGGAGACTGCAAAAGGCAATAAAAAGCAAGGGTTGGAGCAGGCAGAGGCAGCCCCGACCCATCCCCAGGGCTCCCAGGACTGACTTCTGTTCTCTCCACCCCGTCTCCCCCAACCCCAACCCCAGCATCAGAACAATTCCAAGAGTTCGCCCAGCTCCAAGACCAGTTTTAACCACCACATAAACTCAAACCATGTCAGCTCGAACTCCACCGGAAGCAGCTAGTTTCGGCTCTGGCCTCCAAGTCCACAGTGGAACCAGCCCAGACCCTTCTCCTTAGAAGTGGAAGTAGTGGAGCCCCTGCTCTGGTGGGGCTGCCAGGGGAGACCCCGGGAGCCGGGGAAGGAGGCCGTCCATCCCGTCGACGTAGAACCTCGAGGTTTCTCAAAGAAATTTCCACTCAGGTCTGTTTTCCGAGGCGGCCCCGGCCGGGGTGGATTGGATTTGTCTTTGGTGAACATTGCAATAGAAATCCAATTGGATACGACAACTTGCACGTATTTTAATAGCGTCATAACTAGAACTGAATTTTGTCTTTATGATTTTTAAAGAAAAGTTTTGTAAATTTCTCTACTGTCTCAGTTTACATTTTGTATATTTGTATTTAAATGAAAGTGAGACTTTGAGGGTGTATATTTTCTGTGCAGCCACTGTTAAGCCATGTGTTCCAAGGCATTTTAGCGGGGAGGGGGTTATCAAAAAAAAAAAAATGTGACTCAAGACTTCCAGAGCCTCAAATGAGAAAATGTCTTTATTAAATGTAGAAAGTGATCCATACTTCACCTTTGAAGGATTGGTTGTATTTACCCACATCTATCTCTGGAGCCATTTCCTCACATTGGTGTCACCCTTCTGTCGGCTTGGAACAATCTGAATTAAATGTTCCAGACACACGTGGGACTTCCCCCTCCCAGCCAGAATGTCCTCTCCTGGGGCCCTCGGAGTCGCCTAGGCTGAGCCCTTCTCCTCGAGGGGCACGCCGAGCCACTGTCGCACCCACCTCTGTCTGCTCTTCCTTCAGGAAGGCGGCTGGCACGCGGATCTAGGTGTTTGCAGCCTGGTGGGCGATGGGCCTCTTTCCTTCTAAGCAGGTCCTGACTGCTAAAGCCAGTCATTTGCAAGAGGTTTGCATTGGGGGATTTTTGCTCTATTTTTAACAGAAGCATAGGACCGTAAAGATGTGTCATGAAACCCCAAGTGTCCCAAAGCCTCGGGGCCCACAGGAGCATCGGGAAGTGAGGCAGTGCGCTCATCCTGACGGAGCAGCGTCGTGTCTGTAGCGGGGAGGGAGGCTGGCCCAGGGGCCCGGCATGTTCCTGAAGCGTTCACAGGGTTTTGAGACCTTCACAGCCCCATCAATGTGCTGGCCCATGTGGCATGGATGGGGTAGTCTCTCTGGGCAAATGAGAGGCCCAAGGAGAGACCAAGCCACCAAAGGGCTCAAGACAAAGTCACTGTTCCTTCCCCAGGAAGGTGGGGCAGAGGCAAGATCTATCGGACATTTCAAAGTTTCAGGCAGGAGCTCCTAGAGGACTTGGTGGCTTTGCCAGCCCAGGGGCCTCTGAAGGCAGCCCCCAGACCCTTGTAGCAGGGCTGTCCATCCCCAGGGAGCAGCTGGCCACCTCCTCCTGCCTCGAAGAAGTGACCAGGGGCCAATCTGCTCCCACCTCCCGTCCAGGACAGGGTGAACATTTGACCTCACTGTCCCCTGCCCGGCTGAGTCCCTGATGTCTGACTGTGCCACCCAGCAGCTGCCAGGGTCTCTCACCATGTGGACCCTGCCCTAGCTGCAGCTGCACCTCCTGTCAAAAGTGCAGACTCGCAGGTTCCACCCCAAACCACAGAATGGGAATGCCTGGGAGCCCACCCCTGCTGTGGGCTCTCAGCGGGGCTTTGGGGGTGATCATCCCAAACACATTTCTCTGGATGACGCAGGCAGCATTGGAGCATGAGCCGTGGGGAGGACAGTCGTGAGCACACCAGCTGTGAGGCCCGGTTTCCATGCCTAACCCCCGGACTCTACCCCTGGGTCCTGGGGCGTACCGCTAAAAGGGTCCTGGCCTTTGGGACTGATCATTTTGAGGCCCTTTTACAAAGAAATGGGGGAGAAGAAATAGCTGGGCTTCCCTCAAATCTTTTTAATGTGCAGTATTTTTTTGTTCAAGACCAGCTCTTGTTTTATGAGGCTCCTTCCATTACCTTTCTTGGGCTGAATGCAAAACAAATACAGCCACATTCAAGTCTTCCAAGGAAGTAGAAAACTCTTTGAATGGTATCTTAAGATCCTTAAGCTCTTGCTGAACTTCCTTTTTCAATGAAAAGAAGGACCATCATCCTAGGATGGTCACCAGCCCAAGCCACCACCCCAGCCACCCATCCAGGAGGTTGGTTCCTTTTGCCCAGTTCATAGCAGCTCAGTCCTTACCAGATGGATTCTTGGTGTTGGGAAGCAGCCTCTTTTTATTCCTGAAAGGCAATGCCCTGTCCGTTTGCAGTAGAGAATCCCCAGGGAGCAAGAAAGATGACAGAAGTGTGGCTGCCGTGTTTCTAGGTCATGAGAGCTCTGGCGATACTACCACAAGGCCTGCACGTGGACTCTATGATAACTTGAGTCTTCCATCATGTTTGCCACCAGCCCTCCCTGAGTGCCCAGAGGAGATGGGGGCAGAGTCACTTGGCCTACTAAAGCCTCCTGTTCCTTCTGGCTCATGCATTGCTTTGTGGTAAGAGAAAGGAAGTCTTTAGAACAGCGCCTGGGAATCAGCCCTTCTCCCTACTGAGTCCCCAGTCCTGTCCCTTCCCTGACTCGCTCCTCCTCCAACCTTGGTTTCTATAGCTGCATTTTTTTTTTTTTTTTTTTTTGAGACAAGATCTCATTGTGTTCCCCAGGCTGAAGTGCAGTGGCATGATTCTGGCTCACTGCAGCCTCAAACTCCTGAGTCCAAGCTATCCTCCTGCCTCAGCCTCCGAGGTAGCTGGGACCATAGGCGTGCACCACCATACTCAGCTAATTTTTAAAATTTTTTGTAGAGATGGGGGGGGGGTCTCCCCATGTTGCCCAGGCTGGCCTCGAATTCCTGAGCCCAAGCTATCCTCCTGCCTCAGCCTCCCAAAGTGCTGAGGTTATAGGTGTGAGCCACTGTCCCTGGCCTATACGGTCATTTTTTAAAAGATATTTTAAAATTAAAAGCAAACAACACTGTCCACCCATCTACCTGTCCAGGATAAGGCATATTTGGACGGTGAACGGATTTACTCTCGTTCATGCATTTGAGCGCTTCACAGAAGAGTCTTTCTTGCTCCAGGCATGACATTTTTTTTCACCAGACGTTCACTGACTTCGTGACTTTGAGGTGAGACATGGGATCTCTCAGAAGCGTCTCTGCATCTGCATTTCAGGAGATGAGCTGCTGTCCCTGGTGGACAGAGGCGGTCTCTGCCATGGTCACCATGATGCCCTACAAGTGTTTATTGAGTCCCCTGGGGGGCACCCAGAATACCACCCAAAATAGCAAGAAGACCCGGTCCCCGCCTTGCGGACGATGCACTCACATGCCACAGCAACCCATTCTCGCCTCTTCCTTGGCCGGGAACCCGGGGCTCTAGGGCTGCTCGCTGCTGCTGTGGCCTGCGCAGCCACGGGAGGCTTCCTGAAAGGCATTGCTCGGAGGGGCGGGGGCGGGGAGGCCTAGCCTGCCCCACAGACACAGCTGTGAGGCCTGGGTCATACACATACCAGCAAGCAGCTGCCGAGACAAATGGTGGTGGGAAGTCCTGGGAACACACACAGCCTTTGCATTGACAGCACAAGTAGGATCAGAGCCCAGGTGAGCCCCTGAGGATACCGAGGCCTTCCCTCCCTGAGGCCCGCAAGTCTCCATGCGTCTCCCGGGAGCCTGGCCCCGCTGCAGAAATCCCTTCTCTTCCTCCACACCCTGTCCTTTCCCCAAAGGCTCGTGTTATCAGTTCCAGCTACCCATCGACTTTCCCACCGAGCCGCTGCCCTCAAAACGGAGGGGGCACCGCAGCCTCCTTGAGCCTGGCATCCCAGGCCTTGCCAAAGGGGACGGTGGCTTCCTGGATAATTGGAAATCTCTGAGAAGAAGAGGAAACACCTGAGTGACACTCAGCTGTCCTCTGGGGTCCCCTGGTGTGCATGCACGTCCTCCTGAATACCTGTACTTCCAAGAGGTGGTCTCCTGTTTTCATAACCCAACACTCTGAGATAGGATCTTCCAACTTTTTAGCCCCGGCTGTGGAAAGATAGTGAGTATGAAGTCTTTGTGCATTTGGAAGTGACATCGCTGTGTGGATTATGAATACAGAGAGCTGCCATCTTCCTGATCACAATAGACCACGATTGCAAAGCCTCCTCTCCCAGAGACCCCTTCTGCGCCTGCCCTCCCCACCCACCACCCAGCTGTTGAAGCTCAGCGTGTGCAAGTCAGACCCTGCACAGGCCGGGGGTGTCTCACCTGGCCTAAACGTAAAGGCTTGTGCCGGAGACAGTGATTGAAAACATTTGAAAAGCCAGCTCTCCCTGGCAGAGAAAGACACTTCCCCCCCAAAGTGGAATTTAGATGTCTTTCCCTAGTCCATCAAGAAGTCATTTTTGTAACAGTCCCTAAGCGAGTGTTCTCAATTAGAAGAGTTTAGTGGCTTTTGGTGTTGTTAAAATAATAAGAATCCTTCTAGCATCCAAAGCTTTCTAATTTTTTTCAGGGAGATTTGGACATTAATGAATGGAAACTTCCACAGTGGCGGTCACTCCTGAAGGCAGCGGCTTCTGTTCTCCCGCTGCTGTAACTCTGTGTGTTCCGTCTATCGCGTCACAGTGCCGCTGGATCTAGATGGAGCCACTGTTGTTGTTTTTAAAAGAGAAATAAATTCCTTAATGGAAGTAGCATGGCATCGGCATCTCTCTCCTGCTGCTGAGCTCTTGTTCTGTTTCTTCTGCATACGACAGCTGTCCCCAAGATGCCTGTGGCCTTTGGGCTAACCCTTTCCTAAGGTTGACAGTGGAACCCACCCAAACCCGGCCCCCACACTGACCACCCCCTGAACTGCCCACAGATGGCCCAGCTCCAGTGGGCGGGGCCCAAGAAAACCTGAATTCTTACCAGGCCGCCGGCTTCTGATCTCAAACCCAGCAGATGGTTCTAGAAGTGCTCTGGCCACTTGGCACCAAGGAGGAGCTGGGTGACAAGGGCTCGAGCCAGTGCCAGCACCATGACACCAAACGGCGCATTTGCAGGTCCCACCTGCCCGGTCTTATACAGAAGAGGCGGGCTCTGCAGAGGGAGCCTTTCTGGCTGTCCAGGCTTCGCCATGCCAGGCACATGCTGGAACGTGGGGTAGCCAGTGAGGCACAGCGGCCCTTGCACCTCAGAACTGGGATTCCCGATCTGGGACCCAAGACCTCTTCTGTCTCCCTCGACCTGCTTGCCTTAGCTGTTAGAATGAGCAGGGCTTACTCTGAGATGTTTGTTTTAAAAATAAAGGTAAAAATAAATTTTAAAAATAAATAAATAAATAGAATGAGCAGGGCTGGGACTCAGCCAACACCCTATTGATGATATATGACCTTAAACAGGCCACTCTGAGCCTCGGTGTCTTCATCTGTAAATGAGATCACACCTCAGTGATGTGGCTGCTGGAGGATTCAGTGGGAACTCATGGGCCACCCAGCACAGAGGCCTTGGCTTTGAGCAGGGGCCTGGCCTTGACCTCACACCCATTCACACCCAGCCCTGCCTGGAGCCACACTCCAGCCAGGCCTGGAGCCTGGGGAAGAATCTGCTTACTGGGGGACCCTGTGGAATTGGACAGAGAGAAAGAGGGGCCGGCTGGCAATGAGGGTGGGATGAGGAAGGGGCTCTCCCAGGATGGAAGAATGGGGGTACTCATGGCCGAGGATTTGCCGACCAGGCGGGTAGCCCTCAAGGGCAGAAGATGCAGGGGTGGGGCAGGAAATGCTCTGATCTCAGAACAGGGATGGGGAGGACCTCCCCGCAGGGCCCAGCTCTGTCTCTGGGGCTTTCACCACTCCAGAAACTCCACTGTCCGAGCCAGCCTCCAGGCAGACAGAAGCTGCCGTCTCTCCTGGGACAGGTAGGGTATCAGTGGGAGAAACTCCAGCCCCACAGCTCCGGCCCCCCTCACCATTTACACTGCCCTGCCCAGCAGCTTTGGCCCCTTCCCAGGCAGATGGGCTGGGCTGGGCAGGAGGAGTACCCACCTCTTACCTCCTCCACACCTTTCAGGCCTGTGCCCGTCCTGTCCACACCAGACAACCGTGGATTTGGTGAGGGGACCAAAAGAGCCTCCATCTAACTCATTTTCAGGAAAGGCTCAAAGCCAGCATCCCTGGGCCCCAGAGAGCTCCAGGCCACAACCCCTGTGGGAGGCAGTCCTTAAAGCTGTTAGGATCCACCTGCCATATCCAGAGACCGTGAAGAGGAGGGAGAGCTGGGGCCCTGGGAACAGACCCTTGAGCCACAGCATGGCAGGGCTCCTGGTACCACTTTGCCCAGCAGTTTGCCAAGCCAAACATTGCCCAGGCCTGGGCCAGTTGTCATGGGGCCTTGGCTTGGCTATCTTGGGGGAGAGAGCAGGAAAAGCCCATTCAGCAGGCCATGGGGTGAGATCTAGAGTTTGCACTCTAGGGGCATCAACTACTGGCAGGTAAACCACAAGGCGCAGAAGGCTTGGGTCAGCACCTCTCATGCTTCAGGAGTTCTGACTCATTTGGAATCTTGATAAACTAGAATCTGATTCAGTGGGTGTGGGGTAGGGCACAGCCCGTGCTTCTGAGTGCTCCTGGGCGAAGCCACTGGTCCTCAGACAACACTTTGAGCAGAGAGGCCTTAGAAAGCCCCAAACCTGGCTGGGCACCATTTCTCACACCTAATCCCAGCACTTTGGGAGACTTAGGTGGGTGGATCACCTGAGGTCAGGAGTTTGGGACAAGCCTGGCCAACATAGTGGAATCCCAACTCTACTAAAACTATAAAAATTAGCTGGGTGTGGTGACATGCACCTGTAATCCCAGCTACTTGGGAAGCTGAGGCAGGAGAATCCCTTGAACCCTGGAGGTGGAGATTGCAGTGAGCTGAGATTGTGCCACTGCATTCCAGCCTGGGTGACAGAGTGAGACTCTGTCCCAAAAAAAAAAAAAGAAAGAAAGAAAGCCCCAAACCGGAATGGCAGGCTGGGTCTATAGTCAAACCAGGTCCTGTATTCTATGGTACAGAAGTTTTATTAATACTCACCAACATTTGCCCTGCCCTTGAGGGGAACTGATACCAGTAGTTTTCAAAGTCTGACACCCTCACCACTACAGGCTGCAGCAGCAGCCCTGTGAACTTCTGAGAGATCCAGGTTCCTGCTCCCCGTGCCAAGCCTATTGAGTTAGGAGTCTGGGTGGGACCTATGAACAGGACCCCCAGGTGACTGGGGTGCACACTCCAGTTTGAGGCCCACTGGTTTACAAAGCGCTTTCATCTCATTGAGGACGCTTAGGGCAAAGCAGCCACTGATCTTCCTGCCGATGGCTTTTCAGAGTCACAGAGGGCTGAAGAGAGTGAGGCTCTTACCTGCAAATGGAAGCAGGTGGGTACAATTGGCTACCACTGTTCTTAAACAAAAGGAAAGAGGATACGACATAGAATCCTACTGTCATATTTTTAATGAAAAGATAAACCAAAAAAAGGAAAAAAGTTACCTACAGGGAGAGGGAAGCCACCAGGGGAGGAGAGTGAGAGACAGATATAAAAGCCAGTCTGCTCAGAAATGTGCCTTGTCTTGTAGATTTGACTTTGCAAGCACACGTCAAATAAAACACAAATCCAGACTCAGTGGGGAGAGAACTATTTGAAAGATTTTTGCAAGGGAGGAAAGGGGCTACTGCAACAGGGGCTGGGATGGAGAGCACTGCAAAACGCAGAAGGCTTGACCATGCCATCTGCAAGGGTCTTGAGGGTTAGGCGAAAAGATGATCTCTTTTGTAGAAAGAACAAGGCTAGAAAGAGCCAGGTGTGGAAAGTGGGATGAAAGGGTGATGTGATTAGATAAATAGATCAGAAAATGTCACCCTGAGGCAGCCTCTGCTCTGGAGGGGCTGCCTGCAGGCTCAGGCTGAGTTGGTCAAAGTTCAGAGTCCAGGAAGAAGGAGTGAAACTTACCCAAGTCTGGCTAGCAAGCATTTTGTTTCCATGGATCAGTGGGAACAGGCCGTTCAGCTAATCATTTATGAGGCAAAGAATGGGAATTTGGAGGGTCTGTGTCTGGCCTTTCATAGATAAATAAGGGGGACATCCCTCGGCCTTATGGAAGTCTGATGTGGTTGTCTGTGTCCCCACCCAAATCTCGAATTGTAATTCCCATAATTCCCACATGTTGTGGGAGGGACCCAGTGGGAGGTAATTGAATCATGGGGGCGGGTCTTCCCCATGCTGTTCTAGTGATAGTGAATAAGTCTCATGAGATCTGTTGGTTTTATAAAGGGGAGTTCTGCTGCACACACTCTCTCTTGCCTGCCACCATGTAAGATGTGCCTTTGCTCCTCCTTGCCTTCCACCATGGTTGTGAGGCCTCCCCAGCTATGTGGAACTGTGAGTCTATTGAACCTCTTTCCTTTACAAATTACCCAGTCTCAGGTATGTCTTTATTAGCAATGTGAGAACAGACTAATACAAAGTCATATGGGGAAAGGTGGTTTTTTGCAGCATGTTGTTTTCCTGGAAAACAAAAATGTGAGGAGAATCTCTCGTTTTGGCTTTTTGTTGTTGTTTTGTTTTGTTTTATGAGACAGGGTCTTACTCTGTCACCCAGGCTGGAGTGCAGTGGTGCAATCATAGCTCACTGCAGCCTCTGACTCCTGGGCTCAAGCAATCTTTCCACTTCAGCCTCCAGAGTAGCTGGGATTACAGGTATGTGCAACCACACCCGGCTAACTTTTTTAAATTTTTTGCAGAACTGGGATCTCATTATGTTACCCAGCCTGGTCTTGAACTCCTGGCCTCCAGGGATCCTCCTGCCTCGGTCTCCCAAAGTGCTGAGATTACAGATTGAGCCACTGCACCTGGCAGGGGGAATTCCTTTAATCTTCACTGTTTTCCAGGAGCACCGGGCTCAAGTAAAATTCACTATTGTCATATGTAATATATGTTTTTGATAATTGTAAAACAAAACTAAAAATTTTTTATAGCAGCCCCTATAAACCAGAAGACAAATGGAAGAAACAAATCTGTTCATATGCAGGTGGTGGCATAATCACACAGAGACCATCCCCAAGTGACTTTAAGGCACAGAAATGTGACTGTAGGTTCCCAAAGAGGGGCATGCCCTAAAGACAAAAAGAGTTGCCAAAAAAATCTTAAGCCATTTTCACTAAACATATTGTCAGTAATAACGTGGATGTTATTATTCCTCAACTAATGTATATTATAGGGCAAAACATCTAATTCTGTTAATGTAATTAAGAGCAAAGATTTTTCAATGTAAGAAAAAATAAAAAAATAAAATAATATCAAAGAAGAAAAGCCTTTTAATCCAACCCAAAATAAGCTTTCTCTTTATAAAATAGGCATCCATGAGAACTTTGGCTCCTTGAGACAACACCATTGACTCCCCGTGAGTGTTCAGGACTTTTTCCTGGCCACGGGAGATGGAGGAGTACTGGACTTTGATGACGGGGAGGTTCCTTCCAGTTCCAACATTCTGCCAGACTTATGCAGCTCGTTCTATCTTTGCCTCCCACTTTACCTCCCTTTTATTTTCTCTTTGATATAAGGATTGCCATTTCAGCCGGGCATGGTGGCTCACACCTGTAATCCCAGCACTTTGGGAGACCGAGGCAGGCGGATCATGAGGTCAGGAGTTCGAGACCAGCTTCACCAACATGGTGAAACCCCGTCTCTACTAAAAATACAAAAATTAGCAGGGTGTGACGGTGTACACCTGTCGCGCCTGTAATCCCAGTTACTCAGGAGGCTGAGGCAGGAGAATCTCTTGAACCCGGGAGGCAGAGGTTGCAGTGAGCCGAGATGGCACTGCTGCACTCCAGCCTGGGCGACAGAACAAGACTCCGTCACAAAAAAAATAAAATAAAATAATTGCCATTTCTAAAAATAATAATAATAAATGAAGGGATGAATGAAGGGTGAAAAATATCGGGGGTACCATTTACATTGTACTGTAGTACTCCTTGGAGTTATGCTATTCAGATGTTCTAGGATGGATGGATGGTTGAATGGACGGGTAGAAGCAAGGAATGAAGGAGGGAAGGAATGTAGGAGACGAAGGAATGTAGGAGGCGAAGGAAAGAAGGAAGGGAAGGGAACGGAAGGAGGAAGGAAGGGAGGGAGGGAAGGAAGGAAAAGGAAAGGAAGATCCATGAGTATGAATGAATAGATGGTTAGATGGAAGGAAGCAAGGATGGGTAGGTGGTAGATGGGTGGATGGGTAAAAAGGTGGGTAGGTGGGTAGATGGATTGGATGAGTGGATAGAAGGAAGGAAAGGTGGGGGGTGGATGGATGGATAGATGAATGGATGGATGGATGGTTAAATGGATGGAAGGAAGGGTGGGTGGGTGGTGGATGGATGGATGGGTGGGTGGATGGATGGATGGATATATAAAAAGATGAGTAGGTAGGTAGATGGATGGATGTGTGGATGGATAGAGGAATAGATGGATGAATGGATGGCTCAATGGACAGATGGATAGAAGAAAGGAAAAGTGGATGACAGTTGGATGGGTGGCCATGGTCCTATGAACAAGTTACGCTCTATATACAGACCCAGTGGAGGATACACTTCTGCAAAGGAGCACCTGTGCAAAGCAGACCTTCCCCAGAGAATGTCCAAACCTTTGCCTGGTATCTTGTATTTATGCAGGTGGCACTTGGCCCAGCAGAATCAGGTATGGAGGGTGGTTATTTAACCAAGGTCTACAGCTCTTGATATGGCAGCCCCTGACCTTCAAGCACTTCTGTGTGGCAGTGCCCAATGCAATGATGTGGGACAGAGCGCACATTCTGAACTCTATATAGAAGGGTTGGGTCAATGCTGGTCACCATAGTGACGCCATTTCTGCTCTTAAGGATCTGGTAAAGACACTCGGGATGGAACAGGGTTTCACTACTCCTTCTGGATAACTACAGTGAGTCAGGGAGTAAGAGAGAAGTATTAGAATTAAGTCTGAAGTCCCCTCAGGGCACCAGAGAACCCTGGCAGGAGATTTTGTCCCCAGCCCTCGGCAGAAAGGAGAGGAGCTTAGTGCTCAACTCCCCACAGAGACTCACCTGCACACCTGTATGCCGTCCAGACCTGGCTCAGGGGAGGGGATGCTGTCAGGAGAAGGTTCCAGCCAGGTGACCCCATGACCTAGCTGCCAGCTCTGCTCCCGCCACCACTTGTGGACTCCCCAAGGCAGCGGCTGGCTCTCCACCCAGCTCCAGACACAGACTGGTCCCTGAGCGAGAATCCGTTTCTGTGAAGGAGAAAGCGTTAAGTGGGCCACGCCCTCACCCCTTCCTCTCAGCCTGGGCATCCCGAGGCTCCCACAAGCTCACTGCAGGCGTGCACTTGAGGCCAGTGTGTTTTCCTGGGAGCAAACCTCCTCCTTCCTGTGAGGTCCTTCAGGGCACTGAGAAGTCCCACCCAGTCTCATGGGGACCCACTCGGGATGTTTTTTGCTTTTTCTAAGAGAAGCCAAATGTCTCCTTTAATGGAGAACTACCATAAAAAACTTCTCTTAAAAATGCTTGCTTTTTCTGAGTTATCAGAATTAACCCAGAAAGAGGTCACAAACGGGTTAGGTCCATTAGCCACTCAGAGTAACTAAGTAATTTGCAAGAGAACTAACAGCCTGGGTGTCCTCAGTGTTCCTGGGCCAGGCCAGCTTCCCCGGCAGGCAGAGGTGCACTGTCATCAGGAGGCATGAGCGGTTTGCTGCTGGGTCACGCCCTGTGGTCTGCTTGTTGGGGAAACCACCCACCCCGACATCCACCCTGCCCAGCAAGCCTGGCGGTGGCCATGGTCCTGCCAGCGGGTGCTGCCCCTCTTTGCTCACATGTGACTCACAGCTCCCATAACACAGTAAGAGCTTCCCAAGGCACAGCCAGGGCACCAAGCTAGGTATGGGCTGCAAGCATTTCCTTTTGCAATTAATAAACAAGAACTAGCACTTATAAACAGTCACCATCTACCCAAGTCTCACTATCTTCACAAACAACGCTCCATAAACTGAGGCTCTGAGGGGCTCTGTGTCTTATCCAAGTTGACTAAGCAAATGAGAGGCTGAAACTCACAGTTGTCTCCAGAGTCCCTGCTCTTTCTTCTCTGCATTGCCAGCTTCCTTTCTTCCGCTGGGAGAACAGCCATCAACCCAGCCGGCATCCCCAGCTCTCTGGGCCTTACAGTGGGTGGAATGTTCCTTCTGTAAAATAGGGAGCCAGGGGGCAGCTGGACCGACCTGGGTTCAGGTTTTTTTGTTTTATTTATTTATTTGTTTTTGAGACGGAGTTTCGCTCTTGTCGCCAAGGCTGGAGTGCAATGGAGCGATCTTGGCTCACTGCAATCTCCACCTCCTAGGTTCAAGTGATTCTCCTGCCTCAGTCTCCCAAGTAGCTGGGATTACAGGTGCCTCCCACCATGCCCGGCTAATTTTTGTGTTTTCAATAGAGATGGGGTTTTGCCATGTTGGTCAGGCTGGTCTCAAACTCCTGACCTCAAGTGATCCACCTGTCTCGGCCTCCCAAAGTGCTGGGATTACAGGCCTCAGCCACCGCGCCCAGCCTGGGCTCCCAATTTTAACTGAGCATCAGACTCAGCTAAGCCTTACCTTCTCCAGGTGTGCTCTTCAGACCAGCAGCCTCTCCTGGGGGACTTGTCAGGTGGTGGACCCTCAGGCCCTGCTGAGACCTTCTGAATCAGGATCTGCCATTTAACCAGATCCTGCCCCAAAGCACATTCAACATTTAGATTCTCAGACTCTACCCTAGGGAGTTCAAGGTGGCCCAGAAACCAACCACACTCCCAAGGCAGCCCAGAAACCGACCAGCAACAGGGGCTTTGGTTGAAACTTCCCTACGCGGCCCAGAAACCGACCAGCAACGGGGGCTTTGGGTGAAACTTCCCTAGGCGGCCCAGAAACCGACTAGCAGCGGGGCCTTTGGCTGAAACTTTCCTGCTGGACGCCATCGTCCTGGGCTCCTTGGGGAAAGCCCAGGGATGGGTGGCTAGAGTTCCAGTTGTTACTACATGGTGCCTGGATTGGGAGGAGAGTGGCTTCTTTGCCTCTGCTTGGATGGGCCTACTCTCAGCTTTATGGAGTATTCTTTGGAAGTTGTAGGCGACCATTCTCCTGCCATTGAGATCTCTGTCAGGCGGGTTGCTCCCTGCCCTGCCGTCAGTCCTCGAGCGGTTCTGTCTTCACCGAGTCTCTTCATCGTGAGTGCAATGAGCTTCAGAGAAAAGGAAACGTATTGGACTTTCACTTGGAACTCTAGGGCAGGGAGTGGCCTCGCAGGCTGGTGAGAACTGACCGGCCCTCTTTCTCATCTCTCTTGGGTCCACGGCGGTGGATAGGCCTCTTGAGTTTCTCCATCGTCCTGCATCTGGGAATGGCTTTCCCTGCTTCCCAGCACACACGATGGCCCCTCATCTCCCCCCCCACCCCCAGCTCCCAAGTTCACATCCTCTGGCCCAATCTGGGAAGGTGCCCCTCAAACCACCATGGAGTCAGCCATGGCCAGCAGAGCAGGGTAGGCTGGGCACTCACACTGGGACAGCAGGCACATCTTAGGAGAGTGAGGGGGCTGCACACAGATGGGGAAGCCACAAAGACTCCCGGGATAGCAGGGACGAGGGGGGCCCCCAACTTACCTCAGTCAGAGGCAGGCAGAGAACGGCAGATCTGACTACTCCCTGCCTTCCCCACACACCCTCGCAGGGGAGGCAGGCCAGCTAGTACGCCCATGTGTGGGCTGAGTAAACAAGACACAGACACGGTCCCAAGACCACTGGCTTGTACATGGCAAAATTCAGCCCTGGTACCCAAGGCAGAGCCTGGAAGGGAGTAAGAGAGGAGGGACCAGAGCGAGGGAGGAGGGACCAGAGCGAGGGAGGAGGGAACAGAGCTAGGGGGGAGGGAACAGAGCAAGGGGGGAGGGACCAGAGCGAGGGGGGAGGGACCAGAGCGAGGGGGGAGGGAACAGAGCGAGGGAGGAGGGAACAGAGTAAGGGAGGAGGGATGGACCGGCTGGGGGAGCACAGGGTGTGCTTCATGGTTTCAAGCCAGGGCCCAGGTTCTCAACCCTGCTGCTCACCACAGTCACCTGAAGAATTTGCAGAACTAGGGCTGGTGGTGGCCCTGGTGGACACCATTAAGTCAGAACACCTAGGGGTGGGCTCAGCTGTGGTGTCTCAGTCTCAGCGCCTCTGCTGTAAAATGGGGACAATAACAGCCCTCCAACAAGGTTGTCGTGGGATTTAATGAGGTGACCTGGCAGGAGCGCTTCACCGGGGGCCTGGAGGTGGTAAGTGCCAAGAAACAGTGGCCATGTTCCTGTGGTCTCGAGTGATGTTACAACTCCCTGGCAAGGTGGGCAGTGGCACCCGCTATGGAGATGGGCACGCTGACCTGGTTGCTAAAGTGACTCACCCAAGGCCACACATGGAGGAAGCTGCAGCGCGAGGTTGTGGACCCAGCACCCTCTGACTGTGGAGTGTGACTGAGTTGAGTGTCCACACTGCTGCCTCAGTCTCCCAAAGTGCTGGGATTACAGGCATGAGTCACCACACCTGGCCATTTTAAATGTTTTATTAATGTACTGTATGCCAGCATGATATAGGTCAAAGAGTGTTACAGTTCACAAACCACCTTTCCCCACCTGCCAGTCCTGCCCTCCAGCCCTGCCAACACCTGGATTTTAGAGTTCTGGCCTCCAGAACCGTGAGGTCATAAGGAGGTGTTGTTTTAAGCCACCGAGCTTGTGGTAATTTGTTACAGCAGCCACAGGAAACTAATACAACATCCCTTTTTTTAAAAAAAAAAAGAAAAGAAAATTTATTTTATAAGCTCAACACTTTATAAGTCCTCAGATTTCCCTTGTTTATTTCCCTTTGGGCTTTGTGGGTTGTCAGTAAAGTTCCGTTGGAAAACCCTGCCAGCCTCCTTGAAGCCAAAAGAAACACAGAAGCAGGAGCCAGCTTTGCCCACGCTTGGCCAAGGAGAAGAAAGATCGGGGCCGGCAAGGGGCTGAGGGCGGGGCGCTTTGAGCCAAGAGAGCAGGTTAAGACCAGGCTCTGCAACCGACAGGTGCTATGACCTTAGAAAAGTTATTTACATTCCCTGGAACTAGAGCTTTTCATCTGTAAAATTCATTCAACATTCACTCCACAAATGGCTTATTAAGCTCTTTCCTACATGCCAGACACTGTTCCTGGTCCCAGAGATACAATGATGCACGTACAAGGAAAAAGTCCCTGCTCTCATGGAGCATATATTATACAGGGGGAGGGGAGAAAACAAACAAGACATGTAAATAAATATATAGTATGCTTGTTAAAAACGCCAAGGAAAAAGCAATAAAGCAGGGAGAAACAAGTGTCCTTCAGTAGGTGAATAGTTAACTAGCTTGCGGTCCATCCGTACCGTGGAATACTACTTAGTTAATAAAAAGGAATGAATTATTGATACACAACAATGTGGATGGAGCTCAAGAGAATTCTGCCAAGTGAAAGAAGTCAACCTCAAAAGATCACATACCCTGAGCAACACAGGGAGACCCTGCCTCTAAAAGAAAAAAAAGTTAGCCAGACGTGATGGCATGCACCTGTAGTCCCAGCTATTCAGAAGGCTGAGACAGGATGATCACCTGAGCCTGGGAGTTCAAGGCTGCAGTGAGCCATGACTGCGGTACTGCATTCTAGCCTGGGTGACAGAGTGAGACACTGTTTGAAAAAAAAAGTCACATACCATATGATTCTATTTATATGTCATTCTCAGAATGTCAAAGTTATAGAGATAGGGAACAAATTGGAGGGGTTAGGGATAGGTGGGGTAGAGGGAGGTATGATTATAAAGAAGTAGAATGAGATCTTTGTGGTGATAGCATAGTTCTGTGCCTTGATTGCAGCGGCAGTTACACAAATGCACACATGTATTAAAATAGCATAAAACTACACACATATTGGACCAGTTGGAATAGTGTCCATTTCCTGGCCATGCTGTTGGATCCTAGCAATGTAAGATGCAAGCATTGGGGGAAACTGGGTGAAGAGTGCAAGGGTCCCTTCTGTACTATCTTTGCAACTTGCTGTGAACCTATAAGGTAGTATATTTGTAATATATTTCAAAATTAAAAGTTTTCAAAAATATATGTAAGGCAATATAGACTAAACCAGGGAAGAAGGATAGGCACTATGTGGGTAGCAGGTGTTAAAATTTTGGACAGTGCCTAACAATATGTTACTACTTGTATTAGTTTGTTCTCATGCTGCTAATAAAGACATACCCAAGACTGGGTAATTTATAAAGGAAAGAGGTTTAATGGACTCACAGTTCCACATGGCTGGGGAGGTCTCACAATCATGTGGAAGGCAAAGGAGAAGTAAAGGTACGTCTAACCTGGTGGCAGGCAAGAGAGCTTGTGTGGGGAACTCCCATTTATAAAACCATCAGAGCTTGTGAGACTTACTACAACGAGAACAGTGTGGGGGAAACTACCCCATGATTCAATTATCTCCACCTGGCCCTTCCCTTGACATGTGAGAATTATTACAATTCAAGGTGAGCTTTTGGTGGGGACACAGCCAAACCATATTACTACTTCAGAGGACAGGTGGATGGTTTAAATGAGATACGATATGAACTTGGAATGCTGTTCATACTCAATAAATGCTAGTTTATGATTCTTTTTACTGGGGAGTTTAGTGTTGTGTTATATTTAAATAACTCAGTTTTTTGGTTGAAGGAAACCTGTGTATAAAAAAATAAAAATATTAAAATTAAATAAATAAGAAACTCAGCTTTTTAGATGTCACAATAGTATGGTGGTTATGTTTTTTTAAGTTCATCATTTTTGGAGACGCACATTGAAATATCTGCCAATGATATGATATGAGGTCTGGGATTTCAAAATAAAACAGAACGCAAAATGATTGGTTGTGGTTGGCAGTACTGGTGATGGTTTGGTGGGTGCTGGGCTACGCCTTGGTGGGCTGAGTTACAAAGGTGGTAATTGTGATGGTTAATTTTAAATATTAACTTGACTGGGATAAGGGATGCCTAAATATTAATAGCTGATAAAATATTTCTGGGTGTGTCTTTGAAGTTGTTTCTAGAAGGGATTACTCAATATATAATATTAATATTGCTATTTATCTCAGGTTCTCTAGAAGCAGAACCTGAGATGGAAATTCTGATGCAAGTGATTTATTGAGGGAGGGAGGAAAGCAGGACAGGCCCTGGAGGAAGCTGGGGAAAGATGTGGCTTCATGAGAAGCCCAGCCTCAACCTAACCCCAAAAGGACCTTTAGGGCATAAATTACAGCTCAGAGGTCAAACAGCAGGTGTTATGCTTCTGCATCAATCAGTCATTGGCCATGGGCATCAGGGGAGGGGCAGCTGCAACCTCCCAGGCATCTTGGTGGAAAAGAATGACTTGACCGATTAGTGATGTCTGCAATGGATGTGAGAGGGGAAATGGTGGCTGTGTATATGCTTGTAGTCTTGAGGACTGCTCAGACCTTTCTAACATACCTCTCTAGAATTCTAACAGGTAACCATTTCCTCATTCATTCACCACATATTGACTGAGGGACTACTGAGTGCTAAGTTCTGGACCTTTTGCAGGGCCTTCAAGGAACTTACTGTCTGGGAGGGAAAGGAAGACACAGGCATAGAGAAAATGTGCCAAGCCATATGAAAGGGCACAGGGTAAAAGCTCTAAGCCCACCTCATCACTGACAGCTGTTCAATGAGGTCAGTCAGGAAGGACTGTTTCCCAGCAATACAAAAATTCCAAAATTAAATTTAAACAGTTAAATCCCTGGGTTTTGCTCATTCTTCTTACATATGTCCAACTCTCCGGGCTTCCTCCATGGTTTCCAGGTGGCACATAACATGTTCACTGAAAGCTCCAGCTCTGGACCCAGAGAGACCTGGGATTGAATGCCGGCTCTGCCACTTACTAGATTGTGTGACCTTGGGCAAGTCACTTAACTCTGAGTCTGTTTCCTCAACTAATAAACTGATCTAACAACAGCAGCTGCCTGATTTGCTGATGGGAGAAATGTAAAGCTCTGAGCACCTGCTTGGCAAGAGGACCTTTGGCCCCAAGAGGAAGGAGGTTTTCTGCAGAAGTAGACAACTCCTCGCTCACCAAGGGAAGCAGGAGAGTGAGAGAGGCTGGTGCAGATGGCCCCTGAGAGGCGGAGGTGGGACCACCTCTGCTACTTTCTCTTTCCCTTTGCTGGTGGTCCAGTGTCTACTGCTGCCTTCGCAATTGAAAAGCCCGATCCCCAGCCGGGTATGGTGGCTCACACCTGTAATCTCAGCATTTTGGGAGGCCGAGGAGGGCGGATCATGAAGTCGGGAGATCAAGACCATCCTGGCTAACATGGTGAAACTTGTCTCTACTAAAAATACAAAAAATTAGCTGGGCATGGTGGCACATGTCTGTAGTCCCAGTTACTTGGGAGGTTGAGGCAGCAGAATCGCTTGAACCCAGGAGGCGGAGGTTGCAGTGAACCGAGATCATGCCACTGCACTCCAGCCTGGGCAACAGAGTAAGACTCTGTCTCAAAAAAGAAAAAAGAAAAGCCCGATCCCTGTCTTGGTCCTGCCCATACCAGGCCCCCCCTCGGGTGAGTCTCTGAGCCTCGACTTCCCCAGTGGTAACAAGGCTGGAGTGCAGCAGGACCCTGGGAGCCGCAGCCCTGCTGTGCTGCCTGACACCCCACCAAACCCTGAGGGAAATACTCATATGTCCCCATATGATATGGTTTGGCTGTATCCTCACCCAAATCTCATCTTGAATTCCCACATGTTGTGGGAGGAACCCGGCAGGAAGTAATTGAATCATGGGGGCAGATCCTTCCTGTGCTGTTCTCCTGATAGTAAGATCTGGGGTTATTATGAGGGGGAGTCTCCCTGCACAAGCCCCCTCTTTGCCTGCTGCCATCCATGTAAGATGTGACTTTGCTCTTCCTCGCCTTCTGCCATGATTGTGAGGCTTCCCCAGCCACGTAGATCTTTGTAAATTGCCCAGTCTAGGGCATCAGCAGCATGAGTACAGACTAATACATCATATTTGGAGGGGCTCGGACAGGGCCTGGAGGGCACACACCCCATATCAGTGAGAGAACCAAGTGGCAGTGGGGGAGAAATATCACCTACAGCCAGATTTGCTTCCTTCTGGGAAGCACCCGGGAGGCATTTTGGGGTGGGGGATGGCATGACTGGGCTGGAGGTAACCTGGGCATCCCCAAGCCTCTCAAAGCCCTTCATCCCCTCCCCATGGCCTCCTACCTGTAATCCTAGCACTTTGGGAAGCTGTGACAGGAGGATCACTTTAGCCCAAGAGTTTAAGACCAGCCTGAGCAACATAGTGAGACCCTATTTCTAAAAAATAAAATTTGTTTAATTAGCTGGGCATGGTGTTGCATGCCTATGGTCCCAGCTACTTAGGAGATTCAACTCTACCTACTTTATAGAAAGAGAAATGCCTGTCTTAATGGTCCAGACAATTGCATGTTCCATCCCACACGGGGAGCATATTTCCCCTAAGTGAGTATAAGCTGGAGATGTGAGTCCAGTCGGCTGCTCTCAACTGCCCCGCTTGGTGAAAACATCCCACCACTGCATGTCATTCTGATGTTTACCCATACGTATTCTTCACCCAGCCTGGGCCCTCCACAGAGACCAACGACTGGGCGAGGCCCTTGCCCTAAGACCCAAGAATCTGTCCCCTGAGCCCGGGAGGTGGAGGGAAACCAGCCGTGCCAGTCTGCACCATAGTGTTTGCCTAGGGTATGTCCAAGGGAAATTTTGGTGAAGCAAGGTACATGCCCGATGCAAGGCCTTAGAACCTCAGCCCATGAGGAAGGAGCTCCTCTGTCCTTTAGCCAGGAGTGGTCGGAGCAGGGAGAAGGAGTGGTGAGGCTCTTGGAAGTGGGACCTCCATGGCTTGAGAATAAAGTTTGTTCCTAGCCGACCTAACGTCACCATCAGGCTGGCCCTCACCTTGCCCATAAGGAGAATAAACCAGTACTACCAGTGTGCCTGCTTGGAGGTTCTTGGGTGAGTATCTTGGGCATTTCCAGAGGCAGCCACCCCCACTCTACCCAACCCTCACTGAGGCTTTAGGGCCCTCCCCACCTGACGACCTTAAGCCTCTGATGAAATAAAAAGTATACAGTTTCTCCTTAGAAAAGTTGGGGCCCCTGAACTTGATGCCCACTGTTTCCCCAACATATGAGTGGTAAGAAGTAATAGAGAACAATCCTCTGTGCCCTTCACCCAGTTCCCTGCACAGGCAACATCTCACCAAACTCTGGTCCAACACCACGTGTACAGAACCAGGATGCTGACACGGACACTCAACACACGGAGCACGTCCATCACCACGAGGGTCCCTCCTGTTGCTGTTTCATGACCACGCTCACTTTCCTCCTGCCCCCACTGCCTCCTTAACCCCTGGTGCCAGTAATCGGTTCTGTATTCCTAAAATTTTGTCATTTCAAGAATGCCCTTGAATCCCATCTCTACAAAAAGTACAAAAAATTAGCCAGGCATAGTGGCGTGTGCCTGTGGTCCCAGTTACTTGGGAGGCTGAGGTGGGAGGATCATTTGAGCCCAGGAGGTCAAGGCTGCAGTGAGCATGATTGTGTCACTGCACTCCTGTCTGGGCAACAGAGTTGAGACCCTGTCTCAAAAAGAAAAAAAGAAAAAGAAAAAAAAAGAAAAGAAAAGAAAAGAAAACTCTTGAAATGGAATCATGTGATGTGTACCCTGTAAGGATTGTCTTTTTTTTCACTCAGCATCTTTCTCTGGAGATTTACCAGGTGTTTGCACATGACAATAACACGTTCCTTTTTATTGCTGTGTAGTATTCATGGAACGGATGGACACAACTTGTGTAACCATTAATGTGGTGAAGGACATCAGAGTTGTTCCAAGTTTTTGGCTCTAACAAATAAAGCTGCTGTGAGCTTTTGCGTACAGGGTTTTGTGTTGTTGGGGCCAAGGGAACTTCCCCTTTGTCCTCTGAAGGTCCTCTGGAAAATCAACTCACAAAAGGCAGATTCATTGGAGAAAAGGCGTACAAATTTACTTGATCATAGTTTTATGGGACATGGGAGCCATCAGAATAGAGACCCAACACCCAGGAGAGTGCAGAAGCTTAGACATTGTCCTGAGGTTACAGAAAGAATGGAGGCTCGGATGCTGGCAAAGCAGGTTGTAGGAAGGGAGAGAGGAGGAACTTTGCTGAGGGCCAATAAAGGATTCCTATGGAGAATTCAATGGGCTTGAGGAACATAAAAGCATCTGGGGCAAAGTCTGTTGGGCCTGCAGAGCGGACAATGGTTTGTGACAAAAGTCTGCCCAGGTTTGTTAAAAGAGAATTCCTTCCTTGCAATATGGGTTTAGTTCATGAAAACTCAGAGAAAGGATCAGAAGGCATTGTTTTCTTCTTAGGTAGGTCTGGACTTCAGGCAGATAAGGAAACTTCAGAGAATCCAATGCTTTGGAGAACAGTTGGGCTGGGGCAGTCAGAGAGACCTTGAAACTCCTTTTTCAGTTCAGCATGTCCAACATGCCATATTTTGAAACATCCGCTTCTGAACCCCAACAATGTGAACGTATATCTTCATTTTTCCTTCCTTCCCTCCTTCCTTCCTTCCTTCCTTCCTTCCCCCTCCCTCCCTCCCTCTCTCTCTCTCTTTTTCTTTTTCTTTCTTTCTTTCTTTCTTTCTTTCTTTCTTTCTTTCTTTCTTTCTTTCTTTCTTTCTTTCCTTCTTTCTTTCTTTCTTTCCTTCTTTCTTTCTTCTTTTTATTTCTTCTTTCGAGACAGGGTCTTTCACTGTCGCCCAGGCTGGCGTGCAGTGGCGCAATAATATCTCACTGCAGTCTTGATCTTCTGTGCTCAAGTGCTCCTCCCACCTTAGCCTCCTGAGTAGCTTGGGACCACAGGTGTGTGCCACCATGCCCAGCTAATATTTTTTTCTTTTTTTTTTTCTTTTGTGGAGATGGGGTCTCATCATGTTGCTCAGGCTGGTCTCGAACTCCTGCCTGAGCTCAAGTGATCCACCTGCCTCAGCCTCCCAAAGTGCTGGGATTACAGGCATGAGCCACTGTTGCCTGCCCATATATCTTCATTTCTTTGGAATAAATGGAAAGCAACCATTGGGTCGCATGGTAGTTGTATGTTCAGGTTTTAAAGAAACTGTGAACATATTTTCCAGAGTGGCTCTACCATTTCATGTTCCCACCAGCAGTGTAAGAGTGATCCAGTTTTTCCAAATCCTCACCAGCATTGGATGTTGTCCCTGTTTTTTATTTTAGCCATTCTGATAGATGTGCATCACTGTGGTTTCAATTTGCATTTCCCTAATGGCTAATGATGTTGAACATCTTTTCACAGGCTCAGTTCCATTTGCATATCCTCCTCAATGAGGTGTCTCTTCATGTCTCTTGCCCATTTTCAAATTCGATTGTTTGGCTTGTTGTTTGAGAGTTTGAGAGTTTTTTACCCTCTCTAGATATTAGTCCTTATTGCTAAATTTGTTGTGGTGAGTGGTTGAAGCCTTCGAGCCCTGTTCTGCAGTTTTCCTTATGAGTATAATACACACACATCTGGCTTCATAAAAGGCAGGGTGCCTCCCCAGAGAGGGAGCTGGGCAGGTTGACGGTGCTGGGTCACTCCAGCTGAGATCATTTGCAAGCCTGTCTTTTACAGCCCTTGGTTCTCTTCAAACCCCATGGGCATATTGTGTCTCTGGCTCCCAGTTCTTCCCACCACCTTTCCTATAGGTGGCTTCATCCTACACACTTTGGAGATGGTCATGATACCTTGATGATGACAGAGGGCTTGCACTTCTCCCTACAATGCCATAGATCTAGCCCATTCCTTAAACCGTCTCAAAAAGGCACCTCCAGCCCTTTTAACCTTTGATGCCGTACCCTGTCCTGTTGTTCTTTGCCACAGATTCCAGATTCCTATAGATCCGTGTCACTCATTGTGAATCAAAGCTATTCTGCAGGACACAGAATAAATGGCAGAAAGGGAGGTCACTGGAAAGCTTCATGTAGAATCATAGCTCAGGGCAGGACAGCCTGTGTGCTGCACGCTTGGCCACACCAGCCAACGGTTAAAGAAGTCAGCACTGCAGGGGATGCCCCAGAGAGGGTGAGCAGGAAATTGCAATCTACATAGACCCAAAGGTGCAGAGGAAAGGTCACAGGACCGGGCATCAGAGCCCCCTGCTCACTGCAGGTCTCTCTGTGTGTGTGGCAGGGGCGTGGCGGGGGGAGAGGAACAGGTGTCACATGACCTCTGTCCCTAAGCATCTGAACTGAAGAAGTAAAGAGGTCAGCCAGCCTCCTCCCACTCCAGACCTCTGGGATACTTAAAGTAAGTGTTGCAGGGTTTGTAGCATCTTGGAACCTTTCTTCCTACATCACAGAAAAAAAAAAAAAAAAGTCCAGTGAACCGGTTCCACCTCTTAAGAAACTGTGGTTTCTACAGCCTGAACTTGAGCAAAACTGGAACATCAGAAAATTATTTCCTCCTGCCCCATCTCTGATGTAATAGCAGATCCAGTCCTCAGCTCTGTTTCTATAGAGAAAGCTGGGTGAACGGGATGGGTCTTTATTGAGTTCCCTTTGACGTTCTTCCAAAAAATAGATGTGATTTTCCCCTCTCCCTCCCTCTGTCTCCTTCCATCATCCTTGCCTCCTTTGGACCCATAGAAGGGGGTTCTTGTGGGAAGTGATGATCTCTGAGCCAGGCCCTCTTTCAGATGAGCTATGAAGTTAGTTTGTTTACTTATTTTTTTCATCTAAACCCCAAATACCACAGAACCAGCACCTGCAATTTTTCCTAACACATCCTTTGAACTTGCTGCAAGTTAAACTGTAGAGGTTTCATTTCTCAGTTGTAATTCAGGGTGTCTTCCCCATGCCATTTGCTTCCAAGGAGCAACATCTTCCTCCCTTTCTACCCCAACTCCCATCAACAACTGAAAAAAACGAGAAATCAGAACTTCAGCCACAGCAGCCTTTCCTGGCTCTGTGTGAACACCGTGGAGAGGATACAGCCCTTGACTCCCTGGCCCTCCTCCCTCTCACGTCTAAGCTGGGAACACCATAAACAGTCACAGTGCTGAGCCAGGCAGAGAGGCAGACGGGTACAGCCAGACGGGACAGATGTAATTAGCAGCATCATTGCTTTGGTGTGCAGAATAGATAGCAGAATGCCGCCACCCACATGATGCTTTGGCAAATGTACTGTCGCTCATTTTCACAAACAATTCAATAGGTCTTTTAAAAGTGCCGACAACAAGCAAAGAAAGTCACGGAAAGAAACCAGAGTGACAACTCAGCCCGAGTGCCAAAGTTACTTGAGAGCTGCTCTGGGAACAGTGAAGCCAAACCAACTCCGAGTTCAATCTGATCCAAGTTCAGATGGACAGAGCCTGGCATCCATGGGGCAAGCAGTGGTGCCCGATTCATCGTCAGATAAAGTGAGCTCAGATGCCACCGTGTTCCTGATGTAGCTGTCACATGATGCCTCTGAGTCGTACTTTTTCCATCTGCTTAATGGGCATGTTGATCCTGGTGTGTGTATTTCTAGACTTGCTGTGAGGCTGGCGGGAGGCCACTTGGAAGGGAAAGTCTTTGTGATCTACACAGTGGGGGTCGTCATTAAGGAAGAGCCTCAGGAATTGCAGCCACAAGGACAGTGCCATTCCTAAGGTAAATCACGGGAAGAAGAAGCCTCTTAACCCCACCTCCTACAGCAGCGAGCATTAACTCCTCCCCAGTGGCAATTCCCCAGGCCTCTCTCCTCATGAAGCCCAAGGATCAATGAAGTAACTCTTACATTCTCCAGCACCCACATGGTCCAGTCTCGAGCCATTGTGCAGCTGGAGAAGCACAGTCCAGTGTGTTTTTCTTCTGTTTCCCCAGCACTCTGAAGGAGAGCCCAACACCAAGTTCTAATAATTTATTAATTTTTTTATTTTTAATGCATTTTTATTTTATTTTATTTTATTTTATTTTATTTTATTTTATTTTATTTTATTTTAGAAGGAGTCACTCTGTTGCCCAGGCTGGAGTGCAGTGGTGCAATCTCAGCTCACTGCAACCTCTGCCTCCTGGGTTCAAGCAATTCTCTTGCCTCAGCCTCCTGAGTAGCTGGGATTACAGGCATGTGCCACCACACCCAGCTAATTTTTTGTATTTTTAGTAGAGACAGGGTTTCACCATGTTGGCCAGGCTGGTTTCGAACTCCTGACCTCAAGTGATCCACCCACCTCGGCCTCCCAAAGTGTTGGGATTATAGGTGTAAGCCACTGCGCTTGGCCTTTATTTTTATTTTTAAAAGACAGGGTCTCACTTTGTCATCCAGGCTGGAGTGCAGTGGTGTAATCATGGCTCACTGCAGCCTCAAACTCCCAGGCTCAGACAATCCTCCCACTACTTAGCCTCCCAAGTAACTGGGACTAGAGGCATGTGCCTTCATGCCCAGCTAATTTTTTATTTTTTGTAGAGATGGGGGTCTCACACTGTTGCCCAGGCTGGTCTCAAACTCTTGGGCTCAAGCAATCCTCTCACCTCAGACTCCCAAAGTGCTGGGATTACAGGTGTGAGACATTGTACCTGGTTTGGGAGCCTATTAAAATCCTCATTTCTCTCCTATCCATGTCTCTCACCCTGGCAGCCACCCTGGCACCCCCTTCACTTCTCCCTTCCCTCTTCTGCCCCTTCCTGTATCATGTAGCTTTGCCTGGCATTTTTTCCATGGGCGGAGATGATGTAAGCCAGCTGGCAATGACGGGGTTTTCAAAGGCAGCTGGTAACAGAGGAAGGCTCGCAGACTAATACTTATTACCCCACTGCCATTGTTTCATTTAATGTTGTCCTCAAAGCTCTCCTGGGTTCAAACTTAAAACCCATGCAAGTGTCAAAACAAATCGTGCCTTTTTGAGTATTTTTTTCTCTCCTGGATCTTCCTTTCAAGCTTGTTTCCTACCTTCCCTCCGGGTGAAAATGAAGATTTGAGTTCCTATTTTCTTTCTTTTTTTTTTTTTTTTTGAGACGGAGTTTTGCTCTCATTGCCCAGGGCTGGAGTGCAGTGGCGTGACATTGGCTCACTGCAACCTCCACCTCCCAGGTTCAAGCGATTCTCCTGCCTCAGCCTCCCGAGTAGCTGAGATTACAGGTGCCTACCACTACGCTTGGCTAATTTTTGTATTTTTAGTAGAGATGGGGTTTCACTATGTTGGCCAGTATGGCCTCGAACTCCTGACCTCAGGTGATCCACCTGCCTCGGCCTCCCAAACTGCCGAGATTACAGGTGTGAGCCACCGCACCCACCCGATTTCCTATCTTTCTTGAGAAGCATCTTCCAAAACGTAAATGCACAGACTCTCAGAGCTGAAGGAAGCCTCAGGGTCCAGCTAGTCCAATCCCCGGTGATGTCTGAATTCCCCTTACAACATCCTGGCAGGTGACCACCCAGCCTCTGCTCGAATGCCTCTTGGGAGCAGGAACCCCCCTTCTACCCCCTGAGGCTGAGCAGACCATGTTTGATTTTTTTCCAAGAAAATCTTCCCCAAAGGGCACCTTAGCCTTCCCATCCCACAAACTCAACTCCCAGTGGTCAGTGGTGGTGTTGGGAGGTCGAAGGAGGTGGCACAGAAGTGTCCACACCATCCCTGGTGTACAGCAGGTGCCCAAAATGTTTAAGCAGATGAACGTTCTCGAGGAAAATGATTTAAACTTGATCAACCAGTTACTTTCAAGAAGGGAGCTCCATGAGTGTGGAGGCAACTGGGACACACGCTGCTCACCGGGACTGCCAACAAAAACTGGGTGCAGGATGTGGCTCTGCCGGCACCTCACACCCGGGGACCTGAGCAACTCACTCGGCCTGTGACCCCACCTCTTCACCTGGACAGTGGGGCTGACGGTCCCTGCTCTGTGGGCCCACAGGCCATTTTCAGTTTTAGTGGAAATAATGTATATGTGAACTGGAAAGGACTTGATAAACATAAGGGTTATTCTTATTATTCTTCCTATTATTAAGGAATAAAGACCACAGAACAGTCCCAACGTCTCCATTTATAATCTTATTTATTTATTTATTTATTTATTTATTTATTTATTTTTGAGACAAGGTCTCGCTCTGTTGACCAGGCTGGAGTACAGTGGCGTGATCATGGCTCACTGCAGCCTTGACCTCCTGGGCTCAAGCAATTCTCCTGCCTCAGTCTCCCAAATAGCTGGGACTACAGACGTATGCCACCACAACCAGCTAATTTTTGTAGAGATGGCATCTTACTCTATTGCTAGGACTGGTCCCAAATTCTAGGGCTCAAGCAATCCTCCTGCCTCGGCCTCCCAAAATGTTGGGATTGTGGGTGTGAGCCACCGCACCTGGCCTCAATTTATAATTTTAATAATTCTCCAAGGAGATATTGATTTTTCATAGAAAAAGAGCCCAAACTCCTCCTACCTATCAAGACTTGGGGAAAATGGCCTCATTTGACATGTGTAGGGTGGAGTAGGGAATACAAATTAGTATCACTCCATATCCCTGAAAAACTGCAGTAACACCGTTAAACCCACCCTGGCAGCAAGTCGTGCCCTGAAGATGCGTTGCTTATTCCTCTCCCCTCTCAGCTGCTGGAGGAACTTGAGGGCAGGGCTGGGCTTGCTCCTCTCTGGGTCGGGCACAGCCTGGAGCTCAGTGACTGTCACACGAGAAGTCCTAGGCCAGCAAGTATGGGAGTTGGTGAGGGGCATTCAGTGGCCACTGAAATGAATCTCTCATTGGCGGTTGAGCCCTTCTTTTCCTGCTTTTTCCCATTTTCTTCCCTGAGAGTGGACTCTGTTGATATGCTTTGGCTCTGTGTCCCCACCCAAATCTCATCCCAAATTGTAGTCCCCACGTCTCAAGGGAGGGACCTGTAATCCTCACGTGTGGAGGGAGGGAGGTGATTGGATCATGGGGGTGGTTTCCCCCATGCTGTTCTCGGGATAGTGAGTCCTCACGACATCTGATGGTTTTTTAAGTGTTTGGCAGTTCCTCCTTCACACGCTCTTCTCTCTCTCCTGCCACCATGTAAGATGTGCTTGCTTCCCCTTTGGCCATGATTGTGCATTTCCTGAGGCCTTCCCAGCCATGTAGTACTGGGAGTCAATTAAACATTTTTCCTTTATAAATTACCCAGTTTCTGGTATTTCTTTATAGCAGTGTAAGAATGGACTAGTACATCTGTCAAAGAGGATTTGTCCTAACGCATATGAGGACATTGAGTATGAGACATTTTACAGTTCATTGGTGTTTGCCCTGAAACTCCAATGGCCCCTTATTCCCCGACAAGATTTATCTGGGGTGTGCTTGATGGAAAGGTTCCAGGGCCTGAGGCTGGGGGCTCCTGACCAAGAAAGGGGCTTTGAGGAGGACAGAGCACTGGACTGGGAGTCCAAAGACAGTCCTCATTCCATCCTGTCAGCTTGGGTATCCCCATTCCCCCTCAGCCTGCTTCCTATCTATGCCAGGAGGGCTGACCAGGGCTGCTCCCAAAGATCTCACCCACCTCTGCGGTCATTAAACTGATGGTGAAAGTCCTTGAGGTGGCCTGAGGGGTAATAACTTGTAAAGTCAGACGTCCATGGGTGGAACAGAGCAGAGACGGCCACGGAACTCGGAGGGTGTAAACAGCTCCAGGCACCCAAGCCAAGTCAGGCACTGGCAGAGAGTTTGGCATCTATTTTCTAATAGCTAAGGGAAATAAAAAAAAAAAAGCAAAAAAAACTTGCGGAGTTATATATTTCCTGTGGAATGAAACATTCTCAAAGATCTACTTCCTGGATCCGTACTTGCCCGCCTCTAACAGAGCCACGAATAAGGTCTCTGACCACTGGAGACACGACAATGGCACTCAGCCAGGTGGCCTATCAGTCGTCACGGAGAATAAAGGCACTGTCTCTACTCAGACTGTAGGAAGGCTGGCCTCCAGGGCCCTTTATGTTCCTTTTTTTTTTTTTTGAGATGGAGTCTTGCTCTGTCACCCAGGCTGCAATGCAGTGGCGCAACCTTGGTTCACTGCAACCTCTGCCTCCCGAGTTCAAGTAATTCTCCTGTCTCAGCCTCCTAAGTAGCTGGGATTAGAGGCGCCTGCCACCACACCTGGCTAATTTTTGTATTTTTAGTAGAGATAAGGTTTCGCTATGTTGGCCAGGCTGGTCTCAAACTCCTGACCTCAAGTGATCCACCTGCCTTGGCCTCCCAAAGTGTTAGGATTACAGGCGTGAGCCACCGTGCCTGGCCCCCTTTACATTCTGAAGACCTAACTGAATGCAGCCCGAGAGCCTGGGTGTCTATCAGTGTTTCCCAAAGCATTGTTGTGCATGGCTTTGAACACACAAAACATGGAGTGTTCAAACCCTGCACATTCCATAGACTGGTCTGGCCCTTGATGGGATCCTAGGAGATGACCTCTAGGCCCTCAGAAAATCCAGCCCAATCAGACTGTCTTTACATGCTGAGGCCTGGGCCATGCCAGATAGTTTATGCAGGCAGTGTGGTTTATGGTTGGAGACATGGGCCATATGGTATCAGTTTAACCTCTGGAGGGGCTAGAGACTGAGTCACTAAGATCAGCCATATGGATGTTCCACACCTATGTGAATGATCCTCAATTTAAAAAAAAAAAAAGCCGGGCGCAATGGCTCACGCTGTAATCGCAGCACTTTGGGAGGCCAAGGTGGGCGGATCATGAGGTCAGGAGATAGAAACCAGCCTGGCTAACACGGTGAAACACTGTCTCTACTAAAAATACAAAAAAAAAATTCGTTGGGCACGGTGGCAGGCATCTGTATTCCCAGCTACTCGGGAGGCTGAGGCAGGAGAATTGCTTAAACCCAGGAGGTGGAGGTTGCCGTGAGCCAAGATCGCACCACTGCACTCCAGCCTGGGCGACAGAGAGAGACTCTGTCTCAAAAAAAAAAAACCCTGGACACCAAGACTTCGTTGCACTTCCCTGGTTGCTTCATGTATGTTGCCTCCCACTGCTCCTGGGAGAAGTAAGTGCCGTTCACATGACTCCACTGGGCGAGGACAATTGGAAGCCGTGCCTGTCTATGCACCTTTGCTGGTTTGAATCTGGATCCTTTCTGAGTATAACTCAGAGCTTTTCTGAGTTCTGTGAGTCCTGTTAGCAAATCAGGGAACCTGAGAGTGGTCTTGGGGACCTCCCCCCAACTCAATGGTCTTTGGATAACTTTGACAACCTACTCTATCAGTTTTTCTGAGACAGAGCCTGGAGTGCTCATTTTATTAAGTTTCTCAGATGTTTCTGAAGCATAGCAAAGTTAAGAATCACTGCTTGAGAGAAGGAAGTGGTGTTTTCTGTTTGTTTAGTTGAGACAAATATATGTGTGTTTGCTTTGCCTTCAATTAGCTTGTAACCCTTACAACCGGAATTACCAAACATTGCACTTGTACTGTGGTCCCCAAACTGTCCATCCAGGCACCCAGATGCCACAGCAAACTCACAGGCATGCCATCGAATATTTTATTTTATTTTATTTTATTTATTTGGAGACAGACTCTCGCACTGTCACCCAGGCTAGAGTGCAGTGGTGCAATCTCGGCTCACTGCAACCTCAGCCTCCCAGGTTCAAGAGATTCTCCTGCCTCAGCCTCCTGAGTAGCTGGGACTACAGGCGCCGGTTACCACGCCCAGCTAATTTTTGTATTTTTAGTGGAGACAGGGTTTCACCACATTGGCTAGGCTGGTCTTGAACTCCTGACCTTAGGTGATCCACCCTGCTAGGCCTCCCAAAATGCTGGGATTACAGGCGTGAGCCAGAGCGCCCAGGCTGAATATTTTAAATCTTCAATGGCTAGATAGCAGTCATTAACAATGTGTGAACCAGCTCCAGGTAGTTCACAGTTTCAAAGCTTGGTCATGCTACCTTCCTTTTGATGGAATCATATCTTCGCACAGCTGGGTTTTCGGTGATTGCTGTGATAAAAAGTAAGTACCACACAAAAATCAATGGGTACTTGTGTGGGACAGGAAATCAGGGTGGTGATGTCAATCTGATTCCAAGGTCTGGGAAGCTGCGTGATTTCCATGAGCATACACACCTCAGTAGTGAGCAGCTTTGGTTGTTTTACACTGAAATAGAAATGCTCTTTTTTCTTTCAATTTATGTATGCATTTTTTCCCAATGGCTGCTAATATTTATTAAATTAGGACACAAATACTTATAAAGTTGTTTGGACCTAATCACTTAATATATGGAATTGTTCGATTTTGTTTGATCGAAGGACACCATGAAAAAATTACTGAGACACTAAGGATATCATGAACTGAAAAAATTCAGGAACCTTTGGACTAATGGGAAGGGTCAGCATAAGTAATATTGTTTCCTTCTCAGAAGTGAAGGAAATACAAGTTAAAGGACACCAAGAAGAAACAATAAAACAAATCCAGAACATGGGTCGTTTTACACTAATACTTGGCCTAGTGTCTTCAAAATGGTATTGCCACTACATTAAAAATAGATTGAAGATTGGTCTACATTGAGAGATATTACAATGCCAACTTTTTTTTATTGGATCCTGGTTTTTAGAAGTACATTTCAGGTCAGGTGTGGTGGTTCATGCCTGTAATCCCAGCACTTTGGGAGGCCAAGGTAGGCTGATCACTTGAGGTCAAGAGTTTGAGACCAGCGTGGCCAACATGGTAAAACCCCGTCTCTACTAAAAATACAAAAATTAGCTGTGCCTGGTGGCCCACGCCTGTAATCCCAGCTACTTGGGAGGCTGAGGCACGAGAATCGTTTGAGCCCAAGAGGTGGATGTTGCAGTGAGCCGAGATCACTCCACTGCACTCCAGCCTGGGTGACAGAGCAAGACTCTGTCTCAAAATAAATAAACAAATAATTTTTTTAAAAAAGGACATTTCAAAATGTTCTATAGCTTGGGAAGTTTGAATATGGAGTAGGTATTAGATGATATTGGGAATTATTGTTCATTTTATTAGGTGTACTAAATGTCCTTGTTTTAGGTGAAGCATTATGTCTGATTTTCTTTAAAATAGTTTGCCAGCAAAACATGAGCAGAGAAATGAATCATGGCAAAGTGTTCATTATTAAGTCAAGGTAATGTTTTTGTTATGGTTGTGTTTTTACTTTTCGGAATATTTTGAAATTGTCCTAATACAAAGTTTGTTAAAAGTGATGGGTTAGTGGTAAACTGAGCAAAATGATTTGCACTGAATAGGCAGGAATATAAAAATATGGACAACTCCACTGAAACTCCTCCCAACTCTGCCACAGAATCGGACATAGGCAAAATGGCACCTTGGCTGCTGAAGGTTTTGTGAAGTAGCCAATCTCCCTAATGGGAAAAATCAGAATACAACCTCAAAAAGCTCATGCATGGAGGAGGAGGGGCCACCTTCTTCTCACTCCACATGGCTGGACGAGGAGTTGAGGACAGAGTGTGTGGATTATCCATCTGCTGAGAACTGAGACACCAGAGCTGGGCGTCAGGATGACAGCACAGTGAGAGGCCCAGGACCCTCGATACCCCATCCCCAGCATCACCACAGCTCCTGGCTCACGTCGAATGTTCCACCTGGGTGGACTTCTCAAGGAGATGCTTGCTATGATCAGAATGTTTGTGTCCTCACCCCCAAATTCATGTTGAAACTAAAAGCCAAAGCAAAAGTATTAAGAGGTAGGGCCTTTGGGAGGTCATGAGGCTGGAGACTTCGCCAGTGAAATTCGTGCCCTTATCAAAGAGGCCCCAGAAAGCTGCCTCACCCCTTCTACCATGTGAGGACACAGGGAGAAGACGTCCATCTGTGAAGGAAGCTGGTCCTTGCCAGACCCTGAATCTGCCAGCACCCTGGTCATGGACTTCCCAGCTTCCAGACTGTGAGAAATGTCTGTTGCTTCTAAGCCATTCAGTCTAAGGTATTTTGTTACCGCAGCCCAAATAGACAAACACAGTGTTCCTTAAAAACTGCCAGGCACAGCGGCTCACGCCTGTAATCCCAACACTTTGGGAGGCTGAGGTGGGTGGATCACCCGAGGTTAGGAGTTCAAGACCAGCCTGGCCAACATGGTGAAACCCCGCCTCTACTAAAAATACAAAAATTAGCTGGGCGTGGTGGCATGTGCCTGTAGTCCCAGCTACTCAGGAGGCTGAGGCAGGAGAATCGCTTGAAGCTGGGAGGCAGAGGTTGCAGTGAGCCAAGATCACACCATTGCACTTCAACCTGGGTGACAGTGAGACTCTATCTCAAAAAACAAAAACAAACAAACAAAAAAACACTGCATCCCAGGCTGGGTGCAGCAGCTCATGCCTCTAATCCCAGCCCTTTGGGAGGCCGAGGCGGCAGATCACTTGAGGTCAGGAGTTACTTGGGAGGCTGAGGCAGGAGAATCACTTGAACTTGGGAGGCAGAGGTTGCAGTGAGCCGAGATCGGGCCATTGCACTCTAGTCTGGGCGACAGAGTGAGACTCTGTCTCAAAAAAAACAAAAAACAACAACAAAAAAAACTCTGCACCCCAGATGCTAGAAATATTCCATAGCCGAATGCGGTGGTAGTTATGAGTGTGTAGACAAATGGAGACATCCATAGAGCTCTCCACTTAAGATTTGTGTACTTTACTCTTTACTGAAATTAGGTACGTCTTAGTTTTTTTAAAAAAAATTCCTTCCACCAAAAAAAAAAAAAAAAAAAAAAAGAAGAAGAAAAAATGCATCCCAGTGAGCTGGGGAGGAAAGAGTGAAATTGTAGCTGCTTATCTGGGAAGCTTCAGAAATAAAACATTTTGGAACGACCACCCCGAGGTAGAAGACGAGGATTTGGAAATACACTTTTAAAATAAAGTGATGGGAGGCTGGGTGCAGTGCTTCACACCTGTAATCCCATCACTTTGGGAGGCTGAGTCGGGTGGATCACCTGAGGTCAGGAGTTTGAGACCAGCCTAGCCAACAAGATGAAACCCCATCTGTACTAAAAATACAAAAATTAGCCAGGCATGGTGGCATGCGCCTATAATCCCAGCTACTTGGGAGGCTGAGGCATGAGAACCCAGGAGATGGAGGTCGCAGTGAGCCAAGATCATGCCACTGCACTCCAGCCTGGGTGACAGAGCAAGACTCTGTCTCAAAAATAAAAATAAAATAAAGTGGTGGGAAAGAGAGACGTTTAGTATCTCAGCCACACTAAACCTTTAAGCCTCTGTGCACACAGCCAGTCATTTCTTGATCTCTTTGTTAATATAACTTTAGTATCAGGCAGTTTGTTGTACAAAGTCCTGCAGTTCTTCAAGTAATAAACTCACATCAAAACACTGTTTCCGAGCATTAAAAAAATATATAGCATTGATTTAAAAAATGAATGAACTGAACAAAGGTCTCCCACTAATGACCCTCGTGGGATATTTGAGAGGGTTTTGGAGCCAGCAGAGGCCAAACTAGAGAGTGGGGCGGGGTGGGGGCGGGGACGGTAGTCAAAAACGTCAGCGCAAGCCCAGGAAGTACCTCGAAACCTCATCTTCCTGCCCGAAGATGAACTGCCTGAACTGTGCGGGGCAGAAAGGATGGGAGCAGCTGCCCCACCTTCCTGCCCAGTCCCAGCCTCTGGGGAGAGGGTCTCCCCAGGGCACCCTTCTGGGAGAGACAAGGAGAAAAGTTGGTGGGAGGGGACGGTCTGACCAGGATGGGTGCCCAGGGCCTTGGAGGGTCCTCCCGTGCTGCAGGGACCCGCAAGAACCCCGGGAGCTGCCTCCCTCCACAGCTCACCAGCTCCCCCGTGAGCTCAAGCCAGGAATTTCAGGCAGGCTCTCGGGGGTCCCCAGACTTCCTTCTACTCCAAGGAGCCTGGGGAGCCCGGGACCTCCCAGAAAAGCATGTGGGCAGCTCTGCCCTAGGAGACCATGGTTCTTGTCAAGAAAAAGTCACCGAAGTCCAAGAGGCTCCTCCAAAGAATGTCTACTGAATTCCCTTCCCCTTCCTTCGGACACAAAATGTCTGGAGAGGCAACAACCTGGTTCCAGGTTGGAAATGGAGCCATATTACGCTGCTGGGGCACCCACCACTCAGATCTCCCTCTCACTTCTCTGGCTTCCCCCTGCATGTCCCCTTCTGGGCCCAAATCCTCTCCTGAGAGCCCCCCCACCCCTGGTTTCGAGCCTGCAATCATTTGAATGACATTCAGGTCCAGCTGGCTGCCCGTCGATCACGACTCGAACGCGGGGTAACATCGTGTGCATGTGTGTGCGGGGGACTGGGGGGACAGTGAAAGAGTCCCAGGCAAGGATCCAGGAGTCAGACCCGGCCGGGATCTGCTACCCTTCCCTGCGCACCTTAGGCAGACCACACGACCTATCCCTGGTTTGGTGGCCTCATAATAATCACCAAGGTTTATTAAGCCGCTGTGCGCAAGGCACTGTGCTGCGCACATTGCATGTATTATCTCATTGGATTTTATATAGTGCTAGCGTCTGAATGTTTGTGCCGCCCCCGACCCCCGCCCCAAATTCACATGTTGAAACCGAGTCCCCAGTGTGATGATATCAAGAGGCAGGGCCGGCTGGGGCACAGTGGCTCACACCTGTAATCCCAGCACTTTGGGAGGCCAAGGCGGGCGGATCACTTGAGGTCAGGAGTTCGAGACCACCCTGGCCAACATGGCAAAACCTCCTCTCTACCAAAAATACAAAAATTAGCCAGGCGTGGTGGCGCATGCCTGTAATCCCAGCTACTCAGGAGGCTGAGGCAGGAGAATCGCTTGAACCCAGGAGGCAGAGGTTGCAGTGAGCCCATATCATGCCACTGCACTCCAGCTTGGGTGACAGAGCGAGACTCCATCTCAAAAAAAAAAAGAGGCAGGGCCTTTCGCGGGTGATTAGGTCATGAAGGCTCTGGGTCGGCACCTGAATGAATGGGAATCAGTGCTCAGAGACCCTAGGGAACTTGCTTGCCCTTTCCAGCTGAGCATGTGCCCAGCATGTGAGGACATAAAAGGCACCATGGATGAGAAACAGGCTCTCACCAAACACCTCATCTGTCAGTGTCTTTAATCTTGGGCTTCCCAGCCTCCAGAACTGTGAGCAATAAATATCTGTTGTTTTTGAGTTACCCAGGTATTTTGTTATAGCAGATGAAACAGACTAAGGCATAGGGACCAATATTATCCCATCTAATAATTGAGAAAACTTGGGCTTGAAAAGATCCATGATGGCTTACGCAAGCTCACAGGGCTAATAAGCGACGGAGCTGGGATAGAATTTAGGCAGTTGAACTTCATGACATGAACATAACCACAATTCTCATGCTAACCAATAGTAAAATAATAATAATAAACAAATAATGAGGCTAGGCGCAGTGGCTCGTGTCTGTAATCCCAGCACTTTGGGAGGCTGAGGTGGGTGGATCACTTGAAGTCAGGAGTTTGAGACCAGCCTGGCCAACATGGTGAAACGCCATCTCTTCGAATGCTACAAAAATTGGCCGGGCGTGGTGGCGCACACCTGTAATCCCAGCTACTCGGGAGGCTGAGGCAGGAGAATTGCTTGAACCCAGAAGCAGAGGTTGCAGTGAGCGAAGAGTGCACTGCTGCCCTCCAGTCTGGGTGACAGAGCATGACTCCATCTCAAAAATAATAATAATGATGATGATAGTTGACAGAGGTTCTTTTAGTGCTAAGGTTCTGGGGAAACCTGCAAATTTAGTAAAGGTGGACCCACATTTTCATGTTTTCAGGTCATGATGAGTGACCTCGCTCCTTTAGGAAAAAAGAGAGAAATATTCCCTTTGGGAGGCACAGGGACAGCCTCCTGGGAGATCAGAGTCTCGCCTCTGCCTCTGCAATCAGCCAGGATCTGTAGACACAGATATTTATGAGGCAGTCTGCGGTGCTCTATTTCTTCCCCCATTCTTATGGGGGTGAGAGGGGCAGAAGGAGACCAAAAGCCACATACTTGCAAAGTCATCCTTCCTCTGGAGACCAAGAAGCAGCAGATTCTTTTCCTGGGAAACAAGTCTATCAGGCAGACATCTGTTACTCTTTGCGATCTGTATGCCATAACAGTTTAAAAAACAGAGTTTAAATGCTTAAAGAAGAAGAAAACAGTTTGCCTGTGTTGCAAAGCAGCATATAAACGGTGCTGGAATTAGCACAAGGGAAACATTTATCTTTCCTAGATAATCTCAAAACAGGCCTTTTTTTTTGGATTGTATATAATTATGTTTATTGGCATGGAAAGATGCTCATGATATATCACTAAAGGAAAAACAAAAAACAAAAAACAAAACTGGTTGCAAACACAAACTAGGCTTTTTAAAGAAGCATTGACTCTGCCTCCCTGGCTGGGGCCGGGGCCCTCTGTGTATCCCATAGAGGAAAGGGTAGAATGGGCCAAGACTGGCTGGGTAGTAGCCTTCTTCCTGGGAGAACAGAGACAGAGTCACATTTTCCAGCAGGAATGACCAAAGATTTGCCTGAGCTGGATAAGCCCAGCCTGGTGTAGTGATGGATGGTGGGCTCTGGGGATCCAAAAGACCTGGGTTCCAGTCCTAGCCCCACTATGAGTCGTGGTGACCTAGTGCAGTTTCAATGCTGCTGGAGCTCACTTCTCCACTGACACAGTGGAAGTCACATCTCCTGCACACAGGGGAGGTGCTCATGAAAGGGTGGGCTTCTCTCCCTCCAATCTGTGTTTTTTTTATTGTTTTTTTTTTTTTTGAGATGGAGTCTCACTGTGTCTCCCAGGCTGGAGTGCAGTAGCACAATCTTGGCTCACTGCAACCTCTGCCTGCTAGGTTCAAGCAATTCTCCTGCCTCAGCCTCCCAAGTAGCTGGGATTACAGACATCCACCACCACGCCCGGCTAATTTTTGTATTTTTAGTAGAGACGGGGTTTCACCATGTTGACTAGGCTGGTCTAGAACTCCTGACGTCAAGTGATCTGCCCGTCTCAGTCTCCTAAAATGCTGGGATTACAGGAATGAGCCACTGCGCCCGGCCTCCAATCTGTGTTTTTATGACAAAGGCATGGATTGGCCATGAGCAATGGGCAGCCCTGGGGTGGCAGGCTGTGAATGAGGGGGAAGGGGCTGCCTCGAGGGGTTCGGTCCCCTCCTCAGGAGCTAACACACAGCCTGAGACCTGAAGGATGAGAAGGAGCCGGCCACACCAGGGTCTGGAGGAAGCCACTCTGCGCATTGGCCGTGGCCCACGCAAAGGCTGCGGGAAGCAACATCCTGCCTTGCTTCCGGTCGGCTTCAGGCCTGTGAGGCTGGGAAGGGCCAGTCGTGGAGGATGGAGGGTGAGGTGGGACTGAGCTACATGTCCCGGGCCTTGGTTATGATCTGAATTTTGATGTTGAGAACAAGAAAAAGACACAAAAGGGGCTTAAGAAGAGTGAGCAGCATGACCAGGTTTGTTCTTTTAAAAAACTGGATACTAGGCCAGACGCGATGGCTCACACCTGTAATCCCGGCACTCTAGGAGGCCAAGGCTGGAGGATCGCTTAGGGTGAGGAGTTCAAGACCAGCCTGGGCAACATAGGGAGACCCCCATCTATACAAAAAAAAAAAAAAATATATATATATATATATATATTATATACACACACACATACACACACACACACACACACACACACACACATATATATAACAAATTAGCCAGGTGTGGTGGTGTGTGCCTATAGCACCAGCTACTCAGGAGGCTGAGGTGGGAGGATCACTGGAGCCCAGGGGTTTGAGGCTGCAGTGAGCTATGATCACACCACTGCCCTCCAGCCTGGGCAACAGAGTGAGACCATGTCTCTTAAAAAAAAAAAAAGAAGGATACTAGATGAAGATGAGGAGCAGGGGTGTGGCGTGAGGAGGACAGACCAGCTAGGAGGAGGAGCCTCTGGGCAAGAGATGAGGTGACCTGGTCAGGGCCCGTGGCCATGGAGATGGCAGGCATGGACACGGTGAAGCTATATTTTGGAGAAGAATCTAGAGGACTTTCTGATGATCAGATGTCGAAGTGCAGGACAGAGGAGACTCTCAGGCCACTTCCAGCTGCCCCTACCCAGTGGCCTTGTGGGAATCAGGAAAAGGGCTCCTCTAAACAAGCATGCAGCACAGGGCACCCGTGCAAGACCCTCACCCTGAGACCCTCCCTTGCAAGTGCGAAGTTGCTCAAGCCCCTGATTCTCACTCAGAGACCTGGTCAATTTTGGACTTGCAAAGCTTGTAGTGTCTGTGGCAATCCAAGGGGAGCCCTGGGCTCTGCCCAAGGTTTAGGGACCATTTCAACACAGTGATTCTACCCCTGGCTCCAGCTGTGTGTGAAGTTTCTTCCCTCCCTGCCTGGGCACCAGACTTTTTACAGTACTCACTGCATTGGACGCAACTAACCTTGTGAAGAAAAGAGTTTTTAAAACCCTGGAAGCTAATGTTACAAGACTATTTAGCACTTAAATAAATGCAAGTTCTAGAACATCTGCAGCCAAAATGAAAGTAAATAATGACAGAATGTGAGTCATGAGTAGTTTGCAAAGATTGTAAACAAAGCATCCTCCCAAATTCAGAGCCATGGCCTGAGAGTTGGGTACCAATTAATCAGCCCTTAACTCTATCACACACAAAAGGACACGTGTCCTCATTAGCAAGTCATGAGGGGAACTTAGCTAACTGACTGTCACTTTGCTATCTGGAGTTCACTTAAAACTGAAATAAAAAGCTTATTCCCTGAAGAACAGAGCACTCATGCTCACATTGTTTGAAAGAATCACTTCACTGCCAGTGTCAACATGAAACTTAACATCCTGATATTTATGGGAAAGGCAAAACAACCCCGCTCGTAAACTGAAGAGATGAGCCCAACCACCCAGGCATGTCCCATCAGTCCCTCTCCCAGGGGCTGGTCACTTTCTTTCTGATGGCAGTTGTTGGTGCAGACTTCATGTCCTCTCCTAGCCAATTGCTCTCCAAGGGCAGGGTTAATGCCTCATTCTTTCATCCCCCTACATTCCTGTGTCTAGTATTTGGCCTGGATGTAATAGGTGCACATTAAATATCTGTTGTGTGAGTGGATGAGCATCTTTCCCAAAAGGCCAATGTTCACTCCAGCCCTGGACTTCCCGAAGGCCCTGTCCAGGCAGAGGATGGACCAAAAAGGGAGCTGGGTAGGAGACAGAAGGTTTGGCTCCTGTCCCAGACTCTGCCACTCACAAGCATGTGCTCATGTGAGCCACGTCATCCATTTTGGTGTTCCCATCTCTAAAACAGGAGGAATAGCTGTCCCCCCACTTTTTAAGGGTTTGCGATGACGCGATGGGAAAGAAGCACTTGGAAAGGGGTTCCACAAGTGTGATGTGGTTCCCCTCACACCTCAGAGGGGAGTTCTGCAATTGAGAAGGCGGGGCAGTGGAGGACCACGGTTAGACATGGTGTGCAACTTACTCTCAGAAAGCCAGCAGGTAAGCAGAGTGGATTTGGAGGTATAATGAATGACTGCAAAGTCACAGAAGACAAGGCCACCCAGGCTGTGCTCTCTGCACATGGGAACTAGAAATCAGAGTACAAAATATGGAGCCAGCAGATAACACAAATATGGGAGTGGCCTGCTGTAAGGCAATAGGGAATGGTGGGGCCTGCAGCCAACTAGAGATTACAATCATGCTCTGCTTCAGGCATTTGCAAAAAGATTTAAAACTTACACCCCATGAAACAGCAAAACGCATCTATGGCCTGCTGGCTGGGAGTCTGAGACCCCTGCAGATGGCTGTATCAAGCATGTCTTTTTTTTTTTCAAATGGAGTCTCGCTCTGTGGCCCAGACTGGGTGCAGTGCCACAATCTCAGCTCACTGCAACCTCTGCCTCCCAGGTTCCAGTGATTCTCCTGCCTGAGGCTCCCCAGTAGCTGGGATTACAGGTGTGCGCCACCACACCGGCTAATTTTTGTATTTTTAGTAGAGACGGAGTTTCACCACGTTGGCCAGGCTGGTCTCAAACTCCTGACTTTAGGTGATCCGCCCGCCCCAACCTCCCAAAGTGCTGGGATTACAGGCGTGAGCCACCATGCTGGGTCTCTAGCACGTCTTTTTATTCCAATGCTCACTTGGGGCCTTGCTGACACTGGAGAGACTGCCCCTCCCGGGCAGGGCCCCCTAATTCCTAGAGATAGTAAACAACTAGGGTGTACCTTTAATATGCAAAGCAACCAATCCAGAGCATGTAACCCAGATGCCTCCTTGATCAGACTCTCACACTGGGGGCCATGACCCATCTGCCCTAAGCACCTCACGGGCTGGCCAGACAACTAGGGACAGTCCCTATACCCCAGAGCCTGCTGAAATGACTCAAACCAGCCCGTCCGAAGCCTGTTTACCCTGCTTGCCTTTTCCAAAGAAACCACAGTAGAGGCTCTTGCCCACATTTTCCCTCTGGGCTGCCTCCTGACCCTGGTGCTTCCCCCACGTGGCCCTGCATGACTATCGCATGCCACCTCAGCTTAGGAACTGCGAGCAACAAACTCTCTCCAGTGGCAGTTGTCTCCTGACTGTTGGCCTCATTAGGCCTGAATAGTAAGAAAACCTGTATTTTCATACATCTGTAAACCCCACCGGAGCACAGATCATCATTGCTGCTTTATTTCCCCCTGTGAATCTCGGCACCTAGCACAGTCTCTGGCACGTTGAAAACACAATTTCTTTCTCTTTCTTTCTTTTTTCTTTCTTTCTTTCTCTCTCTCTCTCCCTCTCTCCCCACCCCGCCCCCCCCGCCCCCTCTCTCTTTCTTTCTTTTTTAAGCCAGAGTTTTGCTCTGTTGCCCAGGCTGGAGAGCAGCTCACTGCAACCTTCGCCTCCCGGATTCAAGCGATTCTCCTGCCTCTACCTCCTGAGTAGCTGAATTACTGGCATGCGCCATCATGCCCAGCTAATATTTGTATTTTTAGTAGAGACAGAGTTTCACCATGTTGGCCAGGCTGGTCTCAAGCTTCTGACCTCAGGTGATCCACCTGCCTCGGCCTCCCAAAGCGCTGGGATTACAGGTGTGAGCCGCCACACCCAGCCAAAGATACAATTTCAACGCTAATCGATGAATGGATGGGCATAGGGACGAAAGCAAAGGGCTGGGTAGAAGCATCTGTTTGGCTACGCGGGTCCCTACACTTCAGCCTCACATTTGCAATTGCTTCAGGACACTAAATTCTGCATATGCCTCATTTCTGCGACTGGCATAGACGTAGGCAATCAGGCAGGAGCAAGCCAGAGGGAGTGGCATAAGTTCACGCTAGTAGGAGTAAATGGTGATTAAACTCTGAGGCTCACCACCCTGCTGGCATTCAGCTCTTCAGGCAGCTCCTAAGTGGGGGCGGGCGGAAGGCTTTTCTTTTAATGTCCGATCTTCTGGCTAACTCTGGCTATTTGCTTTATTCAAACTCTTAAAAAGAGATGGTCATCTCAAAGAGTCTCTGCACCCATTGATAAAAGGGGAAAAGTCAGAGAGCAGCCTCCTCGCCCACCTTCAGTCTCTGGGACCTGCCCACAACAGGCTCTTCCAAAGGGAGTCAATCAGGTCGCCATGAAGCCTCCCTACGTCTGCAATGGTGCAGTGGGCTGTCCCCACATCCCTGAATAACCGAACTGCATCCGGTTAATAAACCGAAAGCTGAGCTAGAGAACCTGTGTTGTTTTTCATCTTTACTCTTTAAAATGCATCAATCTAGCCAGGCGCGGTGGCTCACACCTGTAATCCCAGCACTTTGGAAGGCTGAGGGGGGCAGATCACTTGAAGGCAGGAGTTCGAGACCAGCCTGGCCAACATGGTGAAAACCCGACTCTACTAAAAATGCAAAAATTAGCTGGGCATGATAGTGGGTGCCTGTAATTCCAGCTACTTGGGAGGCTGAGGCACAAGAATCGCTTGAACCTGGGAGGCGGAGGTTGCAGTGACCTGAGATCATGCCACTGCACTCCAGCCTGGGAGACAGAGTGAGACTCCATCTCAAAAAATAAAAAATAGGCCTGGCGCGGTGGCTCATGCCTGTAATCCCAGCACTTTGGGAGGCCGAGGCAGGAGGATCACGAGGTCAGGAATTTGAGACTAGCCTGACCAACATGGTCAAACCCCGTCTCTACTAAAAATACAAAAATTAGCCAGGCATGGTGGTGCATGCCTGTAATCCCAGCTAATCAGGAGGCTGAGGCAGAAGAATCGCTTTAACCCATGAGGCATAGGTTGCAGTGAGCCAAGATCATGCCACTGCACTCCAGCCTGGGCAACAGAGCGACACTCTGTCTCAAAAATAAATAATAAATGCACCAATCTGCTCTGCTTGACAATGAACTGAATTTCTCTGATCACGGGGCCCTTGTGTGTCATTCTCAGCATAACCGTCTCCTTCCTAAGTTCTGGAAATAGGCAGAGAGAAGACAGGCGCAGAGTAGGCCTGTCTGGGAAGTACCTGAGGAGGGTGGAGAAGCCTGTGTTTGCTGTTTCTGATGAATGTTGTTGGGTTATTTAGTGCTTGGCAGTGAACGGTTCCCTGAAGACCATCCCTTTCCCAGGCCCTGGATGGAAGGGCAGGAAACATTTGACCACAGTGTCTAGACAGCGAGGCTAGGGAATCTGGGGGGCTGCCCAGGAGCTCATATGGGGGACAGCCATCAGTAGGGTAACTGACCCAGACTAGAACCAGATTAGGGCTTGTAATAGGCATTATCCTAGTCTAATTATTGAGATCACCCCCTCTTTTCTCCCAAAAGTGTCCTAGTTTGATTGATAAATTATACAGCCACCTTCAACATTAGTGAATTTTGCAAACAGGAAAGTCTGAGTTGGGAGGCTCACACGCAACAGAAGCTGGTCACTTTGTACAAATAGAAAGGGCTTAGCAAACATCCTGGAAAAGGCCTGGTGGCAGCACCCAACCCCCTACAAATAGCAGGAACAATTCACCAAAGGGAACTGAGCCTGACCTTGGCCCTGGTGGGCTCTGCTCTAAAAGTGGAGTTCCTGGGCTGGCGGGGACAGCCTGGCCCAAGCGTGCCCCGCCTGGCCCAAGCGTGCCCCATTCACAGCCTCCTCACCCAAGAAGGGCAGGCTTCAAGGCAGCATTTCTTTTCCCCGTTGAAGTCTCAAGCCAGAGTTAGCAAGTTCAGCAAAGGGCAGGAGCAGAGAGGAAAGGATTATGATGTGTCCCCGATGGGTACAGGAGAAGGGAACAGCCCCACCAACTCCAACCTCAGTACGCACCTGTGCTACAATCCCATTCAACAACACCTTGAGTTGCCATGGGGACCCTGAACAATTTCCCACTTGTGTTTTTTTTCCTTCCTGGTTGAGATCTTGTTTCTGTCAAGATGAACTATTTATCTGTGTTGCATGAAATGTCATGGGTTGTGGTCAAAACCAGGACCAACCCACGCACAAGAAATAATAACCCTTTGATGACACTCACACACAAGCTTCCCAAGTCTTTAGAGGCTGTCAGTGATTCATTTTCTTTTTCCAGCACTGAACTTGCTCTCGAGAAATATTTAACCCAAAAGGCGACTGGCAGGCCATACCCCCAGTAGCCTGGGTTTGCCGGATCAACTCATGTTTGAGTTAATTTACCAAGTGACCTGTGGACATGCGTCCACTCACCAGAGAGGCAGAGCAAACACTTACAAGGTAAAAGGTAGTGTGATACGTTTCACCTTGTGGCCTTACATGAGGTTTAATTAAGCTACAAAATGCTCGACGTGTCCAGTGTTGAAGGAATCTCTGTTTTGTAAACTAAAACTTCCAAGTTATTATTATTCTTTTTTTATGTTAGCTTAGCCATCATGCAAAATTTACTGGTGAAGCAGTTAATAAAACACACATCCCATTGAAGGGTTTTGTACATTTCAGTCCTTACAAATAACAAAGCAATGATAAACCCGGCACGGTCCTGAGAGGAAATTCCTTTGCTTCTTAAAGCTGCCAGTCCCGGCTTTTTGGGGGCTCATGTGTTATAAATTCTGGAAGCTCTTTTAGCTGCAGTTTGAGCATCAGGCAAATCTTCTTCCTCTTCCTCGGTTCGCTTGTGTTTTAAAAACAAGTCAGACTTTAAGAAGCGGCTGTAGCTGTCGTACTTCATGAGATTAAAGATCTAAGGAGGAAAAGAAAAAAGAGTCTGAAGGCTGAGGCTAATCCAGGCCATAAATCATCCCATCAGATATGTATTAATACCTACCATGTGCCAAAGAATACTAACATGTGCAAAGAACACACTAAGAAAGCTCAAATAAGTCATCTGCTAGACAAGGCAGATTTCCTGGAGATTTTTGGTCATTATGCAATAATCTCAATGGAATATATAGACAGTCACATGAACAAATATGCCTTTATTTTCCACGGAAATATAGATTCACACAGCACTGATTCAGACCCTTGTACCAAGAAGTCCTTCAAGACTCTCCACTTTATTTGCCTAGATAAGACAAGGATGTATTTCTCCAAGAGCTTGAGACAGCCGAATAGAAACCATTTCTGTAGAGACAGTGGTGTTAAAAAGATCACTGACATATCATATGATGCCAGCATTGTTAAGACTCCCAGTAAGTCTGGCATCCGAGATCTCAAACAAACCTATTATTGTACCAGGAGTCAAAATGAGGCGTGCTCACTGCAGGGCAGGGCAGCAAAACTATAATCTTAGCAAGGGAACAGGTCCCAAATAAAGAATAGAGCAGCCAGCTGCAGAATGCCAACATCTGTGCCATCAGACAGGCTGGGGAGCACATCCCTAGAATGAAACAACTCTAAGGTATGTCAGGTGAGCGAAGAGGACACCCGACAGAGCTGAAGTGCCCCAGATTAGACGGCTGCCCCCGCCGGCATGGCAGGTGCTCAGAGGGCTGTCCCCAGGCACAGTAGCTTCCTCTGGCCGCCACTGAACCTCTTTTCTGGGCCACAGTCCTTGTGACCAGCATTCATTCTCCCCCACTGCTACCCAATCCTGTGCCATCTGCCCTCCTCCCTTGCCCCAGGAAAGGGGCAGAGAAAGAGAAGCACAAAGCCTTTTCCAGCTGTCAAGGGCTATGATCTCTTTCCCACCCCTCATTTCTCTCTCTCTCAGACCTTTCCACTTAACTCGCAGTACACTCTGCAACTAAAAATCCACATGGTTCACCCTGGTACACGGAACAACCAAGTGGAAAGTTCCAGAGATGTCTAGAATGTCACTGACTGCCAGGCGGGGTTGTCAAGTGGATGGTAAAACCCTGACATCTTTTAAGGCTGCCCTCTCCCAACACACATACACTATTTTGTAAATTAAACATCTGAGGGTGCTGGGGGCGGTGGCTCACACCTGTAATCCCAGCACTTTGGGAGGTGGAGGCAGGTGGATCACTTGAGGTCAGGAGTTCAAGACCAGCCTGGCCAATATGGTGAAACCCCGTCTCTACTAAAAATACAAAAATTAGCCGAGCGTGGTGGCACACACCTGTAGTCCCAGCTATTCAGGAGGCTGAGGCCAAAGAATCACTTGAACCCAGGAGGCAAAGGCTGCAGTGAGCTGAGATCACACCACTGCACTCCAGCCTGGGCAACAGAGTGAGACTCTGTCTCAAAAAAAAAGAAATAAAATAAAAATTAAAAATAAAACAAACATCTGAGGGACTCAAAGGACTCAGAACATCTGCTTGGAGGATGGGAGGTGCTTCAGGAGGGAACTGGAACCCTCAAATTTTACACCTTCATCTTCCCAAGATGGCTTCAACCACAGCAGAACTGCCTGAGTCACTGTGCTATAAACAGAGTCCACAACCCAGAGAAAGACCTGGGACTTTAGGTTTTCTTTAAACTGTTAAACTAGCGCCTGCCCATCCCCTGGTGCCCTTCTAGTCTTGCCCGAGTCCTCCAGCTGCTCAGCAAGACCCTGCCTCCTTAAGCCCCTGTCCTGTGCCACACTAGAGCAGTCATCTATCTTGTAGCCATCCTGTAATTCCAGGTGTGATTGTAATTTGCTGAGGTTTACAGAAAAAAAAAACAAACTTTTTTTTAATCCCAGAAAATACAAAAATCATAGCCAGGGCTGAGGTGGGGGATGAGAAACGCCATTACTCCTTCATGGCCTCCCACCGACGTGCTAAGCAAGCGTCACCATCTGCCTTATTCAGCCCTTCCAGGCACAAGAGTCCCCAAGGGGAAACTTTCAGAGGCTCACCTAGTTCAAAGTCTGCAATGAACGCTCAAATGTGACTAATGAAACCAGTTGCACGAAGGTCCCACCTGGCACCCAGCCTCAGTCCTGTACCCACTCCCACCCCAGGTCCACGCAGATGGGACCCACCACTCTAAGCAGGATGCGGTGCGACCCAAGCGTCTCGTGTGAAGTCTGCATGTGGGAGAGGAACATCCTGTTTGCCTGTAGTGGCTCTGAGGCTCAGACTTCAAAGTAGAGAAGAAAAAAGGCCGGTGCTGGGGGCACCCAGGGCAGAGGAGGAGGGGGAGGGAAGGAGGCTGCTTCGGCTGGGAGGAAGCTCAGGGGCTGCACCGGGCTGGCAGGACTCGACCCCGAGATCCCGAGATCCCAAGGCTGCCAGCAAGCCTGAGGGGAGGGGGCTGCGAACTATTTATTAAGAGCATAAGGGCCACTCCCTACTGGGGCAGGTGTGAAATGCCCCACGAGTGCAGAAGTCCCTCAGGCAGAGGTTTCCTCCTCTGAGAGCCCTTGCCCATCTCCCGTGCTGCTGCAGTGACTGGGAGGCAGCTGTGGCTGTTGGACCCAGACAGGCTGGAGAAAGGAGAGGATGTCGCCCCCAAAGCCCTCGTGCGCCTGGGCTGTGGGAAGCCTGATTGCTTTACATGGGGTGCACGGGCAGACTTCTGACTGCCACCGGCCAACGACCCCCTGGGCCTGGCTCAGGAGCACACAGCAACAGGGTGCTCCTGGGACGGGGCTCAGCAAAGGTGACTTAGAGGATGGAGAATGCAACTAAGGCCGGGTGCGGTGGCTCATGCCTGAAACTCCAGCACTTTGGGAGGCTGAGGCGGGCGGATAGCAAAATCCTGTCTCTACTAAAAATATAAAAATTAGCAGGGCTTGGTGGCACCCACCTGTAGTCCCAGCTACTAAGGAGGCTGAGGTGGGAGGATCACCTAAGCCCGCGGAGGTTGAGGCTGCAGTGAGCTAAGATCACGCCACTGCACTCCATCCTGGGTGATAGAGCCAGACCCTGTCTCAAAAAAAAAAAAAAAAGAGAATGCACCTAAAACTTTCTTCCAAGAAAGTGGCCAGAGATCGTGTGCCCAGCTACTGGCCAGAGCCTCATCTATCACAGGGAAAAGAGCTGTGACTGGGGCCCAGTAAGTGTTTACCAGTGGCTGAAGAGAAATCGTGCGCTGTGCAGCAGCAGAGGCTGGGGAAATGAACCCGGCTAGTACCAACGCGGCTGCAGTGCCCTCCAGCCCTGCGCTGGGCAGCGTGTGGGCATTCTTTCATTCAGTTCTCCCTCCAGCGCTCTGAAGACCCCCATTTGACAGAGGAAGAAACGAGGGGCTTAGGGGTTCCTCACAGTTCTGGAGGCTAGAAGTCCAAGTCAAGGTGCCATCAGGGTTGGTTTCTCCTGAGGCCGCTGTCCTCGGCTCGTAGACCACACCTTCTCCCTGCGTCTTCACAGGGTCTCCCCGGTGCACGTGTGTCCTTACCTCCTCTTCTCACAAGGACACTAGTCAGATTGGGTTAGAGCTCACCTCAATGTCCTTGTTTAATGTTAATTACCCCTTTAAAGCCCTATCTCCAAATAAAGTCACATTCTGGGGATTAGGACTTCAACATATGGATTAGGGAGGGGAGCACAGTTCAGCCCATAACAGTGAGCAAAAGAGAAGGGCGGAAGGCCAGCCCTGGCAGGCTCTGCAGCCCCCACTCCCAACCATGAGGCCATCTGCCACTCGCATGGCAGGACAATAAAAACGAGGGCTGCAAAGAGAGTAACATGGAAAACTGCCCGTGAATGTTAAATGACTGATACTAAATTTTAAAAACACACCCTATCTAAAAACAATGATCCCAAATACGTTCTTTTTTGTTGTTGTTGTTTGCTTTTTTGAGATGGAGTCCCACTCTGTCACCCAGGCTGGAGTGCAGTGGCACGATCTTGGCTCACTGCAAACTCCGCCTCCTGGGTTCAAGCGATTCTCCTGCTTCTGCCTCCTGAGTAGCTGTGATTACAGGTGTGCGCCACCACACCCAGCTAAGTAGAGACGGGGTTTCACCACATTGACCAGGCTGGTCTCAAACTCCTGACCTCAGGTGATCCACCCTCCTAGGCCTCCCAAAGTGCCGGGATTACAGGCATGAGCCACCACGCCCGGCTCCAAATACATTCTTTAAGAGTGTATCCATGTGTCTAAGTGAGAAACAATATGTCCCCAAAGGTCAGTAGTGGGGTGAATGGTGTTCCCCCAAACTTACATTCACCTCGAATCTCAGAATGGACCTCATTTGAAAAGAGGGTTGCATAAGGGTCTCAAAATAAAATCATACTGCATTTAGGGTAGGCCCTAAATCCAGGGACTGGGTGTCCTTATCAGAAGAGGAGGGGACACACTGAGGGAAGAAGGCGTGTGAAGGCAGAGGGAGACATCGGTGATGCAGCCACGTGCCAAGGAGCGCTAAGGAGTGCCGGCAGCCACCAGCAGTCTGTAAGCTGAAGGGGCAAGTAAGCACCCCCCACACCCTCTCGCCACCACCCACCAGAGTCTTGTGGAGAACAGGGCCCTGCCAACACCTTGATGTCATATTTTCAATCCGTTTCTGCTGAGCGAATACGTTTCTGCTGTTTGAAGCCACTTGACTTGGGGTCATTGCTTATGACAGTCCAAGGAGGCTCATCCAGTTGGCTTGTTGATTTCACCTCACCCCGGCTCAAACACAGAAAATGAGATGGGCCTAGGGGTCCCAGACAGTTCCAACAAGCAGGGATCCCTGAGGGGGAGACATGACCTCACCAGGTTTGGACTGTGATGGGCACCTGAACAACACGGTCAGACTCCTTAAGGGTCCACAAGGCAGAGAAAGAAGAAAATGGAGCTATCTGGGCTAAGCAGGAGGCCGCAGGTGAGTGGAAGACACGGGAACAGAGCTGAGGCCACCATCCGTCCAACAAACGGCTGCTGGTGAAGCGGAAAACTCAAGTTGGCGGCTGAGCTGCATTCTGCATCTTTTTTTTTTTTTTTTTTTTTTTTTGGCCAAGACAGCTGCGGCTTAGCAAGCTTTGGGGTTTTGGCAGCCCCACATCTGCAAGCTGCACGCCTGGACTGTAAACTGTTTAGCATCGTTGCCTTGGGATCCAATCCTACAGGCTGCTGGAAGTGAGACTCGGACAAAAATGAGGAGGGAGGCTTCCTGCAGATGTGCAACTCTGCACAACCGTCCTGCAGAACAAGGTCTTTATATCACCAAGCCACCTCCTCTCCAGATCCCAGACATTGCCATGGCTGAGCAGGATTTGCCTTCCTGAAAGAAAAATATCCATGCAGTGCCCCAACTTCAGACTGTTCCAAATGTGCCGCTCCAGGAAAGGACGTCCCCCTGACGCATACTCATCTGTGCAGAAACGAGGACCTCAACCAGCCTTGAAGGCCCCTCTGTGAATATTGCGTCACTGTCTCCATTCATTGCGTTTCAAGCCTAATAAATATTTTAACACTTCTCAGAAGACAAGTACAGAAGACCTAAACAAAACATGCATCCTCTCTTCTCTTCAAAACCCTCTGCCATTTTATTTTAATCCAGCACAGGAGGAAAAAAATCATTCCTTAAGGCAATGAAAGTTTAATTAGCGGGATATCATATCTGCTTTAAGAACTTGGTTTCGCTTGTATATGAAAATCGCTGAAAGAAGGTGGAAGCACCGCCGTCTCTGAATTGCGGCTCTAGAATGCGTCCTCTCTTCACACACATGGACTACAGACGTGCTTTTGTACCCACGCGAGGAGACAGAAAGGGGGAAGAAAGGAAGCTCCTGTCCCTCCAGCCCTCAGAAGTGGCTGGGCATTGACGAGGCTGTCGGGGCAAGGCGCAAACAGGGATGTGCCTACCCCCTAAAGTGAAGACCACCTCCCTCTCAAGTGGGAACGGGCTGCACCCAGGAGGAGGTCTGAGGGCAGCTGGCAGACAGCAGATGAGCAGACGAAGCAGCTCAAGTCAGCCCTTGCCCCAGAGCGCCAGGACGGGCCACACAGAAGGCTCTGTCGCCTTGCACGGCTCTCCAGCTTCACGACAGACCAGCCAGAGATGGACAGTGTGCCAGGGGTGGGATTGGAACTCCAGAAGGAGTCTGGACACCAGCGGGATCAGAGAGACCTCGCTTGGACGATATCCCCTCCCAAGCTCACGGGTTCACGCGTGTGGCGGTCACACGTGTGGAGCGGATTGTCCGCTTTTTTCTACCGTCCACACGATTCAAATTCCAGGCCCAAATGACATGACTCACTTTCTGCTGGGGGTGAAGGCATTTTAATTTTGCCTTTTGCCATCGGAAGGGGAGTTGAATGCTCCTCTGAGTGCCACTCTCCCCTCCTCTTCCCCCAAATACTTTTATTTATTTATTTTTTTTGAGACGGAGTCTCACTCTGTCGCCAGGCTGGAGTGCAGCGGCGCGATCTCAGCTCACCGCAACCTCCAACTCCCTGATTCAAGCAACTCTCCTGCCTCAGCCTCCCAAGTAGCTGGAATTACAGGCACGTGCCACCACACCCAGCTAATTTTTGTATTTTTAGTAGAGACGGGGTTTCACCATGTTAGCCAGGCTGGTCTCAATCTCTTGACTTTGTCATCCTCCCGCCTCAGCCACCCAAAGTGCTGGGATTACAGGCGTGAGCCACCATGCCCAGCACCAAATACCATTTTAAAGTTGCAAGAAACATCTCAAAGTATCTCGAATACTGCCCTTCCCATCCTGACCCTCGTGAGGCAGATGGCTACGGTGTACACAGACAGCCAACCTCCCTTCTGTTTGAACAAAAAACCACACCTGCCCTTTCTAGCGGAGCATGCTGGAAAATACCCATTTCTTCCCTGCATTTGATCTTTTGGAGCAAATGTCACCTGGCACCCATAAGACTGACACATCCTAAGTCCCTGGCTCTGGCCACCACCACAGCCTCTGCCACCACCCAGGAGAGGGGACCATGGTCATGCAGGGGCACTCAGGCCAAGGTCCTGTTTGGAGAAATAATGGGGCAAGGGAGAGAATGGGCCCCCAAATGACTGCCACAGGCCGGACAGCCCCTCTCTCACCCTCCGAGGCCCTCAATAGCTGGCCCACCCCTCTTACTTACGTTGAAAAAGGAAGCATTTTTCCCCTCTTACGTTCTGGGAAAACTCAAAGAAACTGCATTGCTAAAAAGGGACCCCATTCATGGCTCCTTTCTCTGTCAAGGATGTGGCTGGGAGCACTAGCATCTCACCCAAGGCTTTTTTTTTTTTTTTTTTTTTTTGAGACAGAGTCTCACTCTGTTGCCCAGGCTGGAGTGCTGTGGCATGATCTCAGCTCAGTGCAACCTCTCCCTTCCAGGTTCAATTGATTCTCCCGACCCAGACTCCCAAGTAGCTGGGATTATAGGCACATGCAACCATGTCCGGCTACTTTTTGTATTTTTAGTAGAGACGGGGTTTCACCACGTTGGCCAGGCTGGTCTCAAACTCCTGACCTCAGGTGATCCGCCCACCTCAGCCTCCCAAACTGCTGGTTTTCCATTTTTTTTGTAAGCACCAGAGGCTGAGGACTTCTTTTTGAGTGGAGAAGGCCACCTCATCTCTGCTTTTCCAGGCTAGAGTTTAGCACCAGATCCAAAGCCTCGGGAAGGCACCCTAGCAGACGCAAACTCTGCTTGTGTATTTATTTATTTTGAGACAGAGTTTCGCTCTTGTCACCTAGGCTGGAGTGCAATGGCACGATCTCGGCTCACTGCAACCTCCACCTCCCGGGTTCAAGCGATTTTCCTGCCTCAGCCTCCTGAGTAGCTGAGAATACAGGCGTGCACCACCATGTCCGGCTAATTTTTTTGTATTATTCGTAGAGACGAAGTTTCACCATGTTGGCCAGGCTAGTCTCGAACTCCTGAACTCAGCTAATCCACCCGCCTCGGCCTCCCAAAGTGCTGGGATTATAGGCATGAGCCACTGTGCCCGGCCCAAAATCTGCTTTTAAGTGTAGGCATGGGGACCCCTGATATTCATGGAAGAAGAATGAGCACCCCACAACCCCAAACCCATGCCCTTCTCTTCCATGGACTGAGAAAGCCACGAAGCTGCCATGTGCAATGATCTGGACCTTTCTATCTTCATCAAGCTCATGGCTGTTCCAGACCATGCTGCGCTGTATATAGAACTTAAACCAAAGGCTTCTGAGCAAGAAAGGTGTGTAAACTGGGGCTAAGAAATGTGCCAGAGGAGAATTTTGTTTTAAATCTTTCATATGGAACAACTTTAAGTCACTGAGCAGACTTCAATGTGTTCCATTCTTCAATGTTTGAGTACAGCCTGAAAGGACCAATAACGTCATCGATTTCCTGCTAAGAAGAGAGAAGGAGCGGCAGGACTGGGGGATCTTAACTTTTCACTTCATACCCACCTGGACACATGAATTTTCTTTTCTTTATCTTAACAATAAGCATGTACTAATTCAATAACTTAAGATAATTTTAGGCCAGACACTGTGGCTCACACCTGTAATCACAGCAGCACTTTAGGAAGCCAAGGCTGGAGGATTGCTTGAGCCCAGGAGTTCAAGACCGGCCTGGGCAACATAGTAAGACCCCATCCCTAGAAAAATATATTTTAAAAATTAGCCAAGTGTGGTGGCACATGCCTATAGTCCCAGCTACTCAGCAGTCTAAGGTTAGAGGATGGATCGAGCCTGGGAGGTCAAGGCTACAGTGAGCCATGATGGTGCCACTGTATTCCAGCCTCGATGACAGAGGGAGACCCAGTATAAAAAAAATTAAAATAGGCAGGGCGCAGTGGTTCATGCCTGTAATCCCAGCACTTTGGGAGGCTGAGGTGGGCAGATCACTTGAGGTCAGGAGTTCATAAATACCTTATTATTATAACCTCCACTTCACAAATGAGAAAAGCTAGGCACGGAGAGGGAGCAAGTCTTGTCCACAATCTCACAGTAACTAAATTCTAAAGTGAAAGAAGGCCGGGCACAGTGGCTTATGCCTCCAATCCCAACACTTTGGGAGGTCAAGATGGGAGGATTGCTTGAGGCCAGGAGTTTGAGACCAGCCTGGGCAACATAGTGAGACCCCATCTTTACAAAAAATTAAAAAAAAAAATCTGAGCATGTTGACGCTCGCCTGTAGTATCAGCTACTTGGGAGGCTGAGGTGGGAGGATTGCTTGAGCCCAGGAGGTCAAGGCTACAGTGAGCCAAGATCACACCACTGTACTCCAGCCTGGGTGACAGAGTGAGACCCTGCCTCAAAAATATATATATAAATAAAGTCAAAGAAGTTGGGGTAGGGGCAGCAGGGGGAGTCAGATCTAAGGAAATAAGGCTGTAGTTATCAGTGACTTTTTAACACCAGGGCATTGAACGCTCATAGACTGCTTGGCAGCGCAGCTCAGAGAGGTAGCAGAGTATTTGCCCAAAGCCCCATGTTACAGATGGGGACTCAGAAGCCACAGTAAGAAACAGAACCCTCCTGGGGTCAGACAGCGGCAGGGCTGGACTAGAATCCCCCACTTCTGCCTCTGGTGCTCAGGGCCAAGCTCATGCATGCACTGTGATAACAGTGATGAATCTGGCATCTCCATATCCAGGGAGTGATGGGCAGGGGGAGAGGGGGAAGGGGGGAGAGGGGAGGGGCAGAGCTCAGGCCACTCCCACTCACCATACAAATGGTGAGCCACAGTCAGGAGGTCAGGGTTTCACGGCTGACTTTCTAATAACGGAGCTGGCTCTGCACCAAGCCATCCGCCTTCTCTTGCCCAACTGGTATGGGACGGGCACAGCCCTGAACTAGGGACCTGAGCCAAGGGGCTCAGGCTGTAAGAGGTCCAAGCCTTACCAGCCCAACCAGCACATTCTATAAACAGCCACTGTTCACATCCCTGCAATTAAACTGTCTACCACAGCCTCGGGGCCTGACCCAGCCAGTCCCTCCCAACTGAACTTTCACCACCCCCTCATGTGCTACATTCCTACAATGCTGACCCCCTAACGCACCTGCTGCCCCTGCCTCGGGGCCTTTGCGCTCACCTCTCCTTGGAAGGTCCCGGCTCCCAGGTCCTCTCATCCAGATCCCGCTTGCCATTCAGATCCCAGTCACCTCTCCAGGGAGCCCTCCTTGAGCACAGACCCTAGCAGGCCTCTTCCAGTACCTCTCAGCTCATCCCCTGTTGCATTTCCTTCTTAGCATTGATCTTTCTCTGCCCTCCGTGTGGGGGCAGATGCTGATTTCCCTGTTGTACACACAGTTCCTAGCACAGTCCCTGGTACAGAGTAGGGCCTCAGTTCATAATTGCAGCATAAAGGAATGAATAAAACAACAAATCCACAAACCAGCAGACCAACAAGGACTGAATCAAAACTCCTAGGAATAGATATTTTTGTTTATTTGTTTTTTGAGATGGAGTCTCGCTCTGTTACCCAGGCTAGAGTTGAATGGTGCAATCTCGGCTCACTGCAACCTCTGCCTCCTGGGTTCACGCCATTCTCCTGCCTCAGCCTCCCGAGTAGCTGGGACTACAGGCGCCCACCACCACACTTGGCTAATTTTTTGTATTTTTAGTAGAGACGGAGTTTCACCGTGTTAGCTAGGATGGTCTCGATCTCCTGACCTTGTGATCTGCCCGCCTCGGCCTCCCAAAGTGCTGGGATTACAGGTGTGAGCCACCACGCCCGGCCGTAATACATGTTTTTAAAGAAGAAAAGACACTGTAAGGAACTGCAATTCCCTGAAGAAACCACCTCTTTGTAAGGTAACCCCCTTCCTTCCTGCTTCCTCCAACTTAAATTTGTCCAACGGCAGCCTTTGACTCTAGGCTAACGTACTAGGGAAATGCCCACAGCACCACCTTTCGCCTCTCCTGGCTTTGCCTCCAAAGGGCTGGGCACACCAAGCTTGCAGAACTGAATTAAATCAGAGAACCATCTCGCCACTTACATGAATTTCCCAGGTAGCAAAGCTTTAAGCCCCTCAAGCTTCTCTTAGGATGCCTTTGGCTGGACACAGTAGTAGCTCACACCTGTAATCCCAGTACTTTGGGAGGCCGAGGTGGGTGGATCACTTGAGGCCAGGAGTTTGAGACCAACCTGGACAACATGGAGAAATGCCATCTCTACTAAAAATACAAAAATTAGCCTAGCCTGGTGACATACGCCTGTAATCCCAGCTACTCAGGAGGCTGAGGTAGGAGAATCGCTTGAATCCAGGAGGCAGAGGCTGCAGTGAGCAGAGATGGCACCATTGTACTCCAGCCTGGGTGACAGAACAGGACTGTCTCCAAAAAAAATGTTTTTGATGAAGTGCTCATTAAAATGAATAATGCACTCTTCACATAATACGCCGACCTCAATTTCACTTCTACTTGATGGTTTGGGGTCACCAGGCTCACTTATCATGTCACTGTCCCACAGCACAGGGATGCCCATGGTGCGGCGTGTGGCAATGGAGGTCCCCACGCCCAGGCTCAGGCCTCGGTGCTGTGCTTGTACTCAGTGTCATTTCTGTGTCCTCCCTAGCTGTCAGTGATCACCTCTTGCTGCTCATCACTCCATAGTCTCTACCACAACTTCAAATCTGCTATGAATGGAAAAACCTGTTAGAACTGTGTGCAAACCAAGAATAAACAGGACCTGACTGAAAACTCTTGAAGCTCTCCTTTAAACAGGGTGCATGGGAGTTGGCTCATCTAGCCTGGGGCTCAGGGAAGATTTTCCCGTTCTTCTAGGTTCCAGCGGTGCCCTACAAAGTCAGAGCTGCCCTACTAGAAGCTCAGAGAGCAGCGGAGCCGCACGTGGTGATGAGGGGCTAAGTTCGGGGGCGGCGGTGCTGAACACAGGAAAGCGGCTGCTCTGCGGCTCCACCATGAAGCCCAGCAGTGCTCAGCAAAGCCAAAGCCGCGGGAGAGGCTTTTGAAAGTTCCGTGAAATCTTGTGGCTCCAAACATGTTCCCCTCAGCTTCAATCTCCTTCACTTAGGAAAACAGAGCTCTCGAGGGAGCCTTTGCAAGAAAAAAACCGGGGCTAATGCTGAGCACGCATTTTGACAGTTACAGCAAGGCCCCGGAGAGACAGAGTTTTCAAAGCAAAACGGAACACAGGGGCCCTTCACATGGAGACTCACTGTGAAATCGGCTCTGATTCCAAATACCTTGTTTTCACCCAATTATGCCTTAGGAAGAAAGTTCGTGGATCTTTCTCTCTATGCAATTAAAAAAAATTTTTTTTTTTGAGGTGGAGTCTCACTCTGTCGCTCAGGCTGGAGTGCAGTGGCACTATCTCGGCTCAGTGCAGCCTCAGCCTCCCAGGCTTAAGCAGTTCTCCTGCCTCAGCCTCCCGAGTAACTGGGATTATAGGCGCCCACCACCACGCCTGGCTAATTTTTGTATTTTTAGCAGAGATGGGGTTTCGCTATCTTGGCCAGGCTGCTCTGGAACTCCTGACCTCAGGTGATCCACACGCCTTGGCCTCCCAAAGTGCTGGGTTTACAGGCGTGAGCGACTGAGCCCAGCCTTCCAATAATAGATTTTTAACAACAGAGTATAACAGTACTTGCTTTACATTCAGCAGTTTGGACTGCACATCTGTTTGGTGTGCATAAACATATACATTATTATTACACTTATTAGGCCACATCTGTTAGGGGCATGTGCATATGTGTATTTATAGAAAAAAAGATGGAAAGTCTACAGATAAAATACTATTTGGTGGTTATCTCCAAGTGTGCAATTATGCAATAAAGAAATGATTTCTTCTTTATATTTTTGTTTCCCAAGTTTCTTTTGCTGAGCATGTGTGATGCTTACAGTTGGATAAAAACTATTTTAAAAAATTTTTCTGAGGCTGGGCCTGGTGGCTCTTGCCTGTAATCCCAACACTTTGGGAGTCCAAGGCTGGAGAATTGCCTGAGCTCAGGAGTTCAAGAATAGCCTGGGCAACATAGCGAAAGTTCATCTCTACAAAAAAAATACAAAAATTAGCTGGGCATGGTGGCACACACCTGTAGTCTCAGCTACTTGGGAGGTTGAGGTGGGAGGATCACTTGAGCCCGGGAGGCCAAGGCTGCACTGAGCCGGGTTCATGCCACTGTGCTCCAACCAGGGCAACAGAGGGACATCCTGTCGCAAAAATAAAATAAAATAAATAAATAAATAAAATTCTTTGTCATTAAAAAAGAAAAAAAAAACAATCAGCCTCTGTCCCCTGTGTTTCTTCCTTTCTGTGCTGGCTAAGCCTCCCACTGAATGAGTCTAAGGGGCACGCCTACTCATAAGGTCCAGCTCCGTTCTGAGCTGTTGGGCAGGCGGGCTGGATCTCTCAGAGCCTGCAGTGCTACCGCATGGAGTCAGAACTCTCCCATTCCTCATCCTACCTTGGCTCCCGCAGTCCTGGGAAGTGGGATGACCTGCATTCACAAAGCCTTTCCAATCCCTCTGCTCCAGGGGCCTCACCGAGCTTTGAGAAACAGCAAGAGGCTGCCCAGGAGCCTGGCAGAGCAACACAGGCCATGATGGTCATGGGGGGAGCATGGTCTTTGAAGGCAGATGGACAAGAGGGAATCTGGCTTCCAGCACTTTTGCTCCCTGCATGACTTAATGCTAAAAAAAACACTTAATCTCTCTGAACCTTGCTTTTCTCATCAGCAAAATGGGAATAATAACACTCATTGGAGATAAAATGAGACAATACACACCAAGTGTGACATCAGGCTCAAACGGGCAGTCCTAAATGGTAGTTAGGGCCAGGCGTGGTGGCTCACGCCTGTAATCCCAGCACTCTGGGAGGCCGACGCGGGCGGATCAGTTGAGGCCAGGAGTTCGGGACCAGCCTAGTCAACATGGTAAAACCCCGTCTCTACTAAAAATACAAAAAATTAGCCGGGCGTGGTGGTGTAGGCCTGTAATCCCAGCTGGTAGGGAGGCTGAGGCAGGAGAATCGCTTTAACTCAGGAGGCAGAGGTGGCAGTGAGCCGAGATCGAGCCACTGCACTCCAGCCTGGGCAACAGAGTGAGACTTCGTTTCAAAGAAAAAAACCTGAAAAGGCCAGGTGCAGTGGCTCACGCCTGTAATCACAGTACTTTGGGAGGCCAAGGAGGGTGGATCACTTGAGGTCAGGAGTTCGAGACTAGCCTAGTCAACATGGTGAAACCCTGTCTCTACTAAAAATACAAAAATTAACTGTGTGTGGTGGTGGGCGCCTGTAATTCCAGCTACTCAGGAGGCTGAGGCATGAGAATCGCTTGAACCTGGGAGGCGGAGGTTGCAGTGAACCAAGATCAAGCCACTGCACTCCATCCTGGGAGACAGAGTAAGACTCGGTATTAAAAAAAAAAAAAAAAAAGAACAAAAACACAGAACCAAAAGCGAAATGGTAGTTAGTGTTGTCATTACTGAGAATACCTAGAGCACAGAGGTCAGTACAGGTTCGCAACCCTGGCTGCACTTTCAAGTGCCCTAGGGAGCTCTGACAAGATTCTGAGGTCCAGGGTGGGGTCGATATCCTCATATGGCTACAGTCACAAAAACTGCCTTTTCACCATACATTCCACTCCCTTTCCCAGCGCAAATCAATGCCCATGCGTCCTTCCGACTGGCTCAAATTCACCACTTCCAGGAGGCCCTCCGCAAGTCTCCTTCAATAGCCAAATGTGAATCAGAATTCACATGGAATATGCTGCCCAATGCTAACCTTTTCATTATGCCTCAGGGGCTACATGATGAACTATTAATAGCTTACAGCATTAGGCCACCAGAAGTATGTGGAGGTGTCTGGATATTTGCACAGAAACAGCCTGCCACTTTGAGTTCTCCTGCTTGCTTTCTGGAGTTTTCCGTCTATTCTTACCTTCAGCAATTATAGGTTGCTTTCTCAGTACAGGCTCCTCAAATAGCTCCAGCCTCCCCTCTAATCTGGACTGAGAAGGCAGATAAACTGGTCTAAACTGTGTGTAGACCAAGATTAAACAGGCCTGGGGGGACTCCTGTGGGGCAAATCTCAAGCTTAGAATTCTGGTCCCCACTCTCCCCAACCATGGCCCCTCAGTGTACCTCGGTCTGCCCGGCCGTATGAGATGGTTTCCAGGGAGTCTAACATCGGGTGTTTCAGTAAATTCTTCCAGGCCTGGAATTAATGTAGGTTTTCAAATCAAGGTGCAGGCAGGGAAGTCGGGTTACCTGGTCCTGGAGTTTCTGGAACATCAGAGGGTGCGGTTCTTCCAGGATCTTCTCGTTGAGCCGAGACTGCCCCTCCACGTTGACCTGTGATGAGGCCTTGCTGGACAGAAAGGTCATGTAGATCTCCTTTGCCTTTTCCTGCATCTGGAGGAGACAGATGGGGCCTTGTGCTATCTGCACACACAGCCTTCCCGGCCTGAGCCCTGCTCTCCCCTCCAGCCAGGCCCACAGGAGCTGCTGTGGCAAGAGAAAGGCACCCCCCACAGCCCAGGGGCTCTCAGGCCACTCCAGAGAGAATTTCTATATGGGAGAGCCTGCACTGCCAAGCCCCTACCCCCGCCCCTTCATGCGCCTGCAGCCACTTCTCCTGGAACAAAATTGCTGCATTAACCATTCAGAAGTGATGACAGAAAGAATCCTGGCCCGCAGAGAGCACTCAGTACCATTTACAGCCATCCTGTGGCCGGGCACAGTGGCTCATGCCTGTAATCCCAGCACTTTGGGAAGCCGAGGCAGATTGATCACCTGAGGTCAGGAGTTCGAGAGCAGCCTGGCCAACATGGTGAAACCCCATCTCTAGTAAAAAGACAAAAATTAGCCAGGCGTGGTGGTGCAAACCTGTAATCTCAGCTACTCAGGAGGCTGAGGCAGGAGAATTGCTTGAACCCAGGAAAGAGAGGTTGCAGTGAGCTGAGATTGCACCACTGAACTCCAGCCTGGGTGACAGAGTGAGACTGTCTCTCAAAAAAAAAAAAAAAAATCAAGTTAAAGTATGCACACCTACTATCCCTACCAGTTATTAAGCGCCCACTGGGCTGCAGGCACCTGCTTGGAGGGATCCCATTTCCTTAATCCCCTGGACATGCAGCAAAGGGCATTTTCCTGTTAGCCCCACTTTCCCCATGAGGACACAGAGGTCAGGAGAGGTGGCATGGCTTATCTGAGAGCTTCCGGGAGCCTTAGGACTGTTTGGCTCCAAGGCCTCTGAATTCTGCTCAGTTCCACTTCCGCAAGACACATTGGCCCCTCCAGGTTGTGCGGTATGCGGCCTTCCCAGGCAGGGTGCATTTCCTTTTAGCTAACGAGATACTGAGCACAGCAGTGGAGAAAACACTCGCTGCCCGCCCTCAAGTCCCGAGTGCAGTCCTGCTGGGAAGCAGGAGCCGTGAGTAGGTACCGGCTTCCTGTTTCACCCGAAACTAACCGAGGCTGGCTCAGGAGCACTCACTGATGGTAAGGAGATGACTTCACAGTGAGAACTGTGTCTTCAGGACAGGCGCCTCAGGGCGGGGCTGCAGGCGCAGGAGCCCTCTCCTCCAGAACTTCCCCTGAGGGCTCGATTTTCTTTTAGAGAAAGGAGACTTCCTGTGCTCATACCTCGCCAACAGCAAAAGCGGGGCTGTTTCTCTGAACGTTAGAGTCTAAAGCATGACCTTACCCTACAGAGCAAGGCAGACAACAAATGCCTCTAAAATGCAGCCACACAGCTATGACATGTGTGTGGGGGGCCTGGAAAACTGCCTTTCTCTCCAAGAGCCCAACTGGGGCTCCGCATGTGCTGTGGGGCTTGGTTTGGGAAATCCCAAGCTCTGCAAACCTTCTGCCCTTAAGGAAACCACCAGAAGGTTTTGATAGCTGGGGCATGAAAGGAAGGAAGGGTAGCCCTTTTTTAGTTCAGGGCACTGGGGACAAAAGATCCTGAGAAGCCACGGCCTGGCCATGTCCTGTTCTGCGAGAAAGCAAGCCTCACCAGCACTTGCAGGGAGACGGCCCAGGTTGGGTGAACACCGAAAGCCATGCTGTCCACCCTGTCTTCACTGTCAATAGGAGCAATGAATCGATGCCAGACTCAGTGACACAGGAGTCTCTCCAGACAAGCGTGGCTATCTAAGGGACAGGTCTGGGGGCCATCCTCGAGACCCAAGGGGGTGGCACTTAGGAGCTGGCCCTGCTGTCCTCTCCAAGACCCACCAGCTCCATGAAGCCACAGCCTCCCTCCACCACCCCCATTCCGTCAGGAAGCAACCCTTTTGGAAAACCACTTCCTGTTTTAAAGCCACTTCATGAAAGGAGAATTTCGGCCAGGCAGATGAGCAAACTCCATGCAGAGGTCTGGGGGCAGAAATCACTTTAGACCTCCCCTCCTCCCCTTGACATTCACACGCACACACACACGCACACACGTGCACACACGCACACACATACACACATGAATCCAGGATATCTTGAGTGATTCTGAAATAGAGAAGTGCAATGAATGGCTTGAGTCTTTGAGGTGGGGCAGAAGAGGCCGGGGGAGAGGAAGTAGGTTCCAGTGACTGCAGGTATATAAGCTTTGAGGGTCTCAGCCCTGCCCTCTTCCACCGGCTGTCCCTCCTGAGTCTGCGTGAGAACAATGTGGGGTTCAAGGCCCTGGCTGACCAGATGCCCACTGTGAGCAGCTGCAGGGCTCAGCTTATCTCGGCGGAGCTAGGAAGTATGACTGAAAAGGGAAACCCTGAGACGGCGACCACAAGCCAGTCACGGGAAGGCCTGGTGTCTAGGCCGAGAACATGAGCAGAAAAGAAGAAACAGTCTGTGGAGCTATTTTGATAGATTTTTCCAGAGCTTTGTTAACCCTATTCTAGCTACTGTCCGGGTAGGAACAGAGCTGGTGGAGTTGATTCTGTGTCTGTGGCCTGGAAGGATGGCCGACTTCTCTTCCACGGCCCTGACACATGTGGCTGGCCACAGCCTGGACCAGAGAGCCCCTTTCTCCCTGGGGAGACCTGAAGTGTCCAGCATCTGAGGCTGTCCTGGCAGGTGCTGGAGAGGGCCCCACCTTGGCCCATCAACTCGGGGACTGCCCAGGAAGCACCTGCACCCCAGTGAGCACCTTCCAGGCACCCCACAAGGCTGAGGCCCTTCTTCGAGGCCCAGCAGTGGCTCAACTGTGACAATGCTCAGCCAGACGTCAGCTCTCGAACCCGGCTCCCTGCAGGTGCACGATCAGGAGAAGCAAATTCACTTTCCTATCAGCCCCAGAAGTGCACCTCTATGCAGACGAACAGCAAAGTCACCAGGGGCCCAAAGCTCAGAAGAGCGCTGCTTCCCACACTGGCCCCGCCCTCCCCAATCGAACCTTCCCACTGGAAAATAAAAGATCCCCCTTGACCCCACAGCTCTCTACATGGGGGTTAATGGCCTCACCACCCCCAATCCCTCTTTTTTTTTTTCAAGATGGAGTCTCACTGTCGCCCAGGCTGGAGTGCAGTGGCGCGATCTCGGCTCACTGCAAGCTCTGCCTCCCGGGTTCAAGCAATTCTCCTGCTTCAACCTCCCAAGTAGCTGGGATTACAGGAGTCCGCCACCACGCCCGGCTAATTTTTTGTATTTTTAGTAGAGACGGGGTTTCACCATGTTGGCCAGGCTGCTCTCGAACTCCCAGCCTCAAGTGATCCACCTGCCTCAGCCTCCCAAAGTGCTAGGATTACAGGCGTGAGCCACCGTGCCTAGTCTCCAATTCCTTTTTGAAATCTCTTAAAAGAAAAGCATGCACCCCTGCCTCCATTGTCCCTCCCATTCATTCCTCACGCTACACACAGGCTTCCGCCCAGCCAGCGCTGCTCCACCAGCCGGCTGACGCTGCCCAGGCAGCGAGGCCTCTCAGACCTTCCTCTGGAGTGAGCTGGCCCCAGCCCTGCTCAGCATTGCGACTTTCTTCTCTTCCCGCTTCCCTCACCTTGTAAGAGCCCTGTCCTCTCAGGATCCCCAACACCTCCCTGTGTCTGTCCCCCAGCTCCTGTCTCCCTGTGTCTGTCCCCCAGCTCCTGTCTCCCTGTCTGTCCCCAGCTCCTGTCTCCCTGTATCTGTCCCCCAGCTCCTGTCTCCCTGTATCTGTCCCCCAGCTCCTGTCTCCCTGTGTCTGTCTCCCAGCTTCTGTCTCCCTGTCTGTCCCCCAGCTCCTGTCTCCCTGTATCTGTCCCCCAGCTCCTGTCTCCCTGTCTCCCAGCTCCTGTCTCCCTGTCTGTCCCCCAGCTCCTGTCTCCCTGTCTGTCCCCCAGCTCCTGTCTCCCTGTGTCTGTCTCCCAGCTTCTGTCTCCCTATCTGTCCCCCAGCTCCTGTCTCCCTGTATCTGTCTCCCAGCTCCTGTCTCCCTGTCTGTCTCCCAGCTCCTGTCTCCCTGTCTGCCCCCCAGCTCCTGTCTCCCTGTGTCTGTCCCCCAGCTCCTGTCTCCCTGTCTGTCCCCCAGCTCCTGTCTCCCTGTGTCTGTCTCCCAGCTTCTGTCTCCCTGTCTGTCCCCCAGCTCCTGTCTCCCTGTCCCCTCCGTGAATTCTGGGGTTTCCCAGACTTCTGTCCTTGGTGACAACTCTAACTCCATGTCCCCCCCAGATTTCAGACCAACCCTCCCCCAAGCTACTGACCCATGTAGCCAGTTGGTTTCTAGCAATGTGGGCATGGACATCCCACTGACACCTTGAATTAACACAAAGGAACAGAGTGGTCCCCTTCTGGCTGGCAGGCCCTGTAGCCCCTACTCTGGGAAGCTGGAAACTTCGATCCCCTGTAGCCACTCCCCACCCCCATCCCGTCTGCTGGCCTCCGGCTCCTCTCCACCCCGTCTTCTTCCAGAGATGGAATGTGGGAGACAATTCCTAGGACAATGAAAGGATCAAGACACTAACTTTACTAACATCAATTTCAGAAAGAGAATGAGGCAAAGAAAATATCCAATAAATGATATGAGAATATTTTCAAGAACTGGCTCAGGAAATGAGAAGCAGTCGGAGACACAGCAGATGACTCTGCAGAGACCCAGAAGAATGAAGCCAAGCCCCTGAACAGGTGGGGAGGGGGTGCCAACGAGAAGCGCGTCCGGAGACGGCAGGAGCTCGAGGGCATCAGGTAGCCCAGACGGAATTGATGAGGGCGGCAGAAAGAAGCCATCAGACCCCCAGGTCCTCCACCCCAGGTCCTGCTCCAAACTTGAGCAGTCAGGTGGCTCCCCCGCCACCTTCAACAGAAGAGTTGAGTTTTCTTATCTAAAGAAACAGACCCAGGGAGGCTCCGGAACAGAGAGGCACAGAGGACGGCAAGAATGAGACGCCGAACCGAATAAAGGGATTCAGGGAAATTCCAAATATAGACCCCCCGCGCCAGCAAAATTCTCCTGACACAGTTAATTAGAAATATGTTTAGTTCAGGAACATATCAGGCTTATGGCCCCCCAGGAAGAGACTAGAGGGCCCTTGTCTGGAAAAATAAAAAAGCAGAAAAAACTCAATAGGAGGATCTGAAGATGTAGTCAAAATCTCCAAAAGCAAAAAAAAAAAAAAAATTAAAAAATAGGAAGAATAAAACATGAAATTAAGGGCTCAATGCAGGGCGTGAAAGGTCATCATTGGAAAAGAGACCAGAGACAATGGAAGGAAAAAAAGTTACTAAAATGATGATAACAATAACAACATAAGACCATTTCCCAGAACTACAAATTTCCAGATTATATGGCTCCACAAAGAATTCACACAATGAATGAACTCCGCCTCTGCCTCCAAAGCCCCTGACTGAACAGTTTTAGAATACTAGTGATGAAAAGATCCTGACCAGGTGGAGTGGCTCACACCTGTAATCCCAGCACTTTGGGAGGCTGAGGCGAGAGGATTTCTTTTGGGACCAGCCTAAGCAACATGGTGAGACTGCTTAAACCCAGGAGGTCCAGGCTGCAAAGAGCCGTGACCTCACTATATTCCAGCCTGGGTGACAGAGTGAGACCCTGTCTCAAAAAGAAAAGAAAAGAAAATTGCTGGGCGTGGTGGTTCACACCTGTAATCCCAACACTTAGGGAGGCCAGGGCAGGTGGATCACCTGAGGTCAGGAGTTTGAGATCAGCCTGACCAACATGGCGAAACCCCATCTCTACTAAAAATACAAAATTAGCTGGGTGTGTTGGAGGGTGCCTGTAATCCCAGCTACTTGGGAGGCTGAGGTAGGAGAATCGCTTGAACCTGGAAGACAGAGGTTGCAGTGAGCCGAGATCATGCCATTGCACTCCAGCCTGGGCAACAAGAGCGAAACCCCATTAAAAAAAAAAAGAAAGAAAGGAAGGAAGGAAGGAAAGAAAGAAAGGAAGGAAGGAAAGAAAGGAAGGAAGGAAGGAAGGAAGGAAGGAAAGGAGGAAAGGGGAAAAATAGAAAAGAAAATAGATCCTATACTATCCCAGAGAGGGAAAAAAAGAAAAAAAAAAAAAAACAGAACAGTTTACATATAAATTACTGATTCTCAACAAAAGTAGAAGACTAAGGAATAATGTCTTCAAACTTCTGAGTGTGTTTCACCCCAGAATTCTATGCTCTGTCAGATTATCAGTGAAGTAGGAGAGTAGGGAAAAAAATAACATTTCCACTCAACAAGGTCTTTACATACCTACCTGCCAGACCCCCCTTCTCAGGAAGCTATTGCCAGCTGTGTTTTGGGCTCTTCTCTCATGAGTCATTCTGGAGGGAAGAAGTCATTCTCGTGTGCTGTTCCCAAAATGAGGGAATGACTCAGGAGAGAAGAGGACTTGGATCCAGGAAATGGAATGCCTTCATCCTACAAAGAGGAAGGAAGTTCACCATGTGTCAGGCATGGGTCTAGACCCTCGGAGACAGTGGGGAAGAAGAGGCCCCCCACTCCCAGATTCCAGAAGACAAACCACACAGAAGACGGACAAGTAAATGACATGGATATGTGAAGTTGTTGAATGCTGGATAATCCACGTCAAGGAATGAACCAACACAGGTCCTATTAAAACAACAGAGGCGAGAGTGGGATTTGTATCGACTCCTCAACAGCCTTAGTTGATGGAGAGAGAAAAATCCTCCCATGGTCTCCCTGCTGGAACAGATGTGATAAGTTTGACTGTGAAATCCAGTTAGGTTACGTGCACAACAGAGGATTAAAAAGAACTGGCCGGGCGCGGTGGCTCACGTCTGTAGTCCCAGCACTTTGAAAGGCCGAGGCGGGTGGATCATCTGAGGTCAGGAGTTTGAGACCAACCTCGCCAACATGGTGAAACCCATCTCTACTAAAAATACAAAAATTAGCTGGGCATGGTGGCACATGCCTGTAATCCCAGCTACTCAGTAGGCTGAGGCAGAAGAATCACTTGAACCCGGGAGGCGGAGATTGCAGTGAGCAGAGATCGTGCCACTGCACTCTAGCCTGGGCGAGAAGAGCGAAACTCCGTCTCAAAAAAAAAAAAAAAAACAAAGACATTCAGTTAGGCGACTTCTCCCAGTGCCTATGTTCCTCCACACTTTTTGTAGTAATTTAGAGCTTACTCCCTGGTTTTACTTCCTAGGCAGCGGGACTCACTAGGGAATGCCTGGAGTCAGAAATGTGGCTCTGAATTCTTTTTTTTTTTGTTGAGACAGGGTGTCACTTTGTCATCCAGGCTGGAGTGCAGTGGCGCAATCATACCTCACTGCAGCCTTGACCTCCCTGGGCAACTACAGGCGCACTCCATCATGTCTAGCTAATTTTTTTTTTTTTTTTGGTATTTTTTGTAGAGACAAGGTCTCACCATGTTGCTCAGACTGGTCTTGAACTCCTGGGCTCAAGTGATCCACCCACCTTGACCTCCCAAAGTGTTATAATTGCAGGCGTGAGCCACTGTGCCCAGCCTCGGGCGAGCTGCCGCTTAACCACTCAAGTCATATCCCTGCATCTTCGAATGGGAACAGTGACTCACACTGGGGCCCAAACACTCCAGGCCAAACACCCCAGGTGTCACCAATGCCTCCACCCAATCTGCATTCTCAGGCAGTGACAGGAGGGTGGCATTCATTGCTCTAAAGCAATTGCCGGGTGCATTCCAGGCTTAAGGACACAGACTTTCAAGAAGTCCTATGCTGGGCCGAGTACAGTGGCTCACACCTGTAATCCCAGCACTTTGGAAGGCCAAGACAGGCGGATCACTTGAGGTCAGAAGTTCTAGACCAGCCTGGCAAACATGGTGAAACCCTGTCTCTATTCAAAATACAAAAATTAGCCAAGCATGGTAGCACACACTTGTAATCCCAGCTACTCGGGAGGCTGAGGCAGGAGGATCACCTGAACCCAGGAGGCGGAGGCTGCAGTGAGCCAAGACCTCACCACTGCACTCCAGCCTGGGCAACAGAGTCAGACCTTGTCTCAAAAAAGGAAAAGAAGTCCTATGCTGGATGTCAGGGGTACAGGCATGGAAAGGGGCTGCCCATTCGGAAGCTCTCTCTGTAGGATGTGGACAGGGCAGGGCAACCCAACACCAGACCTGCCTGACCTGAAAGGCTGGAAGAGGCACATTGAAAGTTTGACCCCCTCCTTCCAACCACTCCATTAAAGTCCTACAGGGGCTTTCCCAGCCCTGCTCACCTTGGCACCCAGATTCCCAGGTGTGGCTGCCCTGCCAGCCTGAAGCACAGCACAGTGGCCTCCCCCTCAAACATGCCATTCAGCCCTTCTGGTCTTCCCTCAGCTCTTGTCGCCAGCCCTGCCTGCCCACACACTGTCCCTGCTCCCGGGAACCCCCTCCCAATCTCAATGCCAAGTCTCAGCTAAAAAGCCACTTCCCCTGGATCCCTCCCCGTTGCCCACGCCTTGCTCCCACGACACATGTGCTTCCCATCTCTACACTCATTGCACTTGCACAGGCTTGCTCCCCTTGAGGTGCCCGTTCCCTGGAGCCGCTCACCTGTCCTGTCCCTGGGCTGCCTTCCTGTTCAGTGCTGGGCACCAAGCAGGCACTTCACAAAGATTTGGGGAATTCAACTGAACGGAGGCACAGAGCAGCATGGTGGTGCAGACAACAACGGGTGACTTCAGGGAGCTAGTTCAAGTCCTAGCTCTGCCACGGTGCGGGGACCTCACTTCCTTGTCTACACTGCAGGGGCGGACCGGCCCACCCACAGGCCCCTCCTACCTCTAACACTCAAAAGAATAAGGCAGGGGAATGGACATCTGTTGGCTTGCTTGACTCTGAGCTAGGATTTTATGGTGAGGCTGGTCGCAGCGGTGGCACAGTCTAGCATTTATCGATGGTGGTCCCCAGGCCCTGTCCTCGGTGCTGGAGACAAAGGACAACAATGAGGCTCTTGTTCTGAAGGCCCTCAGCCTGAATCCTAGCATCCCAAAGCATCCCCCACCACCTGCTTCTCACTTTCCCCTGGGGCCCCTCTCTGCCCAGGAGGCTCCGGCCAACGTCATCCAGAGGAGAGAAAAAGCCAGAAAGCAAAATCCAAGGGTCCCGCCCAGTAACAGCTTTCGAGGTGGGCCTGGGAAGTTCAAGCCAAAGAGAATCCATCTTAGAATACTCCCTTGCCACCTCCAGAGAGGAAGGTGGTGGAGAAAAGGCCGCGCTGCGCCATCCAGGAGGATGGGTGTCTGCGCCCGGAAAGGCCTTTGAATAAACCCATGATATACATTTTCCAAGCAGTTGTCTGCAAACGCTTCACGGCTTCTGGCCCATAGATTCCAGCTTTTGGAGACGAGGCCTCAAAAACTGGCAACGCGCAAGCCGCATCTGCCCATGGGTATGTTTTGTTTGGTAGGCAAGGTTTTAAATTTTTTTTTAATTAGTTCCAACATTTAAAAATCATCTGGTTTCACGTAAGGATCCAAATGTCCAGCTTCTTTAGAAAAACAGGCGGTACTAGGTGGAATATAAGACATGCCTTGGGAAGAAAGTCCACCAGGGTCGCAGGGCAAGCAAAGATCTAGGAGATCACCATCAGTAAGCTGGCGGAGACGGAACCTGAAGCAGGGGAAGCCCAGACAGCCACAGGCCCTGAACCACCAGCTGCAGCCTGTGCAGGCAGACAGAACGTCCTTAGCTGGCCCCAGTCCCCAACACTCCCTCCAGCCTCACACCAGGAGCCTCCTTCATTCACATGACTTACTGGCTCCTGCAGGCATTTAGCCAGCAGCCTCTTAGAAAGATACAGGGCCAGGCCTCATAAACCCACCCAGGGCACAGGCCTCCTTCCCCATAATCTCATCTACCCTCCCTCATACCCAACCAGCTGACACTGGGAATGAAGGCAAAGAGGACACATCTACCCAGGAGAACAATCAGAGGCTTTCTCTGCAGGATGCTCGCCAACTATGGGACGCTCAGTACGATACACTGAATAATTGACAATCCCTCTGATGCACCTTGTGCTTTTATCATTACACATCTGCGTATCGTTTTACCACGTCCAAAATGCTAACATGTCAAAATGTGGGGAAAACATCCTCATAACTTATTCATGAAGAAAAAAATTCTATGCAATGAGGAACTCTAAGTGACATAAATTGTTATTTTTATTTTAAATATTGGTCCATTTGAACAGCTCCATTTAAAAATGGATTAACTCACCCTTTTAAAAATGATTAATATTTGATCAACACAAGATACCTAATCTGAAGCTTAAATCTTCCCCCAAAACTAATATGAATCAGGTTTCTTTAGGCAACTTCAGAATCTATTGGAAAGGCAGTTGTAACTTTATAAGGGAAAAAAATTATCAGAGTGGAGGAAATACCTGCGTCTTATCTTGCATTTTCTTAAAATCTTCACATGCTAGCCAAAACAAAACATTTTCTTCACTGAATTCCTTTTTTAAAAATTCCTGTGGATACAAAGAAAAAGAGTCACACAGTATTCTACTTTAAAAAAAAAATAAAACAAATGGCATTTCCCTTCAAAGACTGATTTGGCAAAATTCAACAGAGGAGCATGGTTCAGTTACTCTTCGAAAACCCCACTCTGAAAAACAAATGAGTATGTTTAATGTTAAAGCTATAATTTCATATGCATTTGACCTTAATGGTTTTGACATTGTAAAGAAGAGTACAAATGAAGCAGGAATGTACTCATATTTCTAAGCTGACAATAAATTACCAAAAAGTAAATTAAAGTGGAAGATATATTGGTTCCTTCCAGACAGTGTTTAAACAAAGTACATTCCTCTAAAATCAGGCTGTTTTTTAAACAAAAGAAAAGAAAGCACATTAAGTATGTCTAAAGACACCATGATACAAACTATTTTAAGTTGGAGGTATGTGTGTTTTCTTATGGCCGATCTTGGGCAGTCCATGGCACAGCCAGCTACTCTGCTGTGCAGAGACCTCCTGAGTTGCAAACACTGCTCACAGTGGCCTGGCGACCAGGAACTAGAAGCCTAGTACCACCTGCCACTCCCTCCCTGGGAGCTCCAACAGGCACCAACTGCATGAGGACTCATCCTATTCCTGACCCAAGACTTAAAGACAGAAGTAACCAGGACTCATTCTTGAAATTCACATATGGTCCTCCATCTGGCACCGGGGGCTTCTGCTGGTCAGAAAAGCTATTTCTAGATGGGATCAACAGTTCCCCATCCATCAGCCCTGCTCTCGGAGGTCCCTTCGCCAAGTTCTCATTGCCAGCCTCTCTTACTCTGTCAACAATGCATTCTGAGAATCCCCCAAGCACGAGAGAACAAGCCTTCACGTCAGAGAGACCCAGAGCTGGGAATTCCTCATACAGACTCCACCAATAGGCACGGTATCTTCTCTCTCCTCCCACCCTGTACCCCTCCCACCTCACTACACAAAAACCAGAAACAGGCTACCCATCTGTGACAGCGTTGCCAACACAGTCATGACAGATGAGAAAGTCTCACCCTCAAGCTGGGATAGACAGTACTGAACTCTCAAGCTGGCATAGAGAGTGCTACGCTGACAGACAATGTTGAACTGGCCTATTTCTCCCCTGTGTGCATCTGAACTTCTGCACACACTGCATCCATCCCGATTAACAATGAAAAAGACAAACCCTAAATCTTTTCACGCCTTCTGGGTCTTCCAGCAGATTCTCCAGGGATGCCGCCCATTTGGCTGTGCTCTTGAGGCTCTGGTGGCTGCTGCTGGAACTGCCATCGCTGTCGTGGATGTCTGCAAAGCAAAGTTCAGACTGCATATGTGGCCAACAGACACTGTCATTTTAAGAAATCTGCATGCAATGGTCAGCACTGCCGTCACCATCACGGCTGACATACACCGACTTATGCGTCAGGCTCTGTTCTAGGTGCTTAACATGATGGACTCATTCTTGTCACACAACCCTGTAAGGCAGGCACTACTATTTCCTCCATTTTACAGATGGGGGTAAACTGAGGCTCGGAGGGATGAAGGGACCTGCTGTTTCCCACCAAATCCTTCCCCTACTCTTGTGTCCACTGGCCAATTCAGAGGCAGCCCTCAAGTCACACTCAAACCCTCCTCCAAGAGAACCTTGATTCAACAGCAACTGCTTCCCCATGGCGCTTTGTGCACAGACTTAGAATTATGGTGCTGTGTTGTGACTATTTACATGACTGACTCCCACTAGTCTGAAGGCTCCTATGTGTCCTCATCTTGTATCTCCAGCACCTAGCTCATTATCTGGCACAGAGATTAAAAAACTCATTGCAGGACGGGACCCACGTGATGGCGCAAAATGTCAGAGGGTTGCCAGAATACCCAGGCATCAAGATAAATGTCATTTCAGGCAATAGCTCTTTTTGTTTGTTTGTTTGTTTTTGACAGAGTCACTCTGTTTCCCAGTCTGGAGTGCAGTAGCACAGTCTCGGCTCACTGCAACCTCTGCCTCCTAGATTCAAGCGATTCTCCTGCCTCAGCCTCCCAAGTAGCTGAGATTATAGGTGATTCCCACCGCACCCAGCTAATTTTTGTATTCTTAATAGAGACGGGGTTTTACCATGTTGGCCAGGCTGGTCTCGAACTCTTGACCTCAGGTGATCCACCCACCTCGGCCTCCCAAAGTGCTGGGATTACATGCATGAGCCACCGCGCCCAGTTCCTCAGGCAATACTTTTTCAAAAAATCAAAATTTATGCTAAAAAATCCATGATGAACAAAATACCCAAATTTTAAATAAAGACAGGATCGGTTATGCTGATTTTTCCTTTTGCTTCAGAGTCCAATATGGCTCAGCATCACACTGTTATTTTTCCTGACTTTATTTAAACTTCGGATATTTGTTCATTACGGATGTTTCTGCATTAATTTTGATCTTTTAAAACACTGCATTAAATATCATTTATAGGCTGGGTGCAGTGGCTCACACTTGTAATCCCAGCACTTTGGGAGGCCAAGGCAGGCAGATCACCAGAGGTCAGGAGTGAAACCTCATCTCTACTAAAAATATAAAAATTAGTTGGGTGTGGTGGCATGCACCTGTAATCCCAGCTCCTTGAGAGGCTGAGGCAGGAGAAACGCTTGAACCCAGGAAGCGGAGGTTGCAGTGAGCCAAGATCACACCACTGCACTCCAGCCTGGGCGACAGAGCAAGATTCCATCTAAAAATAATGATAATAAATAAATAAATAAATAAATAAATAAATATCATTATCCTGATGCCTGAGGTTTTTGGCAACCCTCTTACATTTTGGTGCACAGAGAAAATGGATGAAAACTCTTTGCATCTGCACATCTTCCACTGTACTCTCTGACTCACGACACTGAGAAGTCTCCTGGGAGGAACAGGGAATCTCCAAATAACACACTTTGGCCACTTGCCTGTAGGAGGAGGGAACAATTAAAGCATGCTTCATTCTATGGCATGTGATCCCTTCCTGGAGTCAAGGAAGAACCATGGAATGTCACTTCAGATGGGGCCAGGTTCAAAACCCAGTTTCTGGCCGGGCACGGTGGCTCACGCCTGTAATCCTAGCACTTTAGGGGGCTGAGGCGGGTGGATCACTTGAGGTCAGGAGTTCAAGACCAGCTTGGCCAACATGGTGAAACCCCGTCTGTACTAAAAATAAAAAAAAGTAGCTGGGTGTGGTGGTGGGTGCCTGTAGTCCCAGCTACTTGGGAGGCTGAGGCAGGGGAATCATTTGAACCTGGGAGGCGGAGGTTGCAGTGAGCCAAGATCGTGCCACTGCACTCTAGTCTGGGTGACAAGAGCGAAACTCTGACTCAAACGAAACAAAACAAAACAAAACAAAAAACCCAGTTTCCCCAATTCAAAACTATAGGATCTTGGGCAAAATTCTTGTGTATATTTGAAAATCATCCCCCATCTCTTGGGTTATCATAAGGATTCAAAAATGGAAGCACATCAGGCACCTAGCAGCACACTTGGGACACAGTAGATGCTCAACAAATGTGAGCTCCTTTCTTCCCATCTCTAAAATAACCATCTATCAAGCAAACTACTTCTATAACTAACACTTTTTTCCCCATTGACTTTTTTTCTTTCCAAAGCTAGAGACATGTTTCTATAAAAAAAAGTTCAAATCTAGGAGAAAATAAACTTTTAATTAAGAAATCAGCAAGGCCGGGCGAGGTGGCTCACTCCTGTAATCCCAGCACTTTGGGAGGCCGAGGCAGGCAGATTGCAAGGTCAAGAGATCGAGACCATCATGGCCAACATGGTGAAACCCTGTCTCTACTAAAAATACAAAAATTTGCTGGGCATGGTGGTGGATGTCTGTAATCCCAGCTACCAGGGAGGCTAAGGCAGGCGAACTGCTTGAACCCGGGAGGCGGAGGTTGCAGTGAGCTGAGATTGCACCACTGCACTCCAGCCTGGTGACAGAGCGAGACTCCATCTGATTAAATAAATACATAAATAAATCAGCACAGCAAACCACCTCTAAATGATATATTTTTTTAAATAAAGTCTCATAAATATTAATTGCTGCAAACAGCTAGGGGGCCACACAGCTAAAAATGGTTTTGGAGAAAATCTGTATCAGAGCACACTGGACTTACTTAATAGTAACAGCTCCTGTGATCTCTGATGTTCTATGGGGGGTCAAAATACATGTTGACTTCTTGATCCCCTGGGACTCCAAATCCAAGCACCTGGGGAAACTACCAGGATTTTAGACATTCACCAGATGACATGAGCTAAATTAGAACCAGGCCAGCTGGGCACAGTGGCTCATGCCTGTAATCCAAACACCTTGGGAGGCTGAGACAGGAGGATGGCTTGATCTCAGGAGTTCAAGACCAGCCTGAGCAACATACTGGGACCCCATCTCTATAAAATATTTAAAAACTAGGCTGGGCACGGTGGTTCACACCTATAACCCCAGCACTTTGGGAGGCCCAGGTGGGCAGATCACTCAAGCTCAGGTGTTCGAGACCAGCCTGGGCAACATAGTGAAATCCTGTGTGTACAAAAAATACAAAACTTAGCTGGGCATAGTGGCATGTGCCTTTAGTCCCAGCTATTTGACAGACTGAGGCAGGAGGATAGCTTGAGCCCAGGAGTTCAAGGCTGCAGTGATCCATGATTGGGCCACTGTACTCCAGCCTGGATGACAGCAAGACCCTGTCTCAATCAATCAATCATCAATAAAGCAGAAACCCAGAAACCCAGCAGGGACCATGCTTCAATGCTCATTGGCAATAGAGTACGTAAGAGAATTATTTGGGACAAATCCTTTCCTCTAACCATGAAGGAAACTCACTTAAACACATCACCAAATGGAGCTGATGCTTTTCTAAAGTGACCCTCCAGTTCGTGGATATTAAATTAGTTCCCTGTTCTCTTTGTAAATGCTGCAGTGGCAAGTTCCTGAACACTGAGTTTCTTTCCAACAAAGTATAAATCCAATTAAAAGATCATTATTACAAGAAATTTCTGCAGCAGGGTTCATTCTGCCAAGCATTCCACTAATTTACTCTTCTGCTCTTTGCCCAGAGAATACAGTTTGACAGTTTACTCCATTTCCCCAGCAGATCTTCTCTTAAGTAAATAAATCTAGAGACACAAGTTCACTGTTCCAGGAACAATCTAGGCAGCTGCAAATTTCTCTTGCCATGGCAGAACCACTTTGGCCATAAGTTTTCAACCTTGGTCTGAAAGGATTCCAAAACTCTTGACATTCTTTTCCATAATAAACCAGACCATGTTTGGGTTTTCACTGCCACGCTGTCTTGCAAATAAATACACACAGTAGATTACCATTTAGCCAACAAAATGTCTGAGAGTTAAAAGAACTGACCTCACTGTTAGACAATTGCCAACCCCCACCCTTTATTTCATACTCTAATCATTTTTGCATATTAGGTTTATGTGTTCAAATGTGTTTTCATTTGAACAAAAAATTTTACAACTCAAAACACACTAATGTGGTCCAGGCCCACCTCCCCCACCACCTCATTTTATAGACTGGGAAGCAAAAATCCAGAAGATAGAATGACCTATCCAAGGTGATGCAGCTAATGAATCACTGGATGGACCCAATACTGGGACCTGTATGGGAGGTCAGCTGTCCTCACCAGGGCCATGTCTGCAGAATCCCAGGGCTCCTGGGAACATAGTTAGAAAACCGATGGGCCCTTCCATTCCATGGTCTCCTGGGCTAAGATCTCCCTTATATCATATGCCATGAAATACGTTAACAATTGACACTATTACAGAAGAGCATGGAGTTTTCAGGGACGGGTCAGAAAGTATGCCAAGATGGAGCTGCTTTTTATAGCCATGGGTATTGGTTTTCTGGCTATGGTGCTCTAGATAAAGAGCAATTCCTTCTTGCCTTTTTGCTCACCTTCTGTCCCCATAAGTGGAATAGAAGATCCTTCTATCTGAGATACCTGCTCTCTATCTGTCATAAGTTTTTATTTTCCCCAAAAATGTTGGTTTGAATTTTTCTAAGACTTCCTGACTGTCTTTCAAGTTTAAGGCTTTTGGCTATGGCACCCCACCCTTTTCAAATCCATCTTGACTGATATCAGTATAGACAGATCTTGATGAGACAGCATTTGCAAACTCCACTCACCCAGTGGCATCTCTCTTTTCCAAGTCACTATCCCCAGCCTCCAATATGACTGAGCAGACAGGGATAGCCCTTAGGCTGAGGGCACTTCTGCAACTCAGGGTCCCCTGCTCAGGGGACACACTAAGTAATGAATTCCTAAGCCATCTCAGCTCAGTTACGACCCGTGGGCGCGGTGGCTCATGCCTGTAATACCAGCACTTTGGGAGGCCAAGGCAGGCAGATTGCTTGAGCTCAGGAGTTCAAGACCAGCCTGGGCAACATGGTGAAATCCCGTCTCCACAAAAAATACAAAAATTAGGCCAGGCGTGGCAACTCACACCAGCACTTTGGGAGGACGAGATGGGCAGATCACAAAGTCAGGAGTTCGAGATCAGCCTGGCCAACATGGTGAAACCCTGTCTCTACTAAAGATACAAACAATTAGCCTGGAGTGGTGGTGCGCACCTGTAATCCCAGCTACTCGGGAGGCTGAGGCAGGAGAATTACTTGAACCCAGGAGGTGGAGGTTGCAGTGAGCCGAGATGGCACCATTGCACTCCAGCCTGGGTGACAGGGCAAGACTCTGTCTCAAACAAAACAAAATAAAACAAAAACAAACAAACCAAAAAAACCACAAAAATTAGCTGGTCATGGTGGTATGGGCCTGTAGGCCCAGCTATTCAGGAGGCTGAGGTGGAAGGATCACTCGAGCCCAGGAAGCAGAAACTACAGTGAGCCGATATTGCGCCACTGCACTCCAGCCTGGGTGACAGAGCCAGACGCTGTCTCAAAAAAAAAAAAAAAAAATCATAAAAAAAGAAAAGAGGCCGGGCACAGTGGCTCACGCCTATAATCCCAGCACTTTAGGAGGCTGAGGCAGCCAGATCACGAGGTCAGTTCAAAACCTGCCTGGCCAACATGGAATACAAAAATTAGCCGGGCATGGTGGCACGCACCTGTAATCCTAGCTACTCAGGAGGCTGAGGCAGGAGAATTGTTTGAACCCGGGAGGCGGAAGTTGCAGTGAGCTGAGATTGCGCCACTGCACTCCAGCCTGGGTGACAGAGAGAGACTCCGTCTTAGGGAAAAAAGTTTAAAAAAAAAAAGAAAAAAATGTTAACAACCAAGGTGGAAGGGGAAGCAGGTTAAAGTAAGTAAGTAAATAAATACATATATACATACATAAATAAATGTTACAACCAGTCCAGTAATATTAGAAGAAATAAATACTCTTTCTCAATAGCAAAGCAGGTTTACCTCTGAACTTAAGAATAAAGCAAAACCAAGATTTCCCAGCTGCCCAACTTCTGGTACCTGGATCCACAAAGTTGCAATATTCTTCTATCCCTTTTCATTGATAAAAGTTTCCATTTCAGACAGATTACACAAGAAAGCAGGACTGACATGAATAGGTGGAAAAAATGTCAGGCATGTTCTCCAGCAGCTTTACGATCTCTCCAGCTAGGGAAGACCTGCTTGTGATATTTGTTTGTTTCAATTTTATCATGCTGTTTTATTTTTGTTGTCATTGTTTACTTCAGCTGTAAAACATTTTTGCAATGAATAAAAGTTTTTGGTGTTTCATTTTGTTTTCTTAGCTCCTGGGCTCTTTACGTCATTTTAGATCTTCAAATTTTTTGCATGCAAAATACGTATTTTTCAGCAAATTTATTTTCAGACTACTCTGTCATTAGCTAATAATAATGGTTAATACTTCAGATGGGCCAGGCATGGTGGCTCACACCTGTAATCCCAGCACTTTGGGAGGCCGAGGTGGGTGGATCACTTGAGGCCAGGCATTCAAGACCAGCCTGGGCAACATGGCAAAACCACGTCTCTACAAAAAATACAAAAATTAGCCGGGTATGGTGGTGCACTCCTGTAATCCCCAGCTACACGGGAGGCTGAGACAGGAGAATCACTTGAACCCGGGAGGCGGAGGTTGCAGTGAGCTGAGATCATACCACTGCACTCCAGCCTGAGCAACAAAACAAGAACCTGTCTTAAAATAAATAAATAAATAAATAAATAAATAAATAAATAAATAAATAAATAAAAAAGGCCAGGCACTGTGGCTCATGTCTGTAATCCCAGCACTTTGGGAGGCCGAGGCAGGCGGATCACGAGGTCAGGAGTTCAAGACCAGCCTGAACAATACGATGAAACCCTGTCTCTACTAAAATTACAAAAATTAGCCAGGCATGGTAGCACGTGCCTATAGTCTCAGCTACTCGGGAGGCTGAGGCAGAAGAATTGCTTGAACCCAGGAGGCGGAGGTTGCAGTCAGCCGAGATCGTGCCACTACACTCCAGCCTGGGTGACAGAGCGAGACTCTGTCTCAAAAAAAAAAAAAAAAAAAGGTTGGCGCGGTGGCTCACGCCTGTAATCCCAGCACTTTGGGAGGCTGAGGCAGGCAGATCACGAGGTCAAGAGATCGAAACCATCCTAGCCAATGTGCTGAAACCCCATCTATACTAAAAATACAAAAAATTAGCCAGGTGTGGTGGTGCACGCCTGTAGTTCCAGCTACTCGGGAGGCTGAAGCAGGAGGATTGCTTGAACCTGGGAGGCGGAGGTTGCAGTGAGCCGAGATCAAGCCACTGCACTCCAGCCTGGTGACAGAGCAAGACTCTGTCTCAAAAAAATAAAAAGAAAAAAGAAAAACTTGCAAATGATTTACAGTGTGCTGGGTACCGTTCCAAGCTTTTACCTGAATTAAATGATTCAGTTCTCACAATAACCTACTGACGTGGTTAGTATTATTTCCACTTTGCAGACGAAGAAACTGAGGCACGGTAACTTACAAGCGTCCCAGCTAGAAAATGGGAAATCACGGCCCAAACCCAGGTACTCCTGCTCCAGAGTACACGCTCTTTACCAAGGGCTCTACTGCCATTTTTAGCTTTTATATCTGCTGATCTTTATACTCACAGAGGCCAGAACACAACAGCCTTTAAGAGACCAAGAACAATCACACTTTGGGGAAAAAACAGAAAACTGTTAAGAGTCCAATCCATGCAGAAAAAAAAAAAAAAAAAGTCACATAAGACCAGGTGGAATCATCCAGCACACAAACACAATGTATATGCGTTTTCCATTTATGATTATGCTGTCCTATGTGGCTTCTGGCGTCAGTAAAAGCCATTATTTCAAGGATGGGTGAAGCATCACAGTGCAGATGGCTGGGGCTGGTTGCTTGCAGCTTATTTTATGATGCATTATTTATAGATGCTATGATGTCATATCTAACAGAGACCTTCTCCAGACATTAATTCCTTGGAAATCCATACTCAAAAGGCATCTGTAACACTCATCGGAGATGAATGCTCACAGCATGGATTTCTGCTGTTAATTTGCAGGAAGGTCTGTGTAATCATCCTGCATAGACAATTTCTCCAAGTCAAATAATATTTTAGTAATATCTCACTATCCAGTTTCCTCAACAGCAGAGTCAACTTACATCCTCAGAAGGTTTGTCCTAAGTACTCCCCCAAACTCACAGACTATTAAACATTCGAGTCCAGGAAAAGGCAGAGATATTAACCCTAAATTCCAAAGTGGTTTGGTACAACTCACATGCACAGGCGTGCACACACACACTGTACTCCTTTAAAATACTCTACTTTGTAATGAAGTTTCAAAGAAAGTACACACCCCACAAAACTTATTTAAAACCTCTTGTCACCTATACCACATCAAGTGTAGTACATTTTTTAAAAAGTCCTCCCAATTTAGAATCAGAGAGTCATTTTGTTACAACTGGTGATCTGTGTAAGGCTCCAGAGAAACTGGGTCATGGAAACATGGTATCTAAATATTACTTAAGTGTTTATCGGCTCCAGTATCTAGCTGCTGAGAATAACTACCCCACCTGCATGCAATTCCCTTGCCAGAGAGATCTGATTGAACTGCAGTTAGCAGGAAATAACATCAAAAGTGAAAAAAGTTTTTCAATAATCATAGTAATAGCCAGCATCCAAGTCAGGAGCAGGAAAGCTGGTGGCAGAGGGTTGGCTCCACTCAGAAAGGGCATCGTGGCGTTTTCACACGAGGGTTCGGGACTCACAGAAAGCCAAGTGCTCCTACTGGCCCTTCCACAGTCACCTGTGCACCTCTGTGTCCTCACAGCACACTCTTCCCAGCCCCTGCCCCGCCCAGGGCCAAGGCGACAGGCAAACTGCGGACATGGAAAGGGGTGGGGGCGATTCCTTACGTTCCATGCTCTGGTGTCCACCTGAGAAGTTCCACGCAGACCAACAATCCACTGCCTTCCCAGAGACGCCTTGTGTGAGAAAGGCAGAGACTGGAGGGCTCCCGAGCACCCTTGGGTCCGAAGAAAAAACAAGCCTCAACATCCTCTTTTAAGTGGACTAAACAACAGATGGCCACTGGTTTCCAGTTTCTACTAGAGGGAAGGAAATAAGAACGCCAAACTGTTATTTGTAGCCTCCCTAGACTCTCCACTTTCTAGGCAAAGTCCAGAAAAAAGAAAATGGCCCAGCAGCCCTAGCCCGAAAACAAAGACCCTGTCATCGATTTTCTCCACTTCCAGAAGCCCCTGTGTGTCCTCTGGGGCCTGACATTTCTGCGTAAAGCTGCCCTCACCCTCCTACTCTGCCTCAATCTGTCCCGCACCCTCCCTCGAGGCAAAGTAAATGACTTTTTCCTCCAGGGTCAGTCAGGTGGATGGTGCATTTCTTGAAAGCAAGGGCTGAGTCTTCCTCAGGGTCAGCATGATGTCTGGCACTCAAGTATATATTTTATAGTGATAAACATTTTCTAAGGAATGAGCCAAGCCAGGCACCAGGCTAAGGGTAGAGGGCACAGAAAGGAGGACGGATAGCTATTAAAAATAGTTGAGGCCAGGCGTGGTGGCTCACGCCTGTAATCCCAGCACTTTGGGAGGCCGAGGCGGGCAGATCACCTGAGGTCGGGAGTTTGAGACCAGCCCGACCAATGTGGAGAAACCTAAAAATACAAAATTAGCCAGGCGTGGTGGTGCATGCGTGTAATCCCAGCTACTCAGGAGGCTGAGGCAGGAGAATGGCTTGAACCCCGGAGGTAGAGGTTGCCGTGAGCCGAGATTGCGCCATTGCACTCCAGCGTGGGCAACAAGAGTGAAACTCCGTCTCAAAAAAAAAAAAAAGAAAAAGAAAAGTTGACATTTACTGAGCACTTACTATATCCCATCGAAACTTTGCAACAATCCTTGCAAGCTAGTTTCCTCAAGGGCCCCATTTTACAGATCAGGAAACTGAGGCACAGAGACGATAAATAATTTGCTACAAAGAAGCAAGCAAGGAAGTGGATGAGCTGGGATGCAACCCCAGGTTGTCTGGCTGGAGAGAAAAACACAGAGAAAGATGCCAGAAATGAAAGGTGGGGGCTATTTTCTCACAGAACTTAAAATGAATTGAGGAGAGGAGGCCAGGGGTTCCCAGGTGGCCGCCTGCCCACAGTGCCACGGGCTGGTAGGCGGTTTTCTTCACTAGTCCACAAATAAACGAGAAGGAAGACTAGGAAATATTTACCAAGTGAACTGTGCTGGTAGAGGAAGGACAGTCTTGGGTTGCTTGTTTTGCTTTTGCTTTGAAATAGATCACTATGTTTCTTTACGTGGGGCACAGTGCAGGACATACAAAAGGGAGTGTGGTGTAATAGTCTTCCTCACACCTCTGTCCCTCAGGTGCCCAGTGTCTCTCCCCAGGAGCGACAACCTCTACAAGATTCTGTGGATCAGGACAGCTCTTTACCTGAGATTATATCTTTCCTACTATTGGGGGTGTTAAAATGTCCTTTTCTGTGTGAAATGATAAAGGTGTTTGATGATGGCTTTGTTTGTTTCTAATGTCCTGACTACAGAAAAGAAGGAAGGGAGGGAAGGAGGGAGGGAAGAAGGAAGGGAGGGAGGGAGTGGAGGAGAGAGGGATGGAGGAAGGGAGGAAAGTTGTCAGCTCCACATTCATTCTCTAAATATATTTTAGCAAAGTCGCTAAATGGTTGTTGTGTTTAGGTGGCCGTGGACTTGGGTCCAAGACTTGAGTTCTCTGCCCCTTCAGAAATGGGTGCCTCCGGACAAGTCCCTGCCCCTTAGTGGCCTCTGCAGCCCTTGAGGGAGAAATGAAATGGTTCCCTCCTGCTCAGACAAGCTGCTCTGTCAAGCATGGAGGGTGGGAGGCAGCGAGGCCTAGAAGGGTGGGTCTGTTGGAGCAGGGGGACCCAGGCTTTGGGACAGGACAAAGGACAGCTGGGGGAGCAAAGGCACAGAGGGAGTATTGTCCAGTCCCTCCAGGGGTAGAGTAGGGAGCAGGAAAAATGGGGCTGGGAAGGACTCAGTCAGATAAGGGGTCCCCCACCAGGCAGTGGGGCAGCAAGGTGGACCTGAGGGAGCTTAGCAGGGCTCTTGACAGATGGGAACTTGCTTGGAAGGGAAATTTGTCCCCACAAGTCTGCAAGGGACTGTCTCACTCCAGCGGATGCCGCCTGACAGCTCTTATCAAGGGGCCACTGCTGCTGCCTGCTGGGGCCCCCTCCGCTCCTGCTGCCACCCGCAGGCTGCTGCAGCAAAGAACTATCTGGGGGAAGCAGAAGAAACTTGGGGGCATAAATTTAGTGCAGTTTAAGCAACAGGTTCCCAGAGCCCAGCATCTGGGGACTCACTCCACCCAGGGAGGGAAGTGACTCAGTTCACCCAGGAAGCCCTAGGAAATGGCCATGCCAGGCATCTACATTTTCTAACCATGAAGAAAGGAGACATCACATCAAATACAAATCAGCCAACAGAGATAAAACACCGTGAGCACCTCACACCCACCAGGCTACGGGCTGCACTAGGTGGTGCCCAGAGCAGGTCCCAGAGGCTCAACTGGCTCATAAGCTGACCACACCTATAGAAAACAAGGCCCTTCGGCTGGCCCCTCTGTCCCCCCAGGCCTGGGCCAGTGATATTCTGCAGAGAAAGTTGTCCCAGCTGCCAAGGCTACCCTGCTGCCGAGTTGTTAAAACAAAGACATTAAATTGCTGTGCAAACTGTCATCTTTAAATAAAACAAGCCCAGCCATAAACTTAAAACTGTTCCCAAGGGTTTAATCGGATCCTGTATGACAGGCCCGAGGGGACGGCCGAAACCTGCCCGGCAGGGTGGGAATTCCCCTGAGAGGTCACCCCTGGGTGCAGCTGCAGGGGTAGGGAGTCGGGTGGCTTCAGCTTGGCATCTCAGATGGGCATATTTCAGCTATCAACAATGCAAGGTTGATAACTGGGCAGGGTGAGTGGACAGAATCCCGTTGGGGGACCCTCACATTTCACTGGCCTGAGAATTCTCTGGGGTGCTTGTCAAAGACAAGCCCCACCTACAGTCCCCAACACTGAATCAGTCTGGGCAAGGCCTGAGAAGCTGCACTTTATCAAAGCCCTCCTGAACCCACAGGACGGGTGGAACACACTTTGAGAAACCTCAGGAAGAATAAGGAAATCCCACTCTGAACCTTGGAAGGAGGGGTTAGGAACTCAAAATCCTCCGCGGAAAGACAGTGTCTCCAGTGAGATTTTGCTGAAAGGTAGGAAAAGTGTAAAATAGAAGGTACTGGGGGAGGCAGGACCACAGCCAGGTCCAAATCAGGGGTCCTGCAGGAGCAGCTCTGGCTTTTGTGGAGCCTGAAGTTTATACAATTTGAGGATCCTCTTTAAGAAAAATAATTCAAAATTACAAAAAAAAAAAAAAAATTAAGTACAGGGTCCCAAAAATCACTTGGCTGTCTTCTCAGTACCTCGGCCCACAGGCCCAAATGACCCCTTTCTCACTAGGCTTCTTCTTTTCACACGGCTGGGTGGTGATGACCAGTCAGGCAAGAACTTATGTTATTTTCCATAATGGGGAAAGACCCTACACCTACAATTCCAAAGAAAATCAGGCTATTGGAGTGGAGGCATCCAGTACCAATCCATGATGTTTAGTGGCTGATCTTCCTTCCTTCCTTCCTTTTTTCTTCCTTCCTCCCTTCCTTCCTTCTTTCCTTTTCTTTGGATCTCACTCTGTCACCCAGGGTGAAGTGCAGTGGCACGATCTAAGCTCACTGTAGCCTCAACCTCCCAGGCTCAAGCCATCCTCTCACTTCAGCCGTCTAAGGAGCTGGGACTACAGGCACGCATCACCATGCCTGGCTAATTTTTTAATTTTTTTGTAGAGACGGGGTTTTGCCATGTTTCCCAGGCTTATCTGGAACTCCTGGGCTCAAGCAATCCTCCTGCCTCAGCCTCCCAAAGTGCTGGGATCACAGGTGTGAGCCACTGAGCCCGGCCTGAGACCGACCTTTCTGTCAGTGATGTAACCACATTTTATGAGGTTTAAAATTTGTTGCCCTGAAATAATTTGTTCCCTAAAACTGCCTTCAGCCTTTTTGGGGTGCAACCTGGCTACACGCAAAATCACCCCAAATCCATGTATCTCCCAGGATACAATGGTTCTATCTGTCAGTCTTCAACCCAAAAGCAATCTAAAGTAATAAGTAACGCGTACAGGGCTATTCATAGCAGCTCTATTTATAACAGGCAAAAGGGAGAAAAGCTACTAATTATTACACTTTTATTATGTGCCACACATTGTACTAGGGGCTTCATATGGTTTTGAGTATTTAATCCCATAACCCTATGAAACCCACTTTGCAGGTGGAGAAAGGTGCTGGAACATCAGCTCTCCTGAGTCAAAATGAAGCCTTCATTTTTAGCTTTGTTGATTTTCATGATGTAAATATCCCATCATAACTACTTTCAAGCTACCTATGGTTTACAACCAGTTTCCAAACTTTTTGAATATTTGGCAACTGGCTCTTGCAAGCCAGTTTGAGCCAGCTCCAGCACATCACTGAAACGGAGGCACAGAGAGATCAAGTAATTTGCCCAGTGTTGCTGAATGACAGAGTCAAGGTTAGAACCAAGAGTTTAATTCGAGTCCAGGCTCTGAGCAGCGCTCCACAGGCCTGTGCCAACCATAGAGACTGGTTAACATTAACACCCACAAGGGAATTCTTTGACTCACATGCAACACAAAAAGGTTTACATGACCACTAACGCTAACGGAGCACTTAGTACTTGCCGGGCAACAATGTAAGATCATTACAACAACCCTATGAAATCCTACATATTAAATACAATAATTTGCAAAACCTGATGGATGGAAGACAGGTTCCAATTAAGTACTTTAAAAGGCGAGTAGCTACTGTTATTCCCACTGTGCAGAACCTCATTCTGCAGAAAGGTCCCACGGCTGGTGAATATGGCGAAGGTGAGATTCGGATCCAGCCAGTCTGGTCCCAGTCTCTAAACCACAATGTCCCTCATAAAATACCAGGAGCAGAAAGGAAATGCACCAACGCGTTGGGACTCTGAGCGCCAAGCAGAAGTGAATCTTGGCGTGGGAAGCCCGGCAAAGCCCCCGAACTTCAGAGTCAGGGGAACCTGGGTTTGAAAGCCTCCCCATCACCTGCGGAGTGTGACTGGGGCAAGTTACCTAACAGCGCCTGGCTTCCGCTCCCTCCTCACTCACCGGGTTGTCCTAGGGGTGAAGGGAGAGTTCACCCAACGCGGTGGACAAAGCCCTTGGCGCACCCAAAGGCCTGCACAGGTCGTAGCTATTGTGATGAGCAAAAGGGTGGAAGGACCGGAATCAAGGGCACGGCTCCACCTTCACCGTGGGGTCTTTGGCCTATCAAGTTGCCCGAGATCGTGGCTCAGGCTGGCCCAAAGTGACGGCCAAGGCGAATCCTTCGTAACGTCAGAACTTCGCTGGCTCGGACCGCAGAAGTGCCCTTCTCCATCCTGGGGTTCCGCCACCCTCGCGATCCCACCTTTTGGCTCCTCGCGGCAGAAGCGAAGGCCCCCGACGCCCCAGGCCCAGGGGCCCAGTCGGATGCCCGGGTCCAGCCGTGCTCCCCCGGGCGCTCGGCATCCTTCCACCCACGCCCGCAGCGGAGGCGGAGAGCGTCACGGAGGGAGAAGCCCGCGCGCCGTTCCGCTTTCGGAATCTGGAGCCCCATGTCACCTCCAAAGTTTGGAGATTTGGGGCGCTCCTTTTTCTCCCAGACCATCACTAAAAAGAAAACTGCGGCTGTTCCTCTTTCAGCCAAACTTCCTCCCCGGGGCTCCCGGAGGAGCTCTGCGCTCCCGTCGCGGCTGGGACCGCGAAGGTGCGGTACCCAGCGGGGAGAGGTGGTGCGGTCGGCCGGGGCTCCAGTCTGGGAGGTACCACCGAGCCGCGCCCGAGCACAAGAGGGAGGGCAGGAGGCCGGGCGGGCGAAACGGCGCCCCGACCCCGAGCCCGCGGGCCCCCGAAGCCGCTTACCTGACGGCGGCCGCTTCCTGCTCAGCCGGCTCACGGCGCGGTTGAACATCGCCGCGGGCGCCCGAGGAGGAAGAAGGAGCAGCCCGGCGGCGCGGCGGCTGAGCCGGAGGAAGGCGAGGAGGAGGAGGAGGGCGAGGAGGAGGAGGAGGAGGGCAAGGAGGAGGAGCGGGCTCAGCACCGCCCCGGAGCTCTAGGTCCCCGCCCGCCGCCCTCCTCCTAGCCAGGCGCCGCGTGGCGCGCTCAGTGCGCCCTGCCCGCCCCCGCTGGTGAGGACTCGCGGTTCCGCTCCGGGGTGCCCGGGCGGGGCAGGGCAGGGCAGCCCCGGGTGACCCCCGATCGCCCAGAGTGTGCCCCGCGCCTGGGATAAGGTGCACTGGCCCAGAGGGAGCCCGCGCCGCCGGGAACTTAGTAGCCCCGCGGAGGCGGTTAGCGCGTCCCGGGGTCCCTGGCCCTCGCCTGAGATGCCGCCCCGGCCCGCCCCGCCCAGCTTCAAGCTCCCGGGCCCATCGCGGTCTCCCGCCTTCTCCCTGTAGCCCCGGAGAAACTGGCACGGCGCCGCGGGCGCACCGCGCTTCGGGGCTCTCAGCGAGCCTTCGCAGGTGGCGGGCGGGGTCCCCTCCCGGGTCACAGGCTGGGAAGCCTAGGCCTCGCGGTTCTGCAGAGTCCGGGCGCGGCCCAGCCTGTGGCCTTTGCCTCCTCGTCACCAGGATCCCCGCCTGCTGGGGCCTGGCTGCTCCTCGACTTCGTGGGCGCTGCGCCTTCCCGCCCCGCGAATGCGGGTGGGGCGTCCCCAGGGCCCGTGCGCTGAGCTAGCCGAGCCGCCGCGGGTGGGCGCCCTCTCCCCGGCCGTGCCGCGCGGGCGCCAGGACTCGGGGAGATCTGAGAGGATTCTGCAGGAACCCCCCGGTTCCTGCGCCGGGCGGTGCTCTGTCCCGCACACCGCGCTCTCGGGACACTTCTCTAACTTTGGGGACACGTGGGCACTGCCTCTGGCAGGGCCTTCAGGCTCCACGACCGGGACCACTCAAGCCCCCACGGCGTCACCTGCTGGGCGCTGCGCGCTCTACGGTCTCCTATTATTTCATTTCTTCTATGGAGCAGCCCCAGAGGGGATGTCATTAGCCCCCATTTTCTTGAACATTTGGTTTGCAAGAAATTGTCTTTCTGGCGAGTTTTATTTTTCTCCTTGTGTATCTGGCTTTGTCTCTAAATTGGTCTTTATTTTTAGCTGTACTAATTGCTATTTTTCCAAACCGTTCCCCAGTCGCCCTCCCCCCATCCCCCCGTCCTTTTGCAGTTTTTTTCACTACTTGGCACTTTCTTTTGTATCTTCTATTCTGAGCTTCCAGTTCTGCTCACTTTCCCTCTCCCTCTACCCACCCCACAGCCCCAGTTGCACCCCAAGTGTGGCCGGTGGTTGCTTGTTGTTTCCCTCCCCGCTATTCCCCCTCCAAAAGTCGTTTTCCTCCGAGCATTTCCAAGCACTCTCCCCCTTCTGCTGCCAAAAGAGGATTTCCAGGCTCCTGAAGCGAACGCGGTGACCAAGAACAGGGTTAGACCCAGCGCGGGGAGTTCTGCTTTTAAAACTGCTGTTGTTGGCCTACTCCGGGCCCAGACAAACTTCCATCTCATTGTAATGGGATCAAGCTGTGATACTTAACTATAGGCAAGAGTTTCACCTTTCGTAAGAGCGGGATTTTAAATGCTGGCAGAGTCCTGGATCCAAGTGAGGTCACTGCGTTCTTAAAACAATAAGGGAATTGGTGCAACGCACTCACCCAGAAAACTTCCCCGAGACCAAATTACAAGTAATCCTAAGACAGGAAATAAGCACACTGGCACACAGGGGTAAAAGTTAGGCACAGCAGCTCAGTGTTTTGCTAGTTGCCAAGTCCACCCTAGCGTGTCCTGAAAAACACTGGTGTGGCTTAAGACATGCTATGAATCCCTCCTGAGCTAAGAACCCCAGGCATCTCTTAAATAAAGGGAAAATATAACAGCCTTAAATCACTTTTACTGTCCTGTTAGCACATCAGAGAGTAAGTACAAAAATTAAGATGCATAGTTAGGGCCAGGCGCTGTGGCTCACGTCTGTAATCCCAGCACTTTGGGAGGCAGAGGCAGGCGGATTACCTGAGGTCAGGAGTTCAAGACCAGCCTGGCTAACATGGTGAAGCCCCATCTGTACTAAAAATACAAAAATTAGCCAGGCCTGGTGGCAGGTGCCTGTAATCCCAGCTACTCAGGAGGCTGACACAGAAGAATCACTTGAGCCTGGGAGGAGGAGGTTGCAGTGAGCCAAGATCTGAAGGAGGAGGTTGCAGTGAGCTGAGATCTCACCACTGCACTCCAGCCTGGGCCACAGAGCAAGACTCTGTCTCCAAAAAAAGGAAAAAAAGGCCGGGTGCGGTGGTTCACACCTGTAATCCCAGCACTTTGGGAGGCCAAGGCGGGCGGATCACCTGAGGTCGGGAGTTCGAGACCAGCCTGACGAACATGGTGAAACCTCATCTCTACTAAAAATACAAAATTAGCCAGGCGCGGTGGCAGGCATCTGTAATCCCAGCTACTCAGGAGGCTGAGGCAGGAGAATCGCTTGAACCCGGGAGGCAGAGTTTGCAGTGAACTGAGATCGAGCCATTGCACTCCAGCCTGGGTGACTGAGCAAGACTCCATCTCAAAAAAAAAAAAAAAAAAAATGCATGGTTAACGTTTAAGTGCACAGTTTAAAATTTTTGCCTGGGACATTGAAATTGCTATAAATACCTGTTTTAAGTGTCTGAAGGTTCAAAAGCCAGTTTTCAAAGTGTATTGTGCAAAAGACCACGTATAAAAGTATAAAGCCTCCTAACTCCTAAAACTCGCCAAATGCACACACACATACACACACACACTCACACACACACACACACACACACACACGATTAAGTTCCAACCGTGGTTTGCATTGGATTGAAGGTGCTCACCATCCCAATGGCATTTTTCCTGTAATTCCAGCATGCACTTTCTGAAGCTTTTTTTTTTTTTTTTTTTTTTTTTTGAGACAGAGGTTTCACTATGTTGTCCAGGCTGATTTCTGACTTCTGGGCTCTCAAGTGATCCTCCCTCCTTAGCCTCCTAAGTCAAGCCTTCACAAACAAACTGCGGTAGCCAGTGTGGGGAAGAAGAGGATGAGCGGTTTAGCCCCTTTCTTCCCCTGCTGGTCTCACTTTTGGTTCAAGGATGTTTACATCAGGCAAGAAGCAAGAGCCCCGGATGTCTTCTGGTAACACAAGATTTCAGAGGGATTACTGGCTTTGGAGTTCAATATTTTCATTCTACCCAGAAACTAAAATATTGGTAAGCTGTGAATACATTTTAGAGCCTCTCATCACCAGAATTTATGTAACAAGACTATTCTAGGCCAGTTGAGGCAGACAAGGTATAGTAAAATGAATAAGTGGCCAACTTAAAGTCAAGAGACCTGGGTACTAATCTGACCAAACAGCAACCAGCTGTGTGGACACACCAGATGTGTCCTCAAACACATCGTAGCCTCAAGGGACAGGGCAAGGAGAGGTCCACCTACACTCCGAGCAAGTGGTATTCAATAGCAATAAACAAAAAAGCATCTGGCATCGTGCCCAGCACATGTAGGCACACAAAAAATTACTGGAATTTTAATTACTCTTACTCCCCCTACAATGATGTTTTAATAAATGATAAACTTTATGGTACAGCCAGTCAAAAGTGGATTTCTTTTCAATTATAGGAAATTGGCAGGGTTAGTAACACTGATGTTCACATTGTTACTACACTGTGAAGGAGGGAAAGTAAATTGTTACAACCTCTCTAGAAGGAAGAGAAGCAGATGTGTTAATATATGTATTTGACAACACATGTAAGAGTCTTCAAAATGTTTATACCTCTTGGACTAGTGAATAATTCTATAATTGGTAATTTGTGCCAAAAGAAAAACAATAAATGATGCGAACATTTACGTGTACAATTAAACATAACACTTCCTTTTATCAGGGTTATTTACAGTAGCTAAAAATGCCCGCTAAGAGAATGACTAAGGTATAACATATTCTCCTGATAGAATATTTAACAGTTATAAAAAACTGTGAAGAATCTTTGGAACTTGGTGGAAAAAACTAGTGCAAAGAGAAAGATGAAAGAATCTTAGACGAAGCTCTCGTTGAAAAATCAGGATACAAATATAGAGAAAATTTTCAGTGTGGAGGAAGAGGAGAATACGGTATGTTTATACCTAGAAAGCTAGCAGTTAATTACACCTAAATATTACTAGACTATATCTCTAGATAATAGGATAATGGGTTCTTTTTTCTTCATTACATTTTCCTGTTTTGCAAACTTCTGCAGTGTATGTGCTTTTAAATCAGGGAGAAAAATCACTAATTAGAGACTAGTTGAAATCTCTACTGGGTTTAATGCCACAAAAATACATAAGGCTTCATTTCTGTTGCAGTTTTGTGTTTTGTTTTTTAGAGACAGGGACTTGTTCTGTCGCCCAGGCTGGAGTGTGGTGCTGCGATCATAGCTCACTGCAGCCTTGAACTCCTGAGCTCAGGCAGTCCCCCTACCTCAGTCTCCTGAGTAGCTAGGGCTACAGGAGTGCACCACCATACCCTGCTACTTATGTATGTACGTACGTATGTATTTATTTATTCATTAATTTTTTTATTTTTAATTTTGTTTATTTATTTATTTATTTATTTGAGATGGAGTCTCAAATAAATAAATAGAGATGGGATTTCACCATGTTGGCCAGGCTGGTCTCCATCTCCTGATCTCGTGATCTGCCCACCTCGGCCTCCCAGAGGGCTGGGATTACGTAAGCCACTGCACCTGGCAAAAGTAAATTTTATTTTTAGAGCAATTTTAGGTTCACAGCAAAATTGAACAGAAAGTAGAGTTCCACATGCCTCCTGCCCCAAACACGCATAGCCTCTTATAGCATATGACCTCCCACACCAGAGAGGTACCTTTGTGCAATCAAGGAACCTACAATGACACATCGTTATCATCCAGAGTTCATATCAAATACCCTTTTCCCATCTCAGGACTCCCACCTTTTTTGGAGGGTGTGGGGCTAAGGAGCAGAAAGTTTAATACGCAGGAGTAAGAGAAAGGAGAACAGTTCTCTCTCTAGGGAGAGAGAGGGGCTTCCGAAAGGAAAGACCAACAGTGGTGGGGTTCACTGGATTTTATAGGCAGACTTGAGAAGGCGGTGAATGATTTACATAGGGCCCACAGATTGGTTAGATCAGATGTGACGTTTACAAAGCGCCCAGGGAAGGCTGGCCACCCCACCCTAATCTTACTACACAAATGAGTTTTCCACTTGACTGGTGACATCTTGTCTGCTCCTTATACACATGTGGCTGGCAAAGACAAGGGAAGATGGAGCCGCCATTCTGAACATGCCTAGTCCCAAGTAGCTTTTTTTCTGCCGGCATTCACCCGTGCAAGCATCCAGCTTGCTTGTCTATGTCTGCAGCCGGGCGTGGCGGCACATGCCTGTAATCCCAGCTACTCGGGAGGCTGAGGCAGGAGAATCGCTTGATCCTGGGAGGCGGAGGTTGCGGTGGGCCGAGATTGTGCCATTGCACTCCAGCCTGGGCAACAAGAGTGAAACGCTATCTCAAAAAAAAAAAAAAGAAAGAAAAGAAAGAAGGAAGGAAGGAAGGAAGGAAGGGAGGAAGGGAGGAAGGAAGGGAGGAAGGAAGGAAGGAAAGAAAAGAAAAAGGAGACAACAATGGGAGAGAGATTTCAGCCAATCAGAAAGGAGATGGAGAAGCAGAAACACTTAACAAGAGGAAGGAGCTACAACCTAAATGCAGGCAGGGCGTGCCAGTTAGAACAAGCCAATTCACCCTGCAGAGCCTCAGAGGAGCTCCTGACCCAAAGGCACAGACCACAGAGAAGAGGACAGGCAAGGACTGAAAAGGGGAGATTGATAGAAGTCTATATAAGGAGACTTCAGTTCCCCTGCCACCTACCTTAGGAAATAATGATCTTGGGAAATAGTGAAGTACAGAAGCTCTGGACTTATGAACTACTGGCTGAGCTAAAGGTGCAGATGAGCTGTGGGCATCAAAGAGAGTGTTAAGCCTAGATCTGTACACAGGATTGGGAGGCCCTTCTTCCTCAGCCCCTTCCCCAGCAGCCAGATGTACTAGAAAAATTTACTCTCTCCAAAACAAAAAACAAAACAAAACAATGGAAATTAACATTTAACGTTCTCCAGAGTTAGCACTGGCCAACTACACAGACATACACAATCCACATGCCTCTTTCACACACACAGTTCCAAAGAGCTTTGGACACCTCCTTCTCAAGGATGAGGACTATGCAAAGACCACAGACATTTAAGGAACGTCTCTAATGAGAGAGACAGAGAGAAATAGAAAATAGGAATTCAGGCGAAAGACAAGAGAGAATAGGCATGAATCTTTTAAAATACTATAACTAGCTCAGAGAGGGAGAGAGAGAAGCTATTTCATCCATTCATAAAAGAAGAAAGATTGGAATATAAAAATGAAGTAGAAACAAAACATTTCAATAAAGGAGTTTGAAGATAAAGGTGAAGAAATCTCCTGAAGATTAGAGCAGATGAAGAAATGTACAACAGGAGAGAAAGAAAGAAAGATTGGAGAATCAATCCAAGTAATAGGAGTTCCAGAAAGACATTACAGAGAAAATGTTAGAGAGAAAATTAAAGATATAATTCAAGAAAATTGCCCAGACTGAGATGGGCATGGTGGTGTGACCTGTAGTCCCAGCTACTCAGGAGGCTGGGGCAGCTGGACTGCTTAAGCTCAGGAGTTTGAGGCTGTAGTGTGCTGTGATCTCACCTATGAATAGTCATAGCACTCCAGCCTGGGCAACATATCAAGACTCCATCTCTTAAAAAAAAAAAAAAGAATGAATGAAAATTTCCCACACTGAAGAAAATTCATCTCCAAAAGCAAAGAGTCCATAACGGGCACAATGTGAGACCTACAACAAGGTACACCTGCATAAAATTTCAAAACAAAGACAATTTCCAAAAAAAAACTCAGAAAGAGCACATTGGTGGTGGGAATACTAAATGGTACAGCCACTCTCAAAGGTGACTTGGAAGTTTCTTAAAAAGTTAAATACATACCTATCATATCATCCAAACATTCCACTCTTAGGTATTTAACCCAAGAAAAGTGAAAACGTGTCCATACAAAAACTCTTACATGAGTGTTCATGCCAGCTTTAGTTGTCATAACCTGGAAACAACCCAATGTCTGTCAGCAGCTGCATGGATAAACAAATTGTGGTATAAACATACAAAAGAATGAATTATTGACACATTCAAAAACATAGGTAAATATCAAAATAATTACTCTCAATGAAAAAAAAAACAGACCAAAAAAGATATATACTGTATGATTTCATTTATGTAAAATTCTAGAAAATGCAAACTAAACTATAGTAACAGAAACAGATCAGTGGTTGTTTGGGGGAGAATAGGGAGTAGGGGTAGGGGAGTGATAGAAAGGATGGATTTCTTTTTGTTTTTTTGAGACAGAGTCTCGTTCTGTCACCCAGGCTGGGGTGCAGTGCCAGTGGCTCAATCTCAGCTCACTGCAAACTCCACCTCCCAGGTTCAAGCAATTCTCCTGCCTCAGCATCCTGAGTAGCTGGGATTACAGGCATATGCCACCATGCCCAGCTAGTTGCTTTTTTTTTTTTTTTTTCTTGAGACGGGGTCTCACTCTGTCACCCAGGCTGGAGTGCAGTGGCATGATCTTGGCTCACTGCAATCTCGCCTCCCTGGTTCAAGCGATTCTCCTGCCTCAGCCTCCCGAGTAGCTAGGATTATAGGTGTGCGCCACCATGCCCGGCTAATTTTTCTGTTTTTAGTAGAGACGGGGTTTCACCATGTTGGCCAGGCTGGTCTCAAACTCCTGACCTCAAGTGATCCGTCTGCCTTGACCTCCCAAAGTGCTGGGATTACAAGCGTAAGCGATCGTGCCCGGCCCAGCTAATTTTTGTATTTTTAAGAGACAGGGTTTCGCCATGTTGGCCAGGGTGGTCTCGAACTCCTGGCCTCAAGTGATCTGCCTGCCTCAGCCTCTCAAAGTGCTGGTATTACAGGCATGAGCCACTGCACCCAGCTGAAAGGATGGATTTCAAAGGGGCATGAAGGTTATTTTGAGTTGACATGTTCACTATCTTGACTGTGGTGATGGTTTTGTAAGTGTATACATGTCAAAACTTATATAGTTTATATATGTGCATTCCATTGTATGTAATTTTATCTCAATAAAGCTGTTTGTAAAAGTATGTATGTGCTGAGAATGTAAAATGATGCAGCCCCTTTGGAAAACAGTTGGGCAGTTCCTCAAAAAGCTCCATGTGGAGTTACCATATCACTCAGCAATTCCACTTCTGCATGTCTACTCTAGAGAAATGAAAACATACGTCCACGCTAAAACTTGTACACAAAGGTCCATAGCAGAAAAGCAGAAACAACCCATGTCCATCAGCTGACGATGCACAGGCAAACCTGGTAGCTCTCCATCTATTACATGGAATATTATTCAACCATAAAAAGGAATGCAGTACTGATACGCTACACCATGGATGAGCCTCACAGGGGAGCCAGTGATCACCTCTAATACCCCTTTTGGCTCTTAGTGGGCTCTTCAGCTGGATCTAGAAACCAAACTGACACCAAGCTGATCAACAAGAGCGAAGTATACACATTTTATTAGTTTGGCATGTACGTGGAGATCTTCACAAGAGACTCAAGTCTCAAGTGGCTAAAGCAAAATGCTTTTTTTCTGCATCACTTGGACTACACAGAGCAAGATGCTTTTATACTTTTTAGACAAAGAACAATAGATTTGAGGAGGAAAAAATAGGACAAAGAAAATCTGGCAAGGGCGATAAAATGTTCTAGGAGATCCACTAGGAGATACAGGAGGGGGTGTAAATAGGTGGAAGATAAGTGTTATTTCATGAAGTATGTTTATTCAGGTCCATTGCCGTCCTCAGTTCCAGTCTCTGGTGATAAGGGCTATTTTCTCTCTCTGGTTTGGAGAGGGGACCCCTCCCAGAGGAATCTTTACCGCTTGATGCATGCAGGAAGAGGGAGGTCAGCTGGCCCTTTCTGAAGCCACCATTTCTCCAATGTTTGCAACTTGAAATAATCGATATACCAACTAGGCATATTTTGGGGTGGCGCGTCCTTCATGCTCTCAACCTTGAAAATGTTACGGTAAGTGAAAGAGTATCACAGAGAGCATCCCATGCTGCATGATTCCATTTATACCAAGTCTAGAATAGGCAAATCTGTAGAGACAAAAAGTAAATTTGCAATCTCCTAAGCCTGGGAACAAGGGAAGAAGGGGAATGACTATAATAGGTACCTGGTTTCTTTTTGGATCATGACAAAGTTCCAAAATTAGATTATGTTGATGGTTTCACAACCCCATAAATACATTAGGAACCATTTAATTGTGTGCTTTACATAGGCAAGTTTTTTGGTATATAAATTCTATCTCAACAAAACTGTTTATTTACAAAGAGCAAAAACAGGTCACATACAAAGGATCAGAAATCAAAATGTCACTGGACTTTCTGGAAAGCTAGAAAGCTTGAGGGATATCCTGAAAAAAAAAAAAAAAAAAAGGATCAGGTGCAGTGTAATTTCAGCACAGGTGGGTGGCTTGAGCCCAGGAGTTCGAGACCAGCCTAGGCAACACAGTGAGACCCTGTCTCTCCAAAACAAAAATACAAACATTAGCTCTGCGTGGTGGTGCATACCTGCAGTCCCGGCTCCTGGGGCGGGGGCTGAGGGCTGAGGTGGGAGGATTGCTTGAGCCCAGAAGGTTGAGGCTGCAGTGAGCCGAGATCATGCCACCGCATTCCAGCCTGGGTGACAAAGGAAGACCTCATCTGAAAAAATAAAAGGAGTAAATGCAAAAAGAGAGGGCAGCACAGGCTCCAGAGAACAAGGGCCCAACCTGGGAGAGCAGCAGAGTCCTGATCAGGGTAACAGGAGTGCAGTGGGACTATGGCAGCAGGTGCTGGGGGAAGCACGAGAGAAGCCTCTAGAAGCCTCCTTTGATGACCTTGAATTTGAGAAACTGTATTGAAAACCATTTGATTCTACCAGGCGTGGTGGCTCACGCCTGTAATCCCAGCACTTTGGAAGGCTGAGGCGGGTGGATCACTTGAGGCCAGAAGTTTGAGACCAGCCTGGCCAACATGACAAAATCCTGTTTCTACTAAAAATACAAAAATTAGCCAGATGTGATGGCTTGTACCTGTAATGCCAGTTACTCAGGAGGCTGAAGCAGGAAAATTGCTTGAATCTGGGAGGCGGAGGTTGCAGTGAGCCAAGATCATGCCACTGTACTCCAGCCTGGGCGACAGAGCAAGACTCTCAAAAAAAAAAAAAGAAGAAGAAGAAAGGATGGAAGGAAGGAAGGAAGGAAGGAATGAACAAAAGAAAGAAAGAAAGAAAAAGAGAGAAAAGAAGAATCAGTAGTATATGCATATTGTTCAGATAGATGGAGGCAAATACTAGAAGAACAGCTGAGAATGAAAGATGAGTAGCTTTTGAGGAGTAGGCCTGGGAGAGGAGGGTGAAAGGGAGTGCTGGGGTTTTTTGTTTTGTTTTGTTTGTTTTATTTTGTTTTGTTTTTCAGATGGAGTCTTACTCTATTGCTCAGGCTGGAGTGCAATGGTGAGATCTTGGCTCACTGCAACCTCTACCTCCCGGGTTCAAGCAATTCTCCTGCCTCATCCTCCTGAGTAGCTGCGATTACAGGTATGCACCACCACTCCCGGCTAATTTTTTTGTATTGTTAGTAGAGACGGGAGGTTTCACCATGTTGGCCAGGCTGGTCTCGAACTCTTGACCTTCGTGATCCGCCCACCTCGGCCTCCCAAAGTGTTAGGATTACAGGCGGGAGTCACCACACCCGGCTGGGAGTGCTGTTTTTCATAAGACTTTTAGTACACTTTGGCTTTTTAGACTATTATACAGATATATTATTTTAATGAAAATAAAAATTAATTTAAAAAAGTTCTAGTAGTCACCACTTGCCTAGTCCATAACAAAAGAGAGGACTTGGTGGTATCACCAATAATAGTAACAGCTAAATTTCACTGAGTACTCACTATGTACTTGGCACTGTTTTATCTTATCTTTTAATTTTTAACATTTTTCTAGAAATGGAGTCTTGCTCCTCCACCCAAGCTGGAGTGCAGTGGCTCAGTCAAAGGTCACTGCAGCCTCAACCTCCTGGGCTCCAGCGTTCCTCCCACCTCTGCCTTCTAAGTGGCTGGGACTATAGGCACATGCCACCATGCCAGGCTAATTTTTTACTTTTGTAGAGATGTGGTTCTTGTTTTGTTGCCCAGGCTGGTCTCAAACTCCTGGCTTCAAGTAATCCTCCTGCCTCAGCCCCACAAAATGTTGGGATTGCAGGCGTGAGCCACCATGCCTGGCCCCAAGTACTATTTTAGATACTGTTCTTATTAAACAACCCCTTGGAGGGGCCTTAATCACTACCCCAGGTTGCCTCTAATGGCAGGCAGAACACCAATTGTAAGTGAAATTACAGTTCTTCATGGATTGAAAAGTACCACTTACAGATATATTCTTTGGATCATCACTAAACCTTGTGATATAGGAATTTATAGCTGGAGAAACTGAGTCTCAGATTTGGAGAAATGCTCAACAGCAGAGGTGAAAGTGAAAAGCAAGAATTCAGGTCTCTGGGCTCCTGGTGCCAAATCTTTACATAACTGCACCCAAATCCATGAAAAACAAAAAAAAATTTTTTTTTTTTTTTGAGATGGAGTCTCGCTCTGTCGCCCAGGCTGGAGTGCAGTGACGCAATCTCAGCTCACTGCAAGCTCCGCCTCCCGGGTTCAGGCCATTCTCCTGCCTCAGCCTCCCGAGTAGCTGAGACTACAGGCGCCTGCCACCATGCCCGGCTAATTTTTTTATATTTTTAGTAGAGACGGTGTTTCACCGTGTTAGCCAGGATGGTCTCGATCTCCTGACCTCGCGATCCACCCGCCTCGGCCTCCCAAAGTGCTGGGATTACAGGCGTGAGCCACCGTGCCCAGTCAAAGATATTTTTTAAAAATCAGTTTCAGGTGTTTGCTTTGTAAATTGCTCCCTCCTGCTATTTTTTTTTTTTTTCAGACAGAGTCTCTGGAGTGCAGTGGTGTGATTTCGACTCACTACAACCTCTGATTTCCGGGTTCAAGCAATTCTCCTGCCTCAGCCTCCTGAGTAGCTGGTATTATAGGCACGTGACACCACACCCAGCTGATTTTTGTATTTTTAGTAGAGACGGGGTCTCACCATGTTGGCCAGGCTGGCCTCAAACTCCTGACCTCAAGTGATGCACCTGCTTTGGCCTCCAAAAGTGCTGGGATTACAGGCATGAGCCACTCTCTCATGTTATTTTTAAATGTTAAGGAAAAAGGAGTTTACGATTTCCAAGAATCTTCACCCAGTTCTTCTTTCAAATCTAGATACAGGCCGGGTGAGGTGGCTCACGCCTGTAATCCCAGCACTTTGGGAGGCCAAGATGGATGGATCACCTGAGGTCAGGAGTTTGAGACCAGGCTGGCCAACATGGTGAAACTCTGTCTCTGCTAAAAATACAAAAATTAGCTGGGTGTGGTGGCTCGCATCTGTAATCCCAGCTACTCAGGAGGCTGAGGCAGGAGAATCACTTGAACCGGAGGGGCGGAGGTTGCAGTGAGCCCATATCAGGCCACTGCACTCCAGCAGGGGTGACAGAGTGAGACGCTGTCTCAAAAAAAAAAAAAAAAAAAAAAAACAAACTTCAAATCTAGATATAAAAATGTCCTCTGAAAAGCAAAACAGTGTACATGTGCACACACACTCCACAGACACCCACACATGTAAGGTGTTAGTGTAACATGTTAACACTGTTCTGGGGTGAGTGGGTTGTTTGTTTTAAATAATCACACTGAAACACACACCTCCCAAGAGTGTCGTCCTATTCAGTGTAATCACTCACACTCCACTGAGTCAACTGAGCAGCTACCACTGCTCAGGACTTCTCCCAAGCTTCTTTGGAATGTCACTCACATTCTCTCGGACATTTCTAGAACAATATTTTGTGGACCTAATTGGTTTTTGGAAACTGCCAAAAACCATTGGTGAAAATTGGCAGAATAAGGTGGGTGATAACTGTTGTGAAATGCTGGGAAACAGGGAGGGGTGTATGAGACAGAGTTATAAAATAGTTGGGCCAATTTACTGGTGTGCCATGTAAATCATGCTTGAAATAACTTTAGAAGAATCAGCATTTGGGGCCAGGCCCGATGGCTCATGCCTGTAATCCCAGCACTTTGGGAGGCTGAGGCAGGTGGATCACTTGAGACCAGGAGCTCAGACTCACCTGATCAACATGGCGAAACTCCAACTCTACTAAAAATACAAAAATTAGCTGGGCATGGTGGCTCACGCCTATAGTCCCAGCTACTCAGGAGGTTGAGGCAGGAGAATCACTTGAATCTGGGAGGCAGAGGTTGCAGTGAGCTGAGATCACACCACTGCACTCCAGCCTGGGTGACAGAGCAAGATTCTGTCTCAAAAAAAGAAAAAAAAATCAGCACTTGGCAAGAGGATTACAGATGACTAGCTTTTAGGGCAAACAGACATTTCCCATTTTGGATATGTGTCTAGCATGATTAAAGGAGGCTCACTTTATAAAAGCAGTAGTTACATTACTAAAGTTTATGGCCACCATATATACACCTACGAATGTTCCTTACTATTAATAAAAATAATAGAAATTGTGTGAACTATTATAATAAGCCCCACAAGACAGAATTCAATTCAAAAAAATTGTTTTAACTATGTTTTTAACCTAAGCCTATTCACTTACATTTCTCTGATGTTGAAAAATATAAAAGTCTTTAGTGGTTTTTATCAAAAGTCTTCTGGTTATTCATCTATACTTATAAACAAATCTCAAACACTTTCAATGCTTTTTAAAATCATAAAACCCAACTGAGAAATAGTTAGAAAGTAATCTTCAAAAGATACATCACTTATCAAACATTCTTATTTATGATTTCCAAATACATTTTATCAGCCATCAAATTTCAGCTAAAGGCTATTTTCCACCTGTTTAACATGTGGTTATAGGAAATATCTCAAAAAAGGTAGTAAACCTATAATAAAAATCATCTGACAAGAATGCAGGGACTGGCACGCACCAGTAGTCCCGGCTACTTGGGAGACTGAGGTGGGAGGATCGCTTGAGCCCAGGAGTTTGAGGCTGCAGTGAGCTATGACTGCACCACTGTACTCCAGCCTGGGTGACAGAGCAAGACCTCAACTTAATTTAAAAAAAATAAAATAAAATTCAGGGTCTGAATATTATGTTGTTCTTGCTCAACTTTTAACCAGCTGGAAACTTTCCAGAATCACTAATTCCTAGATATACACTGCTCATGTTCTCAGGAAATGTATTTTGGCTCACAAGTTTGATATTTTTATCAGGTATTAAAGGAACATTATATGTGTTATTATTAGTGACACAGATAATTTTACACCCTAATGAGAAAAGCTGAAATCATATATAAAGCCATAACTCAGATTTTGAAGATATTTAGGAGAGGAAATATATATGTGTGCATGTATGTATGTCTATACACATGTGCATATACATATATGTACACATATACACACATACACATGTGTGTTTATCTATACATATTTAAAGGGATTTGTAAACAAGCTGAAAAGCGGTGAGAGTCACTGGCACAGCAGCTATGTGAGCACACTTTAGAGACAGCCTGCATGGCTTACCTCTGTCAAGAGTAGGCACTAATGGGCTGGGTGCAGTGGTTCATGCCTGTAATCCCAGCACTTTGGGAGGCCCAGGCCGGCGGATCACTTGAGGTCAGGAGTTGAAACCCCATCTCCACTAAAAATACAAAATTAGCCAGGCGTTTTGGTGGGTGCCTGTAATCCCAGCTATTTGGAAGGCTGAGACAGGAGAATCGCTTGAACCTGGGAGGTGGAGGTTGCAGTGAGCCGAGATCCCACCACTGCACTCCAGCCTGGGCGACAGGGTGAAACTCCAACTCGAAAAAAAAAAATTAATAATTCCTAACTCCACAGAGATCTAAAAACTAATTCCGTAGAGATCTGGCAATTGTCAGATGCAAAGTTTTAAGCCCAAAGACCTTTCCATAAAGAAGTTACCTTTATGGAAAGGTAACTTCCACAGTGGCTCACCCCTGTAATCCCAGCACTTTGGGAGGCCGAGACGGGTGGATCGCCTGAGGTCAGGAGTTTGAGACCAGCCTGGCCAACATGGTGAAAACCTATCTCTACTAAAAGTACAAAAATTAGCCAGGCGTGGTGGCAGGCGCCTGTAATCCCAGCTACTCAGGAGGCTGAGGCAGGAGAATCGCTTCAACCCAGGAGGTGGAGGCTGCAGTGAGCTGAGATCGTGCCATTGCACTCCAGCCTGGGTGACAAGAGCGAGACTTTGTCTCAATAAAATAAAATAAAATAAAATAAAATAAGTTACCTTTATGAGGAGGAAAATGCCACAAATTTCTGGTTATCAGGATCATTAGATGATCCCTATTGATAAAGACAGAATCCATTAACAGTACTTAGCTTTACATGCCTCCAGTCATAAATACCAAAATACTTTCTTTAATAACTATAAGTCCCATATATTTACATAATAGGTTATAGAGTGCCATTTTGGGTCCAGTCCATGTTTTGAAGGGATTTATAAATACAGGTAAAACGTGCTGCCAGACATTATTTACAACCTAAAACAATCTTTCCAGCTGGGCCTAGTCTGTTCTCAGCCACCAGTACCCTCAACCTTTTTTAGTCAGAGTCACTAGAAAGTTTTTTCACCCTGAACGTAAACAGCAGTCAATTCTCCAAGTGCTCACATAACATCCTTGACTTTACAGGCGAGATGACATTATGGCAACTGAAGACTGAAGATTGGTGTTGGCTACACTTCGCAGGCACCTGGCAGCTAATAATATTGTTGAGGTTGCTGATCCACTTTATTCCTTCATGTCCATTATTTTTATGACATTACATTAAAAATACCAGATTACAGATATGGTCTCACTCTGTCACCCAGGCTGGAGTAGAGTGGCACGATCATAGCCCACTGCAGCCTCGAACTCCTGGCCTCAAGATATCCTCCCACCTCAGCCTCCTTAGTAGCTGGGACTACAGGCGTGTACTGCTGCACTTGGCTAATTTTTTATTTTATTTTATTTTATTTTATTTTATTTATTTATTTATTTATTTATTTTTTATTGATCATTCTTGGGTGTTTCTCGCAGAGGGGGATTTGGCAGGGTCATAGGACAATAGTGGAGGGAAGGTCAGCAGGTAAACAAGTGAACAAAGGTCTCTGGTTTTCCTAGGCAGAGGACCCTGCGGCCTTCCACAGTGTTTGTGTCCCCGGGTACTTGAGATTAGGGAGTGGTGATGACTCTTAACCAGCATGCTGCCTTCAAGCATCTGTTTAACAAAGCACATCTTGCACCGCCCTTAATCCATTTAACCCTGAGTGGACACAGCACATGTTTCAGAGAGCACAGGGTTGGGGGTAAGGTCATAGATCAACAGCATCCCAAGGCAGAAGAACTTTTCTTAGTACAGAACAAAATGGAGTCTCCTACGTCTACTTCTTTCTACACAGACACAGCAACAATCTGATTTCTCTCTTTCCCCACATTTCCCCCTTTTCTACTCGACAAAACCGCCATCGTCATCATGGCCCATTCTCAATGAGCTGTTGGGTACACCTCCCAGACGGGGTGGCGGCCGGGCAGAGGGGCTCCTCACTTCCCAGAAGGGGTGGCCGGGCAGAGGCGCCCCCCACCTCCCGGACGGGGCGGCTGGCTGGGCGGGGGCTGCCCCCCACCTCCCGGACGGGGCGGCTGCCAGGCGGAGATGCTCCTCACTTCCCAGACGGGGCAGCTGCCGGGCAGAGACGCTCCTCACTTCCCAGACGGGGCGGCTGCTGGGCAGAGGGGCTCCTCACTTCTCAGACGGGGCGGCCGGGCAGAGACGCTCCTCACCTCCCAGACGGGGCGGCGGGGCAGAGGCGCTCCCCACATCTCAGACGATGGCGGCTGGGCAGAGACGCTCCTCACTTCCTAGACGGGATGGCGGCCGGGAAGAGGCGCTCCTCACTTCCCAGACTGGGCGGCCGGGCAGAGGGGCTCCCCACATCCCAGACGATGGGCGGCCAGGCAGAGACGCTCCTCACTTCCTAGATGGGATGGCGGCCGGGAAGAGGCTCCTCATTTCCCAGACTGGGCGGCCGGGCAGAGGGGCTCCTCGCATCCCAGACAATGGGCGGCCAGGCAGAGACGCTCCTCACTTCCCAGACAGGGTGGAGGCCGGGCAGAGGCTGCAATCTCAGCACTTTGGGAGGCCAAGGCAGGCGGCTGAGAGGTGGAGGTTGTAGCGAGCCGAGATCACGCCACTGCACTCCAGCCTGGGCAACATTGAGCACTGAGTGAACGAGACTCCGTCTGCAATCCCAGCACCTCGGGAGGCCGAGGCTGGCAGATCACTCGCGGTTAGGAGCTGGAGACCAGCCCGGCCAACACAGCGAAACCCCGTCTCCACCAAAAAAATACGAAAACCAGTCAGGCGTGGTGGCGCGCGCCTGCAGTCGCAGGCACTGGGCAGGCTGAGGCAGGAGAATCAGGCAGGGAGGTTGCAGTGAGCCGAGATGGCGGCAGTACAGTCCAGCTTGGGCTGGGCATCAGAGGGAGACCGTGGAAAGAGAGGGAGAGGGAGACCATGGAAAGAGAGGGAGAGGGAGACCGTGGAAAGAGAGGGAGAGGGAGACCGTGGAAAGAGAGGGGGAGGGGGAGGTGGAGGGAGAGGGGAGGGGGGAGGGGGAGAGGGGGAGAGGGAGAGGGACTTTTATTTTATTTTTGAGACTGAGTTTCGCTGTTGTTGCCCAGGCTGGAGTACAATGGTGCGATCTCAGCTCACCGCAACCTCTGCCTCCCAGGTTCAAGCAATTCTCCTGCCTCAGCCTCCCGAGTAGCTGGGACTACAGGTGTGAGCCATCATGCCCAGCTAATTTTTGTATTTTTAGTAGAGAGGGTGTTTCTCCATGTTGGTCAGGCTGGTCTTGAACTCCCGACCTCAGGTGATCTGCCCACCTCAGCCTCCCAAAGTGCTGGGATTACAGGCGTGAGCCACCGCACCTGGCTTAATTTATTTTTTGTAGAGATGAGGTCTTGCTATATTGGTCTCGAACGCCTGGGCTCAAGTGATCCTCCCACATAGGCCTCTTTTTTTTTTTTTTTTTTGAGACAGAATCTTGCTCTGTCACCTAGACTGGAGTGCAGTGGCATGATCTCAGCTCACTGCAACCTCCGTCTCCCGGGTTCAAGCAATTCTCCTGACTCAGCCTCCCAAGTAGCTGGGACTACAAGTGCCCGCCACTACACCTGGCTATAATATTTGTATTTTTAGTAGAAACAGGGTTTCACCATGTTGGCCAGGCTGGTCTCGAACTCCTGTCCTCAGGTGATCTGCCAGCCTTGGCCTCCCAAAGTGCTGGGACTACAGGTGTGAGCCACAGCACCTGGCTTATCTCGGCCTCTTAAACTGTTAGGATTACACGAGTGAGCCATGGCTCCCAGCCACAATTCAAATTTTGGAAAACCAATTATCTGCCCTAATTATTACGCTCCAGCCAAACTACCCAATTTTTTTTTTCTTTTTGCATTCCTTCCCCACAAGTTACTCTGTGTCAAGTTTCTAATGTTGAGTTTCATCATTTCACTGACAACAGGCTTCTAAAACCCAGGAATACTTAAGATCTATTGGTATTTCTTTGGGTCAAATTGGTAGAGCTAAAGTACATTGAAGTCATTCAAATACATTCAAACTACACAGATTCCTTATAAATTACTGGTATCAAGAAAGGAAAAGATTCAAGAAGACATTACAGAATTCATCATATGTTATCAGAATTACTGATGTAGTCTATCCTAGCATAGAGTAGCTTTCTCAACCTATTGCATAAAAATTACCAGCAAGAAAGAATAGTACAAAATAAGGTTTATGGCTAAGTTGGCTCTGTATCATAATTATCCATTCTAGCATTCTTAGAAGGATCCTGGCTGGGCCCAGTGGCTCACACCTGTAATCCCAGCACTTTGGGAGGCTGAGGCAGGTGGATCGCTTGAGCTCCGGAGTTCAAGACAAGGCTGGGCAACATGGTGAAACCCGGTCTCTACCAAAAATACAAAAAAAAAAAATAGCCTGACATGGTGGCATGCGCCTGTAGTCCCACCTACTCAAGAGGCTGAGGTGGAAGGATCACCTGAGCCTGGGAGGCAGAGGTTGCAGTAAGCCGAGATCATGCCACTGCACTCCAGCCTGGGCAACAGAGTGGGACCCCACTTCAAAAAAAAAAAAAAAAAAAAAGAAGAAGAAGAATCCCACCTGTGATAAAGGCAATAACTGCAGTCACATTTGAATGGCTCATTTCTTGACTCATTCTGAACTCCCTTAAGTCCAGTGTCTGTTAGTTCTTTCAAGCTGAGAAAAATTGTTGAGTAAGAGGTATCTGTATTAACATCCTTTCTTTCTGCACAGATCACAATCAATGTCCTTACTCCTCTCCTCCTGTAGGGCAAGCCATCTCTGATCTCCTGTAAGATCTGTCCTGCTGTTGGAGTGAACCGTCTGGAAGAGGGGAGGGGAATTTGGTACCGGGGTTGAGTCAAGTTACTAAGATCCTTTACCAACATTTCTGAGCAGACGGGATGACAGGCTGCTGAATCTTCCTGGGAATTTTCTTCAGTGGGCATCCGAGAAGACTCTGGGGTCAAGGTTGGGTTAAGCTTTTGGGATGGGTCCATCAGTGGCCTAGTCACAGCTCTAAGCTCCTCTTGGATCGTTGGGTTTCTATGGGTGATTCTGGACTCTCAAAATTCTATTTTGAACACTCTATCCTTATTCTAGTCACTAATAATCCAGCACAGAATATTCCTGATGAAAAGTCCATCAGGGCCGGGCACGATGGCTCACACCTGTAATCCCAGCACTTTAGGAGGCCGAGGCGGGCAGATCACTTGAGGTCAGGAGTTCGTGAGCAGCCTGGCCAACATGGTAAAACTCTGTCTCTACTAAAAATACAAAAATCAGGTGGCACACGGTGGCTCATGCCTGTAATCCCAGAACTTTGGGGGGCCGATGTGGGCGGATTAACTGAGGTCAGAAGTTTCAGACCAGCCTGGCCAACATGGTGAAACTCCGTCTCTACTAAAAATACAAAAATTAGCCAGGAGTGGCGGCAGGCGCCTGTAATCCCAGCTACTTGGGAGGCTGAGGCACGAGAATCACTTGAACCAGAGAGGCGGAGGTTGCAGTGAGCCAAGATTGAGCCACTGCACTCCAGCCTGGGTGACAGAAGTGTGATCCTATCTCAAAATAAAAGAAAAAAAAGAATTAACTGTATAACAGTAAATTAACTTGAAAAGTCATTCTGGCCATTGTGTAGGAAAAAAACTAAGAAGGGCCGGGTGCGGTGGCTCACACCTGTAATCCCAGCACTTTGGTAGGCTGAGGTGGGCAGATCACGAGATCAGGAGTTCAAGACCATCCTGGCCAATATGGTGAAACCCCATCTCTACTAAAAATACAACCGGGTGCGGTGGCACTTGCCTGTAGTCCCAGCTACTCAGGAGGCTGAGGCAGAAGAATCGCTTGAACCCGGGAGGTGGAGGTTGCAGTAAGCCAAGATCATGCCACTGCACTCCAGCCTGGGTGACAGAGCGAGACTCCATCTCGAAAACAACAACAACAAAAACTAAAAAGGTTAAAAGCTTAGGTAAGATACAAGAACAGTTAAAAATGAAAAAAAAAAAATCTGATTATATCTAGTGCTGGCAAAGCACCTGGAGTTTTCATTTCAGTACTGCATGTGAGTGTAAACCAATCCATCGTTTTGGAAGACTGCTGCAACGTCTACTAAAACTGATCAAACACATCTCCTATTACCCAGAATTCCATTCCTAGGTATACACTAAACAAAATGTGTACACATGTTCCCCAAAGGACATTTTAAAAATTCCTAGGCTGGGCATGGGCTCACACCTGTAATCCCAGGACTTTGGGAGGCCAAGGCAGGCGGATCACCTGAGGTCCGGAGCTCGAGACAAGCCTGGCCAACATAGTGAAACCCCCTCTCTACTAAGAAAATAATGGCTGGGTGCGGTGGCTCATGCCTGTAAACCCAGCACTTCGGGAGGCCGAGGTGGGTGGATCACGAGGTCAGGAGTTCAAGACCAGCCTGGCCACGATGGTGAAACCCTATCTCTACTAAAAATACAAAAATTTGCTGGGTGCAGTGGCAGGCACCTGTAATCCCAGCTACTTGGGAGGCTGAGGCAGGAAAATCGCTCGAACCTGGGAGCTGGAGGCTGCAGTGAGCTGAGATGACACCATTGCACTCCAGCCTGGATAACAAGAGCAAGACTGCATCTCAAAAAAAAAAAAAAAAAAAGAATGGATCAATTGTAGCACATTCACATAATAGAATATCATACCATATCATTGAAAAACTCAGCTACACACACACACACACACACACACACACACACACGCGAATGAAACTCACAGTATCAAGTAAGCTGGATACAAAAGAACATATACTGCTTAACTCCATCTATATAGTTACAAAATAGACAAACTAATCTGTGGTCATATAAATCAGTGAGTGGTTATCTTGGGGAAGAGTGGAGGTTAGAGACTAGGACAGAGCATGAGGCTTGCAGGGTAATGGCAATGGTCATATTTCCTGGATCTGGCTACCATTCACATGAGTGTGTTCACTTTATGAAAATTCAGGCCGGGGTGGTGGCTCACGCCTGTAATCCCAGTACTTTGGGAGGCTGAGGCAGGTGGATTGCCTGAGCAACAAGGTGAAACCCCATCTCTACTAAAATACAAAAAAATTAGCTGGGTGTGGCAGCGTGCACCTGTAGTCCCAGCTACTTGGGAGGCTGAGGCAGGAGAACTGCTGGAACCCGGGAGGTGAAGGTTGCAGTGAGCCGAGATAGCACCACTGCACTCCAGTCTGGGCAACAGAGTGAGACTCTGTCTCAAAAAAAAAAAAAAAAAGCAAAGAAAATTCAGAGCTGTACACATATGACGTATACTTTTCTGTGTAATATTTTAATTTTTCAAGTATATATATGGTAGAGGCCAGATGGGAAGATACTGCAGTAGTCTGGATGAAGGAAGATATTGGGTTTTTTTTGTTTTGTTTTTGAGACAGAGTCTCGCTCTGTTGCCTAGGCTGCAGTGAAGTGGCATGATCTCGGTTCACTGCAACTTCCACCTCCTCAGTTCAAGCGATTCTCCTGCCTCAGCCTCCCGAGTAGCTGGGATTACAGGTGTGCACCACCAGTCTTGGCTAATTTTTGTATTTTTAGTAGAGATGGGGTTTCACCATGACGGCCAGGCTGGTCTTGAACTCCTGACCTCAAGAGATCTGCCTGCCTTGGCCTCCCAAAGGCGTGAGCCACCATGCCTGGTTAGATGTTGGTTTAGACTAGGGTAAGAAGAACCATAAAGTGATCCATTTATGTTTTTTGTTCGTTTCCAATTTTCCATTTTGTAACCACTTTAGTAAATATAATACAATCATCAGCAAATCTAATGTCAAAACGAAGCATTTTCTTGAAAGAGTAAATTTCAGTAAGCCTATATATAGCTGCGAATGAATGTAGGTAACTTCCAGGTATATTAAAAATTAAAACTTTCGTATTTGACAGCACAAATAGAATCCCGGTACTAATTTAAGACCTAACCAGATTAGGAATACAAAATATACGGCCAGGTGCCGTGGCTCACACCTGTAATCCTAACACTTTGAAAGAGGCTGAGGTGGGTGGATCACTTGAGGTCAGGAGTTCAAGACCAGCCTGGCCAATATGGTGAAACCCTATCTCTACTAAAAATACAAAAATTAGCCAGGCGTGGTGTCAGGTGCCTGTAATCCCAGCTACTTGGGAGGCTGAGGCAGGAGAATCGCTTGAACCCAGGAGGCGGAGGCTGCAGTGAGCCGAGATCGCATACCACTGCAGTCCAGCCTGGGCAACAAAGGGAGACTGTGTCTAAAAAACAAACAAACAAATAGAAACAATATATAAGCCACTCAAGAAACATTTATCCTTCATGATACAAGGGCAAACTGGCCAGGCATGGTGGCTTACACCTGTATTTCCAACACTTTGGGAGGCTGAGACACGAGGACTGCTTGAGCCCAGGAGTTCAAGACTAGCCTGGGCAACATATTGAGACTCTGTCTCTACAAAAAATAAATAAAAGCTGGGCACGATGGTGCACATTTGTAGTCCCAGCTACTTGGGAGGCTGCACTGGGAGGATTGCTTGGGCCCAGAATATCAAGGCAGTAATGAGCCATAATCACACCACTGCACTCCAGCCCCCCAAAAAGGGCAAACCAAATTCTAAATAACATACTACTTTAATTGTGCCTTCACATGGGGAACATCAAACAGTCAAATGTCAACACTCAAATTGCCTACTGTTTTCCTAGGATTGCTACAAGTCTTTTATAATTTGTCTTATTCTCACTTAAACAATTAAGAAACTTCTTTCTAATCCAACTAGTTTATCAGCAAATATGCTGAAGCACAAGCTGACTTCAGATGTCTGTGCTATATATATATATATTTTTTCCACTTCAAGAATCTCAACTGTGTCACTTCCCATGGCTAGTTCCATTTTTGTCTGTTATACTCAGATGTTGCCTGTCCAGAAACCCAGTTCTGCTGTGCTAGCAGCCCCTCTTCCTAAAACATGGCCCAGGATCACCCACATTCTTGGAGTGATATGCAGAAGTAGTTATGGTTCCTACCTGGCACACACCCAGCACATTCCCATTAGGAGTGCATCCTAATCATCTTTGTTCTTGTTGTTTTGAGACAGGGTCTCGCTCTGTCGTCCAGGCTGGAGTGCAGTGGCACAACCAGGGCTCACTGCAGCCTTGAAATCCTGAGCTCAAACAATCTTCCCACCTCAGCCTCCCAAGTAGATGGGACCCACAGGGGCATGCCACCATGCCTGGGTTTTTTTTGTTTTGTTTTTGAGACAGGGTCTCACTACATTGTCCAGACTGGCCTTGAACTCCTGGCCTCAAGCAATCCTCCCACCTCAGTTTCCCAAAGTGCTGGATTACAAGTGTGAGCCACTGTGGCCAGCCCTGACCACTGCTGAAAGATGCTTGGCAAACTACATTGCATAGCAGTAATGGATAACATTAACTACAAAAAAACCTAGATTTTAAAAAATCTGTACTTTTGAAAAAAAGAAAAACACCTAGTTTTTGTGAAAAATGTGTAACCATGGCTAGTAGTTTTAATCTCCCAAGCCAGGAAGAAAAAAGAAATCTAGGCCAATTAATTTAATTTTAATTACTTTTTTATTTATTTTTGAGAGGGAGTCTCGCTTTGTTACCCAGGCTGGAGTGCAGTGGTGTGATCTCAGCTCATTGAAACCTCCAACTCCAAGGTTCAGGCAATTCTCCTGCCTCAGCCTCTAGAGTAGCTGGGACTGCAGGTATGTGCCACCATGTCCAGCTAATTTTTGTATTTTTAGTAGAGACAGGGTTTCGCCATTTTGGCCAGGCTGGTCTTGAACTCCTGGACTCAAGTGATCTGCTTGCCTTGGCCTCCCAAAGTGCTGGGATTACAGGCATGAGCCACCACACTCAGCCAATTTTTTTTTTTTTTTTTTTTTTTTTTTTTTGAGACGGAGTCTCGCCCTGTTGCCCAGGCTGGAGTGCAGTGACACAATCTCAGCTCACTGCAAACTCCACCTCCCAGATTCAAGCAATTCTTCCATCTGTCTCCCGAGTAGCTGGGATTACAGGCATACACCATCATGCCTGGCTAGTTTTTTGTATTTTCAGTAGAGACGGGGTTTCACCATGTTGGCCAGGCTGGTCTCGAACTCCTGACCTCAGGTGATCCACCCACCTCGGCCTCCCAAAGTGCTGGAATTACAGGTGTGAGCCACCACGCTCGGCCCCGATTTATTTATTTATTTTTTGAGACAGAGTCTCGCTCTGTTGCTCAGGCTGAAGTACAGTGGCACAATCTCAGCTCACTGCAACCTCTGCCTCTCAGGTTCAAGCAATTGTCGTGCCTCAGCCTCCCGAGTAGCTGGGACTACAGGCATGCACCACTATGCTCAGCTAATTTTTGTATCTTCAGTAGAGATGCGGTTGTGCCATGTTGGCCAGGCAGGTATCGAACTCCTGGCTTCAAGTGATCCACCTGCCTCGGCCTCCGTAAGTGCTGGGATTTCAGGCGTGAGCCACCGGCGCCCCGCCAGGCCAATTAATTTTATTTCAGACTACCTTCACCCACAACTGCAGAGTCTCAGAATCTACCTTTTCACAAGCACCCCACCAATTCTGATCAAGTTCTACTCAAATAGAACACGAGGTAATGTTCTGGTTTCAAGAGGGAGACTAAATAAAATACATGTTTACTTTCATTTCCTCTTATCATATTAATGTATTTAACATTTACTGAACACCTACCACATGCCAAGAACTGTTACAAGTACTAGAATTTGTGTAGTTAACAAACCAAGTCCCTGCCTTCGGGGAGCTTCAACCAAGGAATGAAGTTATCCATTTTTAAAAAATAAAATATATCCCTGGGTATAAGAAATGTGGATTTTAAAGGACATCCTAATCCCTGTCATTTTACTGAAAATGCTCAAAGGCAACTATTGTAAAACAGGACCATTTGCCCAACATTCTAATACACAAGTAGAACCCATATTGCTAAATAAAAACATACCTTAAAGGAAATTGAAAACAAACTATCAGGGCCATCTATCAGCAAACATGTTGGTAATATTTCATTTTCAATAGGCTGGTAAGTCTCCTGGTAAGTCTTCTAGTCTTGATAAAGTGTACACAGTCTTAAACCAGGAACATATTACATATCAACACCCCACCCGATTATCCATTCATGGCTTACTACACCTGCCCAGAATTGTCTAGTCTCAGGTTAATGTGCTCCTGAATCAAGGACTTATCCCTCCTTCATCATCCTTCGTCACTTTTTCCCCAATCTGAACCCTTATTAAACAAAGTATGAGTTATGCCATCTGCTAAAATATAACCTAGCCAGAGAAAATTAAAAATGTTTTTCAAGTTTAGTCCTCTTCAAAAAGTAGCAAGCTAAGATGATTAAATGTGTAGTCTCATTTTTTAAAAAGCTGTTAAGACTTACACATTAGCTTTATTTTTGTGAGCAAAAGCAATCGTACAAACCCAATATGGAACAACTCAATTCTTAACTTGTAACCAGTAAAGTGAACTGAATGTGAAAACCTGAAATTTATACAATAATTCTCAGAACATGCACAGTTGCATATGGCTACGTATTTCATGCTTTATTTTGTCTAGATGGTTTCAGACTTCTCTTTGCTGGTATACCAAAACGTAAGGAAGAAAGATAAAGGACCAGGAAAAAAAATTACACTTGGGCAAGTTATGGTATCTGCTGATTTTATACAGCAAAATCTGGTTTACCTTAACAATGCTGTAATTCTATAGCACCATGACAACCAGGCTTTTTGCAAAACTCTTGTCAGTTCCCAAGAAGGAAGGAAAGTGAAAAGAGGAGACCCACGGGCAAGCTAAGCCTCGCTGGAAGATCAACAACTGGACAGCTCACTCCTGAGATTCCTTTCCAGCATACAGTCGCCCTGGCTTTCCTCAAACGCTATCCAAAAGCACTTCAGTTTGATTCATGTTTGCAAACTTTCCAAGCTGACTCCAAGACGTTATTAGATGTGGATCACTCCCAGAGGAACATCTCAGAGAAACAATGGTTAGTGAATTCTTTAAAGTGCAATAAATTGGAACAGACAAAATTCGGCATATGTATTTTGAGTTGGAAAGTTAAGGAAATAATTTATTGAACATACTTCTTTTGTCCGCTGTTACTCTGATATTCTTGTTTAAAAACCAAGCCATCAAAGTTATGTAGATCATGTCTCTCTCTTCCCCCAAACAAAAGCTTAATTCTTTTTTTTTTTTTTTTTTTGAGACAGAGTCTCGCTCTGTTGCCCAGGCTGGAATGCAGTGGCATGATCTCAGCTCACTGCAAGCTCCGCCTCCCGGTTCAAGGGATTCTCCTGCTTCAGCCTCCCGAGTAGCTGGGACTACAGGCGCCTGCCACCACGCCTGGCTAATTTTTTGTATTTTTAGTAGAGATGGGGTTTTACCGTGTTAGGCAGGATGGTCTCGATCTCCTGACCTTGTGATCCGCCCGCCTTGGCCTCTCAAAGTGCTGGGATTACAGGCGTGAGCCACCACGCCCGGCCACAAAAGCTTAATTCTATTAAAAAGTCAATTGCTATCAGTGCCTTTTATCCCCCTTAAAATAAAAACAACAAATTATATAGATTTCATCTACCCCTATTTCCCAGATATAAATTAAATTTCTTCCACATTTAGGCAATTCCAAAACTAAAAGTCATCTTTGCCCATAAAAGAAATATTTGCACAAAGTAGCTTATGAATTATAGTACCTGGCCTTTCTACACTATCTTTCAAAATAAAATCAGTAAGTAGAAAATAGGAGCCCAGGTTTCATACTAATATTGCATTTAAATTTTTTTTTATTGTATTTTAGAGACAGAGATTCACACTCTGTCAGCCAGGCTGGAGTGGCACAATCATGGCTCACTGTAGCTTCAAACTCTTGGGCTCAAGTGATTCTCCCATCTCAACCTCCCAAAGTGCTGGGGTCACGGGCGTGAGTCACACCATGCCCAGCTGGAACAATAAAATGTTTAAGTTGGCTGGGCAAGGTGGCTCACGCCTGTAATCCCCGCACTATGGGAGGCCGAGGCGGGTGGATCACCTGAGGTCAGGAGTTTAAGACCAGCCTGGCCAAGATGGTGAAACCCCGTTTCTACTAAAAATACCAAAAATTAGCCAGGCGTAGTGGCGGGTGCCTGTAATCCCAGCTACTCAGGAGGCTGAGACAGAAGAATCGCTTGAACCCGGGAGGCGGAGGTTGCAGTGAGCTGAGATTGTGCCATTGCACTCCAGCCTGGGGAACAAGAGCGAAACTCTGTCTCAAAAAAAAAAAAAAAAGTTTAAGTTATATTCACATAATTTCCTTGTTTGAAAATGGAATTGATGGCAATCTAATTTACAGCAACCTATTTAAACATAATTACTAGAATATTTTAATTTTTCAGACAGAGTCTTGCTCTGCTGCCCAGGCTGGATTGTAGTGACACAATCTCAGCACACTGCAAACTCCACCTCCCAGCTTCAAGTGATTCTCCTGCCTTAGCCTCCTGAGTAACTGGGATCACAGACACACGCCACCACATCTGGCTAATTTGTGTATTTTTAGTAGAGATGGGGTTTTGCCATGTTGGCCAGGCTGGTATCGAACTCCCGGCCTCAAGTGATCTGCCCACCCCAGCCTCCCAAAGTGCTGGGATTACAGGTGTGAGCCACTGTGCCTGGCCAATTACGAGAATATTTAATTACTAAACATAGTAGAATACACATTTAAGCAAAACCCTCATTTGGACCACTTAAGAGTGAAGGCTTACAAAAACTAGTAAAAGTCTAAAGGAAATAGGTTTTGCATCTTTCCAATACGTAATAAAATTGCAAAGTCAATGTTTATAATGTATTAAGTAGAAGCTCAAATGCTTTTAATAGGGAAAATTTAATTTGGACATACTAGTAAAGTATCTAAAACATTTATTAAATTATTTTTGTCAAGTATCATCTTTACTCATAGATACTACCAAAGAGCAACCTAGACAGTAAAATTAGTTCCCGTATCTGAGGACTCCAAATTAATAAATTTTAATATATTAATATTAAACAGAGCATGCATTTTTAGAAGGATGCAAATTTCTACTCCTTCATATCCAGAGATTAAATTCAGCAAAGCTAATGGACTTGTTAACACTTACACAGAACATGGAAATAGGTCCTGACTACATACATACTCCACATAACTACTGAAAACTTAAAACCCAGTTGCTTATTTCATGGCAACCTGGTAGAATAATTATGTAATAAACGACAATAAGAAAAAGCCACTTATCATATAGTCTAGTCTTTATTGAAAGACTTACTTCAACTGTTGTTTACAGCTTTGGCTTAAGTTGGCCATTTTAGCCTCTCACTGCCAGCAGACATAAAAATCAAGTGGGAATGGCACGGGGGTTGGGAGTGAAAATACTAGTAGAGAAATTATGAGAACAAAGAATATGGCAGTCAGTCAGAAACACATCACCAAAATAAATCTCAAAATAATTATGAAATAAAAAACATTTCCTTGCATGCCCAAAAAGTCTCTGCTGATGTTTTTGATGAACGGGGTGGGGAGCAACGATTCTTAGGCTTAAGTTGGATCAAGATAGCATTGGGTCATGTTATAAAATCATCTGTTAGCTCAACAGCCATACTTTTAATTAATTCATTTATTTTTTGAGATGGAGTCTCGCTCTGTCGCCCAGGCTGGAGTGCAGTGGCGCATTTTCAGCTCACTGCAACCTCCACCTCCCAGGTTCAATTCTCCTGCCTCAGCCTCCCAAGTCACTGGGACTACCAGCGCCCACCAGCACGCCCAGCTAATTTTTTTGTTATTTTTAGTAGAGATGGGGTTTCACCATGTTGGCTGGGCTGGTCTCAAACTCCTGACCTTAGGTGATCCACTACCCGCCTCAGCTTCCCAAAGTGCTGGGATTACAGGTGTGAACCACCATGCCCGGCAACAGTTGCACTTTTTTTTTTTTTGAGACGGAGTCTTGCTCTATTTCCCAGGGTGGAGTGCAATAGCACAATCTTGGCTCAGGGCAACCTCCGCCTCCTGGGTTCAAGAGATTCTCCTGCCTCAGCCTCCTGAGTAGTTGAGACTACAGGCACGGGCCACCACGCTTAATTTTGTATTTTTAGTGGAGACAGGGTTTCATCATGTTGGTCAGGCTGAGCCACTGCGCCCGGCCCAGTTGTAGTTTTTAAATGGTACATTTCATTTGGATAAGTAGCTTTGTATTTTAAAAACCACTTAATGGCCAGGTGCAGTGGCTCACGCCTGTAATCCCAGCACCTTGGGAGGCCGAGGTGGGTGGATCACGAGGTCAGGAGATTGAGACCATCCTGGCCAACATGGTGAAACCCTGTCTCTACTAAAAATACAAAAATTTACTAGACATGGTGGCATGCATCTGTAGTCCAGCTACTCGGGAGGCTGAGGCAGGAGAATAGCTTGAACCCAGGAGGCGGAGGTTGCGGTGAGCCGAGATTGCACCACTGCACTCCAGCCTGGCGACAGGGCAAGACTCCGTCTCAAAAAAAAAAAAAAAAAAAAGCCAGACACCGTGGCTCACGCTTGTAGTCCCAGCACTTTGGGAGACTGAGGCGGGCGGATCACGAGGTGAGGAGATCGAGACCATCCTGGCCAACATGGTGAAACCCCCATCTCTACTAAAAACACAAAAAAATTAGCTGGGCATGGTGGCACGTGACTGTAATCCCAGCTACTCAGGAGGCTGAGGCAGGAGAATCGCTTGAATCTGGGAAGCAGAGGTTGCGGTGAGCCAAGTTCTCATCACTACATGTACTCCAGCCTGGCGACAGAGCAAGACTCCATCTAAAAAAAAAAAAAAAAAAAAACCACTTAATATGAAATAACTTCCATTAACTGATCATGAAATTTTGCCCTCTTTCAGATTAAGATGAAGGACACTTCAGTCACATGTTTACTGTGGCAATATAACTAGTCTGGATAATTTTATTAAATCATAGAATATACAGTCAGGAAACACTACAGCTATATTTAGCTGTTAGTTATCTCAATAAGCTACTTAATTTACTGGCAGACCAAAACAGGCATACTAAGCATTTTTATCAATTAAAAAAAGTCTTCAGTTGTTCAAGTTTCACATATACTCATAAAATTTTTAACTCGGGGGCACAGTTAACATAATTTATTGAGTGTTCTCCCTATAAAATATAAATTAACTTTTCCAAAAACATTCCTCAAAGATACTATAAACAAAAGAAATAAGGGTATATTTTATAACAGAAGAGTGTAATAGATGACCATTATGGTAAAACTAAGGTGCCATAAAAAATTTGGCCCAGCTATGAATTTCAGACCCTATGAATTTTTATGTTGAATACATTTGGCTATATTGCTAAGTGGGAAAAGGAGGAAAGTAATACCAAAATTATTGTGACCACCAATTTATAAAATCATTATTTTAAAGCTAATCGTAAAACTTCAAATGTTTAGAAAACAGTAATTTGTGGGTACTAATCGCATCTTACTATGTAACTGTAAAAGGCTATTTTCTCTTTGGTGCCCAGGCCAGCATTTTGAATACATTGCCAAAACATTTGCACTCCCTAGCTCTGACAATTCAAATACATAGGATTTTATCTATTTTACATTCCTGTTTGATAGAAATTTGAGGCAAATTTTACCCACACAGCCTGAAAAATACCTTGAAAGCAAACCTCGGTCTTCTGCATCTTCCAATTGATTCCTTTACAAACTCTGCACACATACAACTTAAGCCTCTGCTCAGGCTTATTATACCATGCACACTGCCCACAAGGAAAAAAATTAATTGAAAATAAAAGCCACAACTCTGTGTACTATTTAAACTGAATATCCAATTATAAATTGGTACATTGAAGTGTCTAAATAAGATGTTTTTAGCAATCTTGTTAAAAAAATTCTTGGGCAAAATATATCTTAATTTTTAAAAACACCCCAAGATTTTTAAAAAACACTTGTACTATACAACTTATAGTAACCTTGAAATTGGTTTACAAGGTTTTAATCAAGGTATTTACATACCAAGTAATGTAAAGCAAAAAAAAAAAAAAAAAAAAACAAAAACAAAAAACTAATTCCCAATGACATTTTAGAACATACTAATGCATCAAAGATTGTATGAAATTAAAATTAAGGCTTTTTCTGCACAATTTGTGTAATTTTAATTTTACATAGTAGCCAACCTTGGAAATGTCAGTCTTAACATTCTGATCAATCCACTGCATTCAATGCAGCGGAGTGTGTTAAGTGTTACTTCAAATAATTACATTGCTGCTACTTCTATGTTGAAGCATGCTTTTTAAACACTGTAGTTATTGAATATTTACAATATGTATCATTTAAACTTCATGTAAAAGCACAAGTATGACTGTCTGACTTCAATACAAACACCATACTTGGATTTCCCCCCAAAATGAAATGTAAAATACTACAATTTTAATAATCGACACTTTTGGAAGTTTTAAAAATATGTCTTAACGTGGACCACCAACATTTGCTCAAGTAACTCAAACAATGCTGTTCCTTTTTTAGGGTGCAAAACTTCAGTCTGGCTTCAGTTTCTTTAGGCATAGAGAAAGAAAATATTTCCTCCAAAGCGACTCCAAAATCACGCATTTCTTCTGAATATCACACTTTTTCTCTGCTGACTTCAAATGTGGTCCACCTCAGGGAAGGGGAGGGGAGTATCAGGATTCAGGATGAACTTATATGTGATTCCCAGGTTTTCACGATCCTCCCTTTTTTGCTCTTTTAAAAACACAGTGAGTTAAAATACTGAACAGCAAGATAAAAATGGAATAGTATCTAAGAATCAAAATGTATTAGCCATTTTTCCTATTATATCAAAATTTGTAGTCAGAATTGTCTTTATTGACTTTATTTTAGTTTTTGTACATAAAGAAAAATCATGTTCATATCCATCATGAACAAAAACTTAAAAAGGCAGAACTAGAAGACACGTGTCCTTCACCAAAGCAAATCTGTGCTAAAGGTTCCAAACATTTCAATTTTTAAAATAAATATTTTCATTTTCCGATGTCTACTTTCATGTCTTCAGAGTGTCACAGGAAATCGAAGCCTATCATGAATTACAATTTTTTTTTAGAGTCCCGGCTCACTGTGTTTGGTAACTTGCCATACCATATCCGGCTTGGTTAGGAGGAGGTATTACAGGGGGAGGAGCTTGTCCTTGGGGAGGCTGAGCACCAAATCCACCCATCCAAGCAGCAGAAGGTGATTGACTTGGAAGAAAAAGAAAAAATCTTCAGCAAACACAAGAAAAAAAAAATCACATATGTATTTACACAAAAATCAAGCAGAGCCTAATCACAGAATAGAAAACCAGAAATCAACACACCTACAACAAATAGAAAGATCAAAGAAATAAATGATATATGTGTAGAATACATATTCCAGTATTAGTCTTTGATATTTTTAAGATAACCACAACTTAACACACTGATGTCTGAGGAGTATCTGCAAACTAATTTTTTAAAAATTGTGAATGATTCAACACATCATCTATTACATAAGAAATTTTAAAAACAAGTTCATGTTGGAAACAGTCTCAAAGGAAGAAATCTGAAAATAAAGCTATGGGCTGGCCCTGGGCAGGGGAATTACAAAGGAGGAAACCACTCTATCAACAAAAGAAAAAAAAAAAAAAAAAAGGCCAGTTACTTTGTATCACACAAACCTCAGATTTCTCACACATACCACATAGGCATAAAACCATCAAACTTTTGAATATATCTGGACAAAGATCTTTTACATGCAAAAATAAATAAAAGTGTATCAGAAATGTAAATCAAATTCTACCAACTGCTTACAGGGATCATAGGACACACTAAATGTTACCCCAATCCCCCCTTTCCACCTAGGTAATGAGAAGTAATTTCTTAGCCTCATAAATCATATTTTGTTAGATTAGTTTCTATAATGCTCATAATGCCAAATAGCTCAATGTATATAATTAAAATAGATTCTCCCTAGGAAAACACACTTTTATTTATTTTGTCAGAACCATACGTTTCTATACTGGAAAAACCCAAACAACTTACTCTACTCCAAATCCTTGTTGATTCCATGGTTGCCCGTATACTCCATAAGGCGGTACTTGCCACCCATTTGCCATATACTGTCCATACTGTTGTGGGTTTCCATACACTTGGCTCCATTGGCCCCATTGACTATAGTCAACCTAGGAAAAAGCAAAGTATTGTTTTAGGGAACACATAAGAAACACCGTATATGAAGAAAGAGTGGGAGACAAGGAAGAGAAAAACTAAGTAAGCACCCTTATGTGAATAGGACTCTGTTATTTATCATTGTCTAAGTTTATTGGGGTGGTGACACCTGTGAAAAGAAAGTATTAAGATTCAGTTAATACCGCAAATAATCAATTTTGAAATACAATCAACTGAAAGTAGCTATATGCTTTATTTTATTGTTCATTTTACAGAGTTTCCAAAGCTTTTATGTGACATGTAAGATGGAAACCTTAAAGAATGCTATGAAAAATCGAATTACCTGTTGGAAGTTTTTAGTCATATCAGGAGATTCTTTACCCCAATAGCATTTAACCACATGTCCTTCAATCGTAGTACCGTTCACCGAAACAATGGCATGGGCTGCACTTTCATGGGTTGAAAATCTAAGAAAGAAAAATGATATGGTTTTGTCTTTTATTTTTTAAGAACCTAACACAATAAATAACATGGAAACTCATCAGTTTACACCTGCAAGTTGGTATTTTTTTTCTAAAGTACATTAGGTAGGTAGCTTAAACTTCTATACTGCAAAGAAGCACTAAAATAACAAACACTGATACCCTGGAGAACATAAGTGAAAGGAATGAATCAAATATAAGAGTAATAATGATATTTCAAGTAGAGTGTTACCTGACAAATGAATAGCCCTTTTCTGGGAAAACTCTTATTTCCATAATTTGTCCAAATGGTGAGAATGTCTGTCTCATAAGCTGATCTATAAAACAAAACATACAAATAAAACATGGCTGATGTGTATCATGAAATTCATATGAACAGTGATGAAGCTCCTCAGAGGTGATTAGAAAACCAAACATTGTACCTGTTAACCCAGACGCAATTCCTCCACAGTACACAGTACAATTTTTTGGACTTGACTGGTTTACTACATCTTCAAATCTCAACTGCTTAGTGTTGTCTGTATGCAGAAACAAAACAAAAACGTTGACTGTTATATTGTACTATGAAACTCTTCTGTTAATTACTATATACTATTAAGATATGCCTCAGGCCGGGCACCCAGCACTTTGGGAGGCTGAGGTGGGCAGATCACCTGAGGTCAGGAGTTCGAGACCAGCCTGGCCAACATGACGAAATCCTGTCTCTACTAAAAATACAAAAATTAAGGCAGGGCACGGTGGCTCACGCCTGTAATCCCAGCACTTTGGGAGGCTGAGGCAGGTGGATCACGAGGTCACGAGTTCGAGACCAGCCTGACCAACACGGTGAAACCCTGTCTCTACTAAAAATACAAAAATTGGCTGGGTGTGGTGGCACACGCCTGTAATTCCAGCCACTCAGGAGGCTGAGGCAGGAGAATCGCTTGAACCTGCGAGGCGGAGGTTGCAGTGAACTGAGATCGCACCACTGTACTCCAGCCTGGGTGACAGAGCGAGACTCCACCTCAAAAAAAAAAAAAAAAAAAAAAAAAAGATATGCCTCAATGGGAGGAGAAAACATAATTTTTCTTGATGCTATGATTTGACACAGACTTGATCTATAAAATCAGGTGATTCACAGCTCCAAAAATACTTATACCACAGCCCAATTATTTTCAGATAATGAAATATAAAATGAAATAATTAGAGTCTTGCAACACTAATTAAATACTACGTCAGCCTGGACAACGTAACCAGACCCTGTCTCTATAAAAAAATTACAAATTAGCTGGGCATGGTGGCATGTCCCTGTAGTCTCAGTTACTCAGGAGGCTGAGGTGAAAGGATCACTTATACCCAGGAGTTTCAGGCTACAGTGAGCTAAGATCATGCCACCGCACTCCAGCCTGGGCAACAGAGCAAGACCCTGTCTCTTACATAAATAAATTAGAAATTGAGACTAGATGAATACATGATACATGATTTTGTGAAGAATATAATTTTAACACACACAGTGGACATATCTTACTTTCTTGTGTACTTTTAGGTGCAGGTGGTTTACGAGTGGCCCAATTGGTTCGGATTTGACGACCACCCAACCACTGACCGCCCATATGCACAATCGCATTTTCTGCATCCTATGGATAAAAAAGAAAGCACAATCACAAAGAAAAGAGTGATAAATAAGACTCTGTAAGATGAAATAAAATATCGGCGCTGCTGGTTCCATACAAATCAGTAGATGAATTTACTAAATATCCTAAACAAAACGAAACTGAACTATTACCAATTAGAAAACGATTTGAACTTGAGATTCAATCTAAGCAAAAACAGAATACTCTGGCCCTTTATCTTACCACTTCAATAAAATGTAGATGACCTGTAATCCCAGCACTTTGGGAGGCCAAGGCAGGAGGATCACTTGAGATCAGAAGTTTGAGACTAGCCTGGCGAACCCAAGTGAAACCATGTCTCTACCAAAAATATAAAAATGAGCTGGGTGTGGTGGCACATGCTTGTAATCCCAGCTACTCAGGAGGCTGAGGCAGCGCGATCGCTTGAACCCGGGAGGTGGAGGTTGCAGTGGGCTGAGATGGCACCACTGGACTCCAGCCTGGGCAACAGAGCGAGACTCTATCTCAAAAAAACAAAACAAAACAAAACAAAACATTGATTTAAGTTATTGAAACTGCTTTAAAATCAAAGCCCACTTTATTATTTAATGTTACAGTTAATGCAAATGCTTACTTTGGTACCCCTTTTACAAAGAATATATGCAAAAATCAAGATGAATTGCTTAAATTTTTATTTACATAATTTGTTGTAGTCATTCACATCCCAGTTATATAAGAGTATGAATAATAATTTAAAAGGTAGAGTTAAAACTGAGATTTTCATGGTTAAAACTGAATATAATTTACCTAACCTCTAAATTCTCAGATTAGCTCATCTGTCCTAGACTTGGGCTTTACTTCTAAATCCATCTGACCTTTACCAATGTACAAACACAATTTTAATAATCTTCCTTATAGTATAATCATTCTTTTTCTAGCTATTTATTTTCGAGTTTATGAAAGAGGAATGAAATTATACTCTATTATTAAAACATACATAACATTACATAAAAGTTGTGTTTGTAGTTAACATTCAAGTATATTCAAGTTTCAGATTCAATACATTAAGTAACTAATGACTAAATTTAGTATTAAAAAATATAAATTGAGATGGAAGAACGTACCAGTTTGTTATAAAAAGATACAAAACCATAGCCTTTGGATTTTCCAGTTGCCATGTCTTTAACTACCCGGGCATCCCTGTGAAAAGAAGCACAGCTAAATGAGGGAAGTAAGAGCCACCCTCAAAATAAAAACTAAAAGGAACCACACACACTGTATTGTGAGCATTTTTAAAATAAAATTCCAGTTAGCCCTAATTAACTACAACCATTCCTGAACTCTCCCTAATGCTTCTTTACCTGTTAGAAAAAAGCAGTAGGACAAAAACATGTAATAAACATGCAACCTAATCAAATAGCCTGTGCTTTCTAAACTAAATGCTCAAATTTGAAGATTAATAGGAACAACAGTTTCCCTTTCTAATATTCTATTTACTAGTGTCCTCTAAGGTTTACTGATTCTATAAATTACTGTAACAATACTAACTACTTTACCATGCAATCTCTAAATAGTTAAATGTCTTCTGCCTAGTGATACAAAATATATGAAATATTAAAAAATTGAAAAAGAGGAAAAAATAGGAATTAAAAAGGCATACATGGCCTGTTAACAGATTTCTTTATTTTTCTTGGTCAATTCTCTACCATCATTTTGGAGTTTGGGCAGCTGTAAATTTTGAAAAATTGACATTTTCAGAAATTTAAGAAAGGAGAATAAAAAACTAACAACAATGCTAAGCACACCAGTACGAAAACAACAAATTTACACAGAAATTTTAGTGAGTAAGTTAAATGATTGGAAATATAGAACTCCACTGAATATAGAATGTTAAAATGTAAATACTAAAATATGTATATATAAATAATGTATAATAAGAATAAATAGAAATGAGAAAAAAAATCTACAACTGAGTTCCAGTGTGCACAGTTCCTTGCAGTTAGCCTTCAAGATCCTGTCCATTCTTATGAGCAATTCTGCAAAATAACCAGAATGCTATTACTTTTAATTGTGACTTGGACTTAAGAAAAACTGCAGGTCTCAGGTATAAATAAAGATTGAAAAACAGCAACCTGTATTATTTTTATATTGATTTTTAAAATAGTACTACTTACCACATTTAGATTAAAAAGCAAAGCAAATATCAAAACAGAAAGTTAAGAATTACATCTTTTAAAGAAATTAAATCTATAGAACAACAAATTGTATAGAGAAAATATTGTTGTTCTTAGTTGAAACACTTTCCTGTAAAGTAGTACTAAGATGTTTAATTTAAATCTACAGGAAATATACAAAATAAACTGATTTTAATCAGAAAGATAAATTATGATAAACATTTTCTACAATTCATAACCATTTTTAGTTTTCCAATATATTTTTTACCAAGTAACAACAGTAAAATCTGAGCATAAATTTGTTAAAAATCAAACCACATTTGCCTCTTAACTAGTAGAATCAAATATCACTAACAAAAACATCTAATTAATCCCACATTTATGACTCATACATTGAAACATTTTAATAGTATAATAGTACTTTTCACTTATAGCTAAAATATCAAAAACACATTTATCATAATAAAACATGAACATTTCCAATTTAATCACAATATATCCAAGGATTTACCTACTCTCCCCCATTTATAAATTCCTCCTATAAAAGTTATTGAACTCTTACACAGTATAGATCACATTTACTTTTGATTAACTCATTATCCTAAACCATCAAATTTTGAAAACATATGACAAAAAGCTAGACTTTATAAGTTTTACCATTCAAACATCTGCTTCAAAGATAACAAACAGAATCACTTAAATTTTTTTTAACATATTATACACAGGATTAGATGAAAACGAGACCCCAAGACACTGAAATGACATTAACATTTTCAACAACATCCACTACTCAAAACAAACCAAAATAAATAAATGAAAAATAAGAAACAAAACAAAACCATACTAACTAGAGAAAGAAAATCTTAATTCAATTACAAGTTAATCATATACAATTCTGCCTATCATGACTGAGTGTAGTACTGATTATGATACTTACGATATTTTACCAAAGGGGGCAAATGCTGATTTGATATCTTCTGTTGTAATTTCTGGACTCAAATCCCCAACAAACACATGGAAGTGATCTGAAATCAGAGCATTTGGTAATCAAATACTTAAGAAGTCAGCCACTAAAACCTTTTTAAGGCAACTCTAGAGGAGGAAAAAAAAACCTATTTAAGCTGGTAATGCCTCCTGGATAATTTCAGAACTCTTCCACAGTAAAATGCAGCAGGAGTACTTACTGGAAGTATCTTTTTTCTGGCTACTTGGTGTGGTTGCCCAGTTTACTTTGACCTCCTAAAAATAAAGATTATATTTAATAAAATTATTAGGCATGTCATGAGTTACAACACTTACCACTTATTAAATCATTTATCAAGCAGGGTTATTTTTGTAAAAGCACTAAGCTGAATAAAGCAAAACCATCACTCAGCAGCCGAATATCTGCTCAAAAATTTGCCTAGAAAGAATACAAACTAGTTTGACATGCAAATATATGTACTCATAAGGTGCCATCATCCTATTATCTTACCTTTCCCAAAATTTTTCTCCCATTCATAGCAGCTAATGCAGCAGCTGCATCTCTGTGTTCATAAAATTCCACAAAGCAATATGGGTCATTGCTTGTATGCTGCAAAACAGAAAATCCAACAGAAGAGTTGACCCTTCTGCTATCGGGTTGCTGAGAAGAAAATCCAGGAAAAAACATTACTGATAGCTGGGAATATACAAGGTGAGACTGCATAAGCTTATGAAAGCCTAACACTTTTTAAATAAGATTTAAAGCTAAACCTGACTTTGCACCTCAGAATACTGCTGAACTCAAACGGAACTATAAAAGCAGTTGTAGAATCATGAGCATCAGTATTAAATGAAAATAAAGAATTCTGGTGAAGTGTGTTAAATATAAAATAGAAGATTATATTAAACCAAACAAAACCTCAAACTCAGATCTGATGAGGACCACTCCTTACCACTACTTTCCTTCTCCAATATTATTTTTAAATTACGTTCTACTTATGCATCATAATCCTCTATAAGTGGTATCCCAGGATACAGAAATACAGCAAGAACCAACTTCATAAACTACTGATCAAAATTAGGATCAATACTACAAATGATGGAATTCTATGCTGCTACAAAGACTGAATTTTATTGATTTCTTTTCTGGATATGGAAAGAATGAAAATAAAAACAAGAAAACTTAAGCTTTATAACCAGCTACTGAAATGAATTCCCTACCTTCCAAAATAGTCTAATGTACTGAAGATTCTATATACTTTGAATTTGGTCTTCCAAAGATCAGAGAAATAACAGTGGTGATCAAGAAAAGAGGTTCTGAAAATGTATCTGAATAAAATATTCCAAGACAAAGCTATAAGTTTACATCATAAGAACACCATATAAAAAATCTATATTAAATATATTCTGCAACCCTGTGCTTGACAGTAGTTACCTAAAACACATTTATAAAGATGTGAAGAAAGTAGTACTACCTAAGCTATAGCAACATTCTCACCTGACAACCAAACTAGAAATGAATTTCTATGAAACTGCAACCTGTACTGAATAGCTGCACAACTGTACAAATACATATTTTTATGTAAGGCTAAAAACATTCATCATTATTCAATGTAAAATGCCCTATAAGAATAATATTTAAAATGTGGAATTCTAGTTGGACTTACAAGGGATAAATATACCAGATAAAATAAAGATCTTTTCAACCACAACAGTTTTTCATTCCAGGAAAGTTTTAGAAGAAAAATCCAAAATAAGACGTCTAAACAATAGTGGCAAAGGAACCAGAAGGCATTTCCTTGAGGGAAAAAAAGTGGGATCGTTAATACTGACAACAAAACTATGGGCTCTCATACAAAATCCTACTGTTGTAGCCACGTGAATGCTGTTCTTAAGAGGTAAAGAAAGGAAATGGGGGAAGACTTCAAATGAAAACACACATTTAAATTCTTGTAAAAGAGTTATTACATTTACCATAAATATTCATTGAAGAAAGGACATCAAAATAAATAAGAGGCTAAAATTGTGCTAGTTGAGTTTTCCTTTCACTCCTATCTCTTTTGCCCCAATGGTCTCTAAGGAAAACACTGATAATCACAGCAAAACATACAGGGGTCCAACAGCAGATCTATGATAATCCCATACACTTTAGGAAACTAGTCTACTCGTGAATACCAATTTCAAATCTATCTAATAGTAGGCCAGCTCCCAATCAATGTATGCACGTGCATGTATATATACACATATATTCACTGACATCACATATTTTATATATTCACATCACACTGCATATCATCTAATTTAAGACACCACTTATTTCTAAGTCACATCCCAACTGTCAGATATTAAAATTCTAAAAAAATTTGACTTAGAATCAATAATATATATTTGTATTATATAAGGAAAGCTAGAATCTATGATAACAACATCTAAAGTAAAAAAAAAATCATAAAACTATGGGGGAAAAAGGATTTTTCACATACTGAAATGAAATTTATGAAAGAAAAATAAATAGCTGCTAGATACTCTGCTAGAGTTTATACCCTCTGGAAGCTTCTTATTTACACCACCAAGTGACATCCTAAAAATCAATTATGGGCTGGGTGCAGTGGCTCACACCTGTAATCCCAGCACTTTGGAAGGCTGAGGCAGCTGGATCACTTGAGGTCAGGAGTTCGAGACCAGCCTGACCAACATGGTGAGACCCCCATCTCTACCAAAAATACAAAAAATTAGCTGGGTGTGGTGGCGGGCGCCTGTAATCCCAGCTACTCAGGAGGCTGAGGCAGGAGAATCGTTTGAACCTGGGAGGCAGAGGTTGCAGTGAGCCAAGATCGTGCCACTGCACTCCAGCCCGGGCAACAGAGCCAGACTCTGTCTCAAAAAAAAGTGCTCACGCCTGTAACCCAAGCACTTTGGGAGGGCGAGGTGGGCGGTTCACGAGGTCAGAAGATCAAGACCATCCTGGCTAATATGGTGAAACCTTGTCTCTATTAAAAATACAAAAAATAAAAAAATAAAAAATATTAGCTGGGCATGATGGCACGCACCTGTAGTCCCAGCTACTTGGGAGGCTGAGGCAGGAGAATCACTTGAACCCAGGAGGCCAAGGCTGCAGTGAGCCGAGATCATGCCATTGCACTCCAGCCTGGGCAAAAGAGCAAGATTCCATCTCAAAAAAAAAAAAAAAAAAAAAAAATCAATTATGGCTGGGTGCAGTGTCTCATGCCTATAATCTCAGCACTTTAGGAGGATGAGGCAGAGGCAGGAGGATCACTTGAGCCTAGGAGTTTAGGACCAGCCAGAAGTTCGGGACCATTGGTAACATGGTGAAACCAATCTCTACAAACACATTTAAAAATGAACTAGGTGTGGCGGTGCTGTCCCAGCTACTTGGGAGACTGAGGTGGGAGGATCACTTGAACCCAGGAGGTGGAGGCTGCAGTGAGCCATGATGGCGCCACTGCACTCCAGCCTGGAGGACAGAGTCAGACCCTGTCTCTTAAAAAAAAAAAAAAAAAATCCGTTATGTCCCTACCTTATTTAGCGTTGTCACCAATTTTTGTTGGATGACATAAATGTCAAGACAGAGAAATATGAGACTTTACAAGCTCAAATCTAGGAGTTCTAGAATATGGATGTTATGAAAATTCATTTCGAGTCCCTCTACCCTTCAAATAGCTGTATGTATACATGGGGTTTTAAAAAATAGTTAAAATAAATCTTTACAAATGTTTCTCAAAAATTTTCTAGTGAGTCTTTCCCCACTTTCTCACAACCCGTTCTCTCCTAAACCTACTTCTGTCAGCTTCCAAGCTAACCATGCCACTGAAACTGCATGTTGAGCTCAACAATGACCTCTCTGCTGCTTCTGTGATTCCTTTTCCATCCTAATCTTTACTTCCAAGCAGAATTCACTACAGTTGACCACCATCCTCCTTTAAACATTCTCTTCTGTCTCCTACCACACTCTGGTTTTCCTGTTTCCTCACTGTAGGATCTTTCTTCCCTTACTCAAACTCTAAATGTTGAGCTTGTCCAGGGCTCAGACCTCACGGCCTCTGTGCTCTTCTTTACCATCATTCTCTCTCTGTGAACTCATCTAGTCCCATGGCTTCATGGATTCAAATACCACTGCAAGCTTCAGCACCGGTCTCTCTAGAGTTGCAAACTACTTTATCCAACTGCCTAATCTAACGTCCACTTTGATGTCTAATTCATGTCTTAAATCTAACATCCAAAACACAATTTCTGATTCCCACCACTCCCCATGGTGACATCCATCAGGTCACCCCCACTTTAGCAAATAAATAGCATTACCAACTATACAACTGCATTAACATGAATCTTAGGGTATTTCCTGATTTCTTCCTTTCCCTATGTCCCACAGCCAACCCAGTCCTATCAATTCTACCTCCAAAATATATTCCAAATCTATCAACCTCTGTCCTTATCTTGACTTCGGCTAGCACTTTCGAGAATAAGCCTCCATCATCTCTTACCTAGACTAGTGAAGTAAATCCAGATGGTTTTTCTCCTTCTGCTCTTGCCCGCTACAATCTATTCTCCATAAAACAGTCATTCTCTACATAGAGTAGTAAGCTTAAATATGCAAATCTTGGCACCTCATCCCCCTGCTTAAGCCCCTCCACTGGTCTGCCACAGCAATCAGAGTAAAACCTAAACTATGTCATGGACCATAATGTCCTGTGATTCTGAATCCTGCTGTTAGACTCATTTCCCTTAACTCCCCTCCATCCCTCACCAGACTCTAGCCATCGGTCTTTGATTCCACAAACACAAGTTCATTACCAACTCAAGACTTGTATTTGCTGTTTCCTCTGCCTCCAGCTCTTACCATAGATAGCACCATCTTGTTATTCATCTCAGCTCAAAGAGGTGACATCTCTCATCACCTAGCCTATATAGCACCAACCCTCCAATCATCACAGAACTCTGTTTTATTCTCTTCATGGCTTACATCCCTATTTGCTTGGGAAACTCATTTGGCTGTCTCTCCATTATATCTCCAGTACCTTGTATAGTGCCTAGTGCAAAGGAAATTTTTGATCGATGAAAGCACAAATAAATAATTAAAGGCAGGAAGGAAAAATATAATACACCAGAACAAAATGATGATTGTCATTACTTGGGAAAGACAATCAAAAGGCCAATGCACTTTAAAGGTTTTTAACAGTTCTCCGTTTCAGGATAAAACAAACTCTTTAGCACAGTTTCTAGCCCTTTCCATAAACTCCTGCCATCTCTTACGACTAATTCCATTTTAACTACAACCATGCTACGGGTTCTATTTTTCCCTCTCTGTCTCAAGCACTCCTGCTCTCCCTACCAACCTGGATCAAAGTTCCCTTTATTTGGAATCCCTTCTTCCCTCAATTCCTTTCTAGCCAGTATGTACTACTATCCTTTCAAGGTTTCCGCCTAGGCAGTGAGTCCTCCAAGAAGCCGCTCACTGACCTAAGGCTGCACTGGATACACATTTGCTCCCACAGCACTTTAAGTTGTCTGCTTCTAGAGCATTTATTATCCTACTTCCTAAGTGCCTGCTAACTCCTTTGTCTCCCTACTAAACTGTAAAATTCTCTGGGCCAAGGAACTATCTTTATTCACCAGTGTATCTCTAGCACTTACTGCAGTATCTAGTACATAGGAAATAGTCCAAAAAAAAAAAAGAAAGCTGATCAATGAACAAAAACACAAGGAAGAAAAGCCTAAAACATGACTAATTGGGTGCTGCTACAGTCTTAGCAGGAAAGTATAAAAAGGTAAGTATTTGCTACAGACACACGAGACGAACGGTGCTGCACACTACACACATAATAACTTCGTGTTCTCGCACATGAACACATGCTGTCTAAATCGTTAACATTCTTATTGGAATTGTATGAAATACTTTCCAATTTTTCACCATTCTGAAATGAGCTCTAATAATGTTCTGAAAGCAGAATCACTTCAAGATAACCACACCATGAAGAATGACCGTTTGAGCTTAACAGCACGGAAACTTTGCCCTCTTAAATAAAACTCCATTCTAAGCCTAGTTTGTCAGCCAAATCAAAGTAATAAGTCAACACAACACAAATCTCTCCACCAGAATAACTTGAGGCTTACAATGAAATTTTAAAATCATGCTAATCAACCCATCATGCTAATTGTCAGCACATGGAACTGGGAAGATCTTACCTCTGTTATCATTTTACAGCTTTTACAGGGTCCAATCTGACTGAACAACTGAAGTATAAGGACTTCTGTCACATCTCTGGAAAGGTTACCTACGTATCTGCACAAGAAAAAAATACGTTATCAGCAATTTTTCCTTTAGCTCTGGCTCTAATGTGTTATCATCTAATTCATCACCTTTTCTTTCTTTCTTTCTTTCTTTCTTTTTTTTTTAGATGGAGTTTTGCTCTTGTTGCCCAGGCTGGAGTGCAATGGCATGATCTCAGCTCACTGCAACTTCCGCCTCCCAGATTCAAACGATTTTCCTGTCTCAGCCTCCCAAGTAGCTGGGATTACAGGCGCATGCCACCATGCCTGGCTAATTTTTGTATTCTTAGTAGAGACAGGGTTTCATCGTATTGGTCAGGCTGGTCTTGAACTCCTGACCTCAGGTGATCTGTCCGCCTTGGCCTCCCAAAGTGCTGGAATTACAAGCGTGAGCCACTGCGCCCGGCCACCTTTTATTTCATTTTAACTTCCTCTGTTTTCAACAAAATTTCTCCAATTAAACCTGATCCTATGAAAGTAAGATTAACCCTTATTTAGGAAAGCAACAATTGTTCTTAGGCCACTAAAATACCACTCTGAAAGACATTTAAAGAACAAATCAATGTGATCTTGTATACCCCAATGGCATTATTATTCTGTACCCTGGATATCATTTTCTCATCTTATTCTAATTGTTAAAATTTTAAACTGGTCTCAAGATAACTACAATTTCTAATTAAAAATAATTTATAACACACACACACATACAACAAATACTAATTCATTAAAACATCTGATTGTAATAGGATATTAAACATAAAGTGAGTTTATCTTAGATTCCCAACCAAAGCAATTACATGAACAAAGAACAGAATTAAAGTTATAGTAAAACATACAGAGGGTGGAGGGTTTTTGTTGTTTTGTTTTTGGCTGAGTAAGGTTGTTTGCAATGATGTCTTCACTGTTTCATTTTAGGAGAGCAGGGTAAAATATAAAATTTCCTAGTCTAAAATGCATCAGAATCAACAAAATATATATGTATTTTTTTGAGATGGAGTCTCACTCTGTCACCCAGGCTGGAGTGCAGTGGCATGATCTCAGCTCACTGCAACCTCCGCCTCCCAGGTTCAAGCGATTCTCCTGCCTCAGCCTCCCAGGTAGCTGGGACTACAGGCGTGCACCACCACGCCCGGCTAATTTTTGTATTTTTAGTAGAGACGGGGTTTCACCATGTTGGCCTGGCTGGTCTCAAACTCCTAACCTCAAGTGATCCACCTGCCTGAGTCTCCCAAAGTGCTGGGATTACAGGAGTGAGCCACCATGCCCAGCCAACAAAATATATCTTAATGTAGATAAAAAAGCTAATACAAAGATTTCTTAAGAAATTCAGAGAAAAACTAAGACAAATCCAGGCATACTTTTGACTATGGACACTTAAAAATTTGGGTTTTTTTTCCTAATTACAATTGAATGTGTTTTGTGTAAAAGATTTTAAATACAGGAAAGTTTAAAAAAGAAAAGAAAAAAATGCTACTTCATCACACAGAGAGGACCACCTTGGTTTATGTCTTGTACTATGGATTTATCTTAATTTATCTAAATAAATTGCCAAACACTAAAGTCTTTCTGGTATTCTACACATAATTCCTCAAATTTGCATCTGTTATGAACAACCTCATAAACCAAACAATATCTGTAAAATTTAACAAAGTTCATTCTGGAAAGTAGATTTCTTTTTCTACTTGTAATATATTACATCTGGAAACTGAGTATTAAGACCAAAATAAGACTTGCAACATAGCTGCCACATTAAATACACAACATGCTTTAAGATGGAATACTCAAAGGGAAAAATAGACTGAGAAAGCTTAGGTTAAGTAAAAAACTTAAAAGATCCAATTAAGAATTAGTAGCGATTTTCCAGTTAAGAATTTTATTGCAATGAGTACTAATAATCTTAGTGTACCTGCTCTAAAATTGAAACACACATCCAATATTACCTAACTAGAGGACTAAACAAGTGACAAACTGTTTTACGTCCACTATGCCACCTTTTCCACGTAATTAAGGAGCTGATCCATCAGCAGGCCAATGTAGTGACATACTTTTTCCAGCAGGACTAAAAGGTTATTGGGTTATGAGCCAGCGATAGGCTGCTTGCCCCTTCTTAACTCATAGGGGTTTGTGAGCCTGTATCTCTGAAATGATTTCTTTTTGTACAGAGTAGACCTATCTGTAAGAAAAATGAACAAGTGACCAGGCATGGTGGCTCACGCCTGTAATCCCAGCACTTTGGGAGGCTATGGCAGGCGGATCATGAGGTCAGGAGTTTGAGACCAGCCTGACCAACATGGTGAAACCCTGTCTCCACAAAAAATACAAAAATTAGCCGGGCATGGTGGCGCGCACCTATAATCCCAGCTACTCGGGAGGCCGAGGCAGGAGAATCGCTTGAACCTGGGAGGCAGAGGTTGCAGTGAGCCGAGATTGCACCATTGCACTCCAACCTGGGCGACAGAGTGAGACTCCATCTCAAAAAAATAAATAAAAAAGAAAGAGAGAAAGAGAGAGAGACAGAGAGAAAGAGAGAAAGAAAGAAAGAAAGAAAGAAAGAAAGAAAGAAAGAAAGAAAGAAAGAAAGAAAGAAACGAACAAGTGATCTTGAGCTTCTAAACATTATGCTCCTTGCCTAAAGGGCTAGTTAGCTCACTTCTAAGAGAAAAGAAGGATGGATAAAACTGGTTTTCACATATTGAAGCTAGCTAATAACAAAATTAAAATAGAATTATCATTTTAATATAACACATTTTAAATGATTTAAATAGTTTTAAATTTCCATTACTGTTTAAACATCAATTTCTTCAGGAAAAACTGTATTGGAATTAGTTACCTTCTATATCTAATAGTCACAAAAAAAGCCGTCACTGCTTAATAAGATCTTTATTCCACCAGGTGTGGTGGCTCACACCTGTAATCCTAACACTCTGGGAAGCCGAGGCAGGTGGATCACTTGAGGTCAGGAGTTCAAGACCAGCCTGGCCAACATGGTGAAACCCCGTCTCTACTAAAAACACAAAAAATTAGCCAGGCATGGTGGCGGGCACCTGTAATCCCAGCTACTTGGGGGAGGCTGAGGCAGGAGAATCACTTGAACCCGGGAGGTGGAGGTTGCAGTGGGCTGAGATCGCGCCATGGCACTCCAGCCTGGGCAACAAGAGCGAAACTCCATCTGAAAAAAAAAAAAAAATCTTTATTCTAAGTCAACCTATTTCCCGCCAGTTACAGATCTTGAAGAATTTCTAGAGGCATATTTAGATATATTAATTTACATTTCTAGCACTGAAAGCAAAGATGAAAACGTTAATATCTAAGTTTAGAATGTCATGAAATATTTATTTAAAAATCCAGTATTAAGGTTTCCTATTTTTCAAATTATCTCCACTAAAAGTTAAATGTTAAGCAGCAAACTAAATTTCAAAAACTAACATGAAAGGCCTTCCATAACAACACATACAATATCTTAATTTACCAGGATTAAAAGGCCATGATTCACTATATAATTTCACCTAAACTTTACCCAAATTTCAGACTGCCTTTTCTTTTACTGAGTTCTTGTACCCAAATTTCAGATTGCCTCTTCATTTACATTTGCCTTCGTGCATCATAACACTTGAGAGACGTATTGTATAGCTTTTAAAATACTGTACTATTCTATTTTAAGTACTTTTACAGTATCATAAAATAATCTGTCCCAAAGTAAATACTAACAAAAATATTTAAGACAAAGTTCAATGCCTGACCTAGTAAGATCATCTCTTGGTAGTTCATTGAAATGACATCTTTATTCGTTCCAAATTATAGCTTCTACACTTCACTTTCTTTCTGCTCTGGTTATGAAATAGTCAAGCTAAAGATCCAAGTCTTTAAATATATAATTGCTACCTAAAGAACATACACAAAATAACAGAAAAAAGATAAATGGCTCTAATTTTTGTATTGAGAGGTCAATTCAAAGAGTAAACACTTAGGAAATTCCAAAATGATTTTTAACTCAACGAAAAAATTCAGAAGAGGCATACCTTAGAGTCTATTTTGTCTTCTAAGAACAGGAACTGTAGGAACTGAAGCATTAAAAACTGAAAATGACACCTTTATCTCTAATATCAGGGTTAAAATCCAATTTGGGGCTAAAAACTTAGCAGTTTCACAGTAGGCAGAAATTCACATTGCCAAACTACTTCCTGTGTCCGACTGGGCAGAATTTTAAGTTAAGAATATCATGCCTTTCAGAAGACTAATGACACTTTTTCAACACTGAATGTGCTCTCACTCTGAAAAGAGTAGCCCTACCAAGGCTGAAATTATCAGCACTTTCACACAAAAAACTATAGCTAAATTTCCATAATAGTTTTGCTTTTGTTCTTGACAAGTCCTATACAAGAAGAGATTTTGCAATAATATCCTTCAATAGATCTCTAATTAATTGTTCAATTTGTCGGTACAGTATTTCATTTTAGGAAGGAGGCATGATGGAAGATAGCTGCAGGAGGTACAACTAAATTGACCAACTATATATATGAGATATTCTCACACACACACACACACACACACACTCACTCTCTCTCTCTTACTTTAAAGAAACAAAGAATATGATTAAGTTGAATTTGAATGAGGGGCTTGATTATAGCCACAGTATAGCCAAATCCATGGTATAGCCAGTCAATTTTGTAATAGTTTATAGAATTTTCTTCTGCTTTGTTCTTAGATGTTCAGATTATACTCTAAATCATTAGCTTATTTCCAGGAAGAAAGAATAGCCTTAAAGGAAGGGATTGTGTAACATGGTATTACACGAATTCCTAGCAATTTTGGTGCATCCGATAGATGAAGAAAATAAAATAAGCTACAATAAAACACTATTACAATTTAGTGTCATATTGTAGATTCAGATATACCATGGATCAAATCACTGCACTACAAAGATACACACAACCCAAGCCTGAAATGTGTGTCCCACAAGGCAGGTGTCAGACAGTCCAGTTCCAACACCAGTATTACACAGCATGATCTTGTTTGTTTTTTTAGATCACAAGTTACTCAATGCATAATACCCCAAAATAAATGTCAAATGAGAATGAAGAACATCAGAAAACAGACCTTTAAAGCAACTATATGACAAATAGAAATTTAGGCTCAACATCAAAGCAATTCTTGCCACTTTAAATACCATCAAATAAATTAGTAATACTGTAGGTAATGAATATTTAAAGACCTACCTAGGCTCTAAACACCATATTGTTTTCTGAAGATAGAACCATATGTCTTAGCTTGTGTGTGTCTGCAGGAAAAAAACCTCACTAGTAACACACAGGCATCTTAAGGAAACAATTTAAGATAAGCTTTGTTAAGAACACATTCTTTTAAAACATACTGGCCACTTGAAAAACCTAATCCATAGCTCACAATGTAAAATATAAGATCTCCATAAACAAAAAACCCTACTAGATATCAACGTCTAAAATCATGTTCAGTTTTCATCATGTTACTTATATCTAATAGAACCCTTTGAGAATATGTAAAACGTACACTTAGAAAAACTATGCATTATTTGTATTAAACTCTAATAAAAATCCCAATTGTTAAACATTTGCTTTTATCTCAAGATTTTACATTTGAAGGTTTTAAAAAATATATAAAAGTCAACAGACTGCACCACATGTGACAGTAATGTCTGCCTACAATCTTAGTTCAACCAGGACTTTTAAAAAAGAACTTAATACTAATTTAATGAAAGAAGTATAATCACTGTAGAAATTCTGAGTACCTCTTATGTTCCAGGCAGTGAACTAAGTGCTGTGGGGGTAAGACCTAGGAAGATGTAGTAGTCCTTCTCTTAAAAAAAAAAAAAGGCCCTATGGAAAAGGGTGGGAGAAGGAAAAAGGAAGACAGAATAGTAAACACGTACTGACATACAAAACAACAGAGTTAAGATGTTTATTTATTCATATGAACATGTCACAGTTTTAGAGAACTGTAAACATAGACAACTTAACTGTTTCAAAGAAAGAACAAGAGATTAGAGAAGGTAGAGGAAGGAAATAAGTGACAAAGAAGTTAGCTTATTATTCCCCTGGAGAAACTCTGATAGGGATGAAGGCAAGGCAGATGCAAAGATAAATAAAAGACATCAAAAAAGCACATTCTTTAGCACTACAAAACCAGAGATTCCTCTTGGTAAGGAACAGATACAGTAAATGAGACCCCTGCCATGAGTATTTATCAATCATTCAGTGTGTGATGATACTTCAGATTTTTAGATACAATGTAACTTTTATCTTTGTTAAATACATGTTAGCTAGTCTTTAAGCCTAGCTTTCCCAGATGCTTATATCAAAGTACACATTGTAACTCAACACCAAGTCTTGGCTTCAACAGATGTTGAAGGATAAAATTTTTTTTTTAATTGTTTAGACGAACTCTCGCTCTGTCACCAGTCTGGAGTGCAGTGGTGCAATCTCGGCTCACTGCAACCTCTGCCTCCTGGGTTCAAGTGATTCTCCTGCCTCAGCCTCCCAAGTAGCAGGGACTACAGGCGCGCGCCACCACGCCCAGCTAATTTTTGTGTTTTTTGTAGAGACGGAGTTTCACCGTGTTGGCCAGGAAGGTCTCGATCTCTTGACCTCGTGATCCGCCCACCTCGGCCTCCCAAAGTGCTGGGATTACAGGCGTGAGCCACTGCGCCCGGCCTGAAGGACAAATTTCAAGTGTGTCCCAATTCTTTCTTCTAGGGAGAGAAGGCAGAAATGGAAGACAACACAAAACACAAAGACGTTCTATTAAGCAGGCGTTTCATTGAAGCATTGGATGTGCTTCAGTAGGCCTCAGATTCTCAAAACGGGACGGATACTTCAGTGAGACGTTAGAGAACACATTTATTCCTGTACAAGGCCACACCAAAAAAATCTCTATCAATACTGAACATCTATCTTCTTTACTGAGCATCCTTTCTTTGGTAGGAGTGAAGAGATGTGAAGCTAGTCAAACTTCTCGAGTGCCCCTCCACCTTCATCTATTCCCTAAAAAGCAATTTCCCCATCAGAGAGCAGAGCCAAGTGGACTATGATCCTATCAATACCAGGAGAGGCAAGAGAAACAAAGCAGCGATCTGACTCCTTGGTACTCAAGGTAGGAGTGCTAGACCTGGAGAGGCCGGGAAATTAGGGTGCCCAATTTAAACATTTAATTAAAAAGTATTCAGACTTAAAAAAAAAAAAAAAGATGCAGAGAAAAGGAGTGCCACACTATTCAGAAAGGAATGCAAATGCTGAGTCATCACTCTTCATTGGAAAGGAAGGAAACCAGAATTAAGTGGTTGGAAGATGGAATTCATTCATTAGATTGAGCTTCAGGTAAAAAGCAACAGCAAGACAGGAGAAAAAGCGTTCAGAAGACACACATCAAATAGCGGATGAAGACATAATTTTAGCCAACTCTGAAGCTTTCGACGCACAAACAGATTAGGAAGAGGCAACACCTAGAGAGCAAAAGGAGTTTAACAACTGGTTGTCAGTTTAGCGTAGGGAGCGCTCAAAGTAAACTTCTTTATCCAAGAAGGGAAAGATGCTCGGGCAGCAAAAGGTATCCCTTATGTACTTCAAAAGTAGCGGGCGCTAGGCGGGTGTTTCTGACAGCGTGGGCGGGGGCACGTGGGGCATAAAGAGAGAAGGGGCTTGAGTGGTGAAAGAGTGTCCTGCTTCCTCCGAGAGCTTAGCTGGGGAGAAGAGCTGGGAGCGACTCGAGCTGAGGACGTGGAAGGGGTGAGTGCTAATTCCTCAGGGCCCGCGGGGCCCACCCCCGGGCCCACCCCCAATCCTACCCCCGCCAGGCCCTTCCCCCGTGGGCGCCGGCAGCTCCAGGCCCAGCCCAGGGCGTCCAACGCGGAGGGGGTGCAGGAGTTCTCCTGGGCCTGACAGCCTCAGCCGTGCAGAAACCCGGCCTAGGGAGGGCATGCAAAGAAGGACGCCAGAGAAAAAGGTCGAGACAAGCCCCAGACCCCAGGAAGTGACTGTTTGGGGGAAGGGAGGATTTCCTTCCCAAGGAAAAGGGGACAGATGAGGAATGCACTTCGCGTCCACGCCGCCCTGGTCAGGGAGCCGCCTAGAGTCCCGGCTTCGGCCCAGTCTCTCCTGCTCCCTCCCTTAGCGTCCCGCGGTGCCCGGGCCTCTTGGCGCCTGGCACCCCTCGTCTCGGGTACTCACAGAGTCCGGGGCTGCCCGTCGTCTTCCATCATGGTGGGTGCGACGGAGCGATCCCGGGACAAGGGGGAGGGCAGGGTTGGGGAGGGGAGGGGGTGGGGAGGAAGGGGAGGGGGGCTCTGGGCACCGGCTGGGGACAGAGGAAAAGGCACCGAACCCTGCTCTCGGGCTCTCTCCCCCCAGCCCGCTCCGGACACTGCGCTCCAACCAGGAGGAGCAGGAGGAGGAGGAGGATGAACAAAATGGCCGCCGCCACCAGCCAGGCAGGAAACAGGGCAGAGCGCAGGCGCGACCCGCCAGGTCACCGCTCAGGCCAGCCGCGACAGCCTGCAAGGGGGACGACCGAGGGGAGAGAAAAAAGGGCCGCCGAGGAAACCCTGGGACCCGCTCACGACGGATCACGTCGTCGCTGTGGGCCTCTGGCCGGCCGAAGCCCAGCCAGCTCCGGGAGAGATCGGGCAAAAAGAGAAACGTCGTGAAGCCGAAGTCTCTGGGAATTGTGGTCCTGGAAATGAGAGAGGGAAGCACTTCTGCAGAGGACTTCTGGAACCTGTGGTTAAGAGGAGCCGCCGGCGCCCACCCGCGCTGGGACGTGAAGAGGAGACTTCTGGGTAGTGTAGTCATACGTGAGGACGTGCGACGACCAGGAAGTCGGCGGGCTGGGAGGTAAAGGGAAGAATAAAAGCGACATTGAAAGGCGGGGAGACCAAGTGGGGAAAAGCGCTGTCTGGGAAAGCGAACTACAAGTCCCAGAGTTCCTCGCGCCGGGGGCTGTCCTCGGACTGCTCCAGGCATTGTAAGGCTCTTCTGTTGGCCCAGTCTGAGCTGCTGCTCCGCCTTCGTCCAGCCCGAGAGCGGTTTCTTCAACTGTGGCTCAGGCAGCACTCTCCCTCCGCGTGGTGTCCGAGCCAGCAGGGCCGTCCGGCCCTCCTGTGTTCATCAGAACGGCTGGCTCGCGTTAGTCAACCGCCGCTTCGCGCGACAGTCAGAAGAGAGGCTGTGCTGGCGGGGACCCGGAGGGGTTGGGGTGTTTTGGGGACTCGATTTCCCACAAATAGGTATTTCTAGCCTATTTGTTAAATACAAGTAGGTGGCCTGCTTGTAAATTGCTTTACAAGTTTCAGAGGTTTCCCTATCAAATGTCTCATCGGATAGTGGGGTAAGAAGAGGAGCCCTATTATAATGACTTGCCCAACTCCCCCCGTATTCTTGGAGTTAAAAGAAAAAAAAATCCTTGGGCAGAGACGTGCACAAACATAAAGTTGCGTTTACAGACATCAGTCATGTGGGCTAGAAACGCAGTTTTGCATGAAGATAGGGGAAGCCATGTTCATACTAGCTCTGCATCCCTGTAGAATTTGTCTTCTCACCCCCCACAACAGTTCCTGGTGTGCTTTTTTCCTCCTCTAAGTACCTTCAGGAGAAAGTACTTGGTCTTGTAGCTTAGTGAAGAGTGGCGATGAAGAAAGATCTTTCAGCCCATTGCCAGAACTTAACTGCCCCGGTTAGTAATGGCTTAAGAGTTGCTTCTGCCGACATGTACTAAGTGCATGTCGACCTCTGCAAGTGGCGGTGCGTATGCGTGCCACTGAACATTAATCTTGAAAGCAGAATCAACCATGCAGCAAGCCCTTATGTTGTCCATTTTCAGGGGAGGAAATTTCAACCTGAAAGACTTCATAGAGACACGGCAAAGGAGTTGAGCCCCATAAGAGTCCGTAGGAACAACAAAAGGCTCAGACGCCAGGACCCATGGCTAAAATGTATGGGCTGGGGATGCGGGCGGGAGCGGGGGGAAGGGAACTAAAGCTAGAGAGGACCTTGTAGAACCGTGTTGTCAAGAATCTATTTCATGCTGAGGAATTTGAGCTTTCTCTTCCAGGCAGTGAGGAGCCACTCAAAGGTTTTGTCTATGTTTTTAATTGGACCTAGGTGTAGAACTGGATTTAATTATAATCCAATTCATTAACCCATGCCTGGCCCGCTGTGATAGTTTCCTGTTGATGCTGTAACAAATTACTGCAAATTTAGATACTTAAAACAACACGAATTTATTTTCTTACAATTCTGGAAGTCAGAAGTCCAAAATCAGTTACACTGGGCTAAAATCAAGGTGTCGGCAGGGCTGGTTCCTTGCCTTTTCCAGCTTCTAGAGGCTGCCTGCATTCCTTGGCTCTTGGCCCCATCCTCCATCTTCAAGAAAAGAAGCATAGTATCTTCTTTCTTCTCTGCCTCTGTACGTACATCGTGATTCTCCTGCCACCCCTTTTCATTTACGAGAACCTTTTGTGATTACTTTGGGCGAAGATTATCTCAAGATTCTTAATCACATCTGCAAAGTCCCTTTTAGCATAACATTCCCAAATTCTGGGAATTAGGACATAGAAATCTTTGGTGGACCATTATTCAGTTTACCGCACCCACCTTTATTACTTTAGTTTTGATTATAGCCACAAACCCACCACACTAAAAAGTTATAATGACACGAGTTTATATCTGTATCTATGCTATACCTCCTACACACAATAACACACACCCCTGCCTTCGCTTGGGGTAACCATCTTTCTGAATCCTGTCTTTACTATTTATTGCTTTCCTTCTACAAGGTTTTATTCCACATGTACATAGTCCTAAAAATCATATGTATATACATGTATATTTGAGTTTTTTTTTAACTTAGTAAAAAGAATATGCCCACTACAAACTAGAATGGTTAAAATGGGCATGTTTACTGGCAGTGAAATTATTAAGGTTAAAATCCAAAACACTAACACCACCAAGTGCTGGTGAGTATGAAAAGCAACAGGAACTATCATTCTTTGCTGGTAGGACTGCAAAATGTTATAGCCCCTTTGGAGGACAGCTTGTCAGTTCCTTACAAAACTAAACATAATGCCTAGGTACTTACCCAAATGAGCTGAAAACATGTTTACATAAAAACCTGCACACAAATGTTTACAGCAGCTTTGTTCATAATCATCCCAAATTGGAAGCAACTAAGATGTCCTTGATATAAGTGAATGGATAAACTGTCGTACAAGGTGGTACATCCATGCAAAGAAATATTGTTCAGTGATTTTTTTAAAAAGAGCTATTGATATGGTTTGGCTCTGTATCCCCACCCAATCTGATCTTGAATTGTACTCCCATAATTCCCACGTGTTGTGGGAGGGACCTGGTGGGAGATAATTTGAATCCTGGGGGCAGTTTCCCCCAGACTGTTCTTGTGGTAGTGAATAAGTCTCACGAGATCTGATGGTTTTATCAGGGGTTTCCGCTTTTGCATCATCCTCATTTTCTCTTGCTGCCACCATGATTCTGAGGCCTTCCCAGCCATGTGGAACTCTAAGTCCAATTAAACCTCTTTTTCTTCCCAGTCTGGGGTATGTCTTTATCAGCAGTGTGAAAACAGACTAATACAGCTCTCAAGCTACAAAAAGACATGGAGGAATGTTAAATGTACAGCACCAAGAGAAGCCCAGTGGAAAAGGCTGTAAACGCTACAACTTTAACTATATGACACTCTGGAAAGGGCAAAACTCAGTGGTTCCCTGGGCATCAGGGAAGGAGAGAGGGATGAATAGGTGGAACACAGGTCATTTTTACTGGTAGTGAAATTATTCAGTATGATACTCTCATAGTGGATACATGACCTTATGCATTTGTCAAAACCCATAGAACTGTGCCACACAAAGTGAGTCCTAATGTAAACTATGGACTTCAGTTAATCATAATGTATCAATAGTTGTTCCTCAGTTGTACATTTGTTGGAATTGATGAACCAATATTGATACATTGTGATTAACTGAAGTTTATATATCAATTATGAATTGATATACTTGTTAACACTAATATAAAACAGTAATAACAGGGGAAACTATGTTTGTAATGGGAGAGAGGGCACATGGGAACTCTGTACTTCATGCACAATTTTTCTATAAACCTAATACTGCTCTCAAAAGTCTATTACAAAGGAAAAAATTATGTCCTTGTAATCTTTTGAGACTGCTTTTCACTTAATTAACACACATAAGATTCAGCCATATTTTATGGCTATCATTCATTCAGACTATTATATGATATTCCAGTGTATAAATATACTACATTTGTCTGATTTCTCATTAATGGATATTTGGGTTGCTTCCAGGTTTTTATACTGTGAATAATGCTGCTATGAACATTCTTTTTTTTTTTTTTAACCTTTCTTTATTTTTATTTTTTTTTTTGTTTTTGAGATGGAGTCTTGCTCTGTCATCCATCTAGAGTGCAGTGGTGCAATCTCGGCTCACTGCAACCTCCGCCTCCCGCATTCAAGCGATTCTCCTGCCTCAGCCTCCTGAGTAGCTGAGACTACAGGTGCCCGCCACCACTCCTGGCTAATTTTTGTATTTTTAGTAAAGACGAGGTTTCACCATGTTGCCCAGGGTGGTCTTGAACTCCTGACCTCAGGTGATCCACCCGCCTTGGCCTCCCAAAGTGCTGGGATTACAGGTGTGAGCCACCACGCCCAGCCAGCTATGAACATTCTTGTGTCTCCTGTGATAGATGTGGAAGAGCCTTTCACCCCTCAGCCATTAGACCACCAGGGAGTGCAAGAGCTTTTCTTTGATCTATTTGGATCTATACCTAAAAGTGAAATTGTCAGGTAACAGGGTATATGAACACTCCATTTTGGTGGGTAACATCAAACCTTTTTCCCAAAGTGAATACACAAATTTGTACTCCCATCAGCATCGTTTAAGAGACTCTGTGAGCGGATCCACATTTTCTTCAGTACTTAGTTTTGTAGTCTGACAATCAAAGTATTAGCTCAATGTGGTCTTAATTTTTACTTAATCAATAAAGTTGAACATCTCCTCATATTCTGTTAACCATAAGTTTCCTCTTCTGAAGCATGCCCATTGATATCTTTTGCCTATTTTTCTATTATGTTATATGTGCTTTTCTCAATTTTTTAGGAATTTTTGATGCTAATTCTTTGTTATATATGTATATTACAAATATCTTCTCCTAGTTTGTAACTTGTCCCTCTCTTTTTAAAATGCTTTTGATGCCAGGCATGGTGGCTCACACCTGTAATCCCAGCAGTTTGGGAGGCTGAGGCAGGTGGATCACCTGAGGTCAGGAGTTCGAGACCAGCCTGGCCAATATGGTGAAACCTCGTCTCTACAAAAATGAGCCAGGAGTGGTGGCATGTGCCTGTAATCCCAGCTACTTGGGTGGCTGAGGTAGGAGAATCGCTTGAACCTGGGAGGCAGAGGTTGCAGTGAGCCAACATCGCTCCACTGCACTCCAGCCTGGGCGACAGAGCAAGACTCCATCTCAAAATAAATAAAATAAAATGGTTTTGATGAACAAAAGCTTTTAATTTTAAAATGGTCAAATATCTTTATCTTGAGTGTATGTGTGTCTTTGTTTAAGAAATGTTTCCCTACCTCAAGGTCTAAATTATAGATTATAAAAGATACTCATCCATAGAAACTAAGAGTTTTAAAATTTGATATTTTCAGGGATCCCAGGAGGATAAAAAATATATAAATAAAAAATGCAACTTTGAGCCGGGTGTGGTGGCCCACACCTGTAATCTCAGTACTTCGGGAGGCTGAGGCGGGTGGATCACTTGAGATCAGGAGTTCAAGACCAGCCTGGCCAGCACCCCTTCTCTACTGAAAATATAAAAATTATAAAAATATAAAAATTAGCCAGGCACCTGTAGTCCGGCTACCCAGGAGGCTGAGGCATGAGAATCACTTGAACCTGGGAGGTGGAGGTTGCAGTGAGCCCAGATCACACCACTGCACTCCAGCCTGGGTGACAGAATGAGACCCTGTCTCAAAAAATAAAATAAAACTTTGATATTTGGAGTCATTAATCTACCTGAAGTTAAATTTTGCATATGTGTAGGGTAGGGATCCAATTTTAAATTTTCCATACGGATAAGCATTATTTTCAAGCTCTATTGAACACCCTCCACCAAGTTGATCTAACATGTTCCCTGTGTTATTGTGCAATTTGAGTCCTTTAAGAAGAAGATCACAAGAAACTAAATGTGCAAGAGATGGACTGAAGGAAAATCTTGTAAAAAAATGAAAGGAGGAGGGAAATGGAATAGTCAAGGATGCCCACAGTTCAGGTTGGACACCTGTGAAAATAGAGAAGGAAGGAGGGCTGAATGGGAATTGTCTCAGACTTGGTGCAGCTTTGAGAAAGCCCTGGCTAGCCCTGTGGGGAGCCCCAGAGCAAAGACTGCCCCCTAGAGGAGTCCCATGGATTCTAGCTCCAGTACCTCCACAATCTCAGTCACTGGCTGAAAGCAGTTCTGGGAGAGCCTGCTCTGGGAGAGTAGTCACCTGAATACTGCCATGGACATGAAGACGCAGCACTTGGAGGTTGTCCACTAACTACACTCCTTGCAGCAGGTTCTCTTGGAGGGAGGTCTGAGCAGCACAGCTTCATGGCCACCAGGGATACCAGAGTTTCATATAGACTGAGTTTATTATTATTATGGACTCCAATGGAGTAGTCCATTGGCCAACTTGTCTATGCCTGTGCCAATACCAAACTACAGCTTCATTATAAGTTTTCATCCTGGTAGGGTATGTCTCCTTCTTGCTCTTCTTTAGAAGGGTGCTGGCTATTCTTGGTCCCTCACTCTTCCATATATATTCAGGGGTTTTAAGCAGAGGACTAACATCAGATCTGTATAGTAGCAGGATAACTCAAGCATTAGTGTGGGGTATTATAGGAATGAAAGATAGCAGGCTGAGAGAACTTCTGGGAGATTATTTCAACAGTCCAAGTAAGAGAAAAGGAGGTATATGTTGAGTGGATTTAGGCAGTATCAGTGAGAAGAGTCTGAAGATTATGGATACAAGAGAACAGGGCAGAAGGATGAGAGAAAGGGGAAACTGAGATAACTCCCATGTTTGTTTGAGATGGAGTCTCACTCTGTCGCCCAGGCTGGAGTGTAGTGGTGTGATCTCAGCTCACTGCAGCCTCCGCCTCCCAGGTTCCAGCAATTCTCCTGCCTCAGCCTCCCTGGTAGCTGGGATTACAGGCACATGCCACCACACTCAGCTAATTTTTTTTTTTTTTTTTGTATTTTTAGTAGAGGTGGGGTTGCACCATATTGGCCAGGCTGGTCTCAAACTCCTGAACTCAAGTGATCTGCCTGCCTCAGCCTCCGAAAGTGCTGGGATTACAGGCATGAGCCACTGCGCCTGGCCAACTCCCATGTTAATGGCCTGGCTGACTGTCTAGACTGGGGCTTTTTTTTTTTTTTTTTTTTTTTTTGAGATGGAGTCTTGCTCTGTCATCCAGGCTAGAGTGCAGTGGCGTGATCTCGGCTCACTGCAACCTTCACCTCCCAGATTCAAGCAATTCTCCTGCCTCAGCCTCCTGAGTAGCTGGGATTACAGGTGTGTGCCACCATGCCTGGCTAATATTTTTCTATTTTTAGTTTCACCATGTTGGTCAGGCTGGTCTCGATCTTCTGACCTCTTGGTCTGCCCACCTCGGCCTCCCAAAGTGCTGGGTTTACAGGCGTGAGCCACCATGCCTGGCCTAGACTGGGGCCTCTTATTGAGTCAGGGAATATGGGAGAAGAAACAGGTTGTAGGGAAAGTTCATTTGGTTTTGTACTTGCTTGTGGGGCATGTATTTTAAGCTGTCCATTGTATAAATGGACATAGCAGTCTGGAGCTCACTCAGACTGGCTTTGGGAGTAATAAATCTGCAGGTGTAGTTTAATTTTAGTATTAGAGAAAATATTCCCTGGGGAAGGCATGGACGAGGAGTGGACTAAGAATCCTGGAGGTTGCCGACATATGAGAAGTCAGAAGAGGAACTACTTAAAAACTTGATAAGAAACAACCAAAGGGGCTGGGCATGGTGGCTCACACCTGTAATCCCAGCACTTTGGGAGGCAGGTGGATCACTTGAGGTCAGGAGTTAGTGAGACCATCTTGGCCAATGTGGTGAAACCCCATCTCTACTAAAAATACAAAAATTACCTGGGCATGGTGGCACACACCTGTAATCCCAGCTACTTGGGAGGCTCAGGCATGAGAATTCCTTGAACCCAGGAGGCAGAGGTTGCAGTGAGTCAAGATTGTGCCACTGCACTCCAGCCTGGGCAACAGAGCCAGACTCCTTCTCAAAAAAAAAAAAAAAAAAAAAAACTACCAAGAGGAAAGAGCATCACACCCACCAGGATGACTACTACTGACCCAAAAGGGAAAATAGCAAGTGTTGGCATGGATGTGGAGAAACTGGAATGCTTTGTGCACTGCTGCTGGGAATGTAAAATGGTCTAGCTGCTGTGGAAAATGGTATAACAGTTCCTCAAAAAATTGAAAATATAATTACCATATGATCCAGCAATTCTACCTCTCAAAATATACCCAAAAGAATTGACAGCAGGGTCTCAAAGAGACATTTGTACCTCCATTGCTGTCTTCTGAGTTTGTCCTCCCAAAATTCATATGTTAAAACCTAAACCAAGGTGATGGTATTAGAAGGTGGGGACTTTGGGAGGTAATTAAGTCATGGGGGTGGGGCCTTCATGAATGGGATTAGTGCTTTTATTAAAAAGACCTTGAAGTCCAGCATAGTGGTTCACGCCTATAATCCTAGCACTTTGGGAGGCTGAGGCGGGAGGATTATTTGAGCACAGAAGTTTGAGATCAGCCAGAGCAATATAGTGAGATCCCATCTCTAAAAAAAATAAAAAATTAGGCTGGGTGTGGTGGCTCACGCCTGTAATCCCAGCACTTTGGGAGGCTGAGGCGGGCAGATCGCCTGAGGTCGGGAGTTTGAGACCAGCCTGACCAATATGGTGAAACCCCGTCTGTATTAAAAATACAAAAATTATCCAGGCATGGTGGCGGGTTCGTGTAATCCCAGTTACTCAAGAGGCTGAGGCCGGAGAATCGCTTGAACCCAGGAGGTGGATGTTGCAGTGAGCTGAGATCCTGCCACTGCACTCCAGCCTGGGCAACAGAGTGAGATTCCATCTCAAAAAAAAAAAAAAAAAAAAATTAGCCAAGCATGGTGGTGCATGCCTGTAGTCTCATCTACTCAGGAGGTTGAGATGGGAGGATTGCTTGGGCCCAGAAGATCGAGGCTGCCGTGAGCCATGATTGTGTCACTGCACTCAAACCATCTACAAACCAGAAAACAGCTTTCACCAGAACCCAATCATTCTGGTGCTTTAATCTTGAACATCCAGCCTCCAGAACTGTGAGAAATAAATTTCTATTGTTTAGAAGCTATCCAGGCTGGGCACGGTGGCTCACGCCTATAATCCTAGCACTTTGGGAGGTCAATGTAGAAGGATCACTTGAAGCCAAGAATTCGAGACTAGTCTGAGCAACATAGCAAGACCCACCCCCCCAAATCTGTACAAAAAGAAAAAAAAATTATCCAGGCATGATGGTGCACACCTGTAGTCCTAGTTGCATAAGAGGCTCACCTGAGCCCAGGAATTTGAGGCTGTGATGACCTATGATAGCTCCACCTCACTCTAGCCGCCTAGGCAACAGAACAAGACTCTTGTCTCTAAAAATAAAATAAAAAATAAAAGCGTCCATTTGTTCAGAGGGCAAAAAAATAAAAAGCTATCGCATTTAGTGTATTTTGCTATAGCAGCCTGAATAGACTAAGACATCTTATATTCACAGCAGCATTATTCACAATAACTGAAAGGTGGAAGCAATGCAAGCGTCCATCAAATGGACGAATGGATAAATAAATGCTGGTATATGCCTACAATGGAATAGTATTCAGCTATTAAGGGGAAGGAAATTCTGATGCTTGCTACAACATGGAGGAACTTTGAGGACATTATGCTAAGTGTTATAAGCCAGTCACAAAAGGACAAATATATGATTCCACTTGTATGAGGTACCTAGACTAGTCCAGTTCCTAGTAGCAGAAAGTAGAATGGTGGTTGCCAGGGGTTGGGGGAAAGAGGACTGAGGAGTTATTACTTAATGAGTATGATACTTCAGTTTGGGAAGATGAAACAAGTTCTGGAAATGGATGGTGGTGATGGTTGCACAGCAGTGGGAATGTGCTTAAGCCACTGAACTATACACTTAAAAGGGATTAAAATGGTAAATTTTATCTTATATGTATTTTACCACTACTTTTTTATTTTTTATTTATTTTTTATTTGTTTTGAGACAGAGTCTCGCTCTGTCACCCAGGCTAGAGTGCAGTAGTGCAATCTCAACTCACTGCAACCTCTGCTTCCCGGGTTCAAGTGATTCTCTTGCCTCAGCCTCCCAAGTAGCTGGGACTACAGGCATGTGCCACCATGCCCGGCTAATTTTTTTGTATTTTTAGTGGAGACAGGGTTTCACTGTGTTAGCCAGGATGGTCTCGATTTTCTGACCTCGTGATCCGCCCGCCTCGGCCTCCCAAAGTGCTGGGATTACAGGCGTGAGCCACCGCGCCCAGCACCACTACTTTTTAAAAGGCTGTGATGGAGATTTCTTTAAGAAGATTAAATTTAAAGAATACCTAATTTATTTGATCTTACTGAAAGGAAAGCAAACAACTGAGGGATAATTTGGGGATATCTTAATAATAAGTACCTAGAAAACCAAGTGAACAGAAAATAAGGAATTTACTAACTCTCCTTTTTTTTTTTTTTGAGATGGAGTCTCGCTCTGTCACCCAGGCTGGAGTGCAGTGGTGTGATCTCGCTCACTGCAAGCTGGGCCTCCTGGGTTCACGCCATTATCCTGCCTCAGCCTCCGGAGTAGCTGGGACTACAGGAGCCTGCCACCAGGCCCAGCTAATTTTTGTATTTTTTTTTTTAGTAGAGACGGGGGTTTCATCGTGTTGGCCAGGATGGTCTTGATCTCCTGACCTCGTGATCCGCCCACCTCGGCCTCCCAAAGTGCTGGGATTACAGGCGTAAGCTACCATGCCCGGCCGAAATTTACTAACTCTTTAAGATGAAAGTTATATAGGAAAGGAAAAGTGATTATGTTGCATTATTTGGCTCAGCTGTAGATAGCAGTTACAGGGTCATAATAACATACACATGAGGCCAGGGCAGGCCGACCATTTGAGGTCAGGAGTTTGAGGCCAGCCTGGCCAACATGGCGAAACCCCGTCTCTACTAAAAATACTAAAATTAGCCGTGCATGGTGGTGGGCGCCTGTAATCCCAGCTACTCAGGAGACTGAGGCACGAGAATCGCTTGAGCTCGCAAGGTGGAGGTTGCAGTAAACCGAGATCGCGCCATTGCACTCCAACTTGGGTGACAGAGTGAGACTCCGTCTCAAAAAAAAAAAAAAAAAAGAAAAATTCTGCAAGTGATTCCCATTACCCTTGGGATAAGTTCTCGCATCCCTATAGAGGCTCCCCGGGCCTCACCTACTTCATCAGCCAGAGCCCTATTCAGCATGCTGAGAGGCACAAGAATTGCTTGAACCCAGGAGGTGGAGGTTGCAGTGAGCTGAGATGGCACCACTGTACTCCAGCCTGGCAACAGAGCGAGACTGTCTCAAAAAAACAAACGAACAAAACAAAAAACAAAAAAACAACTACACACAGCGCCCCACTTATGATTCTTCAACTTTGCGATGGTGCAAAAGCAATAGCATTCAGGACACGCCTCAACTTACAATGAGGTTATATGGGGATAACCCAGTTGAAAATACTGAAAGTTGAATTCCTACATAGGATATTTTCAATGTTCAATGGGTTTATCGGGAGGTGGAGCATCCCGATAAACCCATAAGCAGGGGAGCATCTGTACCATAATTTCTGTTTTCCTCACTGGACCCTGACTGATACGCGGATCCATTATATCCACTTTAAAGACAAGAGAAGTGAGGCTCAAGGAAATTAAGAAGCACACCAAAGGTCACTGCTGCACAGGGCCCTGGCTGATTCTCCAGCCTTTGCCATACTCCATATTACCACTATTAAGCTACATATCAACAGACAATTGTCCTCTATGAAAAGCAGATTGTCACAGGTTATTATGACAATTATTTGAAGCTGATGTCGCCGTGGGATGGGCTCTGTTCTGCATCCTGAAGGCTGCGGCTGGTGAGACAGCAGAGGGAGCTCTGTCCCTAAGGAGACAGCCTCCAACCTGCTGGCCCCGCCGGGAATAAGGGCACCTCGATACCTGTCGTGATTAAAAGATTTGGGTAAGTTCTTCATCCTAGAGAAGGTAGGCTCCTTGAAGGGAAGGGAAAGGAAGCAAGGGAACACGTATTAGGCTCCAGGAACTGTGTTAATTTGATTTTTAAAATGTTAAACGGGAACTGCGTTGTTTGAAGCAGGCTGTCCTCCAGGAGCAGGAATACAGGGCCCCTTCCCGTCCTCCTCCCACCCCACGCCTGATTTCACCCCCAAGTTAAGGGGAGCTTCTCTGAAGTGGGCTACACTGGCCACTGGACAGTTACTGAGTAAAAGGGACCTCGGATAAGGGTGTGGTTCTCCTCCCTGGATCCCCTGATGCCACCTCACAGGAGCACTGAAGGGCAGCTGGCACCCTCACTGGAGAGCGAGCATTCTCATTCTCCCTTCTCCTCCCGAGACCTGCACCAGCTTTGCCTTGGCTCCAGGGGCTGTCTTGTTCTTGCTCTTGCTCTCTGCATCCATTCTTCCAGATGATGATGGATCCCTGTGAAACTGACTTGTCCCATATCACAGACCAGCATCTGAGACTCAAATCTGAGCATCAGGGAAGTAAACCTTCAACCTTGGAACCTGTACACAGACCTCACAGCTTGATCAACTCAGACACAGAGGGCAGCTGTGGGTCCAGCCCAGCCTATCCACTCTCTCTAGTGGGATTTGGAGGAACACTCCACAATCCCTTGGCTGGCCTTCCATTTACCCTCCATTGCCTGCTTTGGAACTAGGTCTAGGTAGACGTGACTGGCCGGAGGTAGAATATGGCCATTTCTTTCTTTCTTTCTTTCTTTCTTTTTTTTTTTTTTGAAATGGAGTTTCACTCTTGTTACCCAGGCTGGAATGCAATGGCACAATCTCGGCTCACTGCAACCTCTGCCTCCCGGGTTCAAGCGATTCTCCTGTCTCCGCCTCCCATGTAGCTGGGACTACAGGTGTGCACCACCACACCCAGCTAATTTTTATATTTTTAGTTGAGTTGGGGGTTTCGCCATGATGGCCAGGCTGGTCTCGAACTTCTGACCTCAAGTGATCTGCCCACCTCAGCTTCCCAAAGTGCGGGGATTACAGGCATGAGTCACTGTGTCTGACTGAATATGGGCCTTTCTGATTCCCCTAAACAAAATGCTATTTCAAAACAAGAGGTAATATGTTACTCATATATATATATAAATATATAAAATGATATATGATGTATATATATCATATGACATTGTCAAGAATAAATTGAATTCTTAGGAATTCACCACCCAACCTAAGAATGAATAAGTCACCCACACTTGATATCTGTATGTTCCATCTCTCTCATCTGTTTCGCCTCCAGAGGTTCTGAGTTTGTGCTTCTAATATTTTCTTATTTAAAATACTAATTTATCACAATTATATTTATTTATTTTGAGACAGGGTCTTGCTCTGATGCCCAAGCTGGAGTGCAGTGGTGCAATCATGGCTCTCTGCAACCTCTACCTCCTGGGCTCAAGTGATCCTCCCATCTCAGCCCTCCAGTAGCTGAGATTACAGGTGCGTGCCACCACGCCCAGCTAATTTTTGTATTTTTTTCAGAGATAGAGGTCTTGCCATGTTACCCAAGCTGGTCTCAAACTGCCTGCAGTCCTCCCACCCTTGGCTTCCCAAAGTGCTGGGATTACAGGCATGAGTCGTTGTGCCCAGACAATTGTATTTATTATTGAATTACATGAGCACTTTTTTTTTTTTCTTTTGAGACAGAGTCTCATTCTCTTGCCCAGGCTGGAGTGCAATGGTGTGATCTCGGCTCACTGCAACCTTTGCTTCCTGGGTTCAAGCAATTCTCCTGCCTCAGCCTCCCAAGTAGCTGGGACTATATAGGCAGGTGCTACCACACCCAGCTAATTTTTTTTGTATTTTTAGTAGAGATGGGGTTTCACCATGGTCAGGCTGGTCTCAAACTCCTGACCTCAGATGATCTGCCTGCCTCAGACTCTCAAAGTGCTAGGATTACAGGCGTCAGCCACCGCACCCAACCACCTGGCTAATTTTCTGTAGCCACAGGGAATCTCACTGTATTGGCCAGGGTGGTCTCAAATTTCTGGCCTCAAGTAATCCTCCCATCTCAGCCTCCCAAAGTGCTGGAATTAGGCGTGAGCCACTGCACTTGGCCAAAGGCAAGATTTGAAAAAGAAATGAAACTTTAAAAATGTAAAACAATTGTTTAAACAAACATAATGGTTAAACACCAAATTTGATGCAGATATTGAGAAGATGAGTGAACTGGAGGAGAGATCTGAAGAAATCACCCTGCCTGCAATGGGGACAGGAAGGAGGTGGGAAACACAGAAGAGTTCATGGAGCAGGGAGGAGAGAATAAATTTAATATTCATTAGATTGCAGTCTAGGAGAGGGCAGAGAAAAAGAACAAGAGCCAAACAGCTGAAGAGGAAATATAGCCAAAGAGAAACAACTGAGAATTTTCCAGAATGTAAAAGACACGCATCCTTAGATGCATCCTTACATTACAGAATGTAGAAGACATGCATCCTTAGATGTCAGGGTATCCATTTGCCAGCGCTGAACTAACAAAGCACCACAGACTAGGTGGCTTGAACAACAGAAATTAATTTTCTTACCACTCGGGAGTCTAGAAGTCTCATGTCATGGTGTCAGCAGGGTTGGTTTCTTCTGAATCTCTCTCCTTGGCTTGCACGTGGCTGTCTTCTCCCTGTGTCTTCACGTGGTCTCCCCTCTGTGTATGTTTGTGTCTTAATCTCTTTCTATAAGGACTCCATCATATTGGATTAGGACTCAGCCTACTGACCTCATTTAATCTAATTACCTCTTTAAAGACCCTATCTCCAAATACAGCCACATTCTGAGGCCATGGGGGTTAGGACTTCAATAGGTGAATTTGGTGGTGGGAGGGGAACACAATTCACAATTCAGCCCATAACAATAGGAATCACAATACATACTAGGTGAAATAGATGAAAAGAAATCCACACCCGACACAATATAGTAAAGCTGCAGAACACCAAAGACAAAGAGAAGGTCTTCAAAACAATCCGAGAGAAAAGCCACACCCTGCTTAACAGTGGAGTGGCTCCCCACCCACCATCTATATTTCTTTTTTCTTTTTTCTTTTCTTTCTTTTTTTTTTTTTTTTTTTTTTTTTGAGGTGGAGTCTCACTCTGTTGCCCAGGATGGCATGCAATGGTGCAATATGGGCTTACTGCAACCTCCGCCTCCCTGGTTCGAGCAATTTTCCTACCTCAGCCTCCTGAGTAGCTGGGATTACAGGTGCCCGCTACGATGCCCAGCTAATTTTTCTTGTATTTTTAGTAGAGACGGGGTTTCAGCATGTTGGCCAGGCTGGTCTCAAACTCCTGACCTCAAATGATCCACCTGCCTCAGCCTCCCAAAGTGCTGGGATGCTGGGATTACAGGTGTGAGTCACCACACCTAGCCTTTTTTTTTTTTTTTTTTTTTTTTTTTTTTTTTGAGACAGGGTCCTACTCTGTTCCCCAGGCTGGAGTGCAGTGACATAATCATAGCTCACTTCAGTCTCAGTCAATCCTCCTACCTCAGCCCCCCAAGTACCTGGGATTACAGGTACACGCCACCATACCTGGCTAATTTAAAAAAATTCTTTGTAGAGACAGGGTCTTGCTATGTTGCTGAGGCTGGTCTTGAACTTCTGGGCTCAAGTGATTCTCCCATCTCAGCGTCCCGAAGTACTGAGATTGTAGGTGCAAGCCATTGTGCCTGCTGCCCCCAACCACCTATATTTCAAATACTCCCACTGGCATTTATGATTTTTTATTTTTTATGTTATTTATTTGTTTGTTTATTTATTTATTTTGAGACAGAGTATCGCTCTGTCGCCCAGGCTGGAGTGCAGTGGCGCTATCTCAGCTCACTGCAAGCTCTGCCTCCCAGGTTCATGCCATTCTCCTGCCTTAGCCTCCCAAGTAGCTGGGTTTACAGGTGTCCGCCATCACACCCAGCTAATTTTTTGTATTTTTAGTAGAGATGGAGTTTCACTGTGTTAGCCAGGATGGTCTTGATCTCCTGACCTCATGATCCACCCTCCTCAGCCTCCCGAAGTGCTGGGATTACAGGCGTGAGCCACCGTGCCCGGGCGATTTTTGATTTTTTTGGTACCACAGCCCTACCCCTTTTCCCCTTGTGAAAGACATAAGCTTCTGACTCCATCTAGGTTGATCCAGTACTGTTTCCTGAACAGGTGGCGGGCGCCTGTAATCCCAGCTACTCAGGAGGCTGAGGCAGGAGGATTGCTTGAACCTGGGAAGTAGAGGTTGCAGTGAGCCGAGATTGCGGCACTGCACTCCAGCCTGGGCCACAGAGCCAGGCTCCGTCTCAAAACAAACAAACAAAAACAGATGTTGTGTTGCAGGTAGCTAAAGCTGCCAAAGGGGTCTGGGTATATTCAGTGTGGGAGATGGGCGTTGGTCCGTATTCCTGGCTGGGGAAAAGAAAGGTGGTATAGACCTTTCCTATACCAGGTGATATACAGAGTTCATAGTTTTGCCAAGGGTTCCAAAGACAGGTGTCGGTGGTGATGACAAGTCATCTCTGCTTCCTCTAACTCTAGTGCTCTTGGTCACCAATGCCTGAGGCCTGGAATTTTATAATTTAATTCGTCATGTGGGGGTGTTTGGTCTCCCCAGTGAGACAGGTGTCTGTCTTAATGTGTCCCATAACCCCTATTGCACCAGATGTTTGTCTCTGCACTAGGCCGTTGCCCGAGAGCTCACCGGGGAATGAGTTAGTTGGGGACCCCTGGAGAACCTTTGTGTTCTGGAGCCTACAGAGGGCTCTGGCCTGCCGGAGGGGACTGATAACAGCTGTACATCTGCTGCTGCAGCCTCTGCCTCCACCAGCATCATCTTTTGCAAGGGAAACTGCAGTCTTCTCCATTGGCCTCCCTCCTTTCAATGCATTCTCCACACAGCAGTCAAGTGATCTTTTTGAAAAGATAGGAATCAGGCTATGCCACTGTTTTCTTAATGTCTTCTGTGGCCTCCCATAGCATTCAGAATGAAATCCAAACTCCTTGCTGTGGTCTATACAAACCTGCAGGAGATGGCCTATTGCCTTAGTTTCTTCTCCTCTTGCCCACTCTGATTCAGCCTCCTGGGTTTTTTTCCCAGTTCATCAAATATGCCAAGCTCTTTCCCACCCCAGGGCCTTTGCCCTTGTTCTTTCTGCTTTCTTTTTCCCAGAGCTGGGCTGTTGTCATCTATCAAGTCACCGCTCAGGGGTCACCTTCCTCATCTCCTATAGAAAGTGGATTCCCCTTGTTACTCTCTATTTCATCACTGTTTCTTTCTTTCACGTGCTAATCATAAGCTGATATGGTTTGGCTCTGTGTTCCCACCCAAATCTCATCTCGGACTGTAATTCTCACATGTCAAGGGAGGAACCTGGTGGGAGGTGACTGGATCATGGGGGCGGTTTCCTCTATGCTGTTCTCATGATAGCGAGGGAGTTCTCATGAGATCTGATGGTTTTAAAAGTGGCAGTTTCCCAGTTAGCTGGGCGTGGTGGTGCACACCTGTAATCCCGGGTACTCGGGAGGCTGAGGCAGGAGAATTGCTTGAACCTGGGAGGCGGAGGTTATGGTGAGCCACGATCACGCTGTTGCACGCCAGCCTGGGCAACAAGAATGAAACTCCATCTCAAAATAAATAAAAATAAATAAATAAATAAATAAATAAATAAATAAATAAAAGTGGCTCTCTTTCTCCCGCTTTGCCATAGTAAGACATGTCTGCTTCCCCTTCACCTTCTGCCAGATTGTAAGTTTCCTGAGGCTTCCCCAGCCACGTGGAACTGTGAGTCAATTAAACTATTTTGTTTGTAAATTACCCAGTCTCAGGTAGTGTCTTCATAGCAGTGTGAAAATGGACTCATACATAAGCTCTATCTATTTGGTTTGCTTGCTTGTTTGTGTCAGTCTCCCCAACTAAAATCTAAGCTCCACCAGTCTCCTGTTGTCCATTGTACCTCTAGGTCCCAGCAGAGTATCTGGTGCATCCAGTAGGCATCACAGTAACTGGTGGAAAGCATGCCAGGTGCTATCTGGCCTAGGCCCCGGACCCTGTAGCACACCTCTTTGTGGAAACTCAAAACCCGGCAGAGTTACCAGAGCTGTACCTGTGACCCAGTGCACCTCAGCTCCCAACCATCCAGTATACAGTCAGAATTTCAACTGGTCCCAGCAGCCGAAAGGAGTGGAAATGCAGAGCTAGCAACAGTTTACCTCCATAAATTCGACTCCCTGTTGCTCCTGGTATTAACTCTGGTTTCATGCACTTCCACTCCAATGAAGACTTGGCACATTTCAAAATACCTCTGCACAGCAGGACACTGATTGAATTCGAGGTGCTGGGAAGCCAGTTGAAGAATATAATGGTAAAATCACTGGTCGCTTTATATTGTAGTAAAGAACTTGAACAAACAACTATTACACCTCCTTTAATGTTCCATTCTGTTTCAAGTGAATCTGGAATAAGTATAGTAACTTATACTGCTTTTAACCTGCCCCATTAGACTTGTCCACTTTGGCCCACGGTGCTTTTGATTTGAGGTTCCAGTCTGTCTCTCAGCAGCACTGTTTGTACATAACGTGGGTCCAGTTTGTAACATTTGTAAATTTTGAAAATGTGTTTGAGTTATTCAAATGGTTGTTTGCCTATATTTTCAAATATAAAACCTCTGAGCAAATATGTAATTATTTATTTTATTTTATTATTTTATTTTATTTTATTTTTGAGATGGAGTCTCGCTGTATTGCCCAGGCTGGAGTGCAGTAGCGTGATCTCAGCTCACTGCAGCCTCCGCCTCCCGGGTTCCAGCAATTCTCCTGCCTCAGCCTCCCGAGTAGCTGCGATTACAAGTGTCCGCCACCAAGCCCAGCTAATTTTTGTATTTTTAGTAGAGACGGGGTTTCACCATGTTGGCCAGGATGGTCTCGATCTCTTGACCTCGTGATTCGCCTGCCTCAGCCTCCCAAAGTGCTGGGATTACAGGGGTGAGCCACTGTGCCCGGCCGGTAATTATGTATTTTAAATGTTCCCATTTGGTCATATAAATTACGGTACATCCATTCAACAAAATACTGCCCAGTCATTTTAAGAGTGTGGGGGAATTAATAGGCATTAACATGCTCAAGATTATTGTTAAGTGAAAACAGCAAGTTGCAGAGCATTAAGTATAACATCTCTCTGTGTATAAGTGTGTGTAAATGTGTTTTCTTATAAACAAGGCTTATTTTTGGAAAAAGACTCTAAGTCATCTCTGGATGTACAATGGCTATCATGGTAATCGCTAACATATATCACATGCTTGTTCTCTGCCAGGCATTGCACCAAGTGCCTTTCCTATCCTTCATTTAATCTACATAATAACCCTAAGAGGAAGGTATTACTATTATCTTCCATTTATAGATTAGGAAACTGAGGCCAGGAGAAGTCAAGTGCTCAACTTCAGCATTCTATACTATTCGTTGTGGGTTTTTCTTTTTTAAATGTATCTGCATTACTTTTAAAATAAAAATAATACTATTAAATATTTTAAAATCTTCCCCTCTTCTGGGATTTTGAAACTGAGAGTGGCAATAGAACTGTTCAGTGCCAAGTTCTGTTGTGGCAGTGAATGAAAACCCAGGTTGTGCTAGGTGCAGTGGGCCAGTGGCTCACGCCTGTAACCCCAGCACTTTGGGAGGCTGAAGCAGGAACTTTACTTGAGCTCAGGAGTTTGAGACAAGCCTGGGCAACATGGTGAGACTCTGTTTTTACAAAAAAATTAAAAATTAGTTGGGTGTGGTGGTACATACCTGTTGTCTTAGCTACTGAGGTGAATGAGATGGGAGGATCACTTGAGCCCGGGAGATGGAAGCTGTGGCAAGCTGTGATCATGCCGTGGCATTCTAGCCTGGGCAACAGAGCAAGATCCTGTCTTATAAAAAAAAAAAAAGAAGAAGAAGAAACTCAAGTTGTGTCACTTCTAGGCAGGCGCCCTTTTTCTCACAGTCTGGTGTGGAGAGGTGGTTGAGAAGCCTCTAGGCTCATAGGCAGAGCTCAGTAGAAGCAGGAGGAGGAAAGGTCAAGTTGGAGGCCCTCAGGTACTGCTGCCTCTGGTTTTCTGAGTGTAATTATGGATGGGCTGACCCCACTGCCTACCGTGGTGACACTAAGGGGAGTCTCCAAACTGAAGGGCAGCACTGCCCCCCAAGTAGCCAGAAAAATTCAAGGTCAGTTGTTAGCTGCAACCTTTTATCCAATAGCATCTGGAGGCATCTGGATAAGATCCATTAAAATACTCATTGTGATGCCAGACCTCATACGAACATTCATTTGACACCCACAACTACTCATAAGCCTGATTGTCCCCATTTGAACAGTGAGGTTTGTGAAATTAAGTGATGTAAGTCTCACAAACAACTGCAAGTTTAGGACTGACTTGACCTTAGGACTGTCTGGCGCTCCACTAATTCCCACGCGGGGGCGCTGGTGGAGGAGCTGATGGCAGCCAGATGTTGCAGTTTTTGTATGTTGCGCCCTCCCTTATTAAGTATCCTTCACCCAAACTGTGTGATATGGCTTGGCTGTGTCCCCATTCAAATCTCAACTTCAACTGTATCTCCTGGAATTCCCATGTGTTGTGGGAGAGACCTGGGGGAGGTAATTGAATCATGGGGGCTTGTCTTTTCCGTGCTGTTCTCATGATAGTGAATAAGTCTCACGAGATCTGATGGTTTGATCAGGGGTTTCCTCGTTTGCTTCTTCCTCATTTTCTCTTGCTGCTGCCATGTAAGAAGTGCCCTTTGCCCTCCGCCATGATTATGAGACCTACCCAGCCATGTGAAACCGTAAGTCAAATTAAACCTCTTTATCTTCCCAGTCTTGGGTATGTTTTTATCAGTAGCATAAAAACGGACTAATACACTGTGAAACATATAAAAAATGAACAACGTTGGGCGTGGTGGCTTGCATTTGTAATCCCAGCTACTCAGGAAGCTGAGGTGGGAGAATCGCTTGAGGGTGAGAGTTCAAGAGCAGCCTGGGCAAGAGAGCAAGACTTGTCTCTAAAAAATTTTTCTTAAATAAGAAATCAGCTGAGTGTGGTGGTGCATGTCTGTAGTCCCAGCTACTCAGGAGGCTGAGGCAGAAAGATCGTGTGAGCTGTGGAGTTCAAGGCTTCACTGAGCTGCGATCACACCACTGCACTCCAGCCTGGGTGACAGAGCAAGAACCTGTCTCTGAAAAAGAAAAAAGAACAAATAGAGGCATCTGCTTCATGGACCAGCCTTCAAAAGGAGCCTCTGTTGTGCTCCCAAGTCATTTTCACACTGGAAGAAGAGTCAGCAAGGTGGCACCTGTTATCAAATCAGCCCGCTGCTACCTCCCTAATGACCTCCAAAACTGCCCTGAAACTCAGAGACGTTCCAGGATTGATTGCTGTGTGTCCTGAAGTTTCCCTCTGGGCTCAGGTTCCTCAGCTTCCATGAACTGGCTGTTTGGACACCTACTGAACCCTAATTCTATTAGTAATACCGAGGCCCCACTGTAAACTAAAGATTAGAAATGTAAAGGCTTGGCCTCTGCAAACCTCGGGGAGACTCACTGGGCCTGAATCCCACACCCTAGAAGTCTGGTGTCTTGAACCCAAGATTTTGGGGCAGTTTCTGAAGGACTTTCTGATGCTAAAAATGATGGTGAAGGGCAAACGTACACCCAGTTACTCCCAGGGCACTCCCTTTCCTGTACTTGAATACTGGGCTGGCTAGACTCAGATACACATGCACGGACAAACATACACACACACACACACACACACACACACACACACACACTCCTGTTCCATATCTTTGGGTCTCTGCTTGCTCTTACCCTTGCTTCGAATATCCTTTCCACCTTACTTCACACAGCTGACTGTTGCTTAATTATGGAGATTCAGCTCGGGGATCACTTCCTCAATCCCAAGCTGGGCTAATGTTTTCACAGCACCAGGGTTGAGCACCATCTCAGCCTATTACATAAAATGGCCTGGTAATACATCTCCTCCACTGAACCAAAAGTCTCTGAGGATGGGGCCCACGTTCAGCTCCCTGTGGTTCTCAGAGTCTCACCGGATGTCTGCCGCGCTGCAGGTGCTCAGCACAGGTTTGTGGCTCTGTCCAGCGATTATATTCTCAGCCTACAGGCAGCCTCTTCCTTGTAGCATGGCCAGGTTCCCATCGTGCAGACTCATTACATCCGTGCCAGGGCTTGTAAGTTTGCCGCTTATCTGAGGTTCATCTGCAAGAAGCTGTAATTGAAACAGCTTCCAGGATGGAAATATCGTTTCCAGAATTTCATTTTCAAGCTTACAGCCTGGATCGTTCAAGCCGATTACAGGAAACGGTTGCAGTGCTGGTGCTCCCCGGGTTGAATCCAGATGGGTGTGTTTACTAGGCTGAGAAATGTTAATCCTGTCTTTGGCCTAGAAATGTCTGGCATTCACTTTGGAGGGAAATAGAAAAATAAGGTAGTACAGCCAGCCAGGCTCAGTTATATTTCCCTTAAATAATGCTTTTTTCAAAACAAGGTGGGGAGAGGGTCTGCTGGAGGGACCTTTGCCTGAAAGGAGATAGTGTGCAACTGTCATTGATTTTGAAAGTTCAGAAGAAACATTCTGAATAGTCAGTCTTTAGTATCATTACAAGGCTGGCCAAATAACCATGGGCCTGAATGCTGACAGGTGCATGCTTGGGGCTAAGGAACAGAGATCTGAATCTGTTCTCTTCTGAAGGCCATATGTAAGCGTGCATGAAGCCAAATGACAATGAGAGGAAGGGCCTGCACATTTACTGAGCCCTGGCTTCTTTGCCAAGCATTGTACTAAGCACTTCACATTTTTTATATCGTTTGATCCAATAACTCTTTGAGGTGGATACCACTACTACTAATCCCATTTACAGTTGAAGAAACCAAGATTCAAAGAGAGGCTTGCCCAAAGTAGCAGGGCTCCCATATGCTTTGCAAACACTTTTATAACTTTAAACGATTTTTTAACCCTACCACGTGCCGGCACTACAACCAGCCCAGCTGGCGGGTGGTCACTCCTGTCCTGTGTAGTGAAGACCCAAGATCCTCTGGCAAGTGCTCCCAGGCAGCAGGGCAGTGGGGCCCATTTGTCCCTAATAAACCTTTCTTCCATGCAGTGCTCAAACTCCTCAAGAAAGCAAAACACAACAGCTTCAGTAACTAAATAGGCGACCAGTAACCTGCCTGCCCAGAGCTCTCTGAGACTTTTTGTTTTTTTTTTTGTGAGATGGAGTCTCGCTCTGTTACCCAGGCTGCAGTGCAGTGGCGCAATCTTGGCTTACTGCAACCTCCACCTCCCGGGTTCAAGCAATTCTCCTGCCTCAGCCTCCAGAGTAGCTGGGATTACAGGTGCCCACCACCATGCCCGGCTAATTTTTGTATTTTAGTAGAGATGAGGTTTCACCATGTTGGCCAGGCTGGTCTTGAACTCCTGACCTCAGGTGATCCACCCGCCTTGGCTTCCCAAAGTGCTGGGATTACAGGCGGGAGCTACCGCACCCTGCCTGAGACTTTGTCTTCAGTTACAAGTGCAGTGAGTGACGAGGGGAGGGAAGAGAGCTTTTTGAAGCCATATGACCCTGGCATGTATTTCTGGGCCTCGCGTAGCACCTTCCCACGGGTGCTAGAGAGACAGGAGAGGAGGAAAGAGCCTCCCTCTTTCAGTCAAGAGTGCCACCTTGTGATGCCAGCACCAGAAAAGAACTGAACATCACTCTGGCCCCTGAGCTCAGCCCTGTGATTCATCCCCACAGCCCCTCCCTGGCAGTAGGCTCTGTTTGTGGTGCTCTGTAATTAGTTAATGAACTATCTGAATGATATTCCTGTAGTCATTCAACCAGCCCCATCCTCAGGGTGTAATTGTATTTGAGGTTATTTAAAAACATTATTGTATCCAAATAGAGTTTACATCAGCAGACAGCATGATTCGTAATTCTGCTATCCCTGGTGTTTCTAAATTGTGCTATAAACTGCCTGATGAGTCGTGCAAAAATGGCTGCACCAACAGAGAACAGTGGGGCTTCTCTGGCAAAAACCACCAACTATCTAAGGGGAAGAGTAGTAAAAGCAACTTGTGGCTAGAACCCAGTTGACTTCAGTATAGAACAGATTGTTTTCAAGAGGCCCTCCACTAATTTGATCATCATCTTTGGATGAACTAACTCTTCATTACCTTTACAAGAAAATGCTTGGAAAGGAAGTGGAAGGCTGATCTGAAGAGTGGCAGGGGCTGCTTCACTTCCTCTGCAGTTTCCTGGAGCTGCCTTGCTCCGCCTCAGGGAATTTGCTGGGAGAGGCTCTCCAGCATCCAGATCCCCCTGCAAAGGTGTTTCGCGATCTGCAGGAACAGGCCCCAGGAGCATCCCTTGGGGCCGAATGTGCAGTGGGCGATGCCCCTCCTGACCCAACAGATCCAAGACGAGCATGATCAATACAGTCTTGTGGCCAGCCTTGACAATGTTAGGAATCTCTCCACTATCTTAAAAGCTATTCATTTCCGAAAATGTGCTGTGTGTTTCGCAACTAAAAATGGAATCAAAGTAACAATGGAAAATGCAAAGTGTGTGCAAGCAAATGCTTTTATTCAGGCTGGAATATTTCAAGAGCTTAAAGTTCAGGAAGAGTCTGTTACTTTTTGAATTAATTTCATTGTCCTTTTAGACTGTTTATCTATTTTTGGATCAAGTCCTATGCCAGGGACTTGAACTGCACTTCGGATGTGTTACCAAGGTTATGGTTACCCTTTGATGCTGTTCCTGGAAGAAGAAGGAGTGGTGGCAGTCTGCAAAATCAATACACAGGAACCTGAAGGGACCTGGACTTTAATTTCTACAGCACTAATGTTATTGATAAAATTCTGCAGTCAGAAGGGCTCTGTGAAGCTTTTTCTGAATTGGATATGACGAGTGAGGTCCTACAAATTACCATGTCTCCTGACAAGCCTTATTTCAGGTTATCTACTTTTGGAAATGTAGGAAGTTCCCACCTTGACCGCCCCAAAGATTCTGATTTGATGGAAGCATTATAATCAGACCCAGGTCAACAGATGCAAGATTTCCTTACTGAAACCCTCTACAAAGGCATTAGTCCTGTCTTGTCACGTATCTACTCGGACAGATAACCGAGGCTTCCTTTCATTACAGTATATGATTAGAAATGAAGATGGACCAATATATTTTGTGGAATATTACTGCTGCCCTGATGAAGAAGTTCTTTAATCTGAGTCTTGAGTATGACGATTCACTGATATTTATGTGTACATTGATGATAGATGAAGTTCTCATTCTGAGTACGGTACTTTTTTTTTTTTTCTTTTTTGAGATGGAGTCTCACTCTGTCGCTGAGGCTGGAGTGCAGTGGCGCCATCTCAGCTCACTGCAACCTCCGCCTCCCAGGTTCAAGCGATTCTCCTGCCTCAGCCTCCCAAGTAGCTGGGATTACAGGTGCCCGCTACCACGCCTGGCTAATTTTTATATTTTAGTAGAGATGAGGTTTCACCATGTTGGCCAGGCTGGTCTTGAACTCCTGACCTCAGGTGATCCACCCGCCTTGGCCTCCCAAAGTGCTGGGATTACAGGCGTGAGCCACCACGCCCAGCCTTGAGTTCAGTACTCTTTATAATTTCATATTGTATTTCCTATAGAGAAGAAGCATGGGGAAGATAGAAACAAGGTCTGTGTACCCTAATAGTTGCTATGTGTTTTGTAAATACATTTTGTAAAGGGCATGTAAATAAATGTTTTCATGTAGTCATAAATTATTCAGGACTGTCCTGTAGTTCTGTCTTTTGAACTCATGGGAATGATTATGAACCAAGATTAATAAATTATACGTTCTATTTCAGTAGAACATTTCAAGAGTCTAAAGACTTATTCAGCTACCTGAAATGTTCTTTTATTTATTTACTATTAGAAAAGGCAAAGGTATATGCTCATTGCTTATTAGTTTGAATTCTAGAGACTAGATCTTAAAGCAGTGCTTCTCAAAGTGTTGTGCCCACACCAGCATCAGAACCACCTGCAAACTTGTAGCAAACTCTGGGGAGGAGGCCAGCATTCTATATTTTAACATGCTTCCCCCAGGAGATTCTGACGCATGCTAAATTTTGGGAACCACTGTTTTAAAGGAAACTTTTTTTAAAACTAGCATTTAATTGTATTGAGATGATTGCTTTTACATGTGATTTCTTTGCAAATGTTCTGAAGTTGAGGCATCACCAAACAAGTCTGAACAATTCTTTATGTGATTTATTTTTAAAGTAGACCTTCTGAGGAGATCTATGAATGGGATATAAAATAATTTTCAGGCCAGGTGCAGTGGCTCATGCCTGTAATCCCAGCACCTTGGGAGGCTGAGGCAGGCAGATTGCCTGAGGTCAGGAGTTCAAGACCAGCCTGGCCAACACAGTGAAACCTCATCTCTACTAAAAATACAAAAATTGGCCGGGTGTGGCAGTGCATGCCAGTAGTCCCAGCTACTCAGGAGGCTGAGGCAGGAGAATTGCTTGAACCTGGGAGGTGGAGGTTGCAGTGAGCCAAGATCGTGCCACTGCATTCCAGCCTGAGCAAGAGAGACTCTGTCTCAAAAAAAACAAAAAAACAAAACAATTTTCAGAGTTACAGGTTTTCTTCTTGTTCTCACAACTGTTCATTCCAGTAAGTAACTGCAGTAAGTACTTATTAGACACCTTCCATTTGCTTATAAGTTTCTTGGCAAATCAAGCTGTAGAAAACCAGTTATTAAGTGATTTTGTACTTTTCTGGTAGTCGTCACTAAAATAATTTTTGTGGCATATAAATATTTTTATATTTAATAAAGTACAATACTAAAAAACAGAAAATACATGGACACCAATCTTGGTCTGCCTTTCTTTACTATCTGTTTTGCAGATAATAGAGTAATACAGTTAAAAGCATGGGAATGGCTTAATGAATATCTCCCAGCCGCCATTTCTTTGTCTGTAAAATGGGGATTACGGGCTGGGCGCGGTGGCTCACGCCTGTAATCCCAGCACTTTGGGAGGCCGAGGTGGGTGGATCATGAGGTCAGGAGTTCAAGACCAGCCTGGCCAACATAGTGAAAACCCATCTCTACTAAAAAGATATAAAAAATTAGCCAGGCGTGATGGCGGATACCTGTAATCCCAGCTACTCAGGAGGCTGAGGCAGGAGAATCACTTGGAGGCAGGAGAATCACTTGATCCCAGGAGACGGAGGTTGCAGTGAGCCGAGATTGCACCACTGGACTCCAGCCTGGGCGACAAGAGTGAAACTCCATCTCCAAAAAAAAAAAAAAAACCAAAGCTTTTAGTACAACACCCAGGACAAGGCCACTGCCCAGTCCCGGGTGTTAGGGCTTTAGAAGTTTCTGCATAGTTTTAGTTATTTCTGTATATCTTGTTTTTTTTCTATAGCCTCACAACAGAGGTGATATTTATGTACGTTTTAATGCTCCTACTACTAGATTATAAATTCCCTGAAAGCAAGATTAATGTTTGCTTCCTTTCTATGTCTTCACACTTCTTATACACGGTAGGAACTCAGTAAATATTTGTCGAATAAATGAACATATTGATCCTATATTTAAGTGAAAAAAACTGCAAAATGTGCTTTATCTGGGCATTAATGCAAAAGTTCTCAAGATAAAGTTAATCTGTAGCTGTAAGTATATCTGAAATCTAGAATAATATATCTATGTCAGTTGCTAAGAGGGTCAAATGAGATGTGTATGAAAACCTCTTCAAAAATAGTAACATAGGGCCAGGCGCTGTGGTTCATGCCTGTAATCCCAGCACTTTGGGAGGCTGAGGCAGGTAGATCACAAGGTCAGGAGTTCAAGACCAGCCTGGCCAAGATGGTGAAACCCTGTCTCTACTAAAAATATAAAAATTAGCTGGGTGTGGTGGCAGGTGCCTGTAATCACAGCTACTTGGGAGGCTGAGGCAGAGAACTGCTTGAACCTGGGAGGTGGAGGTTGCAGTGAGCCAAGATCGTGCCACTGCACTCCAGCCTGGGTGACAGAGTGAGACTTCATCTCAAAAAAAAAAAAAACAAAAAAAAAATGGTAACATAGGGCCAGGCACGGTGGCTTACACCTGTAATCCCAGCACTTTGGGAGGCCAAGACAGGTGGATCACGTGAGGTCAGGAGTTTGAGACGAGACCTGCCAACATGGTGAAAACCCATCTCTACTAAAAATATAAAAAAACTAGCTGTGCGTGGTAGCAAATGCCTGTAATCCCAGCTACTTCGGAGGCTGAGGCAGGAGAATCGCTTGAACCCGGGAGGCGGAGGTTGCAGTGAGCCAAGACTGTACCACTGCACTCCAGCCTGGGTGACAGAATGAGACCCATCTCAATAAAATAAAATAAAATAAAAATAAAAAATGGTAACACAGCAAACATAGGTAATGTGTTATTGGTTTATATAATATACATATATAATACATAGAAGAAATCTATATATTATATATATAAATATAAATATATATATTATATATATAAATATAAATATATTATATATTATATATATAAATATAAATATATTATATATATATAATATAAATATATTATATATTATATATATAAATATAAATATATTATATATTATATATATATAAATATAAATATATTATATATTATATATATAAATATAAATATATTATATATTATATATATAAATATAAATATATTATATATTATATATAAATATAAATATATTATATATTATATATATAAATATAAATATATTATATATTACATATATAAATATAAATATATTATATATTACATATATAAATATAAATATATTATATATTACATATATAAATATAAATATATTATATATTATATATATAAATATAAATATATTATATATTATATATATAAATATATTATATATTATATATAAATATAAATATATTATATATTATATATATAAATATATTATATATTATATATAAATATAAATATATTATATATTATATATATGTATATTATAGAGAGAGAGAGAGAGAGGGAGAGAGAGAGAGGGATTTCTTCTTCTATGCTTCTAGTGGAGCAGCTGCTAATTGCAGGGCATAAACTGCCCCTAGTGTGTAGTTGGGCCACCAACCACACATGTCAGCAGTAAGCAACTAGCAAGTGCTTATACACAAGTGAATACAAAGACTTTTTGTTGTAAAGAAACAAAAAAGTATATTAGTAATCTACTGCTGCCTAATGCTTTACTCCAAAACTTAGCCGCAGAAAACAACAGCAAACACTTATCATCTCACAGAGTTTCTGTGGGTCAGGAATTTGGGAGCAGTGAGTGGTTTTAGGTTGACTGGGGCAGGAGGATCCATTTCCATGGTGGTTCACGCACATGCATAGTGAGTTGGTGCTGATTCTCGGTGAAGGCCTCAGCTCCTCCCGGGTGTGGCCTGTCCACAAGGCTGCTTGAGTGTCTTCACAACATGGTGACTGGCCTTCCTCAGAGGCAGTGATTCAAGAGACCACAGCAGAATCTGCAGTGTCTTTTATGATTTGTCTTCGAAGTCACAACCATCTCGTCTGGAATATCTTATTGGTCTACCTTATTCAGTGTGGGAAGATACAATACCAGAAGGCGATGGTCATGGAGCCATCTTGGAGGCTGGCTACCACAAAAGGGAACTGATCTCAGAAATCAAGAATGGTAGCTACAGCCCAGCCAGGCTTCCCAGAGACAAGAGCTGGAGGGCATCCCAGGAGCCAGGGCAGCTCAAGGCACTTCAGTGGCGGCCATCCCCCTGTCTTCACTCCTCCTGTTCCTTCCTCTTCATGTGACTCAGCCACACCCCTTCTCTCTTCTCCTGCCAGTTCTTCCCATGTTTCTTAGTTCACATGCCTAAAAGCAGAGCCTGATGGTTCATCTTTTTTCTCAGGTCATCACAGGTCACATGCCAGCCTATGGGTTGGTTCCAAGGATCCACTCTAAGACCAGGCATAGGGGAGGCAAGGTTCACATGGTCCAAAACATGGGCATCTTACCCCAGGGCTGTGGTCAGGACAGTCTTGCTAAGATGAAATAATAGGTGGGATGCAGCTTGGGAAGTGTGGCCTGCCCCATATGGCTACTGCTCACCAGGCATCGTGCTGGATGGAGGGGCCACAGATGGGGCAAAGAAAGAAAAATGGGCAGGGCGCAGTGACTCACACCTGTAATCCTAGCACTTTGGGAGGCCAAGGCAGGTGGATCACCTGAGGTCGGGAGTTCGAGGTCAGCCTGGCCAACTTGGTGAAACTCTCTCTCTACTAAAATACAAAAATTACCCAGGCATGGTGGTGTGTGCCTGTAATCCCAGCTACTTGGGAGGCTGAGGCAGGAGAATTGCTTGAACCCAAGAGGCAAAGACTACAGTGAGCTGAGATCATGCCACTGCACTCCAGCCTGGGTGACAGATCAAGTCTCTGTCTCAAAAAAAAAAAAAGAAAAAGAAAGAAAACTGAAGACCCATAAATTGATCCCTGGCCTCTCTGTTTAGCGAGGCCATAACCAAATAATTTGTGCATGATAAGGCTGTACTAGATCTCTCATGGCACTATGAGTGTTGATTCCCTCTACCTGGGGCCCATGGAGAAGTCTCCCCAAGAAACTGCTGCCAGGGCCTTGAAGGATGAGCTGGAGTTTACCAGATGAAGAGAAGGGAGAATGGCATTTCTGGCAGGAAGGAACCTGCACAGGGTATTTTGGCGGAAGGTGAGACGCTGTAGGTGGGACTGGGGAGCAGGGCAGCTGGGAGGAAAGCTGGCAGGGCCAGTAGGGTGATGCTGTGATGAACTTGGTGGGACCAGCAAAGAGCTTGGGCTCTACCCGAGAGCAGTGGGAAGACCTCTAAGTATCTGAAACAGGAACGACCACCGTGGGTGGCTCCAGGGGTGATAGCAACTCAGAAGGGAAGCCGGGTCCAAGGAGGCACCTGAGCGTCCTCCCCTCTTCAGAGTCCAGTTCACAAGGAGCTGCCTGTGATTTTTTTGGAAAGCTGTATTCTCTGTTACAAAAAGACATCCGAGCTTGTGAGGAACTAACGACTGCCCCTCCACTGGTTCCCTTGAATAGCAATCCCTCCAAATATAATTCCACAGCCATCCAAATTAAGCAAAGCTTTATTAAGCACCAAGCCGGCCACATCTGCATAATGAAAATATTTCACTGGAAGCCTGAGAAAACTCCCTGTGGACTCCTTATCGAATAACCCCTCATCCTCCTACAAATACCTACCCAGCCAATTCAGAAAATAACATCTGGAAAAGAAACCCCTTTTTTCAGTTCAGGTCATTCCAATGAGCAGCTTACAGCAGACTTGGAATTTCTACCTCAGGGAATGAAGGCTGAGTATGCCAGTCTGAAAGGCTTATTATTTAAATGTCCTCAGGCGGGGCTGGACATGGGCACTCACAGCTGTAATCCCAGCACTTTGGGAAGCCAAGGCAGGAGGATTGCTTGAGCCCAGGAGTTTGAGACCAGACTGGGAAACATAGTGAAATCTTGTCTCTACAAAAAAATAAAAATATTAGCCCGGCACGGTGGTGTACATTTGTGGTCCCAGCTACTTGAGAGGCTGAGGTGGGAGGATGGCTTGAACCCGTCAGCTGTGATCTCATCACTGCAGTCCAGCCTGGGTGACTGAGCGAGACCCTTCTCAAAAAAAAAAAAAAAAATCCTAAGGCCAATTTTATATCTTACTGACCATGTTTATAGAGTGACTTCAGAGGAAAAAGCAAGCTCCTGGGCTTTTTTTTTTTTTTTTTTTTTTGAGATAGAGTCTCACTGTCTCCCAGGGTGGAGTGCAGTGGCACAATCTTGGCTCACTGCAACCTCTGCTGCCCGGGTTCAAGCGATTCTCATGCACCAGCCACCTGAATAGCTGGGATTACAGGCACACACCATCACGCCAGGCTAACTTTTATATTTTAGTAGAGACAGAGTTTCACCATATTGGCCAGGCTGGTCTCGAGCTCCTGGCCTCAAGTGATCTGCCCAACTCGGCCTCCCAAAGTGCTGGGATTCCAGGCGTGAGCCACCACACACAGCCACTCCTGGCCTCTTTTACTCAGAGAAATGAGTTGCTCTGGTGAGGTCTGGCCTCAGGTAAGGGGACCATTACATTGCAGGAACCCCTGGAAGCTGCATGGCCTGTGGTTAAGAGGCCAGCCTCTGCAGCCAGCCTGCCTGGGCTTATATACCCCCGTGAGACTTGCTACCGTGTGACCTTGGGTAAGTTCCTTGAGCTCTATGTACCTCGGTTTCCTTGTCTGTGTAATGGGAATGATACCAATAACACCTCTCTCTCAGGGCTCTTAAGAGGATTAAGTGAATCCTCTAAGGATTAACCTCTTAGAAGAACTTTACACAGCGCAGAGAAAGTACCATACAAATGTTTGCTATTATTATTATTACTTTAGTGTAAATTTACTGATCTGCAACTTTCCTCTCGTTAAGGTATACCTACAACAAATTTGCACTTTGAAATAGCTGTCCTGATGTTACTAAGTGGAGCTAATCATTTATCACCAAGTTCTGTTGCTTTTATTTATTTATTTTTTTTTATTTTTTGAGACAGGGTCTTGCTTTGTCACCCAGGCTGGAATCCAGCACTCACTGCAGCCTCAACCTCCTAGGCTCAAGTGATCCTCCCACCTCAGCATCCTGAGAAGCTGGGACTACAGGTGCGTGCCATCATGCCTGGCTAATGTTTGTGTTTTTTGTAGAGATGGGGGTCTTGCTATGTTACCTAGGCTGGTCTCGAACTCCTAGGATCAAGCGATCTGCCGACTCAGCCTTCCAAAGTGCTAGGATTACAAGCATGAGCTATGGCACCCAGCCTGTTGCTTCTTACTCTGAAGAATAGTTTGAGTTGATCTGATTCTCTCCAGTATAGGTGATAATTGAGCCCATGGGGCATGGGCTGTTATGGGTGGCAGTTAACCCCAGGAGTTCAAATCCTGGCTCTCCATTCACCAGCTGTGTGATCTTGGGTAAGTTTCTTAACATCTCTGAGCCTCAGTGGTCCCTATAAAATGACAACCACAATAGTACCTATTTCATAGGTGTTTGTGAGGATTGAATGAGATCATGCAGGTAAATTGCTGAGCACAGTGCCTGGCACTAATATATATTCAATCAAACCCATTCTTGCCCCAGCCACATCATCTCTCCCTGAAACGTTCATGTTGGCTTTTCTTTTTCCCCCTCTGCCTTGCCCTCTGGCCTTTGAACTTATATGGAAACCTGGAGTCTGCTTCCAATCTTACCCTCCTGCAAGGCATTCTCCACATGGCAGCGAAATGATTTTTTAAAACACAAACCTGATCATGCCACTCCTCTGCTTAAAATTCTGCAAGTGGGCCGGGCACGGTGGCTCATGCCTATAATCCCAGCACTTTGGGAGGCCCAGGTGGGTGGATCACCTGAGGTCAGGAGTTCGAGACCAGCCTGGCCAACATGGCGAAACCCCATCTCTACTAAAAATACAAAAATATTAACTGGGCATGGTGGTGGGCACCTGTAATCCCAGCTACTCAGGAGGCTGAGGCCGGAGAATCACTTGAACTCGGGAGGCAGAGATTGCAGTGAACCAAGATCGTGCCATTGCACTCCAGCCTGGGTGACAGAGTGAGATTCCATCTCGGAAAAAAAAAAAAAAAGAAAAGAAAAAGTAAGAAAAATTCTGCAAGTGATTCCCATTACCCTTGGGATAAATTCTCACATCCCTGTAGAGGCTCCCCGGGCCTCGCCAGAGGTCTATTCAGCATGCGCCTCCCTCAGTGGCCTTGTCTCATTCCCTGAAGGTTCCTTAGCACAGACCTTCACACCTGCAGTGGCCATCGTTTCTTCCCACACTCTTCCTGCCAAGCTAAGTCCCACTCATCCAACAAGCCTCAGCTTACATGTGACTTCCTCAAGATGCCTTCCTGACCTCCCAACTTGGAGGGTTCCCTCCATATTTAATTTCTCAAGGCATCTTATTCTATTCCTTCTTAGTGTTAACAATTGCACCAAAATTATTATCTGTATAATTTGAGTGTCAGAGTTTGTGTTGTTCACAGAACATCCCCAGAGTTTGGTGTGGTGTCCAGCCCATAGTAGGCACTCCATAAATACTTAAAGATTGGGTGGATGAATGAGTGAATCAATGAACAAATAGTGGCATTACCAGCCTGAGGCCTATAACCGACTCTGCAAGCACCATTCTGCAGAGCCTTGCTTCACTCGGCCCTTTCTTGGTTTGTGGGGGCAAAAGGACACGCTGTTTAGAACCCAGCAGGCTGAGGACAGGCACCCCCATCACAAAAATCAGAGTCCCAAGTCCTTTTAGAAGCTGAGACAATCCAGTCTTCTGCTCTGTTAATAAGGCCAGTGACCAGGAGCTCACTCCTACTTGCTAGCAAGTTCTTCCCAATATCAGCCTTAATCGTGTCTCCTTAAGAGTCCCCACCCATTTGTGAGATTTTTATTTGTTTGTGACTTCTGTATTTTCTAATTTTTATTTATTTATTTGAGACAGGGTCTTGCTCTGTTATGAAGGCTGGAGTGCAGTGGCACAATCAGGGCTTACTGCAGCCTCGAATTCCCAGGCTCAAGTGATCCTCCTGTCTCAGCCTCCCAAGTAGCTGGGATTACAGGTGCATGCCACCATGCCTGGCTGACTTTTTTTTTTTTTTTTTTGAGATGGAATCTTGCCCTGTTGCCCAGGCTGGAGTGCAGTGGTACAATCTCAGTTTACTGCAACCTCCGCCTCCCGGGTTCAAGTGATTCTCCCACCTCAGCCTTCTGAGTAGCTGGGACTACAGGCATGCGCCACCACGCCTGGCTAATTTTTTTGTATTTTTAGTAGAGACGGGGTTTCACTACATTGGCCAGGCTGGTCTCGAACTCCTGACCTCAGGTGATGGCCCACCTCGGCCTCCCAAAGTGTTGGAATTATAGGTGTGAGCCACTGTGCCCTGCCAGCTGGCTAATTTTTAAAAATTTTAATTTTATGTAAGTACAGGGTCTCCCCCTATGTTGTCCAGGCTGGTCTCAAACTCCTGGACTCAAACAATCCTCCTGCCTTGGCCTCCCACAGTGTTGGGGTTACAGGTGTGAGCCTCCACATCCAGCCATTCAACTTTCATAGAGTATATATAAATTGCTTTTGTAATTAGAGAGAAAGCAATACATTTTCTAAAGTTCTAACTGCAGAATCTAGTTCTGCCCTTTATGTTAACAATAAAGGCAAAAAAAGAGAAAGAACCATATTACTGGCCTCCTCTCCCACATCATGTTGGCAACTGAGTCCAGCACAAGCACACCTTGGTCTTTGTGTTTGGACTTGCCTGCCATTTGCACATACAGTGAGCTGCCACTAACTAGCAAATGCTTTCCCCAGTTTTCAAAATGTGCCTTTACCAGCCTAGTGTTGAGGCCTGAAATAGTCTTGGGGCTACCAGTCCTAACCCTGAGGGCACAGGCTGCCTCGCCAGGTATAGAGCCCTTGAGGGCAAAGATTGCCTGCTCCAGTTCAAGAGTAGGTCTTGGCATCCTGTGGCCAATCAACAGTACAGAATAGCTGGATGAGTAACCCACAGGTTTTTGTTTTGTTTTGTTTTTTGTTTTTGTGACGGTGTCTTGCTTTGTCACCCAGGCTGGAGTGCAGTAGTGCGATCTTGGCTCACTGCAACCTCTGCCTCCCGGGTTCAAGCTATTCTCCCACCTCAGCCTCCCAAGTAGCTGGGACTACAGGCACACGCCGCCACGCCTGGCTAATTTTTTTGTATATTTAGTAGAGACGGGGTTTCACCATGTTGGCCAGGCTGGTCTCAAACTCCTGACCTCAGGTGATCCTTCCACCTCAGTCTCCCAAAGTGCTGGGATTACAGGCACGAGCCACCTCACCCAGCTGTAATCCACAGATTTTGAATGAAATTAATCTGGAACAGAGGAACTTCAGAAAATCGTAACAAGTTTTCCCCAGGTGCAAGTGCATTAAGCTCCATGCCTATACCCTATAAGAACAACCCTAAAAAGGGCCGAGCGTGGTGGCTTATGCCTGTAATCCCAGCACTTTGGGAGGCCGAGGCAGGTGGATCACTTGAAATCAGGAATTAAAGACCAGCCTGGCCAACATGGTGAAACCCCATTTCTACCCAAAATACAAAAATTAGCCAGTTTTGGTGGCACTGTACTCCCAGCTACTTGGGAGGCTGAGACAGGAGAATCACTTGAACCCAGGAGGCGGAAGTTGCAGTGAGCTGAGATCTTACCACTGCATTCCAGCCTGGGTGACACAGTGAGACTCCATCTCAAAAAAAAAAAAAAAAAAAAAAAAAAAAAAAAAAAACCCTAAAGAAAGCAGCATTATATTGAATATTGACAATGGAAAATAAAATAAAATAAAATAAAAAGAAAGCAACAACAAAAAGGCCAGACCAAGACTTGTTAGATGATAAGCTTCCTCTATTCAATTGTTTAATATTTTATTTTTTATTTTTTTATTTTTGAGACGAAGTCTCGCTGTCGCCCAGGCTGGAGCACAATGGTGCGATCTCGGCTAACTGCAACCTCTGCCTCCCAGGTTCAAGCGATTCTCCTGCCTCAGCTTCCCAAGTAGCTGGGATTACAGGTGTGTGCCACCATGCCTAGCTAATTTTTTTGTATTTTTAGTAGAGATGGGGTTTCACCATGTTGACCAGGCTGGTCTTGAACTCCTGACCTCAGGTGATCCACCTGCATTGGCCTCCCACAGTGCTGGGATTACAGGCGTGAGCCACCATGCCTGGCCTAAATTTTAAATACATTTTCAAACAAGCGTATGTGTTATATATCATTTATGTACTTAAAAATTATTAACATTTAAAAAATCAAAATATAAGGCCGGATGTGGTGGCTCATGCCTGTAATCCCAACACTTTGGGAGGCTGAGACAGGAGCATTCCTTGAGGCCAGGAGTTTGAGACCAGCTTGAGCAACATAGTGCTTGAGCAACCTCACCTCTATGAAAAATAAGAAAATCAACTGGATGTGGTGGTGCACGCCTGTAGTCCAAGCTACTCAGGAGGCTGAGGCAGGAGGATTACTTGAGCACAGGAGGTCAAGGTATAGTGAGCTATGGTTGCACCACTGAACTCCAGGATGGACAACAGATCAAGATCCTGTCTCTAGAAAACAAACAAACAAACAAACCAAACATAAATAAGGAAAATGGTGTTAAATATTCTTTCTACTTACTAAGAACAATGTTTCTTTTCATTAGTGAAAAGTAATAAAGTTAAACCAGTTTGGTCTGTCAGGGTAAACAGCTGCTCCCTGGTAGAAGAATGTGATCTTTAGACACAAACAACAACAACCAAGAAAATCATTAAACTGAAGCCAAGTTTCCAGAGGGACCCAGGGGAAGTAATGAAAAGAATCCTTCAAAATGTAACAACACATTTTCTATAAAATGGAAATGGCTTTGGGGAAATGTTCTGAGGGGTTTGTTCACCACAGCTTGGGAAAAGAAAAACGTGTTTTCAAGCACAGCAAAAAGAACCTGTGTCCAGCAGCCAAGAGATGATGCAGAAACACTGGAGTCTGTAAAAGCTTTGATTCTAGAAAACTTTCTTTCCTTTTTTTTTTTTTTTTGAAACAGGGACTTGCTCTGTCACCCAGGCTGGAGTGCAGTGATGCAATCTTGGCTGACTGCAACCTCCACCCTCCATTTCTCAGGCTCAAGCAACCCTCCCACCTCAGGCTCCTGAGTAGCTGGGACTACTGGTATGTACCACCACAGTACACACTCAGCTAATTTTTTAACTTTTTTTTTTTTTTTTGAGACAGCCTCCTGAGTGGCTGGGACTACAGGCACGTGCCACCATGGCTGGCTAATTTTTTGTATTTTTAGTAGAGACGGGGTTTCACCATGTTAGCCAGGATGGTCTCGATCTCCTGACCTCGTGATCCACCTGCCTTGGCCTCCCAAAGTGCTGGGATTACAGGCATGAGCCACCATGCCCGGCCTTTTTTTTGTTTTGTTTTTTTTAAGACGGAGACTTGCTCTGTTGCCCAGGCTGCAGTGCAATGGCACAATCTCGGCTCACTGCAACTTCCACCTCCCAGGTTCAAGCGATTCTCCTGCCTCAGCCTCCCAAGTAGCTGGGATTACAGGCGCCCGCCACCATGCCTGGCTAATTTTTGTATTTCTTAGTAGAGATGGGGTTTCACCACATTGATCAGGCTGGTCTCGAACTCCTGACCTCAGGTCATCCACCCGCCTTGGCCTCCCAAAGTGCTGGGATTATGGGCATGAGCCACTGCGCCCGGCCCAAAAGATTTTTTATAGAGATGAGGTCTTACTATATTGCCCAAGATGGTCTTGAACTCCTGGATTCAAGCAATTCTCCTGCCTCAGCCTTCCAGAGCACCTGGATTATAGGCATGAGCCACCATGCCCACCTGGCCTAGAGAACTAACTAGACACTTCCAGAAGCCAGGAATACCCTATGCTTGCCTTATTTACCTTTGTATTTCAGATCCTACACACTGGCTAACACACAACAAGCACTCAATAAATATGAGGGTCTTAGTTCAAGAGCAAGGAAAGATCTGATAATGTGGCAATAACAATACACTACATTTTACAGTCAGTGGCAATTTAATGTTATTTCATTTCTCAACTCATCTCTGGGCAATGAGATTACAGATGTTCTTTTTTGTATTTTTATGCATTATCTGAATTGTTTACAAGGATGTATTTTGAAATAGAAAATAATAAACTTGACTCCCCATTAGGAAAAAGCAATTCTCATAACCATCATTGCCAGTTTTTTGACACCTTTTGGAAAAGGGTAGGGAATTAATTCTGCCATTGACTATAATTCAGCAGGAGGGCCAAGTGAATTCCTTCATTTCATAATATTTAATCAACACCAACTTGTGTTAAGAATGGAACTAGGTAGGCATGAGGAATGTATATGTGCTCCAAATACCAGCTTATGGCCTAAGGAGAGAGACAGACATTGAACACATACTGCCACTAACAAGTGTCCAGGTGCAACTGTGGCAGCTGCTATGGGAAAGGTAATAGAGCACCTGTGACCCTGAGATTGGTCTCCTGCTTGGGCCTAACTCCATATGTTTGCTCTTACAAATGTGTTTCCCTACCCAGAAGGCCCTTCCTTCTTCCTCCATATAGTCAAACTTGACTTTGCTTTGGAATCTTGCTTAAATCTCTAGTTCCTGTTCAAGGTCTGTCTGATTGGAGGCTTCCTTCGGGTAATGTCAGATAGCACCACCAAGATAATGCAATTCGTTAGGAGTTATATTAGCCAGGGTTTCCCAGAGAAAAAGAACCAACAGGATGTGTAAATATAGAGAGAGATCTATTGTAAGGACTTGACTCACAAGATTATGGAGGTGCAAATCCAAAGTCTGCAGGTTAGGTGGGCAAACTAGTGATTTAGGGAAGGGGCAGGGGCAGTCTGCTGACAGAACTTCTTACCTGGGGAGGTTTGTCTTTGTTCTGTTGAAGACCTTCAACTGATTGGATGAGGCACACCCATACTATGGAGGTCAATCTGCTTTACTTAAAGTCCACAGACCTTTTTCCCGCTTCATAAATCTTTCATTGGAATCAAAGACCACGGATTTAAATGTCAATCTTGGGCTGGGCACGGTGGCTCATGTCTGTAATTCCAGCATTTTGGGAGGCCAAGGCAGGTGGATGGCTTGAGCCCAGGAGTTTGAGACCAGCCTGGGCCAACATAGTAAAACTCTGTCACTACAAAAAAAAAAAAAAAAAAATTAGCCAGGCATGGTGGCGCATGCCTGCAGTCTCAGCTACTTCAGAGGCTGAGGTGGGAGGATCGCTCGAACCCAGGAGGCAGAGGTTGCAGTGAGCCAAGATCATGCCACTGCACTCCAGTCTGGATGACAGAGCAAGACCCTGTTTCAAAAAAAAAAAAAGTCAATTAATGCCATCCAGAAAACGTCTTCACAGAAATATCCAGTATAATGTTTGACTAAACATCTAGGTACTGGGGCCAACTGGACACATAAAATTAACTATCACAGAAGCCTTAACTCCCCAACTAGAGTCTACCATTTTAGAAGGCATGGATCAGCTCTTCCATGTCTTTGAAAGCTTCCATGGAGCCTAGCTGAGGGATTATTGTCAGGAGGTGTTCAAGAAATCCCTGAAGAGGGCTGGGCACAGTGGCTCACGCCTGTAATCCCAGCACTCTGGGAGGCCGAGGTAGGCGGATCATGAGGTCAGACCAGCCTGACGAACATGGCGAAACCCCGTCTCTACTAAAAATACAAAAATTAGCCAGGCGTGGTGGTGCATGCCTGTACTCCCAGCTACTTGGGAGGCTGAGGCAGAAGAATTGCTTGAACTCAGGAAGCGGAGGTTGCAATGAGCTGAGATCATGCCACTGCACTCCAGCCTGGGCAACAGAGCAAGACTCCTTCTCGAAAAAAAAAAAAAAAAAGAAATCTCGAAGCATATAAGAATAGAAGAATGAGATTTAACAGGCTCTCTGGAAGCAACTTTGTGCACCTTCTGGAAACAATAGAAGACATGTACCGGTACCTACTTAAACCTCAGAGTGCAATTCACATGGTGGCAGAGATCCCCAAAGCACAACCCTGATTCTTTCTCCATCCTGAAAACACTGCCCCACACCTTCTAAGACAGTAACGGATTTAGATAGAAATGACTGTCCATTTGGGTTTTAACTTAGCACAGCCCTAGCCAGTGAAGAAAAGACAAAAGAACAAGGCAGAAGAATATTGTGGCCTTGGAAGAAATTCCTGACACTGGTCTCTGACCATCATTTTATGACATGTGTACCTGTTTCAATCTTCATCTTCCTCTCAGCCTATTAAGTCATGCAGCGAGCTCCTACCTCTCACTTCCTTCTATCCCCGACCAAGCTTAAATCAGCCTCAGAGGCTGGAGATAAACCAGGCTCAGAGGAGGGGCCTGGTGGTTTCTCAGTCAATTTGCATTCCAAGCTCAAATTTTCATTTCTAAACCTACAATTTCATTTCCAGGCTTTCCCTTGGTTCCAGAGCTGGCTGCTGCTTAGGCGAGAGTGGGAGGGGGGGGCCTCAGTCAGAAATCTCAAGCAACTGGACCAGAGGTAGAATGCCTCAGGCCATTTTTCAATGCCAGTCCCCATTGTTATGGGTCCCACATCGACCTGGTGCTCTTGTTTAACCCCTTTTGCATCTGTAAAAATCATTTTCATTATCCCTTAGTCCCAGTGGAGAAACAGGCAAAGGATAGGTTCAGACTGTTCGCAGAAGAGAATTCCAAATGTCTCTGAACACATGAAAAGATGCTCAACAGGGGCGAAGTGCAGTGGCTCACGCCTGTAATCCCAGCACTTTGGGAGGCCGAGGTGGGCGGATCACGAGGTCAGGAGTTCAAGACCAGTCTGGCCAACATGGTGAAACCCCGTCTCTGGTAAAAATACAAAAATGAGCCAGGAGTGGTGGTGGGTGCCTGTAATCCCAGCTACTTGGGAGGCCGAGGCAGGAGAATCGCTTGAAACCACAAGGCGGAGGTTACAGTGAGCCGAGATCGCACTGTACTCCAGCCTGGGCAACAAGAGTAAAACTCTGTCTCAAAAAAAAAAAAAAGAAAAAAAAGAAAAGATGCTCAATTACACTCATCATAATAGAAATTCAAATTAAAAGCATAAGGGGAATATATCAGATTGGCAAAGATCAGAACATTAGCTAACACGGTCCGGTAAGATCATGGGGCCTCTTTCCAGCCAGCGCCGAGTGATGGGCATCTCTCAGGACAACTGGCACAAGCGCCGCAAGACTGGCAGCAAGAGAAAGCCCTACGACAAGAAGCGGAAGTATGAGTTGGGGCACCTGGCTGCCAACACCAAGATTGGCCCCCACCACATCCACACAGTCCGTGTGCGGGGAGGTAACAATAAATACGGTGCCCTGAGGCGGGACATGGGGAATTTCTCCTGGGGTTCAGAGTGTTGTACTCGCAAAACAAGGATCACTGATGTTGTCTACGATGCGCCCAATAGCAAGCTGGTCCGTACCAAGACCCTGGTGGAGAACTGCTTCGTGCTCACTGACAGCACACCGTACCACCAGTGGTATGAGTCCCACTATGCGCTGCCCCTGGGCTGCAAGAAGGGAGCCAAACTGACTCCTGAGGAAGAAAAGACTTTAAACAAAAAACGATCTAAAAAAATTCAGAAGAAATACGATGAAAGGGAAAAGAATGCCAAAATCAGCCGTCTCCTGGGGGAGCAGTTCCAGCAGGGCAAGCTTCTTGCATGCGTCGCTTCAAGGCTGGGACAGTGTGGCCAAGCCCATGTCTATGTGCCAGGGGGCAAGGAGATGGAGTTCTATCTTAGGAAAATCAAGGCCCGGAAAGGCAAATAAATCCTCATCCTTTCTGTCTTTGCCCATGGAATAAAGGTGTCTATTGTTCTGTGGCAAAAAAAAAAAAAAAAAAAAAAAAAGTCATGGGGAACGTGCACTCTGAACGCTACTGGTGCGAGGCTGACCTTCCCTGACCTCCTTGGAGACAAATTTGGCAAAATAACTTAAATTTTAAAACGCATTGGCCTGATGATGGAGCACTTCCACTTCCAGGTATTGATAGACCTACTCGTACTTTCTTGCAAAATGACCTGTGCACAAGAAAATACACTGAAGGCCAGGCACGGTGGCTCATGCCTGTAGTCCCAGCACTTTGGGAGGCTGAGGCAGGTGGATCATTTGAGGTCAGGAGTTTGAGACCAGCCTGGCCAATGGTGAAATCCCATCTCTACTAAAAATACAAAAAAATAAGCCAGGCATGGTGGTGCACGCCTGTAATCCCAGCTACTTGGGAGGCTGAGGCAGGAGAATCACTTGAACCCAGGAGGTGGAGGTTGCAGTGAGCCGAGATCATGCCATGCACTCCAGCCTGGGTAACAGAGTGAGACCCTGTCTGTCTGTCTCTGTCTCAATCTCTCTCTCTCTTTCTGTCTCTCTCTCTCTCTCTCTCTCTCTCTATATATATATATACATATATACACACACACACACACACACAATGCAGCATTGTTTGTAATAGCAGAAGATTGGAAACTATCTAAATATCTATTAATAGGAGACCAGTTCAATAAATTAGGAAGTACTGTACAGTCACTTAAAGGAGTAAAGAGGCTCTGTGTGGAGTGATATGGAAAATTTCACAGGAACATTGTTAAGTAAAAAGAGGAAGGTGAATGCCAGTGCACATGGCTATCATTTTACGAGTAGGAAGAACGTGCACATATATGTTGGTAAATGAATGGGAGACCCCCTGGAAAAACACCCAGTAAGCTGGAGACATTGGTTGCCTCTAGAGCAGGGAACTGGGAAGCTGGGGAGCATAGAGGAAGGGAAGTTTCTTTTTCTTTTCTTTTCTTTTTTTTTTTTTTTGAGACAGAGTCTTGCTCTGTGACCCAAGTTAGAGTGCAGTAGCATGATCTCGGCTGACTGCAACCTCCGCCTCCTGGGTTCAAGTGATTCTCCTGCCTCAGCCTCCCAATGAGCTGGGATTATAGGTGCCACCATGCTGGGCTAGTTTTTTGTGTTTTTTTTTTGTTTTTTTTTTTTTTGTATTTTTAGTAGAGACGGGGTTTCACCATGTTGGCCAGGTTGGTCTTGAACTTCTGACCTCAGGCAATCAGCCCACCTCGGCCTCCCAAAGTGCAGGGATTACAAGTGTGAGCCACTGAGACTAGCCGGGAGGTTTATTTTTCATCGAGTACCTGTTATGGGTTGAATTGTGAACCTCCCCCACCCCCGCCAAGTTATATGTTGAAGTCCTACCTCAGGACCTCAAAATGTGAGTGTATTTGGAAATAGTGTCATTGCAGATGTAATTAGTTAAGATGAGGTCATACTGGAGTAGGGTGGGCCCCTAATGTCCTTGTTGAAAAGGGAGAATTTGAGGCTGGGTGCAGTGGCGCATGCCTGTAATCTTAGCACTTTGGGAGGCTGAGACAGGAGAATCACTTGAGCCTAGGAGTTCAAAACCAACCTTGGCAACACAGTGAGACCCCATCTCTATATAAAAAAGAAAAAAGAAAAGGAGGCGGCCGGGTGTGGTGGCTCATGCCTCTAATTCCAGCACTTTTGGAGGTCGAGGCGGGGGATCATCTGAGGTCAGGGGTTTGAGACCAGCCTGGCCAATATGGCAAAATTCTGTCTCTACTAAAAATACAAAAATTAGCCAGGCATGGTGGCAGGTGCCTGTAATCCCAGCTACTGGGGAGGCTGAGGCACAAGAATTGCTTGAACGTAGGAGGCAGAGGTTGCAGCGAGCCGAGATCATGCCACTGCACTCCAGCCTGGGCAACAGCGCGAGACTCTGTCCCAAAAAAAAAAAAAAAGGGAGGAATTTGGACCCAGGCAGTCATACAGGAAGAATGCCATGTGAAAATGAAAGCAGAGATCAGCATGATGCCCAGCAAACTACTAGAAGCTAGGTGAGAGGCATGGAACAGAGTTTTCCCTTGCAGCCCTTAGAAGGCTCCAACCTTGCTGACACCTTGACTTGGACTTCTACAGTCCAGACCTGAGACAATGCATGTCTGTTGTTCTAAGCCACTTAGTTTGTGGTACTTTGTCCCAACAGCCCTAGTGAACTAATGCAGTCTCCTTTGGCACCTGGAGTTCTGTATCATGTGTATACTACTGATTATTGATTTAAAACTTTTTTCAACACAAATGTCTCCCGGAAGCCTTCCCAGATTCACTAGGCTGAGTTAGTTGCTCTGTCTTTTCGGCTCCCACAGCATTTTATCTGTATCTCTGCAATAGCACTTACCACGTTGTAATGTAACTTAACTCTTCACAGGGTTCTTGACTCCACAAAATCATTAACTCCTGAGCACAGAGGCTGAGCCTGTTTCATTCATCATTGTAATTCCAGAGACTGGCATCAAATGCTTGTTGGAGTGAATAAACAAATGGGTAACCAGACATTTTTCACTTCCCTCCTACATTCGTATCATTATTTATTGGTTTTTGGCTTGACAAGCTATCCATTCATTCATGTTTAGTCAGGGTGATATAATTGAAAACTGATCTTAAAGAAGAGGTCAGGAATGAAGGTGGTGACAGAGCCATGCTCTCTCTAGAAGACTCTAGGCGAGAATCCTACCTGCCTCTTCCAGCTTCTGGAGGTTGCAGACAATCCTCAGTGCTCCTTGGCTTACAGGTGCATCGCTCTGATCTCTGCCTTCATTGTCACATGGTCTTCTCCCTGTATGTCTGTGTCTCTGTATCAACATTTCCCTCCTTTTATTTTTATTTACTTATTTTTATTTATTTATTTTTGAGACAGAGTCTTCCTCTGTCACCCAGGCTGGAGTGCAGTGGCGCGATCAAGGCTCACTGCAACCTGCACCTCCAGGGTTCAAGCGATTCTCCTGCCTCAGCCTCCCCAGTAGCTGGGATTACAGGTGTGCACCACCACACCTGGCTAATTTTTTTGTATTTTTAGTAGAGATCGAGTTTCACCATATTGGTCAGGCTGGTCTTGAACTCCTGATCTCAAATGATCTGCCCGCCTTGGCCTACCAAAGTGCTGGGATTACAGGCATGAGCCATCGCACCTGGCCCCTCTTTTTATTTTTATTTTTTTGAGGCATAGGTCTCACTGTGTCACCCAGGCTGGAAGGCAGTGGCATGATACTGGCCCACTGCAACCTCTGCCTCCCAGACTCAAGCTATCCTCCCACCTCAGCCTCCCAAGTAGCTGGGACTACAGGCTCACATCACCACGCCCAGCTAACGTTTGCTTATTTTGTAGAGACAGGGTTTCGACATGTTGCCCAGGCTGGTCTCAAACTCCTGGACTCCAGGGATCTGCCTGCCTTGGCCTCCCAAAGTCCTGGGATTATGGTTATGAACTGGTGTCCTCTTCTTATGAGGACACCAGTCATTGGATTAAGGCCCACTCTAATCCAGTATGACCTCATCTCAATTTGATCGCATCTGCAAAGTAATCTCACATTCTGAGGTTGTGGGTAGATATGAACACATCTCACATTCTGAGATTGTGGGTAGATATGAACTTGTGGTGATACTATTCAATGCAGTTCAGCTGCTCAGCTAGGACTCACCTAAAAAAGAGAAGCAGCAAGAGGTGGAGGGCTGTTTTGCCTTGTGGTTAAATACAGGTTGCAGAATCAGCCAGACCTGGCTTCAAATCCTGGTTTTACCTGCTGGTCAGCTATGTGAGCTCAGGCAAGTTATTCAACATCTCCAAGCCTATTTCCTCAACCATGCAATGGGTTTAATAAAAGCCTGTGCTTCCTAGAGTTGCTGGGTAGATAAATGAGATCAGGACAGTGTCTGATATTAAAAAAAAAGAAAAAAGAAAAAAAATAGCTGAGTGCAATGGCTCTTGCCCATAATTCCAACACTTCGGGAAGCAGAGGCAGGTGGATTGCTTGAGGTTGGCAGTTCGAGACTAGCCTGGCCAACATGGTGAAACCCCATCTCTGCTAAAAACACAAAAATTAGCCAGTGTGGTGCCACACACCCATAATACCAGCTACTCAGGAGGCAGAGGTTGCAGTGAGCTGAGATCCCATCACTGCACTCAGCCTGGGCAACAGAGCGAGACTCCACCTCAAAAACTAAAAAGTAAAAAATAGTTAGCGTTTGATGCTAGAGTCCCCAGTACCATGGTTCCTGCCATTCTTTCAGGGAAGAATGTAGACAGTTAAATAGCTAAACAGGATGGTTTGTGATTAAAGGCCCAGGATGTACCTGCCACACAAGGTCAGAGAGCACAGGGCGACTGGGCTCAAGCAGGCACAGACTTTAACTTTTAATAACAAACAGATGCAAAGTTAGTGCTGCAATCTGAAACTCTGCAGCGAAGCCATATTGATTTCCCCTTCCACCTCCAGCAGGGCGTATTTATAGAGCTTATCATAGAAGTCTGCACAGTATAACCAGGCCGGACGTCTTCTATCCCCCTCAGTGCTAATACCTACTGCCTGTAGCCCTTCTCTCCCAGTGCACTCGACCATCAGGACATTAGAGAGAGGCCATGGCTTCCATCCAGATGGCCCTGGCCTCCTTTTATCTAGGCTGCCCCTAGTGGAAGGGCCCCCTGAGAGGGCATGGCTAGTGAAGGTGTGCATGGCTGCACGTGCCGATCTCTCACAACATCCCAAAAGCAAAAAAAACGACCTGGGATGACCAGCATTTTGCACCGATCAGGGAGAACTGGCTGTTCTCCTATGCTGGCTCTTGTGTTCCAATAGAAATGGATTAAATCACCCAGACGCTGAAATCTTGTGGTTGACATTTTCATTTAAAACTCACCATTATAGCTGGGCTTGAGTCCTCTGTCTGTGACCTGTGCTATGAGTCAGTCAGGCCTGGGCACAGCATTAATAGGGCTGATTTATAATCTTCCACAGCAGCCAGCTACGGCTCCTGTTTCCTCAGCATTGAGAAAAAATCATTCGCACAAAACGTTGTTTCTCAATTCTAGCTTTTTACATTTTTTCCCTTGGTGACAAGTGGGACTAAGCCGTTGATTCACTTATGTTTGAGCTCCTGGTTAATAGCGTGGGATCCGGCGTCAATTGCCACAATTCAAATCCCGCCTCCACAAATCAAGAGCCTTGTGTTAACGTCTCCAAACCTTAGTTGCTTCATCTGTAAAAGGAGAATCATAATAACGCCTACCCAGAAGGCTGCTGAGAGGATTGTTCCAGGCTTGGTTCCTCAGGAAGCTGACTATGAGAGGTAGCAAGCTGGACTTTATTACGGAATTCTCCTAGGAGCAACACAGGAAGCAGGACTGTGCAGAGGGAGAAGCTGAGCTGTGATGCAGTCCCAAAGAAAGCAGCAGTCAACCCCAGAGGGCGCTCTGGAGCCGGGGTAGCCCGTTAGCCCTATCCTGAGTTGGACCGAAGGGGCTGGGCCTCTAAGCCCCTCAATAAATCAGTCACTAGATGCAGGTTGTCCCTGGAGGGACGTGTGACCTTGGGCGAGGCAGTTTTCTTCAGCTGCATCAGTCCCCATAGGTAGCTGAGATTCAGCTTCCTACAGCATCCCCAACAGTAGGTGGAATAAGTCCCTCATCCCTGAAAGTGGATCTGGGCAGCACGCATCACAGCTTCTCCCATAAAAATTAAATGCAGTAATCCACACAAAGCCGTTCACACAGTACCTGGCATGCAGTAAATGTTCAATAAATGGTAGCCATTACAACTATTGTTGCTTTAGTAACTACTGTCTGTCAGGCACCATGCTAGAGGCTGGGGACCCAGTGGTGATTGACAAGTCTGCTCCTGCCCTCATGAAACTCAATCCATGGACACATTAGACCATCAGACAAGCAATTGCAATTCAGTGCAATTGACAGGGTGGCATGGGATGTATAAGGGAGCATGTTATAAGGAAAATGTTTATTTAGAAACAGAGTGCTTGTTCCTTGGTACGGCAAGGAAAAATTAGCATTTAGACAAAAAATTTTTTTTAGCAAGGCAATTTTACTTTCTGCAGAAAGGGTGCTCCTTGCAGATGGAACAATAGCAAGAGCACACTTGAACAAAGAAGGGAAGTAATTTTTATCCTTTATGCAGTTTGTCTCTGCTACTGTGTCCTGTCTCTATTGGCTGGAGCGGGACCTCACAGTCTAAATTAAATCCGACTTGCTAATAATTTAAAACTTTCTTAAATAGGTAAAAGCAACAGAGAACAAAGGAAAAGAGGAAGTTGCTTGCGAAAGGACTTAGAAAAGTAATAATATTTTTAAATAAGGAAGGGGCACAGGCTGCAAGCTGGAATGTGCCTGTGAGCACGTCTAGTACAAATATCTTGGTTAAAGTACAAGGACATAGACTGTACTTATTCTTTTTTTTTTTTTTTGAGACGGCGTCTCGCTCTGTCTCCCAGGCTGGAGTGTGGAGTGCAGTGGTGTGATCTCAGCGCACTGCAAGCTCCGCCTCCCGGGTTCACGCCATTCTCCTGCCTCAGCCTCTCGAGTAGCTGGGACTACAGGCGACGGCCACCACGCCCAGCTAATTTTTTTTTTTTTTTGTATTTTTTTAGTAGAGACGGGGTTTCACTGTGTTAGCCAGGATGGTCTCGATCTTCTGACCTCATGATCCACCTGCCTCAGCCTCCCAAAGTGCTAGGATTACAGGTGTGAGCCACCGTGCCTGGCCAACTGTACTTATTCTTTTATATCTAACAGCTACATAGGACAAGGCTTAACAAAGAGTTACTAGCACAAAGCAAGGAGGCTTGAAGGAAGTTTAGTCTTTAAAAGAAACTATTATTTTTAACATTTATGATTTATTCTTTAACAAGAAGGGAAGCTTCGAAGAGGAAACTTTTTACTTTCTGCAGAGCACCTATTGGGTTGGTGCAAAAGTAATCACAGTTTTTGCCATAATAGAAGGGACACATGACTCAGACCAGGAGGATGAAGAAGAGAGATGCCACAGGTAATACCTGATGATGAAGGGGGGTCAGCCAGGCAAAGAGAGCGGGAGGCCATTGGGTGTTGGAGAGAAGGGCTCTCCAGGTGGAGGAAGCAGGGTGGGCAGAGGCAAGGGCAGGCTGTGTCAGTGCCTGCATGATATGGTGCAGCAAGGCCAGCCAGAGTGCACACCAGGCTGAGGGGAGGAAGGTCTTGTGTACACCAAGCCAAGGAGTGTGGAGTCAACAGAGAGGCATTAAAGAATTCTAGGCAGAGAAGGGGCAAGGCCTGTTTTGTGCTTGAAAGATTGCTCTGGCTACCATGTGGGCAACGAATTGGAGATGAACAAGATTAGAGGCTGGTTTACGTGACCAACTGCTTACGCACACACACAGACACACACACATACACACATACACACACACACACACAAAGATTAGAGTCTGGGAGATCCATCAGGAGGCCGTGCCAAGATCCAGATGACAGGCAAAGGTAACCTGGACGGGTTGGTGGCACTAAAGACAGACAGGAGTTCACAATCAAGGAATATCTAGGAAGTGGAATCCACAGATTTAAGGATAATTAAATGGGCCAGGCACGGTGGCTCACATCTGTAATCTCAGCATTTTGGGAGGCCAAGGCAGGAGGATCACCTGAGGTCAAGAGTTCAAGACCAGCCTGGCCAACATGGTGAAACCCTGTCTCTACTAAAAATACAAAAATTAGCTGGGCATGGTGGCGGGTGCCTATAATCCCAGCTACTCGGTAGGCTGAGGCAGGAGAATCGCCTGAGCCAGGGAGGCGGAAGTTGCAGTGAGCCGAGATCACGCCACTGCACTCCAGCCTGGGTGACAGAGCAAGTCTCAAAAAAAAAGGATAATTAAATGGTGAGGGGCAAAAGAAATTTAGGGTTATGCTTAAGCTTCTGATCTGGGCAGATGAACTCCAGGAGGCCTAAAGAGGGAGTGTCTGAGGGCCTGGAGAAAAGAAAAAGCCACCGAGGACAGACATGATGCTCAGTATTCAACGTGGCTCAAAGCAGCTTCTTCCAGCCAGCTCTCCAAGACTTGTGTCTCTGTTTTAGACAAACCCTGCGGAAGTCCCTAGCGGAGGATAACTCTTCTGCGGTGAGCAGGTCTATGCACACCTACCCTCAAAGGCTGAGGAAACTGAGAAGCTGAAGAAAGAGGTGGACAAATCCAGTTTCTCAGAGAGAAACACTTAATAGGGACTTACAAACACAAGCCATGTCCTGGATGGCTGCAAGACAAGATGGCGGGTCCCTGCACTGTTACCCTGAAGTCCCAGGGCTTGTATACCACAGGGAATTCGCCACAGGCAGGATTTATAGTAAGTATGTGTTTACAGTAACACCAACGTTATTTTGACCGAAGGGTAAGTATGTGAAAATAGAAATCTTAGAGGCATTCCTGGAACGGGTTCATCAGAAACGAACATGGCAGATGAGCATCCAGGATGGAGCTGCTTTAGCCTCCAGAGCAACTGTCAGAAGCAGCTATGTTAATCCCAGAGTAACCTGCTTCCTCCCTGCTGCTTCTTTCAGGGGAAAAATGGCCAACACCACTTTCAGTATTTGTTTGTTTATTGAGACAGAGTCTTCCTCTGTTGCGCAGGCTGAAGTGCAGTGGCGTGATCTCAGCTCACTGCAAACTCCGCTCCCCGGGTTCCAGCGATTCTCCTGCCTCAGCCTCCCAAGTACCTGGGATTACAGGCACCCACCATCATGCCCGACTAATTTTTGTATTTTTAGTAGAGACGGGGTTTCACTATGTTGGCCAGGCTGGTCTCAAACTCCTGACCTCAAGTGATCCCCCCCACCTCTGCCTCCCAAAGTGCTGGGATTACAGGCATGAACCACCACACCCAGCCTCTGTGTTTATTTAAACTGTAGTTACTTAAACTGTAGTGGAAAGCAAATTGAGCAAGGAAGAAGATAGAAATAAAATTTCACTCTGGATTCAATCTTCGATAAACATCAACATTTATTGAATATGGACTCTGGGTTCAGGGCTGCAGACATAAGGAAGCATAAGGCAGACACTGACTAGTGAATTTGGGGGTCTAGTTCCTTCAACAGTAATATTTCCTATGGGAAACTAGTGCACTGACATTCGGGTTTATACACCTGTCTCTAACATGTTTGGTGACCTGCATCAGTCCCTGGGGCCTGATCATCACTGGAGTTACTGGACTCCAAAGCGGATAAGCATACTTTTACAAGTGAGAATCATTCCATTGGAAATGATAGGCAGGCCTCTCTGGCATTTTCTCCAGAAGGAGTAAGCTGAGGGCAGGAAGGGGCAGAGGTATTGACTGGGGTTCGAGGATATTCTCTGATTCCGAATTGAAAACTAGGCCCAATATTAGTTCAAAGCGTTTCTGGGGAAGGGAATGAGTCAGTATGTCTAAAGATCTAAAATGTCACCTCCCAAACATTCTCTCTTTCTGGAACACAGTCTCTCTTTCCCAGGGGAATTGGGGTGCTCATTGACGTTTGTTAAATAAAAGTTATAAGAGGTCACTGTTTTGGACTAAGCTCCTGCATTTGGCCTTAACAAACCCGACGAAAAATCAGAAAGGAGTCACTCATGCTAAAGTTCCACATCACCAAACCAAAACCAAGTTGTTATCTGACTTTCTGAGAAATCAGGAGAGGTGATAGTCTAATTTCCCAAACAGGCTACTTTCGAATGAGGGGTGAGGGTTGGGGAGTGACAGGAGGTGGCTGGGGGCACCAACTCCGTGCAGTCGAAAATCCCTGCAAAGCTGGGCGAGGTGGCTCATGCTTGTAATCCCAGCACTTTGGGAGACGGAGACGAGTGGATCACTTGAGACCAGGAGTTTGAGACCAGCCTGGCCAACATGGCAAAACCCTGTCTCTACTAAAAATACAAAAATTAGCCAGGCATGGTGGTGCACACCTGTAATCCCAGCTACTCAAGAGGCTGAGGCAGGACAATCGCTTGAACCCAGGAGGCAGAGGTTACAGTGAGCTGAGATTGCCCCACTGCACTCCAGTCTGGGAGAGAGAGCAAGAACCTGTCTCAAAAAAATAAATAAATAAAATAAATAAAATAAGAAAAGAAAGGAAAAAAGAAAATCCCTGCATACTTTTTTGTTTGTTTGTTTTTGAACTGGAGTCTGGCTCTGTCGCCCAGGCTGGAGTGCAGTGGCATGATCTTGGCTCACTGCAACCTCCGCCTCCTGGGTTCAAGCAGTTCTGCCTCGGCCTCCCGAGTAGCTGGATTACAGGCATGTGCCACACGTCCAGCTAATTTTTGTATTTTTAGTAGAGTTGGGGTTTCACCATGTTGGCCAGGCTGGTCTCAAATTTCTGATCTCAAGTGATCCGCCGCTTGGCCTCCCAAAGTGCTGGGATTACAGGCGTGAGCCACCATGCCCCGCCCCTGCATACTTTGAATCTCCCAAAACTACCAATAGCCTACTCTTGACGGAAAGCCTTGCCAATAACATGAACAGTCAATTAACACATATGTTGTATATGTATTATATGTATTCGTGCAATAAAGTAAGCTAGAGAAAAGAACATGTTAAGAAAATCATAAGGAAGAGATTTTACATTTACATAAGGAAGAGTAGTACACTTACTACTCATTTAGTGGACGTGATCATCATAAACGTCATCATCCTCATTATCTTCACGTGGAGGCTGAGGAGGGGAAGGAAGAGGAAGGGTTGATTCTCCTGTCAAGGGGTGGCAGAGACAGAAGAGGTGGAGGAGGTGGAAGGGGAGACTGGAGAGGCAAGCACATCGGTGTAACTTTTATTGAAAAAAAATCCATGTACAAGTGGACCTGCTCAATTCAAACCCATGTTAAGGGTCAACTGTACAGTAATCTGAAGTATGTAACCTGATGTTACATTTCTCTCAATCATTTCTCTCTTTCTTTCTCTCTCTTTCTTTTAAAGAGATAGGGTCTTGCTCTGTCGCTTAGGTTGGCATGAAGAGCAAAATCATAGCTCATGGCAGCTTCAAACTCCTGGGCTCAAATGAGCCTCCCACCTCAGCCTCCTGAGTAGCTGGGACTACAGGCATAAGCCACTGCACCTGGCTTATTTTTTGTTTATGCAGAGATGGGGGTCTTACTGTGTTGTCCAGGCTGGTCTCAAACTCCTGGACTCAAGAGGTCCTCCAGTCTTGACTTTCCAAAGTGCTGGCATTATAGGCATGAGCCATGGTGGCAAGCCCTCATCAGTTATTTTTCTATGATTCTGTCTCTCTGTCCCCTCCTTACAAGGAAAGTAATTTTGAAACAACCAATCCAGTCTTGGTTCTTTGTTTCTGCTTTCTTCAGCCCTTCTCTGTCTATAAAACCAACCTCTTCTGCTCAGCTCATGGGAGCACTTATTCTAATTTAATGGAGATGTTGCCCAATTTCTAGAATCACAAATAAGATCTTTAACAATAAAAGTTAAAAAATGAAAATCAACAACAACAACAACAAAAAAGATCTTTAAATGTGTTGTAATTTTCTCCTTTGACAGGTTACAAGTGCAATTGAATAAACCAAACAAAAAATGTCATGGTTATTCGGTCTTTACTTCCCAAATCAGGGTCAAGATATAAGATAGCAAGAACCAATCTCTACCATAAAAAAGATCCAGACCCAAGAAAATGTGATTTATCTTTAAAGCTGCAACGAAACTTTCTTTTTAGTCTAGGAGACTAAAAGCCATCAGTTGATACAATCTCTTTTTTTCTTGAAGTTTCCAAAGGAAGGCAGGTGAGTTTGCACTGACTTCCATTTTCTCCCTGGCTTCCTTCCGGTGTCAGATGAGAGTCCCCGCGCTCCTCCCGGACAGCCCTCAGGGTCCTCGGCTATCATATATGGGGGAGGGGGTGGAGGTGGGCGAGATGGTTTTGTTTGTACAGGAAGGACGGGCGGCAGGCACGGGGAGCACGGGCTCCGGCCCCGGGAACACTCACTCGGCGCAAAGGAGAGGGAGAGAGCGACTATGAAAGCCGAAACCCGCCCGGGGCGCACGGAGGACGGCCCCAGTCCAGCTCGTCCGGCTTCCCACCCGCAGGCGGACCCCGAAGCCGCGCCCGCGCCCGCCCGCGGCGACTCCGGCCCGGGCACGCGCACGAGTCGGAAGGGGGAGGGGCGGGAGGAGGTGGGGGAGGGGCGAGCGGGCCGAGGCCCCGCCCCCGCTCCTCTGCCCCGCCCGCCGCGATTATAGCCGATGACTCAGGGCGGAGCTCCGCATCCAACCCCGGGCCGCGGCCAACTTCTCTGGACTGGACCAGAAGTTTCTAGCCGGCCAGTTGCTACCTCCCTTTATCTCCTCCTTCCCCTCTGGCAGCGAGGAGGCTATTTCCAGACACTTCCACCCCTCTCTGGCCACGTCACCCCCGCCTTTAATTCATAAAGGTGCCCGGCGCCGGCTTCCCGGACACGTCGGCGGCGGAGAGGGGCCCACGGCGGCGGCCCGGCCAGAGACTCGGCGCCCGGAGCCAGCGCCCCGCACCCGCGCCCCAGCGGGCAGACCCCAACCCAGCATGAGCGCCGCCACCCACTCGCCCATGATGCAGGTGGCGTCCGGCAACGGTGACCGCGACCCTTTGCCCCCCGGATGGGAGATCAAGATCGACCCGCAGACCGGCTGGCCCTTCTTCGTGGACCACAACAGCCGCACCACTACGTGGAACGACCCGCGCGTGCCCTCTGAGGGCCCCAAGGTGAGCCGGGCCCGCGGCCCGCCCTGGTCGGTGGCGCCACCTCGACGGCAGGCGGCGGGGAGTGGGCTGGGCCGGGGGGACGCGAGGCGGCGGGGCCCGGGGGTCGGCGAAGGCCCCTCGCGGGCGGACACCGGCTCCGCGCCCCGCCACACACTCCCGCTGCGCCCGGACGAGTCCCCGCTCCGGACCCGCCCTTGACAGGCGTCGGGGCGAAAGGAGGCCCCGGGATTCGGTGGCCCGGGAAGCGACCCCGCAGTGGCTCCGGTGCCGTCCACGGCTCGACTCCAGGGCGGAAGGCCGGGTGTCCAGCGCTGGCCTCGCGCTCTAGGGCTGGGAGAGGGGCGGCCGGCCTGGTCAGCTCCGGAGGCCCCGGCCCACCGTGGCCCCTGCTGCCCGCTCGGCCTCCGGGCCCGGGACCCGCGGCGCACCCTGCTGACCGCGGACTCGAGGGGGACACTCGCAAGCTTGGATGGTGGTTTTGGGGGGAATTTTACCGCTCAAGTTCTCCAACTTGGTTGAGGGGTATCTTGGCTACTGTCCCATGTTAGGCACCCAATGACTCTGGAGGCTGGTGTCAAAACATTCATATATATATGTGTGTGTGTGTATTTTAAATTAAAATTGTATTATTGTTTGAAAGTGCTTTCAATATGAACGTATCCTAGTATGATTTGTAAAATAAAAAACAGGGTGTGCTTCTCCCCAGCAGTTTCTAGAGATCTAGACTAGAGATCTGAGACTGTCTTACAGTTGGCCATTGCCTTACCACATTGCCTCACACTGGAGAGAAAGAGAATGATACGTGTATATTTATAATGGCATTCGCTTCCTGCCTTGTTATGGTATTAAAATACTTAGGATTTGTTACCAGTACACAAATAACTGACTAATGATACTCTTGTGAATACAGCAGAAGTATGTCTCATTTACATACATGCAAGGATATATACTTCTTAATCCCCAAGAGCATGAAATTTGAAAATGTAAATTTGGAATGAGTGTGTTAATTTTCAAAAATCAGAGTTAGTTATACTATTCTTTCAATTTTTTATAAATTTGAGCTTTCAGGATAAAAAGTTTTTAAAATAAATATGTTATACTTAAAGCTGAATTGTTAACGCCGTCTGGGCAAGATAAAAGCAGCAAAGAGCTGGTAAATTATTTTGAAGATTTAAAAACTCACCAAATTAAAACTGCTGTGTAACCCATTGTTTTAGAAGAAAGACCTGTATTATTTCCCTTCATCTTTATGCACTTTTTGTTTTAACAATATTGATAAAACTCCGGTGCCCAGCAGTGAGACCGTGTACAGGCAGCAGTTTACATTTACGAGAGATTAGTTGTATATTTATTCTTGAAAATTAGTACAAGAGGCTGTAATTAGCTGGGATGGGCACAGTTACATATACCTTTTTGTGTGTCTGTTCCACCCATTTTTGGGTGAAACTGACACTCATTTCAAACCACCTTTCTTAGGAGTCTGCGTGGATGTACATGATCTTTAGTGTGGTTTACAACTATTATTTTGAAGCCTTCTTCCTGTAGACATAGGGATAGTGGTATCTGTTGGCAGCCTTTGTTGTGAGTGAAGATCAAGTTTGAACATAAACATTCCCAGCACTTTGTTCTCAGCATGAAACTTACCCAGCAAGTTGAGATCTTCCTGTACCCACCTGGTGCATGGGTTAGGCTGTGATTTCATAAACCTTATTAAAAGAAAAAAAGCAGGTTTAGTTACCATTATTCTTGTCAGCAAATACAAAGAACTACTAAATCAGAAGTCTGATGCTGGGAAGATTTATTTGAAAATTTCACGGTCAAAATTTTAAAGTTGAAATGTCCTTGAAGATCTCTTATGTTAGGCTTCTTTATTTTCTGAAACCCAGAGAGTTCAGGTGTGACTTTGAAGGTCATCCAGCTAGTACCAACAACAGGGAGAGAACTAGTGTCAGGAAAGTCCTAATAAGAGGCAGTGTGTCTCTTCAGAAGTTGGAAGTGAGTGTTTTGGGAAACTGAGGCATGCAGGCTAGAATACTTGATTATTTTTGTGCCCTCCTGGCCACCAAGTTATTGGGTCACTGACCTCTGTGCTGAGGTTGCTTGGATTTTGATGATGGGACTGATGAACTCAAGAAAAGAGTTCCCTTTACCAAGTGAATGACTTGAGACTTGTCAGCATGGCACCAAAACTTAAGGAGAAAACTAACATTCAGCCCATGAGCTGTTTGTGCTTCATTGCTTTCAATCCTGTGCTTTGACACACACAATATCAGGTTGCACTTGTGTGAGTTACACCTTACTGGAGACTAAATGTAGTGGAAAATCCTTGAATATCATTTTGTATTTGAAATTGGCTTCTCAATGCATAATGAGAAAAAGGCCCTTGCAGAAAACAAAGGGCGATTTTGGAGGAGCTGAGCTGAGGCCCGTCTGAGCATCATCATCTTCAAGAGGAAATGCTGTCAATCAGTAAAAAGCTGTTCATTGAGCATGAGGAGCTCAAGAGACGACCTCTCTTTTGGGGGAGGACTCAGCTTCAGGATGTTTAAAATTTAATCACGTTAGTAAGAAAATGGAAAGAAAAGACTAGACCTTTGTATTTTATTTCGTCTTCTACTGCCGTCTTGCAGTTGATCTTCCGCCTTCTCCTGAAGTAGTTAGGACAACTCCCTGTTTTCACAGAGGGGCAGAGCGAAAGCAAGTATCTTCTGTCATTGCTGAAGCAGGACGGCTCCCGGCAAAGATGCTGGGCTTCATCCAGCCCCATTCTAAGCAGCTGGGCCTCCCCACCTGCAGTCTTCCTGGATTTTGATTTTCTGCACACTTGGGCTTCCCACTAATTTGGCAAGTTCATACCAGTCCAGGCCCTTTCCTGGCAGAGGATGGCATTCAGTGCTGGTGCAGCCACTCCTCCAGGCTCCTCCCTGAATAAACAGAGGCCGGATGTTCTGGAGTGCTGTTCCCGCCAGGCCTCCTTGGGATGAGAGGGAGACCTTCCTCCCTCATGGAGCAGGGCCGCTCTAGCTCCATGGATCTTGGGGGTTACCAGTCTGGCACTCTCCAGGGAGTCCTGTTAAGAACACAGATTGTGGCTGTGTCTCATCGCCTCCCTGCCCCAACCCCATGTTCAAATCTGAATTGCTCAGTGTAGGGCCCAGAAAACTATTAAGTCCAGAAAGCTTTTTTGGTGGTTCTGATTCTGCTGCACTGGCAGTGGGAGCCACGGATGGCCAGTGATCCCATTTTGGGGAGGAGGAGCTGCGGCTTAGTGCCTCCTGAACATCTATCCTGCAGAGCATTTTCCCAAGCCTCCATTTTCCTTCTTGGGGAAACTCCCCAGGTACGCGGGCTTCTGGAGGTGTGAATATGGGGATGACATGGGAAGCGAGCCGAGACAGCACCTTGCAAAGTCTGGCAGGGTGGCTGGCAGTGCGAGAGTGGGGAGGTGGTCCAGAGATCTTCCTGGACCCCAGGAAGAAGCAAGCCAGAGCCTTTTCTTTTTGTCTTGCCCATCTGGCAGAATCTCACCATAATCATTTAACAGATTATACTCAGGCACTGTGACAGGGAGATAGAAACATCCTTTCAGATAACACTGGAAATGTTTCGAGTTATGATTGAAGTAGAGAGACCCATTTATTTTGCTTAAGGTTCAGCAGAGCCTCCTGAATTTTCTTAAAGATGAGATCGTTTTGCTCTTTCCAGATCTATTGCAAGCTGTTATGCCTCTTAGCAGAGGCGGAGCACAATCAGGAAATGAGTGGCCGTTCTCTCCTTCGTATTTCCAGCAAGTTGCAGTTGTGGCTGAGCAAGTTCCTGTGCGACTGCATGAAAGTGATTTGTTGGGGGGCAGATGAACAGCATGGCCAGATGCCTTGGAGCCCAGCTCATCCAGGACTTTCATTTTCCCCTCTGAAGAACAGCCTGTGTTGTTCACATGAGAACCGACTGCACCTCCGAGAACATCATTTGTCCCGTTTTGTAGGGTAGATTTGCCCTTTATGAGGGTGGAGCCTGTACACAGGACCTGCGGCAGCGTTTGACGTTGGCCAGGGCTGGGAAGGCTTAACTGTTGGATGCTATCAGGGCTGCTTGTGAGTCAGAAAGCTTCATACCACCCATGAGGCTTGCTTAGTGCTGTCCTCGTTTCTGGAATGACACACAGTCACCTTATATAAACCACTCTACATGTTTATTACTTTCTATTGACATTTAAAAATGATGTTCTGATGTTTATCATCCAAAGTAGAAAACCATTCATCATCCAGACCTACTCTTTCTCCTTTAAGTTTTGCTGTTTTAATATTGCTCTTAAATGTTTAAGAGAGCTTACAGAAGAAACTGAAGACAAAGGCCTTGCTTATTAGGATCTTTGAGACCCTCTGGCACTGGCGAACACGAGTGAACCCTGTGTCACACTTGACCGTGTTATTCTCCAGCCCCTCCTGGGTTCCCTTTTGTTGTGAGTCAAGTAGACACCTCTGATCTGCTTCTGCCTCAGAGCATAGACTCAGCTGGCCTTCTTTTTTTTTTTTTTTTTTTTGAGACGGAGTCGCACTTTGTCTCCCAGGCTGGGGTGCCGTAGTGCGATCTTGGCTCACTGCAACCTCCGTCTCCTGGGTTCAAGCGATTCTCCTGCCTCAGCCTCCCAAGTAGCTAGGATTATAGGTGAGCGCCACCATGCCCATCAGCCGGCCGTCTGAGGCAGGCTCCAGAGCCCCTTGTTTTGCAGGTGCAGGATTCATCTGTATGCATCATGTGGCACATGTGATACCATGTGAGGTATCTGGTGTTACTAAGTCGTCACGTATTTCGATGAAGGTATCTTTGGGACCTTGGCAGCCTTTTAGGAAGCCAGGCAGCTTGCAAAAGCTTAGGAAGAATTTGGGGGGAGAGGAATGAATGTAGTATTTTTCTGTCTGTCAACACACACACATATATATATATATGTGCCAGATATGAGTGGGTGCTTTTGGTAACCTTATCTCTAAATCCTCACCAGCTCTTTGAACTAGAAACTATGAAGTGTCTTACACATGGGACAGCAGATTTGGAGAGGCAGTGTGCCTGGCCTGTGATAAACAGAAAGACTTCTGTGGCTTTACCCCCATCTGAGTTCCTGAAGGGGTGACAGACAGACTTGCCTTTAGCGGGCCTGGCTGCTTTATACTCCCCAGGCACGGCTGCTTTATACTCCCCAGGCACAGCTTGAGGTGATAAACAGCCCTGAGTCCATCTTTGTATAGTTAATCAGAAATGTTGGCCTGTTTCTTGAACCTGGGTCTGGATTTAGGAGATGGGCCCGACTCTTTACTCACTCCTTTACCCCATCTGAAATTCACTGAGTGCCCACAGTGTGCGAGTCACAGTGTTAAATGCCATATAGAGGACAAGTCTGCCCACTTTGAGACTGTTCTCCACAAAGCATGTCCTGCCTCTCCCTGGTCCGAAGCAGGCTGTCTCTCTTCTGGAACCCATATTATTTTAATTTGAATCTTTTTGCTTAAGCTCTGCACTTTTCTGCTTTGTCTTGGGGTCACACCCCTGTTAGGAGTTCTGGGGCAGAGTCTGTGTGCTTCATCGCTGCCTCTTGATGCCTGGCAGGGTCCACAGGCTCAGAAAAGATGGAACGAGTGACTGTGGAGAAGGGTAGAACATGGGCCTGCCCAGAGCGCGAAGGCAGATACAGAAGAGCTGCCCGTGAAGGATGCAGGTGTGTCCCGGGAAGCCTTCCATTGGTTCCTAAGAACTGCAGAGTTGTCCTGGGCTCCTAAAGGTCCCCAGAGGCCTGCTCCTTTTTGTCACTTTGTGAATGGCCTTCTCTGCACAAAGGACTTCAGTATTGATTCCCTAAGTTCATCCTTACAGGTCTGGAGAAGCTCTTTTTTGTTTCTCCCAATGACACAGCATCTTACAGCAGGGCTGGAGAGGCTGGGAGCTGGCAGCAGCCAGACCCTACTTCCATAGCTGTGCAGAGAGCAGCCCCTGGCACTGTGAAAAGAGTCTCTTAAAAATTTTTTTTCGTGTGGCTGGCAGCAAGATCAGACACCGTATACGTGAAGGTTCTTATTCACTGTCAATTCAGAAAAGCCTAGAATCGCAGAGTGCCAGCTCTGTGCGTCAGGAGCCTGTAAACAGCTCAGCTGTCCAAGAGCTCCCAGCACAGAGCTGTGCCCCAGTGAACTGGGGAGACTTTTTACGGAAAATTCCTTAGCATTCAATTGGAGAACAAACGTTTGCTGTTTTAAAGTATCTTCCTCAGTGTTTATTAAAGTAGAATTATATATTTTTTTCAGTTATTTAAAAAATTCTTCCTTGACATTGAATGAATGAATAAATGAATGGATGGTTTAAAAATTCATACAGTGGGAGGATGGGAAGGCCCCTTCATGTGCAGAAGAAAAGCCAGCCCCTTCGCTGGCCCACCCTTTCAGGGTCAGTTCAGACCCCCAGCATCCCAGCGGGGTTAGCACTCCTTCCTGGGTTGGACGGTGTCTTCCCCGGTTCTGACAGCGCTCCATGCCGGGCGTCCCTGCAGTCTTGGGGCTGTGGTGACTCAGAATTAAGCTGAGTGCTCTCACTCTCGTGTACCCTGCCTGGCTGGCCTGATGACTCAGCATGGAGCGCTGGCTCCCTGACCCAGAGCACACTTGAACTGAATGTTCCAGGTCTGAGCCTCAGCCGAGCGTGGCTGGGCGAAATGGAAGCCTTTCTCTCCTGCTGCCTCTCCTGCTGCATTTTACCCCGGGAGATGAAGGTTTTGGAGACGTTAGTGACACATGGATGTTATCACAGTGTACAGCTGTGACAGGAGTAGCAGAAAGGTTAGCATCTACCTGGCCTTACCATCAGACAAACCTGGGTTCTAGAGATCTTAGGCAAAGCACTTACCCTTCTTGAGCCTCAGTCTCCCGTTGTGTGAAGTGGGCATAGCAACACTTCTGTTAGCAGGGTTGGGAGAATCAAGGAAGATGGTGTGTGGGAGGCGAACGTCCCAAAGCCTGAACTGATGCATGCGTGGAACTCCCGGAAACATATGCAGCCTGCTCTGTGGAGTAGAAGTGTGTTTGTGGATAGGTGTGTGGCCTCTCCACACAGCAGACTGTCCTGGCTGTCCGTGGGCCTTTCAGCTCTCAGAGAGGCCTGGGGTCTTGTTTCTTAGAAGCAAGGCCTCCTCTTATCCCCCTTGTATGGAGTGTAGCTGACTCCCCCGACCAGTGTCCAGGTGGCCCTTGGAGCCCTCCCTGGGGCTTCCCGTGCCCCTTGTGAGTGGAGGATGTAAAGGAACAGTAACAGATGAAGCTGCGGGGCCTTCGGGAGCCTTGACCCAGCTGCCAGACCCTGCGCCATGCGTCCATAGATGCATCTCCCCATCCTCTGCCCAAGATAGGCTGGGTCCTTGTGTCCTCCACTGTGCTGTGTAGAGCGCTGGCTTTACTCAGCCTCAGCTCCTCAAGGGGAGGGTCTCCCTCAGCTGTGTCTGTGCAGCCGCAAAGTACCAGGCAGGAGCTAGGAGCGCTGCCTGTGAGGGGGGACATCAGCCCACCTTACTGAGGGGCCGATTACCTGCACAGCTCTTCTGGACCCAGCTCTCAGGGGTGTAAATGTCACCGCAGATGGAAGGAAGGAGGGGTTTTCCAAGTGCCACCACCCTCTTCTGGGGGGTGTGGCTGCTGTGGACCGAATGCTTGAGAAGCCACTGCAGGTGGGAGCAGAGCCCCCCCGGGACTCAGGGGTCTCACCGTCCATCAGAGAGGGTCCCCTTGCCTGCATGGCAGCTGATGAACTGAGGATGTTTTTCTTTTGGAAATTGTATTTTGTACAGAATACACGTCCGCTGATGTCCTGTACACTGAGACCTAACAGGCACTTGTAGGGTCGTGTCTGGAGGATGGACTTGCCAGGTGGCTGACCATTCCATTTAGCATGGAAATGTAGCAGTTGAGAGAGGTCCTTTTCCTTGACTCTGTCTAAATTCAGAGTTTGCTTCCTGGGATGGAAATTTCAGATAGTTTCCATCTGTGATTTGTGACTTTGGCTTGATTAAAGCAGGTGGCTCCGCTCTTTTTTTTTTCCCCTGAAGAAGAGGTAGGTAGGTTCTAACATGCCCTGAAGCTAACTTCATGTGACCTTGGGCCACATTCCAGTTCCTACCTCTGCCACATGGAACCCGTGAGGCAGGCTGCAGGGCTGGGGCTGCAGGGAGGCTGGATGCTGACTCAGGTGCCCCCAGCAGGGGAAATACCAGCAGCTGCGGATGGTGCCTGGCCTGGAGACGGCTGACGTGTGCCCTGGTGAGGGGCCATCGAGGATGTTGAGGAGACGCCAGCAGATGTTCTGCTCCCAGGCGGACCCTTCTGTGCCCCAGCCTGGCCTGGCTTTTCTCTCTAGGCCTCAGGGAGATGTGTCAAGGAACCACAGTCAGTGCGGCTGGGCGCCCTGCTCAGCCAGGAGTTTGTCTGCAGAGCAGGCCTCTTCCCCAGAGCAGCGGCCCAGCCTGTTGGAGAGGTGGGTCGTTTAGGGCTCAGGTCCCTAGAGTTGTCTTTGGCTCTTTGCTTCCAGGCTGTGAAACTTTAGATAAAGTCTTAAGCAGAGAAAGTGACATCCTTGCTAATTAGTCCTCTTAAGACTCTCAGATAAAGGGGCTTCTAATTCTAACTGTCTTACTACCAACTTGGTGAGACAGACTAAAGAATTAGGCTTTGTTGAACAGGGCGCGGTGGCTCACACCTGTAATCCCAGCACTTTGGGAGGCCGAGGCAGATGGATCACTTGAGCCCGGGAGTTCGAGAGCAGCCTGGGCCCCATAGTGAGACCTTGTCTCTAAAATAAATAAATAAATAAATATTTTTTTAAAAAAAGAATTAGGCTTTGTAAACGGTAAGCCCAACCAGCTAGTGCTGGAGAAAAGCTGAGTCCATCAATAACTATTTGTGGAATAAAGAAATGCAATTGTGGCTGGGCGTGGTGGCTCACGGCTGTCATCCCAGCACTTTGGGAGGCTGAGGCAGGAAGATCACTTGAGATCAGAAGTTCGAGACCATCCTGGCCAACATGGTGAAACCCCATCTTTACTAAAAATACAAAATTAGCTGGGTGTGGTGGCACATGCCTGTAATCCCAGCTACTCAGGAGGCTGAGGCAGGAGAATCGCTTGAACCCGGGAGGCAGAGGTTGTGGTGAGCCGAGATCATGCCTTTGGACTCCAGTCTGGGCAATAAGAGTGAATCTTCGTCTCAAAAACAAAAACAAAAATTAGCTGGGCGTGGTGGCAGGTGCCTGTAATCCCAGCTACTCGGGAGGCTGAGGCATGAGAATTGCTTGAACTCGGGAGGCGGAGGTTGCAGTGAGCTGAGATTGTGCCATTGCACTCTAGCCTGGGCAACAGAGCGAGACTCAGTCTCCAAAAAAAAGAAAGAAAGAAAGAAAAAGAAACCCAATTGTTTAGGGCACAGAGCAGCTCAGAGTTTACAAAGACTTGTACCTTATTTCGTACCTTATTTCACTTAACTCTTGCAAAAACCCCTGGGAAATATGGGGATCTTTACAGCTGCGGAAACAGTAGCAAGGAGTCCTGTCCATGGTCACACAGCTGGTGAGCATCAAGGAGGGACTGGAACCCAGGGTGGCACCTTGAAGACCCGGGCTCATGCTGGTTCATTCCTGTTTATTTGGACACAGCTGCAAAGAGAAGCAATGTTGGTTTCATCTTCTAAAAAAATTTTTTTTCCCATTGAAAACACATAGGGACAGTCATCTGTTTATTCCAGGATAAAATGTATATATATTTTAGTAACAGGCATATTAGATAAAGCCTCCAGTAGCCTGTGACTTATGATAGTTTATAGAGTATGTGGTTGGCACACACCTCTTGTCTTACCAGGAGTCTTTGGACAAAGCCTAACTCCTCAGGTGTCCTGTAAGTGGAATGTGGACTTAGTTTATTATTCAGAATTTTCCCCAACTCTATTATGTGCCCAAAATAGTGCTGGGGGAGTGGGAGAGACCCTGTATTACAATCCAGTGGGGACTGAAGGGATTTTGACTTTGGCTGTAGGGATGTTAATGGCTGTTTATTGTGTATTTCAGTATCAAATGGGCAGTAATACTTAATTCATTCATGCACCCCATCATAGCAAGCAGAGAGCTTCGGTAGGGTGCTGAAGCTCGACTCCAGTTGCACTTTGTTTTTTGTTTTGGTTGTTGTTTTAATTCAGAGCCTCACTCTCTTGCCCAGGCTGGAGTGCAATGGCATGATCTCAGCTCACTGCAACCTCTGCCTCCTGGGTTCAAGCGATTCTCCTGCCTCAGCCTCCTGAGTACCTGGGATTGCAGGCCCCCGCCACCATGCCTGGCTATGTTTTTTTTTTGTTTTTTTTTTTTTTGTATTTTTAGTAGAGACAGGGTTTCACCATGTTGGCCAAGCTGGTCTTGAACTCCTGACCTCAAGTGATCCGCCCGCCTCGGCCTCCCAAAGTCTTGGGATTACAGGTGTAAGCCACCACGCCCAGTTCCAGTTGCACTTTGGAAGAAAGTGTGTTTTGTTTGTTTCCTGCCTGATGGAGGCGAGCCAGGCCACTTAATTTTGATCCAGGCCTTAGCCATATGGGGAGTTCCAGGATTTCTGTGTTCTTGCATCTTTTTTCTTTGTTTTAGAAGTTTTGAAGTGTTCACTTGACCCATGTGAAGGCTCTTCTGGCCTAAAAACCCAGTTAATACAGTCTGTGTCCTACTTAATACCCCAGGCCTGCCAAGTCGGAAGTGCTACGAGACAGCCCTAAGAGTTGCCTTTGTTACTGTTTCTCCTAGTTCAGACCAGAGTGATGGAAGCTGTGGTTTGTAGATGTGGAGCCCACTTTTTAAAGAGCACTGTACCTGGCCAGGCGTGGTGGCTCACGCCTGTAATCTCAGCACTTTGGGAGGCCGAGATGGGCAGATCACGAGGTCAGGAGATCGAGACCATCCTGGCCAATATAGTGAAACCCCGTCTCTACTAAAAACACACACAAATTAGCTGGGCATGGTGGCGGGCACCTGTAGTCCCAGCTACTCAGGAGGCTAAGGCAGGAGAGTGGCGTGAACGCGGGAGGCGGAGGTTGCAATGAGCCGAGATCGCGCCACTGCACTCCAGCCTAGGCGACAGAGCGAGACTCTGTCTCAAAAATAAAAATAAAATAAAGAGCACTGTACCATGGAGCCAAGATTGGGGCTCACAGAAGGTGCCCATTTTCGGGTTTCAGTGACCACTCAGTGTGCAGGGAGTCAGTTGTGGGTGGGTCAAGGTAGATTCTTCTCCACGGCTCTTTCATGAACATGTGCCTGGCGTACGCCTCTCTAGGCAGACACCTTGCAGGTGCCCAAGGGTTGTGGTTCCCACCCTGCTTTTAGGGCACAGGGTTGGGGGTTAGAGGCTTCCTTCTCTTCATTTGTTTTTGGTTTTGTTTTTTTGTTGTTGTTTTTTTAAGACAGAGTCTCACTCTGTCGCCCAGGCTGGAGTGCAGTGCTGCAATCTTGGCTCACTGCAACCTCTCACCCCTGGGTTCAAGCGATTCTCGTGCATCATCAACTTCCTAAGCAGCTGGGATTATGATGCCCACCGCCACGGCCAGCTAATTTTTGTATTTTTAGAAGAGACAGGGTTTTGTCATTTTGGACAGGCTGGTCTCAAACTCCTGGGAATGGATCTGACCTCAGATGATCCACCCGCCTCGGCCTCCCAAAGTGCTGGGATTACAGACATGAACCACCGGACCCGGGCCCTCCTCTTCATCTGGGACATGAAACTTTGGGGTGCTCTGAGTTCTGGCAGTTCTGATATGATTTGAGTGTAGTTAGGAGTAGTCGTTTTTAGATTTCTGTGACATTAACTTTTCCTTGTTTGGGGGCTTGTATAGCTGTTGAGAGCTTGAAGGGACTTTGGAAATCAGGCCACGCAGAGTGTCAGAGCTGAAAGGAACTTTCCATCATCGTTTTTCTCACTGCGGACCTTTAGGCTTCCTCACACACCTACGGAATCAGACCTACTTGGGTTGGGCTTAAGAGTCTGCAATGTTTGCATTTCCTGGGTGCTTCGATACCCCAAGTGCTGGAGAACCACTGCTTTCTAGAACATTTTTGGGCCTCCCCTTCATTTTGCAGCTGAGAAAACGAAAGTTCACAGAGGGCATGTGAGCCACTTCCGTAACACATGTATTTAGGGGCAGAGCCAGCGTTAGGACCAAGTGCAGCCTCTTCCGAGCTCTCCTGCTGTTCCCTCAGCGCCCATGTTGCTGCTAAAAACCACTAGTGCAGTTTAGACCTGCTCTTAAGCAAACGAGCCCAACAGCTCACCAAAGCTCAGAACCTGACCTCAGGCTTTCTCTAATCATAATATCTTGTACATAATAGGGCAAATTTTGACTCATCTGGGGTCATTTTTTTCCTGCTTTCTATCTTGGCCATCTCATGGAGTTGTTTGGTGCCCTGAGACATGCCTCAGATTTTTCAGATTTTTAATGCAATGCACAAACAAGGGGGCAGAATTAGCCAATTCATTTTATAAATTAATATAGTGAGATAAGCAGTGAGAGTCAGGACTGAGCCCCTGGGCTCTTCTTTCCTAATTGGATTTTGTATAATATGTGTTCCTGATGTCTTTAGCCGAGATAAGGATAATGAGCTCTGAGCTGCAGGCGGGCCCTGATGAGGTGGCCATGAGGATCAGCAGTCATCTGCTTGGTCACCGTGGTTGCATCCCAGTCCCTGTCCCATGATCACACAGAGCTGTCCCCCCAACTTTGAGGAGGCAGATTCCGAGCTCCCGCTTGAATCAGGAAGGGGCACATAGTAAGCCTTATCTGAGAGATGCTGGTGTAACCAAGAGGCATTATCTGGATGTGCTTGAACTTGAAAACACTTAGTAGACTGAAGAGACATGTTTTAGTCAGATTCTAGAATTATAAATATTACACATTTTTTCTTTTGATTCTTTTATTTACAAAATATCTCTCTTTGCTAGATTGTGTTGAAAACACCATAGAAGAGAGAAAGGGCAATTTAACTCTTCCAGGTGGTGTTTTTTGTGTGTGTGTGAGAGTTTTTTTGGCAGAGTTTCACTCTTGTAGCCCAGGCTAGAGTGCAATGGTGTGATCTTAGCTCACTGCAACCTCCGCCTCCAGCTTCAAGCGATTCTCCTGCCTCAGCCTCCCGAGTAGCTGGGATTACAGGCACCCGCCACCACACACAGCTAATTTTTGTTTGTGTGTGTGTGTGTGTGTGTGTGTGTGTGTGTGTATATATATATATATATATTTTTTTTTTTAGTTGGAGTCTTGCTCTGTCGCCCAGGCTGGAGTGCAGTGGTGCGATCTCGGCTCACTGCAAGCTCCACCTCCCGGGTTCACGCCATTCTCCTGCCTCAGCCTCCCGAGTAGCTGGGACTACAGGTGCCTGCCACCATGCCCAGCTAATTTTTTTTTTGTATTTTTAGTAGAGATGGGGTTTCACCGTGTTAGCCAGGATGGTCTCCATCTCCTGACCTCGTGATCCACCCACCTCAGCCTGCCAAAGTGCTGGGATTACAGGCGTGAGCCACCGCGCCCAGCCTAATTTTTGTATTTTTTTTAGTGAAGATGGGGTTTCATCACGTTGGCCAGGCTGGTCTTGAACTCCTGACCTCAGGTGATCCACCCGCCTCGGCCTCCCAAAGTGCTGAGATGACAGGTGTGAGCCACCACGCCTGGCCCAGGTGGTGTTTTTTACTTAGTAAAAGCGGAAGCATTTGCTGTTGTGACCCTAATGATAGTGGATGGGAACATTAGAATGTGGCATCAGCATTCCTGGCATAGACCTCATTACGGGTGGGAGTTTCATTTTTCATTGGAATTATTCATTCATGTAGAAGTGTTTAATTGCCTATTTTGTGAAATTCATGTTTTTTTTATTTAAAGCAATTTTTTGTTGTTGTTGTTTTTTTTTAAACAAAACCCCACCAGAGTAGAAGGGGAGCCTGGAACGTCTTTTAGATGCAGTGCTCACAAGGAGACACTTGGTTTTTTATTAAATGGCAAAAATGGGTCATTAATTCACCCAAGCCCAGGAATACAGACCTCGGGACTGTTGGAGAAGCAGCCAGGCCGCCCTTGCCTGTCCTGACCGTCTCTGCTTTCCAGCTGTGCCGGCAGGCTTGGCCTGTTCAGTGGACCTCACGCACGGTGGAGACCTTTCCCCTTCCCCCCACATGCCTCTCATTTTTCTGGGTGCCCTTTACCCTCCAGGCCCTCTGCCCTGCTTTGTGCTCATCTCCTCCTCCCTGACGTCCTTCTTCACTTCCCAGCATGTCCTGGCTTCTCCTTTCCAGTCCCTCTGTCTTGCTGAGGCATCTCCTGTGATGGTTGGAACACTCAGAAGGGTGGACCTCAGCCCCCACTTCCAGCCTGGCCCCTGGTCTCTAGCCTCATCTCCCTCAGCTCAGCACTGACCCCCAAGCCTGCCCCTTGCCACTGCTTCCCACCACTCTTCTGACACCACTGCCCCTGCCTGCAGTGACCACATTCCTTCCCCGTGGACCAAGCCATGTCTCTGGAAAGGTTGAATATTGGCTCCAGCAAGCAGTCTCTGCTGTCACAGTCTTGTGTGCAGACAGAGTTGTTTTTCCTTCCTCCCTCTCTCTCCTGTCTTATTCCCCTTCTCTTTTTCAATGGAGGCACAAAATGTGCTCAGCGAGATGCACGAGGTGCTCAGCGAGATGCACGAGGTGCTCAGCGAGATGCATGAGGTGCTCAGCTCGTGGCTGGCTCAAGGGCTTTCTGGATCCAGGGGCTTCCCCCAGGAGGAGCTGCATCTCCTCAAGGCCTGTCTGAGGACTCCAAGCCCTGGAAGGGTCTGGCTATAAGGGGTTGGGATCAGCAGCTCTCCCAGTTAAAACCAGAGAGTGTGGGTGGGATGTGGCAGAGTGGGCAGTGTGGGGGTTTGATGGAGTTTTACACAGCCATACACCCATTTACCACTGCCCAGAAAAAGAGAATATTCCCATCACCTCAGAAAGCTCTTTCGAGACCCTTCCCAGCCACTACCATCTCCTCCAGAAGTGACCACCATTCTGGTTTCTAGCACCATCGATTCACTTTGTACTTCACTTTTTCTTTTTTTTCTTCTTTTTGAGACAAAGTCTTGCTCTATTGCCCAGGCTGGAGTACAGTGGCATGATCTCAGCTCACTGCCACCTCTGCCTCCGGGGTTCAGGTGATTCTCCTGCCTCAGCCTCCTGAATAGCAGGGACTACAGGTGCCCCCCACCATGCCCAGCTAATCTTTGTATTTTTAGTAGAGATGGGGTTTCACCATGTTGGTTAGGCTGGTCTTGAACTCCTGACCTCAGGTGATCTGCCCGCCTTAGCCTCCCAAAGTGCTGGTATTACAGGCTTGAGCCACCGTGCCTGGCCCTATCCTTCACTTTTGATTCCTTTGACACTTTGGAGTCTGAAAAGCATAATTTTGTGCGTATTTAGGGAGAAACTCACATTTATTGCCAGTCTTCCGGGCATCCCTCTTGATATGCCCTTATAAAACCTCACAACATTTCTCCAGGGCAGGTGTTGGCTAGCTCCGTTTTCTAGAAAAGGAAGCGAAGGCTTACAGAGGTAAGAGAATTACCCAAGCTCACAGAACTGTTAGAAATAGAGGTACGAATCACACTTAGACCCTACCTAGGGCAGCGTCTACCCTGGAAGAGCCTGTGCCTTTCCCCATCCCTCAGGGCCTCCGTGCTTTCCAAGTAATTCTGCTTCTTGTTTGTTTCCTGCCCCCTTAGCCCATCTTCTAAGCCCCTGTTGGCAGGGAGTGCCCCTTGCTGGTTTGGTAACCCCATAGGACTCCTCAGCGGGTGGCAGGATGTTCCCCCAGGTGGTGGATGAGGGTTTGCTCACTGCTGGTCCCTGCTGTGTGGAGTGTGCAGATGGTTGAGGCTTTTGTGCGTGGCTGGGAAGAAACAATGAGCCCCTGGGCAGCCAGCAAAAATGACACTGCAGGACTAATGCAGGCTCCGATTTCGGCTGGAAGGAGGAGGACCTCAGTGAGTGGACAGAATGCCCACAGGCACGTTATGACTCAACACTGAGTAGCAGAGGGTTTCTTCAGCGCCTCTTGCTGGCTCCCTGTCAGGGCCATCTCACGGCAGGAATTCAGCTCTGAATGTGAGGCCTGGACCTGCTCCTGCTCTTGGGTGACCTGAGAGTTAAGCAGGCTAATGTAATGCCGCCGCCCTGAGCACGTGGCTGTTCTAATCTGAGAATGCCTGTCTGCCCATGTCCCCAAGGACACAGTGACACCCATGCCTTTCCTGTGTGCTGGAGGCCCTCCAAGGGCAGGGTCTCAGCAGGAGGGAGGCAGTTGATGGGCCTGAAAGGGCTAAACCAGGGTCAGCCACCTGGTGCCCACGCCTGCACACAAATAGAAACATCACAGAATTAATGGTCTGTTCTCTCAAAGTGCAGAGCAGCCCTCAGTATCTGTCCTTACTTTTGATTGATTCCGCAGCAGTAGAGATTGTCCCCTGCAAGCTCATAGATTGTTAGCCTTTGGCGTTTGTTCGCCGTGCAGACAGCTGCCTTCGTCAGGAAAGATCACTCCCCTTCTTAAGAGTTGCCTTACACAGATATATGCAAATGACACTTATCAGTAGCTCCCCTCCTGGGAAAGGACCCTCGGTGCTCGGGGACTGTTAGGACTTCTGTTGCGCAGCCCAGCTTGCTGAGAGATGGCATTGCCCAGTGAGTGACTGGCCAGCCTTGTTGTCTGAAATAAGATCTTTCCTGTGGTACATCTGGAACTTGGCCTTCTCAAGGGTCCCAAAATAGCCAGGCCACTGAAGGGAGAACTTCAAGAGAGGACATAAGAGAAGGACCCCAACTGCTCCTTGCCCAAGCAGGCTCTGTTGCGTTGAAGAAAAAGTTCTTCAGTGATACTTGTTAAAGCACAGTCAGGAAGATTTATTCGGGGCCATCAAGATAGGCACAGGGACCACGGCAGTGGGGTCGTGCAGTCATGGGTAGAGACTGGGCACAACTTCAAATACAACACGGGCGATTGGGAATTTATAGTCAAGGAGCAGTGTGGATGGAAAATTAGAAGAGGAAACATCAGGGCTAAGGGTGTTTCTGGCTATGCTGACCAAACAGGATTCTTGCCGAAGACAGGCCAGGGTGATTAGACAGCACCTGGAGGCTGTGGAAGCTGATCAGATAGTGAGGCTGGGGAGGGGGTTTCTGGCTAAACTGACTTAGCAGTGTCTTTTGCTAAAACTTGACTTTACAAGGAAGTGCACAGATGGGCCTAGGAGATGCTTCGGAAGCCTAAGATTTGGTCAAGCAGAGAATCTTTGTCAGTTGGCATCGTTAGGCGACACAGTTAACCCTGGGTGCCCCTCTCTCCCTATGCTGCCTCTGCATCCCTGTCCTTCCCCTTCCTGCAAATTGTTCTAACAATACTCCTGAGGAGGCAGCCCTCGCTCCCCAGCCCACTTCTCTGTAAAGATTCCCAAACTGTGTCCTGTGTTTGGGCCCAGTACAAGCTCTATATTGCTGGGAAATGTGAGGGCCTTTTTGGAAACAGAGACGCTTGCTGTAATGTAGAGGTTGGAGCTGACCCCTGCTCCTGGAGCTCATCTTCTGATCCGGGTCTCTGAAAATGCGGGCATGGGCAGCTCTCCTACACTCACCGCTTCCCTCAGTCACCCAGAAAAGAAACCTGTCTTACCAGTTTGGAGAATTGGGACCTTTCCTTTGCTTAACAGATACTTTTGGCTTTCTCCTGATGCCCCTAATTCCTAAACTGTTGGCCAAATAGCAACCTCTATGGGGTGGGGGGTTTGGAGGGTACAGGGGCTGGGAGCTGGCTGACGCTTTGAGGCCCAAGTCACTCGGGAAGATCACAATGCCAAGCGCCACAGTGTTTCCTCTGCCAGGAGGGTTCACTTCCCAGTTTCTAACCAGCCTGTGTTTCTCCACTTTTTATTTCAGGAGACTCCATCCTCTGCCAATGGCCCTTCCCGGGAGGGCTCTAGGCTGCCGCCTGCTAGGGAAGGCCACCCTGTGTACCCCCAGCTCCGACCAGGCTACATTCCCATTCCTGTGCTCCATGAAGGCGCTGAGAACCGGCAGGTGCACCCTTTCCATGTCTATCCCCAGCCTGGGATGCAGCGATTCCGAACTGAGGCGGCAGCAGCGGCTCCTCAGAGGTCCCAGTCACCTCTGCGGGGCATGCCAGAAACCACTCAGCCAGATAAACAGTGTGGACAGGTGGCAGCGGCGGCGGCAGCCCAGCCCCCAGCCTCCCACGGACCTGAGGTAAGGAGAGGCCAGGCTCACCAGCCTGCTGGGGAGCAAGCCGCTGTGCTTCCCAGGCCGGGCCCATCCCCTCAGGACAGTGCCCTGGGCCAGGCACCTGTTCACATGCAGGGCATCTGGGTCTAGCCTGCAGCATCAGAGGTCACCCAGCAAAGACAGGGTGATGGCCCCACATCATCCCCCAGCATCTCATAGGGCTGTTCTTCAGTGGGGCAGGGCAGGAATCATGTGGCTTCTTTTTGTAGCTAAGGAACGGCTCGGAAGGGCACACTGCAGCCTGCCTGCTCCAGATGCACACAGGTGGAGGGAGCAGAGCTGGGACCGGAAGCCTGGCCTGCCTTCTGGCGCCTAATTTCCATGCTCCTTATTCACACTGGGCTTTCTATTCAGAAGCACAGAGATAGCTGTGCATTATTTTGTTCAGTTCAATGCTTATGGATAAATCTTAACCGCTTGTGGAGCTATGTTGACAGGAAAATGAGACCCCATGCCTGCCCTCACCGTGCACCACAGTTTCAAAAGAAATAAGGAGTCAGGAAGGCAGCTGCTTTAAGACAGCATTTTAATCCTGAAGCCAAACATCTCAGGGATATGTCAATGGATTCTGTGCATTAATAGCTAAAAAATAGTTCTTAATCTGGTTCTTAGCTGAGATTTGAGGCATTCCTAGTAGGATTCCTAAGCAGTAAGTCCTCTCATTTTCCTGTCTGCACATCATCCTGTGGTGTGTGCCAGCGTTGTTCCTGGGCACAAACTCCCGTGTCCTATCTGCACCCTGAGTCATGCTTGCCTCTCAGCTCCGTCTGAATCTGTTCAGCTTCACACCTGCTTGAGAGTGAAAGTTACAGTTAATGTGGGATACCTTTTTTCTTTTCTTAGAGAGGTAGTACCTGGCTGAGGCAGGTGGATCACTTGAGGCCAGGAATTCAAGACCAGCCTGGCTAACACGGTGAAACCCCGTCTCTACAAAAAATACAAAAATTAGCCGGGCATGGTGGCACATTCCTGTAATCCCAGCTACTCAGGAGGCTGAGGCAGGAGAATTGCTTAAACCCAGGAGGCAGAGGTTGCAGTGAGCCGAGATCGCACCACTGCACTCCAGCCTAGGTGATAGAGCGAGACTGTCTCAAAAATAAAAAAATAAGTAATGCCTATATTTATAATGGTTTTGCTGCAAGAAATCAAAGTGACACATAAATGCGAGACATCTTCACAAATTTAGGCTAACAAAGCACTTAGAAGAGGAAATGCTCTCAATTTCGAGGTGAATAGAAGGTGGCCCAGCAGGGAAAGGTGCTTGACCTGCCTTGGGCCACACGGGATGCTGGCAGCTCCCAGTTGCTCAGCCGAGTTCTCTGTAGATTGGCAGAGAAAGGGTAGTGGGGACAACACATCCCTTGTATGAGCGCTTCCTGTGTGCTGGCCTGGGGCTGAGGCACATGCCCAGGTGACTGACCTCATCTTCAGAGCAGCCCAGTGAGGGAGGGGCACTCTTCCTATATTTCAAATGAAGCTTAGAAAATGATTGAATTACTAGGAATTTGAACATAGGCCCCTTGATTCCAAAGCCTTCAGTCTTTGTTGTGTGTGTGTGTGTTTTGTTTTGTTTTGTTTTGTTTTGCTTTGTTTGAGGTGGAGTCTCTCTCTGTTGCCCAGACTGGAGTGCAGTGGTGTGATCTCAAATCACTGCAACCTCTGCCTCCTAGGTTCAAGCAATTCCCCTGCCTCAGCCTCCTGAGTAGCTGGCACTACAGGCATGCGCCGCCACACCCAGCTAATTTTTGTATTTTTGGTAGAGATGGGGTTTCACCATGTTGGCCAGGCTGCTCTTGAACTCCTGACCTCAGGTGGTCCACTCACCTAGGCCTCCCAAAGTGCTGGGATTACAGGTGTGAGCCACCGCGCCCAGCCCCAGAGCTCTCAGTCTTAACCGCACATTTTGAAAATTGAAAATTACAGATAGGAGGTCTTACAATATGGATTGCCCTGAGGAGGTGCACAGCAGAAGGCGTGGTCAGGATGCCAAGCCAGGGGAGTCATTTGTGGGGTCATGCCCTCTACCCTGTGTCTCTTGCAGCGGTCCCAGTCTCCAGCTGCCTCTGACTGCTCATCCTCATCCTCCTCGGCCAGCCTGCCTTCCTCCGGCAGGAGCAGCCTGGGCAGTCACCAGCTCCCGCGGGGGTACATCTCCATTCCGGTGATACACGAGCAGAACGTTACCCGGCCAGCAGCCCAGCCCTCCTTCCACCAAGCCCAGAAGACGCACTACCCAGCGCAGCAGGGGGAGTACCAGACCCACCAGCCTGTGTACCACAAGATCCAGGGGGATGACTGGGAGCCCCGGCCCCTGCGGGCGGCATCCCCGTTCAGGTCATCTGTCCAGGGTGCATCGAGCCGGGAGGGCTCACCAGCCAGGAGCAGCACGCCACTCCACTCCCCCTCGCCCATCCGTGTGCACACCGTGGTCGACAGGCCTCAGGTACGGGAAGTTAGTCGTCAGCAGACTGGTTATGGTGGTATGTCTCCAGGGGTGCAGGAGCTCTGTGGGTGCCCTGGGTTCCCCCTTCATCCCTGCCTATTTAACATGCGTGTACCTACAGGCAAGTGAGATTCGAGAAATTGCTAGGTATTAACAGAAATGCAGGACAGTTGCTCAGGCTGTGAACCCTCCGCACTCTGCAGCTTTTGCTGGGCTGATCATTGTGCATTGCGGCTGACTTAGAGCAGACGAAACAGCTTGGCAGAACTTACATACCTGGGACCAGCTTCCTTAGTGTCCACCACACCCTTTCAGGGCTCTTCACACCCCCATCCACACCGCAGCCACAGCCTCACCTTGGGTGTAGGCAGTGTGTCACCTTCCACTCAGTTACCCACTCCACTCTGCAGGCCCATTCTGCTCATTCCCACCCCTGTGCCTTTGCCCATGCTGAACCCGCTCCCTGAAATGCCCGCACAGTATAGGTTCTCCCTGTCCTCTGAGGGACGAGCCAGTCTTGTCTCCTCCATGAAGCCTACTCATCCTTCTCATCTCATGATGCCTCATATGAGTCCCTTAATGAGAACTCCCAACTTGTATGAGTTCAACATGTCATTATTCGGGGCATTTCAGAAGTGTTCATTTTATCTCTTCAGCTTAGGGCTGAGCCTGACCACAGGGCCCATGTCTTAACCCCCCTCCTCCCTTTGTAATCAGGTACCATGTGGTCTGGCTGAGGCATCAGCCAGCTATGGCGGATTGGAAGCCGTGCTGGCCTGGGGAAGGTTGTAGGCAGGGGTCTGGTTATCTTCCAGTGGAGACACAAGGTGCAGGTTCCTGGAAGAGGATGTCATTTAGTTTAAGCAGCTCACAGCTTAGCAGCAGGACAGTCAGCAGCCCTGGGCCCCCTGTGGCTGCAACTTGAGCAGCTGAATGCTACAGTTTTTAAAAAGGAAAGCCCCCCGTGAACAAATGTGGGATATTCTTTCATTACAAATGGTCACACTGGCCAGGGCCCTGGAATAGAGCACCCTCATCTTAAAATGTTGTTTTATTTGGAAATAATTTCAATCTCATAGAAGAGTTGTGTGAATCATACAGAGCCCCACATATACTTCATCCAGTTCACTGTTTGTCAATATGTCTGCATTCGCCTTGTCATTTCTTCTCTCGTATATTATTGATGTGTTTTAACTGTTTGAAAATTAATTGCAGACATCATGTCCCTTTTCCCCTGAATAGCAAATATTTTCCTAAGAGGAAGACATTCTCGTTCATAACCATGGTAGACTTACCAGATTCAGGAAATTTCACATTCTTACAACATTATTATCCAGTACATTTTTGAATCTTTTTTATAGCAGTTTGCCCCCACTTCCAGGATGTCTTCCAGGACTGAAACAAGGATCATGAGCACCGCATTTAGATGCAACTTCTCTTCAGTCTTCCCTCAGCCTTTCTTTGCTTTCACGGCCTTGACGGTTTTGAAGAACACAGGCTGTGGAACACCCTCTCTAAAGTGTTTCTAAAGTCACTTCTTACACAGCCATTGCTGTTAGAACCTAGGAGGGGTGCGTGGTTGGGTTGTGAGTGGTAAGGGCCAAAGTTGCGAATGTCTGCATTGGCGAAAGAGATTTGATGGAAAAGGAGGTTGCTGGAGTGTAGACAGCTACATCGATCCATACTTGGGTTCAGCAATCCTAGGAGGGTCCCATTTGTAGAGAGAGGGATATTTTCTCCACATCATTCCCATGTGTTTCTCATCATCAGTGAAATGATATTTCATCCTGTTCTTACCATTAACCGTGTTTGTGGTGACCTCCCTTTTAGAGCTGATTCAAAGTTCCCTTTTGGGAGGCTTTCCAGGATTTCACCAAACTGAACGTTATAGTGGAATTGAGTGTTTTAAGCTGGGAATAGTTTAGAAATAATATAGTCCAGTTATTTCCCAGTTGATGAAATTAGGGTGAGATTTTAAAAGAAGTGTTAGATATTCACTTACATGAATAAGAGCCAAGATAAGGCCAAGCGCAGTGGCTCACGCCTGTAATCCTGTAATCCTAGCACTTTGGGAGGCCGAGGCGGGGGTATCACTTAAGGTCAGGAGTTCAAGACTAGCCTGGCCAACATGGTGAAACCCCATCTCTACTAAAAATACAAAAAAAAAAGTTAACCAGGCATGTTGGTGGGCGCCTGTAATCCCAGCTACTCGGGAGGCTGGGGTGGGAGGATTGCTTGAACTTGGGAGGCAGAGGTTGCAGTGAACTGAGATCACACCACTGCACACTCCAGCCTGGGTGACAGAGCGAGGCTCCGTCTCAAAAACAAAAACAAAAACAAAAAGCGTCAAGATATTTTTGCTTTGAGCATAGCTCATTAAAAAATATATGGCTTACTAGGCGTGGTGGCTCACACCTATAATCCTAGCACTTTGGGAGGCCGAGGTGGGCAGATTGCTTGAGCTTAGAAATTCAAGACCAGCCTGGGCAGCATGGTGAAACCCTGTCTCTACAAAAAAATAGAAAAATTAGCCAGGCATGATGGTATGTGCCTGTAGTTGCAACTAATCATGAAGCTAAGGTGAGAGGATCACTTGAGGCCAGAAGGTTGAGGCTGCATTGAGCTGTGATAGCCCCGCTGCACTCCAGCCTGGGCAACAGAGTGAGACCCTGTCCCCCACAAAAATCTATATATCTATATGGCTGTAGTTTATAGTCACAGGAAAACCTGTGCAGCCAGAGGTTAGCACAGAGGCGCTGTGTCATTGCTGAATGTTAGGCTACAGCACAGCTATCCTGAAGCAAAATTGTTCTGGAGTTAACCATTTAGAGCATCTTGGCTAATCCTAAAAAAATACATTGGTCTGGGCAGAAACTACTAGGCTGTCACGGTTTTAAAAAAAGAAGATCGTATCTTTTCTAAAACAGGAGACAAGAAGATCACACCGTGAGCAGACTGTCTGCACAGTGTAAGGAAGAAGGACCAGAGGCAGCGACTCCAAGGCTGCAACACCTGAGAGCTGGAGTCACTCAGGACTCTGCTCTGAGTCAGCCTAGTTCAGCAGTCAGCATGAGTTTTTGCTATTTTTTTCCTTCTTTCCTTCCTTCCTTCCCTCCTTCCCTCCCCCTCCCTTCCCCCCTTCCCCTTCCCCCCTTCCCTGCTTCCTTCCCCCTTCCCCCTTCCCTCCTTCCTTCCTGCCCCCTTCCCCCTTGCCCCCTTCTCCCCTTCCTTCCTTCCTTCCTTCCCCCCTTCCTTCCTTCCTTCCTCCCTCCCTCCCTTCCTTCTTTGAGACAGGATCTCGCTCTGTCACTCAGGCTGGAGTGCAATGACATAATCGTGGCTCACTACAGCCTTGAATTCCTGGGCTCAAGCGATTCTTCCGCCTCAGCCTTCTGAGTAGCTGGGACTACGAGTGCAAGCTCCCACACCTGGCTAATTTTTAAAGATTTTTTGTAGGGTTGGGGTCTTACTATATTGCCCAGGTTAGCTATTTTCATTTTTGAAAATTTTATTGGGTTTCTTTTCATTGCCATTAAGAATACCATCTACAGAGAAATTCAGTGAGAGGTAATAGACAAATAGCCTGGGGTGATCAATGGAAGCCTGACTAATGATTGGGTTACATACATGATTAATACCATGTTTTTATTTTGTAACAGCCATTGATTGACTTTGAAAATCTTTTATACTATTAAACTTTTTTTAAAAAGCCATTTCTCAGTTTTCTTTCTAATCTGTACTAGCTACAAACAATTTCTGTGACTTTCAGTCAGTTATTAAAAATATATTTTTGTGTCCTTTTTTCAGCAGCCCATGACCCATCGAGAAACTGCACCTGTTTCCCAGCCTGAAAACAAACCAGAAAGTAAGCCAGGCCCAGTTGGACCAGAACTCCCTCCTGGACACATCCCAATTCAAGTGATCCGCAAAGAGGTGGATTCTAAACCTGTTTCCCAGAAGCCCCCACCTCCCTCTGAGAAGGTAGAGGTGAAAGTTCCCCCTGCTCCAGTTCCTTGTCCTCCTCCCAGCCCTGGCCCTTCTGCTGTCCCCTCTTCCCCCAAGAGTGTGGCTACAGAAGAGAGGGCAGCCCCCAGCACTGCCCCTGCAGAAGCTACACCTCCAAAACCAGGAGAAGCCGAGGCTCCCCCAAAACATCCAGGAGTGCTGAAAGTGGAAGCCATCCTGGAGAAGGTACAGGGGCTGGAGCAGGCTGTAGACAACTTTGAAGGCAAGAAGACTGACAAAAAGTACCTGATGATCGAAGAGTATTTGACCAAAGAGCTGCTGGCCCTGGATTCAGTGGACCCCGAGGGACGAGCCGATGTGCGTCAGGCCAGGAGAGACGGTGTCAGGAAGGTTCAGACCATCTTGGAAAAACTTGAACAGAAAGCCATTGATGTCCCAGGTCAAGTCCAGGTCTATGAACTCCAGCCCAGCAACCTTGAAGCAGATCAGCCACTGCAGGCAATCATGGAGATGGGTGCCGTGGCAGCAGACAAGGGCAAGAAAAATGCTGGAAATGCAGAAGATCCCCACACAGAAACCCAGCAGCCAGAAGCCACAGCAGCAGCGACTTCAAACCCCAGCAGCATGACAGACACCCCTGGTAACCCAGCAGCACCGTAGCCTCTGCCCTGTAAAAATCAGACTCGGAACCGATGTGTGCTTTAGGGAATTTTAAGTTGCATGCATTTCAGAGACTTTAAGTCAGTTGGTTTTTATTAGCTGCTTGGTATGCAGTAACTTGGGTGGAGGCAAAACACTAATAAAAGGGCTAAAAAGGAAAATGATGCTTTTCTTCTATATTCTTACTCTGTACAAATAAAGAAGTTGCTTGTTGTTTGAGAAGTTTAACCCCGTTGCTTGTTGTTCTGCAGCCCTGTCTACTTGGGCACCCCCACCACCTGTTAGCTGTGGTTGTGCACTGTCTTTTGTAGCTCTGGACTGGAGGGGTAGATGGGGAGTCAATTACCCATCACATAAATATGAAACATTTATCAGAAATGTTGCCATTTTAATGAGATGATTTTCTTCATCTCATAATTAAAATACCTGACTTTAGAGAGAGTAAAATGTGCCAGGAGCCATAGGAATATCTGTATGTTGGATGACTTTAATGCTACATTTTAAAAAAAGAAAATAAAGTAATAATATAACTCAAAATGGTTTTTGTGGTTTCTAAATCTTTGAAAGCAGTGGCATCATGGAGATTGTCTGTCCCTGGTTTCAGTCAGAATAAATGACAGGTGCATTTAACAAGCCTGCTTTGGGTTTTGTGACGTCTCCAATAGCCCGGCTCAAGAGAGAATTGTCTTGGTCACCTTTCAGTCTCAGATTGCAACAGGAACCTGGGAAGACTCAGGGCTGTGAACTCCGGTAATGGGAACATGCCTGCTGCATCCGTTCGGACCGACCCAGCCAACAGCCAAGGTGCCAGTTAGGTAGCATGTCTGCCCACCTGTCCTCAGGCCTCACCAAGAAGCTGAGATTGTCCAAAAGTGCCCAGAGGGCCTGGCGCAATGGCTCACACCTGTTATCCCAGCACTTTGGGAGGCCAAGGCAGGAGGATCCCTTGAGGCCAGGAGTTTGAGACCAGCCTGGGCAACATAGCAAGACCCTGTCTCTACAAAAAACAAATCAGCCAGGTGGTGGCATGCGTCTTCAGTCCCAAGCTACCAGGGATGCTGAGACGTGAAGATAGTTTAAGTCCAAGAGATGAGGCTGCCGTGAGCTGTGATCCCGCCACTGCACTCCAACCTGGGCAACAGAGTTGAGACCCTGTCTCTAAAAATTAAAAAAGGAAGCGCACAGGGAAGCCAGCTCCCACTATTGCCCAAGGCTGGCCAAAGTGTTCCTTGGAGTCTAGGTCACTGGGGGTTGGAAATGTGCTCTGAGAATCTTGGGGTCATCTTTATTAACACCTTGTGAGTCACCAAACCAAACTGAGACCAGATTTATCTTCCTGGATTGGGTTCCTAGAAGCCTCTGGAGTTAGGGACGAGATACACTCAGGCCTGGGTAGAAGGAGATTCTTCTTGCTGTGCCAGTGGCTTTTTTTTTTTTTTTTTAACCTTGGGAGGGACCACAGCCCCACAGCATGGAGATGTGCTGGATTTGTTTATTTTTTATTTTTATTTTATTTATTTATTTAACTACTTGCCAAATAAAGTGAAAAGAGAAAGGCCTGAGACCTTGGAACTCTCAGTGAAGTGCTGACTTAAGAGCCCCCGAGCTGAATTTCTCATGACTGTATTGAGTTTAATACTGGTGCCTGACGATGCTGCACAAAAATACACCCTGGTGTGCTTGCCACTGTTAGCCTGCTGAGGAAGGCTGAAGTCATTCCCATGGGAATCTGCCAACATCATTCCTGGGTGAACTCATTTGGGGAGTACAAGCCGACATGCCACTGATTCTAGAAACTCGAACATGTAAATAGGAAAAAAAAAAAAAAATACTAGACTATTTTAAAAATGAACCAGGCTGGGTGCAGTGGCTCATTCCCGTAATCCCAGCACTTTGGGAGGCCGAGGCGGGTGGATTACTTGAGGTCAAGAGTTCGAGACCAGCCTGGCAAACATGGTGAAACCCCACCTCTACTAAAAATACAAAAATTAGCCGGGCGTGGTGGCATGCACCTATACTCCCAGCTACTTGGGAGGCTGAGGCACGAGAATTGTTTGTACCTGGGAGGCAGATGTTGCAATGAGCCGAGATCACGCCACTATACTGCAGCCTGAGCAACAGAGTGAGACTCGATCTCAAAAAAAAAAAAAAAAAGAACCAAAGATGATGTGACCACTTCTCTTTGGGACTCAATGGACCTCATACGACGTTAAGCCTCCTTGAGTGGTTACTGGATTAGGTTGATAGTATTTTTATCACTAAACATCATCAAATAAGTAGCTGTTTAATGTGGTTGGAATATTTTCAATCATCCAAATGAGACATGCTGTGGGCATCAGGACGGGAGTTATCTGGCCTGTGTTGGTGGCCCCTGGGCCTTGTGTGGGGAGCAGGGCATAGAGCTAGCTGTACGCTCTTGGTGACACAACTGTCTTGGCCCCTGTAGGCATTGGGGGGCTACAGCCACTGAGCATCTACCGAGTGTCAGGGCTATTTCCTGCGATGCCTGCTCAGGCCCTCTCTATCTGCTTTTCCAAATCTTCCGACTCCATTTTTTTTTTTTTTTTTTTTTTGAGATGGAGTCTTACTCTGTCGCCCAGGCTGGAGTGCAGTGATGCAATCTCAGCTCACTGAAACCTCTGCCTCCCGGGTTCAAGCGATTGTCCTGTCTCAGCCTCCCGAGCAGCCGGGATTATAGGTGTGCGTCACCCCGGCTAATTTTTGTATTTTTTAGTAGAGATGGTTTTTTGCCATGTTGGCCAGGCTAGGCTAGTCTTGAACTCCTGACCTCAAGTGATCTGCCCACCTCGGCCTCCCAAGTGCTGGGATTACAGCTGTGAGCCACCATGCCCAGCCTCCAGATCTTCCCACTCTGAGGCCCACCTTGGGTTGAAACTTTCCCCACCTGGACCACGCATTCCTTCTCAGACTCTCCCTTCCCAAAGCTCCTAGCACCCTTCTGTGCATTTGCCAAAACCCAGTTGTTTTCTCAACATCCTGAGTCATTTCCTCAGCAAGACAGAATCCCCGGAGGGGTGGCAGGTTCATTCCGACACTTCCTTCTTCCCACATTGTTGTCCAGACCTGGGCACAGAAGCACCCTGGATGGTCAGGGAGTGCTTAAAAGTCCCTTCCACTTAAGATGTTAGGATTCTAAGGCTAAATTGATGTTCCTGCACAAATAAATACCTCTTTAGGAGCTGTGAGTTGAGGGCCAACTCTTTCACCAACTTTCATAATTCCCAGATATGTAATTTATTTAAGTTAATTTATGTAAGTAATTTCCTCTCTCTGTGCCCTTTGCTCTCATCTGTGAAAGGAGGGCCTTGCCCAAGGGCCCTCTTGGTGATCTGGATGTTTCTGGCAGGTCTGCACTTGGCTACTGTTGTGGTCTCTGCCTTGGTATTTCTCCCTTAGCAGCCTAGCCAGGAAGCATAGCGTGGAGCTCCATTATGGGCTGTGCGGTCCTGCAAGCCCCTGTGTGAGTGTGGCTGGCCGGCCTGCCCACTGTCTGTAACATTATACAAATGTAATCGAATGCCAACGGACAGGATCCAGGGTTGCAGTTATTTTGGGATGTGCAGGAGCCTGTGGGAAAACGCTGGAACATGTCTTAGTCACTTGGGCAAATACCTTTCTTTCCCTGTTCCAGCGTGTTTTGAACTTTCAGGCAGCACAAAAAAAGCTCCAGCAGGCACACCCACCCTTGGTGATTCCGGTGCCCTTACACATCCTGTGGCTCTGAAAAGTGTGAGTGCAGAGGGCTGAGAGCGGGGCTGGGGAAGCCCTAGACACCCACCTATGGAAAAAATTGTAGCGCTTCCCTCAATACGTAATTCAAAATAAAAACAACAAAAGAAACGTAAGGAAGATGTGCAATTCCCACTTTATACTTTGTTGCTTCCTAAAAATTGTAAAATTTCCTCCACTCATGCGTATGTGCGCTTGGCCAGGTCCCTGCCTTCCTGGTACTCTGTTGTCCAGCACTACCCAGTAAGAACCACTGGAGACCAGGAAGAGCTCCATCAGTCCCCGCGGAGCATCTGAGCAGGTGAGGAGGTACAGGACCACAACAGAGGGCAGCAGAAGCCAGCAATGGTGCCATCCTGCGCTTGGTGGAAGGGATGAGGAGGCAGCCACAGGTCCTCTCGATGGACAGTGTTGCCCCCGCACCTCACACGTGGGCCCAGAGTTCCTGGTGCAACTAGAAGCCAGCCTGAAGGTGTGAAGGGAGTTGGAAAAAGCATTCCAGATGGAAAGGGTCTTTTTCTAAAACATTTTCTTGCCTGTCCTTGCCTTCTCTAGCCAGAGCTTTGCCCTAGGATCTGGCCGGCTGCATGGAGGCTGAGGAAGTTCTCCTCTAGTTTGAAGAGGGGAAATCCTTCTGCCAGCCCCTCACTCACTGTCTTCCACTTCATCTCTTTCTCTCTCCAATGGCTCTTTTCTTGTCCTTAGCCTACAGAAAACACAAACCAAAAAGAAATGCTTCCTCCTCACTTTACCCCCTGCCCCCACTTTTCTTTTTCTTTTTCTTTTTGAGACAGAGTATTGCTCTGTTGCCCAGGCTGGAGTGAAGTAGTGCAATTTTGGCTCACTGCAACCTCTGCTTCCGAAGTTCAAGCAGTTCTCCCACCTCAGCCTCCCGAGTAGCTGGAATTACAGACATGTGCCACACACCCAGCTAAATTAAAAAAAAAAAATCTATTTTTAGTAGAGAAGGGGTTTCACCATGTTGGCCAGGCTGGTCTTGAACTCCTGACCTCAAGTGATCCACCTGCTTTGGCTTCCCAAAGTGCTGGGATTACAGTCATGAGCCATCGTGCCCGGGTCACCACCCCCAGCTCACCACCCCCACTTTCTGATCACATGTCGTGGAAGAGCCAGCTAAGTCCCCTCACCTCCCACGTCCTGATCCACCTACAGCCATCCATTCCTGCACCCACCCCTACCGAAACCACTTCTGTGGGCACACTGTCACTGGTGTTATGCAATGTCTCCAGCTCTCCTCCCCAGCAGGCTCTGACTCACCCTCTTCCCTTGCCCTCTCTTCAACATCAAGGTCTCCAGGGTTCCTTCTTCAACCACCGCTCTTCCCACCATGTGAGGGTGTTTCAGGCGGCACCTTGGCTGGACCATAGCACCCAGCTATTTAACTCCAGCACTAGATGCTGCTGAGTAGATATTCTACAGACTTGGTTAACATCTACCATCGGTTGATTTCTCCCGGAGGAGAAGAAATTCTGCCTCAAGACTACAGCATCTGCCCTGGCTGAGTTTCTAGCCTGCTGCCCTGCCCTGACTTGCCCTGCCCTACAGCTTTCCAACTTGTCTGTCCCCACAATCATGTGAGCCAAATCCTTAAAAAAAAAAAAAATACACACATGGCTGGGTGCGGTGGCTCATGCCTGTAATCCCAGCACTTTGGGAGACTGGGGAGGGTGGATTGCTTGAGCCCAGGAGTTCAAGACAAGCTTGGGAAACATGGCAAAACCCCATCTCTATTTATAATAAAAATTAAACCCACACACACATACACATCCCCACCACACAAGCGCTGTATATGTGTATTTTGTTTCTCTGGCGAACCCTGACTGATGCATACTGTTCACACTCACCGGTTCTCCAGCTTCCTCCTCCCAGACCCCAGTCATCTCTGGGTCTGTTTCTGATACCCTCTTTTTTTCTTTCTTCTTTTTTTTTTTTTTAAAAAAGAGTAGAATTCATATTTTGTTGTCATCCAGATGGCAGTTGGGTTTATAGTCTCCATACTTTATACTTTATGTAAATAAAAATAATTACAAGTTTTAAATAGCCAATGGCTGGTTATGTTTTCAGAAACCATGATTAGACTAATTCATTAATGGTGGCTTCAAGCTTTTCCTTATTAGCTCCAGAAAATTCACCCACTTTTGTCCCTTCTTAAAGAACTGGAAAGGGCCAGGCACGGTGGCTCACACCTGTAATCCCAGCACTTTGGGAGGCTGAGGCGGGTGGATCACCTGAGGTCAGGAGTTCGACACCAGCCTGACCAACATGGAGAAACCCCGTCTCTACTAAAAATACAAAAATTAGCCAGGCCTGGTGGCGCATGCCTATAACCCCAGCTACTCGGGAGGCTGAGGCAGGAGAATCACTTGAACCTGCGAGATGGCGGTTGCTGTGAGCTGAGATTTTGCCATTGCACTCCAGCCTGGGGGACAAGAGGAAAAATCCATCTCAAAAACAAACAAACAAACAAACAACAAAAAAAAACTGGAAGGTTGGCATGCATTTGACTTCACATTCTGAAGCAACATCCTGACAGTCAGCCACATGTACTTCAAAGAATACCATGTTGGAATACTTTTCAGAGAGGGAATGAAAGAAAAGCTTGATCTTTTTGCAAGGCCCATACCACGTGGCTGAGAAGTCAACCATGACAAATTTATCACCTGCAGCCTCCAAGCCTTCCTGAAAAGCAACCTTGCTCTCAATTTGCTTCACCATCTTGGCTGCTAGGGTCTGAGGAGCAGCTGTAAGAACCGATGGAAACGGATCCAAAAGTGCCGGATCGAGCTTGGAGCTCTGGTACCCTCTTTCTCCTGAATGCCAAACTTATCTATGCCTACAGGGCACACAGAAAGGTGAGCATTCAGCTGATATCCTCTAGGAACCTGGAATTCAAATCCTGGGGTCCCCTCAGGGATCCCCCAGCACTGAGTCAGCTCTATCCCAGCACAAGCCTTCCACAAGGTGCGATCCCACAGTTCACAGAGGCCAGCCAGGTGGAGGATTGACAGAGCCAAGCTGTCACAAGTTGGATGTAGTCTGGGGGCAGAGCCAGGGACTGATGCTTGGCCCCACGCAGCAATTGTCATGTGGGGCATTGGTCCAGCGTTACAAGAGATTTCCAATTTTCCAGAAAGACCAGAAATTTGTTCCTGTGAAATCTCTCAATTTTTAATTTTTTTTTTTAAGATGGAATTTCACTCTTATTGCCCAGGTTGGAGTGCAGTGGCGCAATCTCTGCTCACAGCAACCTCCACCTCCCTGGTTCAAGTGATTCTCCCATCTTAACCTCCCAAGTAGCTGGGATTACAGGCACCCGACACCATGCCCGGCTAATGTTTGTAATTTTAGTAGAGACCAGGTTTCACCACGTTGCCCAGGCTGGTGTCGAACTCCTGACCTCAGATGATCTGCCTGCCTTGGCCTCCCAATGTGCCGGGATTGCAGGTGTGAGCCCCAGCCTGACAATGAAATTTTCCCATCAAGAGGTATTAAGGGAGGGACAGGCTTCATGAACCCTTTAAAAAAATGTTTATGTCACTTTTCACTCAGGGCAATGAGTGCTTACTTGCCCTACATTTTCATAACCAAAAGAGTACACACAAGACTCTTGTCTAAATGTGACTGTTCTCAGCCAACTCTGTCCACCCTCTGACACTGAAGTAGCTGACATAATTTAAAAATGTCTCCCAAAAGGTGCCCAGTTTCATTAACATTTTTTGGAGATAATTTTGACTAATTATTGGGTCACAAATTTCCTTCAGACAAAAAAAGACAAAAAGGCCCATTATCCCAAATATATACCTTTCAAACCCTTAGGATTTAAAAATACTAAAAACATGGTAACTTCTCCATGTTTGTTTTTTGTTCCTTATATTTCACTCTAACGATCAAGATACAAGAAAATACATAGAGGCGATCGATAGCTACCCTGATTTGATCCTATGCATTTATACATGTATCAAAATATCTTCAGGATAAGAACAACTATAATATATCAATAGAAATTTAAAAATTAAAGAAATTAACAAAAGAGTCTGTGCATGGTGGCTCACGCCGGTAATCTCAGCACTTTGGGAGGCCAAGGCAGGTGGATCACTTGAGGCCAGGAGTTTGAGACCAACCTGGACAACATGGCGAAACCCCGTCTCTACCAAAAATACAAAAAAAATTAGCCGGGCGTCATGGCGCATGCCTGTAATCCCGGCTACTTGGGGGGCTGAGGCTGGAGAATAGCTTGAACCCAGGAAGCAGAGGTTGCAGTGAGCCGAGATCACGCCACTGCACTGCAGCCTGGGCAACATAGACTCTGTCTAAAAAAAAAAAAAAGTAAGAAATTAACAAACAAAAGAAAATATATTGTTTAAAAATAAAATTACATTTCATAATTATTGCACGAACAGATTTAAGGATAAAGTTTCCAGTTAGAATGAAAGAGAGAAGGCATGTGTTTACAAACAAGCACGAGGCCCAAGAATAACTTACTGATTAGTATAAAATGTAAATGGTTGATTTTGCACAAATGCGATTTTTCTTTCTTTCTTTTTTATTTTTTTGTGGTCCACTGGAATGAGAAACTCAAAATCTTTCTTTAGAGCTAAGGCTTTTTTCTTCAATCGACTTCCTCAGGTTGAAAGGAGTTAAGGCTTTACCAAAGCAATTTGAAGGTTTGAAATCTCCAGGGAGATTGATTTATGAGTACAGTACACGTTAAGGCTACCTCTGACCTTGGCAGATTGTGGCTGTTAAATTAGGCCCTGGAGTCCTGAGACAGGGGCTCTTCATCTTAGCCTCCTAGCCTCCTTAGTATCTCACTGTGTGTCAGCAATTCCATGAATCCCATTGGATTCATGAAATTTCATTCATGGAATTGGATTCCTACTCATGGAATTTAATGTAATTCCATTGGATTCATGGAATTCCACTTCAGTTCTGTGATTCTCAGTAATATTTCTTTCTTTTTTTTTTTTTTTTTTTTTTTTGAGACAAGGTTCCTCTCTGTCACCCAGTCTGGAGTGCAGTGGCACGACTTAAGCTCACTGCAACCTCCGTTGGCCTCCCTGGCTCAAGCAATTCTCTTGCCTCAGCTTCCCCAGTAGTTGGGCACCACCATGCCCGGCTACTTTTCGCATTTTTCGGTAGAGAGGGGGGTTTCGCCATTTTGGCCAGGCCGGCCTCGAACTCCTGACCTCAGGTGATCCTCCCACCTCGGCCTCCCAAAGTGCTGGGATTACAGGCGTGAGCCACCGTGCCTGGCCAGTTCTGTGATTCTTTGGAGTGCCATGGCGCCATCTCGGCTCACTGCACCTCCGCCTCCCGGGTTCAAGCGATTCTCCTGCCTCAGCCTCCTGAGTAGCTGGTATACAGGTGTGTGCCACGACGTCAAGCTGATTTTTGTTATTTTACCTGAGACGGGGTTTCACCATATTGGCCAGGCTGGTCTCAAACTCCTGGCCTCAAGTGATCCACCTGCCTCGGCCTCCCAAAGTGCTGGGGCTACAGGTGTGAGCCACCACACCAGGCCTCAGGTCTGAGGTTCCTAATTCAGGACTCACCCGCACTAATTGAAACCTGAGGTGAGGGATTTCTCCTCGCTGACCAGTAGGGGGCGCGTCGTGACTGCGCCTTCTGCTTTCACTCCCCGCGCAGGGAAATCCTGTCCTGCTCTCTCAGGGAGCAGTTCCTGACGGTGGGCTCCATTTTATAATAGAATGACTCACCTGAAGAATCACTTCTTTCATTATTTCGTATTCCTCACAATACCAGTGACACACAAAGGCTTTATTTGAAAAACCAAGTAAAGGAAACGAGCACAGGATGTCTGTGCTGGTCTGGTCGGCGTTTATCTCAGCTGGTGAGAACGCAGCCACGCCTCTGTTCACACTGTCATTCCTCCAATAAATAAGATATCCCTGTTTTCTAAAGTCAGGGAGATTTATGAGTCAGAAGTAATCGGATCCACAATCTGATTAGAATTCTATCCTCATAACGGGAGCTGACCGCATCCGCATCCATTTGTGGTCCGGCCCAGTCACCACTTGGTTGGTGTTCTAGCACTATAAGCCAGACTGTGGGGTGGGGGAAGGTGAGTGCTCCCCGCACTTTAATGCCGGGCTTATTTTTCCCTAAGGACCAGGATCGAAATAATGTTAACAGGAAAAACATGCTTCCTCGTATGAGACTGCAGTATTTCACCTTGTATGAGAAAGGAAAAATGAAGGGTGAGACCTGCTTGTTTCTTACATAACTAGGGAGAAATCCATCCCCCCTCTCACCCCGTAGCTCTTCCTGGTGGCAGTAATGATCAGAACCGGGAGTACCCAACTTCTTTCATGCTTGGGGGACTAGAGCTGCCCCCTCCATGCAGAATGGGCAAAGTAAGGGCAGAGGAGATCCATTAGCATCACAATAGGCCTAAAGCCTGCATTTGAAAGCTTCAAGAAAAGACTGAGAGGCAATCTCTTGCTGTTTCCCCTAAAGGCAGATTGGCAGATCAGTCCTCCTATCCGGAGCAGCTAGAAAAGCTGGCAAAACAAACAAGACCTATCTGAAGGTGAGCCGCCAAGGGGGTGAGGATTTGAGGGTCAAGGTCCTGGAGAGAAGGGTTAGCAGAGCTTTGAATTTTGAGGCATTTGCCTATTTCATGAGGCAGAGAAGCTCCCAGCAGTCTCATGCTAAGGAAGGAAGAGCTCAAGTAGTCGCCGCCAGCTTTCAACTTCCAAAGGGCCTCACCCTTTGGAAGGAACAGGAATGAAAATAGAGAAACTCTCACAAAGACTGAAACCCAGCTTCCCATTGGCTTACCGTTTGACTGTGTTACAGGAAAGGGGTCTTGATCCAGACCACAAGAGAAGGTTCTTGGATCTGGAGCAAGAAGGAATTCAGGGTGAGTCCATAGAGTAAAGTGAAAGCAAGTTTATCAGGAAAGTAAAGGAATAAAAGAATGGCTACCCCATAGGCACAGCAGCCCCGAGGGCTGCCGGTTGCCCATTTTTATGGTTATCTCTTGATGATATGCTAAACAAAGGGTGGATTATTCATGCCTCCCCTTTTGAGACCATATAGGGTAACTTCCTGATGTTGTTATGGCATTTGTAAACTGTCATGGTGCAAGTGGAGTGTGGCAGTGATGACAACCAGAGGTCACTGTTGTCACTATCTTGGCTTTGGTGGGTTTTAGCCGGCTTCTTTACTGCAACCTGGTTTATTAGCAAGGTCTTTATGACCTGTATCTTCTGCTGACCTCCTATCTCATCCCATGACTTAGATTGCCTAACCTTCTAGGAATGCAGCCCAGCAGGTCTCAGCCTTATTTTACGCAGCCCCTACTCAAGATGGAGTTACTTTGGTTCAAACGCCTCTGATAATTGGATTAGGGCAAGCTTTCGCAACCTCAGTGCTATTGACACTGATAAATTGACATTATCAGTGGACCATCCTATGCAATGTTTAGTATTCCTGGCTTTTAACCACTGGATGCCAGTAGCACCTCTCCTTCCCCAAATTCTGACAACCAAACTTTCTCCAGACATTGCCAAATGTCCCCTGGTGGGGAAAATCACCTGTGGTTGAAAACCACTGGATTAAGGGTGCCTGCCCAGACCCCAACTGCCTTCCAGAAGCAAAAATAAATCTTACTATCATCTAGGGCCTCAAATTATATCTGTAATTTTTCATACATGATATGCAGCACTTAATAAAGAACAAAGCTTTAAAATACATAACAAAGTTGACAGAACTAAAAAGAGAAATAGACAAATCCACAATCATAGTGGGAGATGTTAAGACACATTTCTGAGAAAATGATGGACTAAGCAGAAAAAAAAAATCAACAAGGTTAGGGTAACAGGGTAAACTACGGAGAGAAGTATCTGGAGGAAAAGAGAAAGGTATCAGGTCTGGGTGCGTGAAAGAGGGGTTGGCAGGAAGGGGGGTATTGAGCGCAGATGGAGAAATGGAGAGAAAAGGAGGGTCTTTGTGGGCCCCCTCTTTCTGGAGGCTTAATTCTATAAGACCTTTTCCGCATGAACGGTACAAGGGAACTGTGTCGTTTCCTTTGTTCCTTCATCCAGACTATACTGGCTGCTCTGTGAAATCTATCTGTACCTCCAGTCTGCCGGAGGCATGTGAACCAGAGCAACTTCACCTTGAATAGGAGCTGGGTAAAATGAGACTGAAACCTACTGCACTGCATTCCCAGAAGGTTAGGCATTCTAAGTCACACGATGAGATAGGAGGTCAGCACAAGATACAGGTCACAAAGACCTTGCTAATAAAACAGCCTGCAGTAAAGAAGCTGGCCAAAACCCACCAAAACCAAGATGGCAATGAGAGTGACCTCACTGCTACACTCCCGCCAGCACCATGACAGTTTACCAATGCCATGGCAACATCAGAAAGTTACCCTATTTGGTCTCAAAAGGGGAGGCATGAAGAATCCACCCCTTGTTTAGCATATAATCAAGAAATAACCATAAAAATGAGCAACCAGCAGCCCTTGGGGCTGCTCTGTCTTTGCAGTAGCTATTTTTTTTTTTTTTTTTTTTGAGATGGAGTCTTGCTCTGTCACCCAGGCTATAGTGTAGTGGCATGATCTTGGCTCACTGCAACCTCCGCCCCCCTGGGGTTCAGGCAATTCTCCTGTTTCAGCCTTCTGAGTAGCTGGGTCTACAGGCGCGCGCCACCACGCCCTGCTAATTTTTGTACTTTTAGTAGAGACAGGGTTTCACCATACTGGTCAGGCTGGTCTCGAACTCCTGATCTCAGGTGATCTGCCCATCTCAGCTTCCCAGAGTGCTGGGATTACAGACGTGAGCCACCATGCCCGGCCTTTGTTTTCTTTTCTTTTCTTTCTTTTTTTTTTTTTTTTTGAGACAGAGTCTCACTCTGTCACACAGGCTGGAGTGCAGTAGCGCGATCTCAGTTCACTGCAACCTCTGCCTCCTGGGTTCAAGCGATTCTCCTGCCTCAGCCTCCTGAGTAGCTGGGATTACAGGCGTGCGCCACCACACATGGTTAATTTTTGTATTTTTAGTAGAGATGGGGTTTCACCATGTTGGTCAGGCTGGTCTCGAACTCCTGACCTCATGATTCTCCCGCCTTGGCCTCCCAAAGTGCTGGGATTACAGGCGCCTGGCCACAGTAGCCATTCTTATATTCTTTACTGTCTTAATATACTTGCTTTCACTTTACTCTGCAGACTCACCCTGAATTATTTCTTGCGTGAGATCCAAGAATACTCTCTTGGGGACCCCTTTCATTGTGGACTCCGTAGCAGCCAGTGGGGTTTGGGTTGGCAAAGACTAGTGAGGCGGCCAAAAGGGTGGTAAGCACATTCTGATCAACTGGGAGAGTGTCTCCAGCAGAGCTGCAGCCCTCCACCCCTGCCATGGAGGTGCTACCAGGTGTCACTAAACTTAGAGAGTCCTATGGTCTGAGGCAGTTTCAAAATTGAGAGACAGTAAGACTGAATATTTAATTCCTGTCTCATCTCTCCTCACTGTATTTTAGCAAGAAGTACTCCAGGATACAGAAGAGGAGCCTGTCCTACCTGGATTACACAGGTATATTGATACCTACTATACGGCAGACATTATTCTAATTGTTGCTAAGAACAGAGAGTAGGCCAGGCACGGTGGCTCTTGCCTGTAATCCCGGCACTTTGGGAGGGCAAGTCGGGAGGGTTGCTTGAGCCTAGGAGACCAACCTGGGAAACGTGGTGCGACCTTGTCAGTGATCCTGAGGTGAGAGGATCACTTGAGCCCAGGAGTTCGAGGCTGCAGCAGTGAGCCATGATTGTGCCACTGCACTCCACAGCCTGGGTCATAGAGTGAGACCCTGACTCAAAAAAAAAAAAAAAGAAAAGAAAAAGAAACACAGTGAGTTTAAGACTGGAATATAAAGATGGGTAAAGCCTATCCATTGTCTTCAGGCCTAATAGGGGTAAGGGGGTTAGGGCAGTGAATCGAGTAAACCAGCAGTTTGAATACGGTATGCTGGGGCAACTCAGGACAGAGCACAACAGGCTAAGAAGATGAAGAGTAATCGGGTGCTGGAGGGGAGAGAGAGAGAGAGACAGCAGATAAGGGGAATCTAGTTAAGAGTCTGAAACGGGAAGAGGATCTTCTGGGGAGCAGGAGTATTGTGAACAAAAGCCTGCAAGTGTGAAAGCATGAAGTGCATTCAGGGAAAATTGTATCCCACAGGTATTACTGAATGCCTACTCTATACCTGGCACTGTGCTAGGAGTTCAATGTACCTCGACGAACAAGACTCAGTCCTTCTCCGCAAATTGGTCAGGGATCTTTAGTAGGGCAGATTGAAAAGGAATGGGGAGCCGTTCTACAGTGAGCTGTCTGGAGGAGCTGGGGCATAGAGTGTTTGCAAACAAGTAATGAGTAACGGCCAGGCGCGGTGGCTTTGGCTGGGTGCGGTGGCTCACGCCTGTAATCCCAGCACCTTGGGAGGCCGAGGCAGGCGGATCACGAGGTCAGGAGATTGAGACCATCCTGGCTAATGTGGTGAAACCCCGTCTCTACTAAAAATACAAAAAATTAGCCGGGCGTGGTGGTTGGCTCCTGTAGTCCCAGCTACTTGGGAGGCTAAGGCAGGAGAATGGCCTGAACCCGGGAGGCAGAGCTTGCAGTGAGCCGAGATCGTGCCACTGCACTCCAACCTGGGCAACAGAGTGAGACTCCATCTCAAAAAAATAAAAAATAAAAAAGAAGTAATGAGAAACATGCCTGTTAGGTTACGAGGGGCTGTTGTATGCCTTGACACTGAAGGTGAAGACAGCCAGAATATAACCAGCTCCACCTTTGAAGCTCTGTATTAGAGCTGGCTGCTGCTCAAGAGTCCCACCACAAGTGATCACACACAGCTGTCAATGCCTCCTGGAAGTGACTTAGCAAGTCTGGGAGGCATTTGAAGTGAAATATCAGGCATCCAACCCAAGATGCTAGCAGCCTGATTAGAAAGGCAGGGTTGATGAAGACAGGGCGGGAGTCGCTGTGGCTCCCCTCTTTCCAGGGAGGTAAGAAAGAGGCCTCTGAGAGGAGACCCACCCTGTCCTGGGGAGGCCGAGGGCCCAATGCATTGGTGCCAATGACATGGGGCTCACAGTCTCTGTTCAAAGATGATCCCACCATCCACCTCTTCTGAGACCTTGATTTTTCAGTTGTCCCAGCTCTCTTGTGTGTCCAACTTCTCCTCTTGATTTATCCCCAGCAACATTAATATATCTTTAAGTTAATAGGCTAGGCATGGTGGCTCACGCCTGGAATCCCAGCACTTTGGGAGGCTGAGGCAGGCGGATCACGAGGTCAGGAGTTCAAGACCAGCCTGACCAATGTGGTAAAATCCCATCTCTACTAAAAATACAAAAATTAGCTGGGCACGGTGGTGGGCATCCGTAGTCCCAGCTACTCAGGAGGCTGAGGCAGGAGAATCACTTGAACCCGGGAGGCGGAGGTTGCAGTGAGCCGAGATCGCGCCATTGCACCCCAGCCTGGATAACAGAGTGAGACTCCATCTCAAAAAAAAAAAAAAAAAAAAAAAAGAGAGAGAGATATATATAAAATCTTTAAGTTGCTCTCACCACTCTATCCTGTTGTTGCCCCATTTCTCTCCTCCCTGCAAAATTAAACTCTTAAAGGAGTTATGCACACTCAGTGCCTCTACCTCCTCATTTCCTGTTCTGTTCAAGTTCCTTTGGAATACAGACCCATCTGGCTGGCTCTAGGGAGCTGCTTCTTATAGGGACACACTGGCAACCATGTGCAAATCTAGCAATAGATCCTCTGGGTCTGGATTTCCCATTCTTTTCCAGAGTCCTTTCTAGTCCCTCTCCAGGCTGTCTCCCTCTCCCACATGGCCTCGTTCACCTGCTCTACACGAATCCGTTCCGACTTTCTGTATCTGCTCAACCTCACCCCAGACCTCTTACCCAAGATGCTGAAGGATAATTGGCCTCATGGAAACCTGGAATAGGGGCTGCAAACTCATCAGGATGGGCTCCTCCTCCTTTCTACCCTGCCCTCTCCTCCCTCATCTGTGTGTGTGTGTGTGTGTGTGTGTGTGTGTGTGTGTGTGTGTGTGTGTGTCTGCTTCTCTCTGACCATCTCTGCCATTTCCACCACTCTCTACTTACCCATCCTACACCATCCCATAATGAACACTCCAGCTTCAGTCAACTTCAGGATCTTTAGCCCAGCTCCCACCATCAACAGACAGATGCTCAAGAGATGGAACCCAACTAGCCTGGTAATTTCTTCAAGTGAGGAGACAAGTCATAGGTCACTGGCCTCAGATTACAGGATGTGGCTGTTTAGGACCACAGGATGGTGGACAGGACGGCCTCCCTGAGAGGCGGTGGGGAGAGCAGACCACAAGAAGCAGCTTTGTATGCCTCCCATTCACGCCTCCACCCAAGGCATGGCCTGTGTGCTCAGCAGCCCGGAAACTGCTTTCACTGAGGTCATAAACAGTGTCTTTGTTGTTGAATCCAATGGACAGTATTCCTTTCTTTCTGTGAATGAATGTTCAGTGGCTTCTGGAGCTGTTGACCCTTTTCCTGACCCCTTTCCTGTAACTCCCATGAGATTTACCCTCTTTAGTTTTCCTCCTATATTTTGGCTATTTCCTTCCAGCCTATGTTTTGGGCTCCTCTTTCTCTGCCTGTGCTTTCAAAGCTGACCATCCTCTGGGTCTGGATTTTCCTTTCCTTTCCAGAATCCTTTCTAGTCCCTCTCCAGGCCATCTGCCTCTTCCACATGGCCTCAGTCACCTACTCTATACGAATCCATTCTGACTTTCTGTATCTGCACAACCTCATCCCAGACCTCACCCAACTGGACAGCCCCACCTAGACATCCCACAGGTACTTCGAAGTCACTGTATGCACAGTGGCACTCCATCCCCCTTCTACCTTCTTCTCCCTGATGTTTCCTACTTCAGGAGATGGTGCCACCCACTTGCCCAGGCCAGAAACAGCATCATGCTTAATACCTTATTTCCTTCACTCTAAACCCAACCAAACACCAAACATGAAAGAATCAACAGGCCAGGTGCAGTGGCTCACACCTGTAATCCCCGCACTTTAGGAGGCTGAGATGGGCGGATCACCAGAGGTCAGGAGTTCGAGACCAGCCTGGCTAACATGGTGAAACACCATCTCTACAAAAAATATAAAAAATTAGCTGGGCATGGTGGTGTGTGCCTGTAATCCCAGCTACTCGGGAGGCTGAGGCAGGAGAATCGCTTGAACCTGCGAGGCAGAGGTTTCAGTGAGCCGAGATTGTGCCACTGCACTCCAGCCTGGGCAACAAGAGCAAAACTCTGTCTCAAAAAAAAAAAATCGACAATAATCCCTTCATATATCAAATATCCAGTGTTCTACTTTCAGAGCATCCATCTTTTCCTTTTCCCTCCTGCCACCACCATCATTCTTGGAGTCATTCTCCTAAATGGGCTCTTCACTTTCAGTCTTCCAACCACCCAATCTAGTAACCCCCACTGAGTTACTCTCCCCATGGCCAGAAGGCTCCTTTCCTGCCTCCTTCCTCCTTTTTAAAAGAAATGTAGTTTTGTCACAGGATCCTTGGGGTGTCGTTTTTCCAGCTGGAAAACCTCTGTGGCCAGCAGCGCCTTCTGCCTGAATATTGCTTCTGCCCACTGGGCTCATCCCACCCACTTGGCCCGGCAGGCTGTGCTCAGATCCCACACCTGCCAAGGGCAAGCCAGGCGTGGAGTGGCGGGTGTGTGGGCAAGCAAGCATGGGATCTGGCCACTATGCACAGCCAGGCATGCCAGCTGCTATGGTGGGACAGGCAACTCCAGGTGCCACCACAGGTGCTTGCTCCATGAAAAGCTGTGGCTGGACCAGATGTACTGCATGCGGCTTCTGCTGCAGGCACCCGTGTCTGGATGAGGGTAATATGGTGGCACCTGCAAACTTGGAGATGCCAGGAACCGCAGAGCCCCAAAGAGGGTGTCGCAGCCCTGGCTTGGAGACCCCCTAGGTCTGAGCTCCCCGAAGGGCCAGAGCTCTTCTTTTCTTATTGCCTGCAATGTGGTGAGCCAGGGGGTTGTGTTTCAGCCCTGTTTGTGTTACAGCTTTTTCAGTCCCACCATTCGGCAGGTCCCAAGTTCTTGTCATGCATCCAGGAAGAATGAGGTACACAGACAACTGGAGGGTGAGTGAGGTGGAGAGGAGCTTCGCTGAGTGACAGAACAGCTCTCAGGAGATTCAAAGTGGCTAGCTCCTATCCACAGGCAGGTCATCCTGATGAGTCAAGGAGACCGAAGCGGGTAGCTCCTTCCTGCAGCTGGTAGTCCCAACATCTTTAGCCCTCAGAAGAGAGGAGCCCCAGAGTGGGTAGCTCCTATTTGCAGGCAGGTCATCCCAACGTCTGCAGCCCTCAGTGGAGAGGAGACCCAGAGGGGTTAGCTCCTATCAGCAGCAGGTCATCCCAACGTCTCTGTGAGTCTGGCTGAGTTGAGGGTTTGTATGGGTTTCAGAAAGGAGAAAGTGCGTGCTGATTGGTCCATACTTGACTAAAACAAGGTCCAACCTAGCTGTTTCTGTAAGATGGCAAGAGGTAGACAATCATATCATCTATAATAATGATAAATTAATTTATCCTATGTTGTGCCTCGTGTTCTTTTTTTTTTTTTGAGACAGAGTCTTACTCTGTTGCCCAGACTAGAGTGCAGTGGTGCGATCTCAACTCACTGCAACCTCTGTCTCCCAGGTTCAAGTGATCTCCTGCTTCAGCCTCCCAAGTAGCTGGGATTACAGGTGCACGCCGCCATGCCTGGCTAATTTTTGTATTTTTAGTAGAGATGGGGTTTCACCATGTTGGCCAGGCTGGTCTCGAACTCCTGGCCTCAAGTAGTCCACCTGCCTTGGCCTCCCAAAGTGCTTGGATTACAGGCATGAGCCACTGTGCCCAGCCTCTCTTATTCTTTTTATTGTGTTATTACAATGCCTAGCAAAAATGCTAAATAATATCAAGAATAACAGACATCCTTGTCCTGTTCCTTAATTTAAAGAGAATGCTCCTGGCATTTCGTGGATAAATATGATGTTTCCTGTTAGTTTCCGATAGCCATCTTTCTTCAAATTAATCAGTCTTGACAAATCATCTTGCACCTGCCTGGCTGCTTAGACACTCCTCCTGTTGTTTCCTCCACACAATGGCTATGCTTCAGACAAAATAAACTACTGACTCTTTTCTGGACTTGCCATGATCTTTTGTGGTTCCATGTCTTTGTACATCCTTCTCTTCATGTCATGAACACCCTCCCCAACTTCCAAATACCTGGTAGCTTAAAGAGAACCACATAGAAGTTTAGTTCCTCTTTAGACCCTGGATGTGGAGAAGATTTCTCTTCCTATTGGAAGAACATTTTGAGGAAACACTTCCATCATCCTTCTCCTTTCCTTTAGTTGCCCCCTCCCAGGGGAGAGGTTGAAGGTCTGATTGGGCCAATTTCATTGGTGGGTGGAGTAACTGGTCTTAAAGGCAAGGCCCCAGGTCCCACCCTTCTTGCTTTGCCTGAGCTCAGATATAATGCTTCTGTGGGGTTAGCACCCCTTGGCAGGACCACCTCTGTGGCAGGGGAAGCGAGGATCTGTCATTCTCTTTTTTCCAACTTCTCCAGTATGACTGGATGGGTAGGTCCGGTGACCCTTGCCTCATGAGTCTTCCTCTGTTCAGTTCAGTGGAAAAGGAGGATTTTGTCTCCCTTAGGTCTAGGTTTAAGCCATGTTCAAATCCAGCTTTTACTAGAGCTTTGCGTCAAGGTTGGTTTTCTGTTTCCTGCTTGGCTAGAGATCCTTGGACATATATTCTATCGGTGTGACTCTTAGAGTGGGGGTAGGGGGAGTGACTCCCTAGACCCTTAACCCTGACACTGAATGTGTGCTCTCATCAAACGTTTGCTGGATACATGAATGAATTGATTGATATCCCCCAGCCTTTCCCACCTTTAATAATAACTACTGTTTACTGAGTACCTTCCGTGAGCCAGGCATTAGTATCTCATTACATCCTCCCAACAACCATACCAAATAAGTATTAACATTTCCATTTTATAAAAAATGACATTTTATATTCCACTACCATATTAGCCATCCTAAGGCAAATCTCTGCTTTAAAAAAGGTAGCAGTTTGGCTGAGTGTGCAATGGCTCATGACTATAATCCCAGCAATTTGGGAGGCTGAGGTGGGAGGATCAGAAGTTCAAGACCAGCCTGGGCAATGTAGCGAAACCCCATCTCTACAAAAAAAGATTTTTTTTTTTTTTGAGACAGATTCTGGCTCTGTTGCCCAGGCTGGAGTGCAGTAGCACGATCTTGGCTCACTGCAAGCTCCGCCTCCTGGGCTCATGCCATTCTCCTGCCTCAGCCTCCTGAGTAGCTGGGACTACAGGCACCATGCCCAGCTAATTTTTTGTATTTTTAGTAGAGACGGGGTTTCACCGTGTTAGTCAGAATGGTCTCGATCTCCTGACCTCGTGATCTGCCTGCCTCGGCCTCCCAAAGTACTGGGATTACAGGCGTGAGCCACCTCGCCCGGCCCACAGTATTTTTTTTTTAATTAGCCAGGCCTGCTAGTCGGGAGGCTGAGGTGGGAGGATTGCTTGAGTCTAGGAGTTTGAGGCTGCAGTGAGCTATGATGTTGTCACTACACTCCAGCCTGGGCATCAGAGTAAGACTCTGTCTCTAAAAAGTAGACTGTGTTTCCCATCCTTCCTTGCATCTGGGCTTGGCTGTGGGATGTAAGTGGAAGTGTGGGGTGCTACTCAAGGTGTGTCCTTAAAGGGAGGGAGGGAGCTCCTTCTTTCCCCTCCCATCCCAACACTTGATGGATATGAAGCCTGGAAATCCATCTTGGATTATGAGGATGAGAGCCACCTTGTAGGGATAGTGGAAAGGAAGCTGGAAGTAGCCTGGGTCCCAGATGCCCCCAAAACCATTATATCAGTGTTCTACAGTCGCCATAACAAATTATCACAAGCTAGGTGGCTTGAAACAATATAAAGTTATTCTCTCATAGTCCTGAAGGCTGGAAGTCTAAAATCAAGGTGTCAGCAGGGCCATGCTCCCTCTAAAGGCTCCAGGGAAGAATCCTTCCTGCCTCTTCCAGCTTCTGGTGGTCCCAGGTGTTCCTTGGCTTGTGGCAGCATCGCTGTAATCTCTGCCCCCATCTTCACGTGGCCTTCTTCTCTGTGTTCCTCTACGTCCTCTCCTTTCCTTATAATGACACTAGTCATTGGATTTAGGGTCCACCCTAAGTTCAGGATGAGTTCATCTCCAAATCCTTAACTAATTACGTCTGTAGGGATGCTGTTCCCATGTAAAGTTGCATTCTGAGGTTCTGGGTGGATATGAATTTTTGGGAGATCCTATTCGACCCACGACAACTACCATATGAACTCTAAGCTGCCTACATACAGCTGTTCAAGAAAGGAAAAAATAACTGTTTTCTCTGTTTATACCATTATTATTTGGGGTCTCTGAACCCATATCCCAACCAATAGAGTCATTTTAGGGGGCACGCCTGTGGAGCCTGCCAGTGACTGCTCTTGGGTGACTGCCTGCCCCACTCACAGCAGGGGCTGGAGGGCGGCAAGACCTTTCTCCAGTGACCATGTTATTGGGCCACAAGCACACACTTAACCCAAGCTAAAGCAGTAATACTTTCTTTTGAGGGGTTTGAGACTTTAGGGAATTAGCCTGAGAGACAGCCAATACCTGAACTTATTGGCCTCTTGAATGGAGGAAAAATTACTTTATGGATTATGGGATAGTGACCTTCTGTTTATCATGTGAAGAGAGAAGCAGAGAAAACTGATCTCTACATGAGAAAAAAAGAAACAGATGTTCCAAGAGGGGAAGAGATGTGATTCTGACAGGGAGTCTGAGTGGTTCTCATTCTTGGTTTTGGGGCTGACCCGAGGCTTGGCTGCATTTGTACTGACTGCTTAGCATGAGTCAGGGCCAAGTGCTTTACCTGCATTACCTGGTATTCGGTCCAAATAATATACCCTAGACCAGTCGTGGTGGCTCCTGCCTGTAATCCTGGCCCTTTGGGAGGCCAAGGTGGGCAGATCGCTTGAGCTCAGGAGTTTGAGACCAGCCTGGGCAACATGGTGAAACCCCATCTCTACAAAAAATACAAAAATTAGCTGAGCATGATGGCGTGTGTCTTTAGTCCCAGTTACTCGGGAAGCTGAGATGGGAGGATTGCTTGAGCCGGGAGGCAGAGTTTGCAGTGAGCCACGATCGTGCCTCTGCACTCCAGCCTAGACGACAGAGTGAGACCCTGTCTCAAAACAAAACAACGAAAACAAAAACAAAAACAAAAACCAATCTATCCTAGCTTCTGCAATGTTTCAGTGGCTTAACTCAACACGAGTTTATTTATTGGCTCACATGAAGTCCATAGTGGTCAGGCAGCCCCCTCCTAGCTTGTACCACTATCATCTGGAATAGTGGTCTATAAGGTTGCCGGAGTAGAGGAAGAAAGAGATAGAGGAGGTATAGTTCCTCTTCTTCTCTTTTTGAGAGTGCCTATTTATTTTATTCTATAATTATATAAAATATCTACACAATTTCAAAATCTAATCTACAAAGCAAGGTATATTCAAATAAGTCTAGCTTATATCCCTGTGTTCTCCAACCTGTTCCCTCTTTTCCACTAAAGTTAGCAATTTAAAATTTATATTTATTTTTCCTTGTAATACATAAGTAATAATATACCTAGATTTATCTCCCTCCTTACTCAAAACTATACACATTTTCCCTACCTTGCTTTTTTTTATGGTAAAATATGCATAACATGATGTTTACTATGTTAACTTTTTTTTTTTTTTTTTGAGACAGTGTCTCTCTCTCTCTCTCTGTCACCCAGGCTGAAGTGCAGTGGCGTGATCATGGCTCACTGCAACCTTCACCTCCCTGGTTCAAGCAATTCTCCTGCCTCAGCTTCCCGAGTAGCTGGGACTACAGGCACGTGCCACAATGTCCAGCTAATTTTTGTATTTTTAGTACAGACAGGGTTTCACCATATTGGCCAGGCTGGTCTTGAACTCCTGACCTCAGGTGATCCACCCGCTTTGGCCTCCCAAAGTGCTGGGATAATAGGCATGAGCCACCGCGCCTGGCCGGATTCTTTCTTTCTAACTGGTAATATTCTTGTGCTGCTTTTCAAAATTAGAATTAGAATATTGGCATTAAAAGAACCCTGAATCCAGTGTTAAGTCGATCTTCTAATTTAACTTTCTCTAGACCACATATTTATTTCAGTCAACATTTATTAGACACAGTGCATTGAGCACTTAGGATGCATCAAGAACTGTGGGGACTGTGGGGACACAACATTGAATAAAATTTGCTTCTACTCTAATTAGTGAAAAACATCAGATTGTAATTACTTGTTTGACCTATGACCCAAATGTTTTATTATTAGATTGTGCTACTGACTGAAATCTATGAGTATACCGTGAGCATAGTTTTGAGTTGTAAAATTTCACTTCCTCTTTCTTTCTCCACACTTTTACTATTGGTAATACTGTATCAAAATTTCCCCTTTTCTTCTTTGTATTTCTCTTTTTCATAAAATTAAATAAGAATACCGCATTTCACAGATTTCATGAAATCATCTGCCATCTACTCAGAAAAATGACATCTCAAACCTTTTAAGCACCAGAATAACTAAATCCATACTTGCAGTGAGCCGAGATCACACCACTGCACTCCAGCCTGGGCAACAGAGACTGTGTCTCAAAAATAAAAATAAATAAATAAATCCATACTTGATGGCCCAGAGCCTAAGATTTGACATTAGTACGCAGCACAAGAGATCAGCAGGTATGGCAGGGATATGAAGATGTCTTATGTGAATGTGGCATTAGATCTAAAGAAGGAATTGGAGCTGTATTCAGGTAATCAGGACATTTGGGTTCCAGTGCCAGGTCCTCCCACAAATTAACTGGAATACTTTGGACAAATTCCCTAAACATTAGCTCTTCATCTGTAAAATGATGCTGCTAAACTAACTGAAAATCCCTTTTCATATTAAATTTCTACACTTTGATGATTCTAGAGAGAACCATAAGAAAGAGAGAGTGAAATAGCTGGGACAATTAGGAAACTGAAGAAGAGGGAAAAAATGGGGGCAAAGGACAATTCTAAGAACAAAGAAGGTGATAAAAATAATTCAGAACAGCAGAAAGTGAGATAGTAAAGTAAAATATGGTAAAAAGGAGAAAATAAAACATTAAATATTTTCTTGGAATTACAAAGATAAATCACATGAGATTTCATTTTTAAGCCCAAAGAGAAAGAAGAAATCTGGTTATTTGTATTTCTCTTGCATAAAGAGGCAATCTTCAGGAGTTATTTTGACGTGTCTCTCTATGGTTTCTCAATTCTAAAGAAAAAGAAAAGCCGGGCGCGATGGCTCACGCCTGTAATCCCAGCACTTTGGGAGGCTGAGGCGGGTGGATCACGAGGTCAGGAGTTTGAGACCAGCCTGGTCAACATGGTGAAACCCCGTCTCTACTAAAAATACAAAAAATTAGCCAGGTGTGGTGGCACATGCCTGTAATCCCAGCTACTCAGGAGGCTAAGGCAGAAGAATCACTTGAACCTGGGAGGTGGAGGTTGCAGTGAGCCAAGATCGAGCCACTGCACTCCAGCCTGGGCGACAGAGCTAGACTTCATCTCAAAAAAAAAAAAAAAAAGAAAAGAAAAGGAAAAAAAAAAGAGAGCTGATGTCTATCTCTTTGAGCTGTCAGATTGTTAAAACTAGCACATAGCAGTTATTGAGTGAACAAATGCTTTTGTAGGAGAAGGTAGAGAAAGAATATTGTGGGGTAAAAGGAGGTAATTGGGGTCAGGAATGAATCATTCAATTTCGTTGGATTGCTTCCAGACTCAGAAAGAATGCTTACATTTCATGATTTCATCCAACCTCCAAACAACGCCCGGGACAGATCAGGGGAATAATGCTTAGCTCTCAGCCACCTGACTTCCATGACAATGGGTCCCTGTTGTGGGGTGTTGTATGAGTGGCTTATTCTGATTCTGTTGGTCGGTCAGAAATTTGCTGAGGTGCAGAGGCAGCACTGCACAAACGGAAAACGGTAGCTCCTGAACAAACCGCTGCTTGGTGCAAAAGAAAGGAAGGAAGCTTCTGTCCCTGGCCTTTCTCATCCCATCCTCTACTCCTTTCACCTGTCCTAGTTGTGTTGCTCTTGGGGTCAGAAGTAGGGTGCATATGCCTGTATCTGTAGTTTACCCTTTACCCTCTTAGGGTCCGTGAGACTTTGGCAAGTTCCTTCTGTGCTCTGCCCTTCATTTTCCATGTCCCTAAATGGGAATGGTCATGTGTATTAAACAGACTGATGGTGTCTACCACAGTCTTAAGCAGAATGGAAGCTCAAATATGTTAATTATTTTTACTATATGTTTTCTGTCTGTGAACATCCCTCTCCTTTCCTTCTAAAGGATACATGAACTGTTTAGAACAAAACACTCCATTTCAGGACAAGTTTCCTCTGGAAAAAAACAAAAAACAAAACAACAACAAAAAACACAGTTACCAGCTTCAAGGATGGGGATGTGAAAATGTTGTAATGGAAAAGCTGCATATAGAGAGAGAGTCTGTGAGACGGTAAGTTTTAAGTCATAGATAATCATGAGTCTTAGAGGTGGGAAGAACATCTAGAGAGAGCTTATTCAGAAAGACATTCTGGGCTATTTCAACAGTAAAGATGATGCTATCTCCATTTTTGGGGGGAGAGTCATGGCCTTTGGTAGTTTTGAGTGTATTTACCACTAGGTAGTAATATCTTGTTTTCAAACTGATTATTGCTGACTGAATCATGTCCCCTTAAAGATATGCTCAAGTCCTAATCCCCGGTACCTATGAATGTGAGTTTATTTGGACATACATCCTTTGTAGATCTAAAAAAGTTAAGATGAGGTTTTACTGGAACACTAGTTCAATGACTGGTACCTTTATAAGAAGAGAAAAATTTGAACACTGATACAGACACACAGGGAGAGTGCCGTGTGACAAATGAGACAGAAATTGGAGTGATATATCTACAAGCCAAGGAACACCAAGAATTGCAGGCAGCCTGCGGAAGCTGGAAAAGGCAAGGAAGGATTCTCCCTTGGCGCCTTCAGAGGGAGCCTGGCCCAGCCAACACCTTGATTTTGGATTTCTAGCCTCCAGAATTGTGAGAAAATACACTTCTGTTGTTTACTGCCACCCACTTTATGGTCATTTGTTACAGCAGCCCTAGAAAACCAATACACTGACCAAATGACCACATCTCTTTGTCCCCTCTCTTATTTTATTTATTAATTCACTTATGTTTTATAGAGATGGGGTCTCACTATGTTGCCAAAGCTGGTCTCAAACTCCTGGGCTCAAGAAATCCTCCCACCTTAGCCTCCCAAAGTGCTGGAATTACAGGCATGAGCCACTGTGCCCAGCCCCCTCTCTTATTGTAATCAGTAGATTAATCCTGGTTCTCAATAGCCTTGAGGTTTCTGATGGAAATTTTAATATAATTATTAACATATTCTTTGTTTTTGAGACGGAGTCTTGCACTGCTGCCCAGGCTGGAGTGCAGCGGCACGATCTCGGCTCACTGCAAGGTCTGCCTGTTGGGTTCACGCCATTCTCCTGCCTCAGCCTCCCCAGTAGCTGGGACTACAGGTGCCCGCCACCATGCCTGGCTGATTTTTTATATTTTTAGTAGAGACGGTGTTTCACTGTGTTAGCCAGGATGGTCTCTATCTCCTGACCTCGTGATCCACCTGCCCTGGCCTCCCAAAGTGCTGGGATTACAGACGTGAGCCACCACGCCCTGCCAACATATTCTATTTTTACATTAAAATAATATATATTTGGATTGGGGAAACCTTCTGATGACTGAGTTGGTAAGCTCCTAGGAAAGACAGAAACTCACTCTGTAGGCCCCATCCTGCACAGCTAGTAGATGCTGCAGGGAGAACTGGGCATCCCCCAATGATGTGATGCTTCAGTTTCAACATCTGTAAACGCTGCTGATATTTCCTTCCTGCTACTTCAGAATAAAAATACGTCTTTAAAGTATTTTGAGCTCTATGGAGCCTGCTGTAGAAATTTAGAGGTAGCATGATAATCATCCTTCATCTTCGTTTTTTTTTTTTTTTTGAGTCTTGCTCTGTCGCCCAGGAGGCTGCTTTTTTTTTTTTTTTTTTTTTTTGACTGACCTTCCCTTCTTCTGAACTTGTTATTCACATCTTGTCCTCAAGACATTTTCTCCTTGGTACCGAGCAATAATTTTTGTTCTGATGTCATTGGTGATTCCGCACCTATGGAAAGCTGTTATTTTCCATTCTATCAGGAACTCAGGTATTTATTTCAATCTGTTCGTAGCAGAGAAGAATATTTCTGTTGAATGTATTCCTGTTCTTGTCAGGTTGTAAAGATGAGTAGAATGGGATGCCTCCCTAGCGCTGTGAGTTGTTGTTGTTGTTTGTAATATGTGAAATTGATGTAAACCCTCCTGACTTCAAGTTTTCGAAACCTCCCACTACTGCAATGAGTCAGATAGAACCAGGAACTGACACTAAGCTGATGACCCGAAAAGGGATCCATTGCTGAATTACACCATCATTAGTGAGAAGCTCCTGATCTCCTACTTTCTAACTCCAAGAAAGGTTCTATTTGTCGGTTGAAAGAGAAACTCAGCCACAGGTGGTGGGGTACGTCTATAATTCCAGCACTTTCGGAGGCTGAGGCAGAAGGATCACTTGAGGCCCGGAGTTCAAGAGCAGCCTGGGCAACAGAGTGAGACCCTGTCTTTACAAAAATAGATAGGGATATTTTTGTATGCTTCCTTTCTGGCTCCAGTATAACCTTCTTCTAGAGCTTCTTTGTCCTCAAACCTTAAGGAAAATATGAATAGCTATTCGGTTTTGTTTTTCAGTGTGTACAACCTTTGGGCTCTTATTCTGTCTGCAAAATTTAGACGTTTTTGTTGCTCATTGCTCACCTTCTTAATTTTTTTTTGTTTTTGTTTTTGTTTTGTGAGATGGAGTCTTGCTCTGTCGCCCAGGCTGGAGTGCAATGGCGCAATCTTGGCTCACTGCAACCTCTGCCTCCTGGGCTCAAGTGATTCTCCTGCCTCGGCCTCTCAAGCAGCTGGGATTACAAGGTGCCTCCCACTCAGCTAATTTTTGTGTTTTTGGTAGAGATAGGGTTTCACCATGTTGGCCAGGCTGGTCTCGAACTCCTGTGATCCACCCACCTTGGCCTCCCAAAGTGCTGGGACTACAGGCGTGAGCCACTGCACCCAGCCACCTTCTTAATATTTTTAAGAGGAAGATACTTTCCCACATTAGGTGTTGATTATGATTGACATTTTTATGATTTAAAAAAACCCTGTTTATTCTTAGTGGGCTTACTCATTCAGAGAGTCTGAGTATTATTTTTAGCACACAGCAAACCTGTTATTTTAGATTAGACTAATAATGAAACTAAGTCAGTTTCTTGACTTTTTTTTTCCACTTTCTCAGTTAAAAAATATTTTCAAGATGTCTCTGAAAGGATCTTATTGATTGATTGACTGAGACTGGGTCTTGCTCTGTCGCCCTGGCTGGAGCTCAGTGGCACGATCATAGCTTACTGTAGCCTTGATCTCAAGCGACCCTCCAGCCTCAACTTCCTGAGTAGCTGGTACTACAGGCATTTGCCACTACACCTGGCTGATTTTTTTTTTTTTTTTTTTAAATTTAGTAGATACAAGGTCTTGCTTTGTTGCCCAGGCTGGTCTCGAACTCCTGAGCTCAAGCAATCCTCCCACCTTGGCTTCCCAAAGTGGTGGGATTATAAGTGTGAGCCACTGTGTCTGGCCTGAAAGAATCATTTTTAATAGGTACTCCCATTTGTCCAAGAACCTTAAGGGTATATCAGTCATGAATAGGTTGTTGCAAGTATCTGGTTTCTATATGTCTATATTATTTCATATATTTCATATTGTGCATAGAGAAGGGACTCCACATTTTGTAGGGCAATTTGGATGGGCCCTAAGGTAGGGAATGATGGGGGGAGGAGGGAGATGCAGGTAAGCTGATGATAAGATCTTTGGCTGGTGGTATGGGCTGAATTGTGCCTCCCTAAAATCTACGTGTTGAAGTCCAAACCCCCAAGTACCTCAGACTGTGACTGGGTTTGAAGACAGGGCTCTTAAAGAGCTGACTGAGGTAAAAGGAGGTCAATAGGTTGGGCCCTAATACAATATGACTGATGTCCTTGTACGAAGAGAAGATTAGGACACACACAACACATAAACCTGGAGATAACCATGTGAGGACACAGCAAGAAGAGGCCAATGGTAAGTGAAGGAGAAAGATTGCAGAAGAAATCAACCCTACCAACACCTTGATCTTGGACTGTGTACCCACCCAAATCTCATCTTCAACTGTAGCTCCCATAATCCCCACATGTTGTGGGAGGGGCCCAGTGGGAGGTAATTGAATCATGGGGGCGGTTACCTCCATGCTGTTCTTCTGATAGTGAGTTCTCACAAGATATAATAGTTTTATAAGGGACTTTTCCCTGCTTCACTCTGCACTTCTCCTTGCTGCTGCCATGTGAAGAAGGACATGTTTGCTTTCCCTTCCGCCATGATTACAACTTTCCTGAAATCTCCCCAGCTCTGCAGAACTGTGAGTCAATTAAACTTCTTTCCTTTATAAATTATCCAGTCTCGGGTATGTCCTTGTAGCAGTGTGAGAATGGATTAATACGACTTCTAGCCTCCAAAAGTGTGAGGATGTAAATTTCTTGGCTAAGCCTGCCACTCTGTCACACTTTGTCATGGCAGCTTGAGCAGTCTCAGACAGCTGGGTCCTGGCCATATGATCTTCCCCATTCTGGAGTTCAGCGTGAAGGGTAGGGGGAGGGGCGGGAAGGAGGATGAATGACAAAGCCATCGATTTGGCCATCTGCTCCATACAGCTTTGAGAGCTTTGAGCAAGTCATCAGATACAGGATGGCTGCAGAGATGGAGCCTTCTTGAGAGTAGGGAAGGGGAGAGGAAGTGTGAATAACAATAAAACATACTCAGGTAGTGGGGGCAGAGGGAGAGGCTGCAAATAGTCACTATTTAACACTTTGGTTGCTGTTATACTTCATTCCCTCATGGCTGATGTTTTACTTTTCCTTAAGAGTAAATAGATCTGTACTCTTTAAAAATAGAAGGAAACAATATGATTAATTTAGACAGGCTTCTATTACTCTCTATATGACTTTTTCTTTCTGAGTAACTGTATTAGTCCATTTTCACGCTGCTGATAAAGACATACCCGAGACTGGGTATAAAGAAAAAGAAGTTTAATGGACTCACAGTTCCTCGTGGCTGGGTGGGGGCGGGGGCCTCACAATCATGGTGAAAGGTGAAAGGTGAAAGGCACATCTTACATGGTGGCAGGCAAGAAAGAATGAGAGCCAAGCAAAAGGGAAAACCCCTTATAAAACCATCAGATCTCATGAGACTTATTCACTAGCATGAGAATAGTATGGGGAAACCACCCCCATGATTCAATTATCTCCCACTGGGTTCCTCTCACAACACACGGGAATGATGGGAGCTACAATTCAAGATGAGATTGGGGACACAACCAAACATATCAGTGACATAGGAATTGGCATATTAAAGGGAGCAGTAGAAGCCATTCAAAAAAAGTACAATCCCCCTTGGGCATGTTTACTGGGTTAGTGTTCTCCCCAAATTCATGTCCACCAGGAATCTGTCAATGTGACCTTATTTGGAGACAGGGCTTTTGGCAGATGTAATTAGTCATTAAAATGAGGTCCTACTGGATTAGGGGGGTGGGCCTGTGGGTTGGCCCAACATCCAATTTGACTGGTGCCCTTATAAGAAGAGAACTGGGTGGGTGTGGTAGCTCACACCTGTAATCTCAGCACATTGGGAGGCCAAGGCTAGAGGATCACTTGAGCCCAGGAGTTCGAGACTAGTCTGGGCAACATAGGGAGACCCTACTTTACAAAAAAAAAAAAAAGCTAGGCATGATGGCGTATGCCTTTGGTCCCAGCTACTTGGGAGGCTGAGGTGGGAAGATTTCTTGAGTCCAGGAGGTTGAGGCTGTGGTAAGCTGTGATGACACCACTGTACTCCAGCCTGGGCAACAGAGCGAGACCTCATCTCTTAGAAAAAAAAAAAAAAAAAAAAAAAAAAGAAGAATGGAGCCGAGAGAGACACACACAGACAGACAGGAGGAAAATGCCACGTGACAGTGGAGGCAGACATTGGAGTGATGCAGCCGCATGCCAAGGAATGCCAAGGGTTGCCAGAAGCCACCAGAAACTGGGAAGAGGCAAGGAAGGATCCTTCCCCACTGCCTTCAGAGAGCACATGGCCCTGCCAATGCCTTGATTTCAGACCTCTAGCCTCCAGAATTGTGAGATAATAGATTTCCATTGTTTTCAGCCACCCAGTTTGTGGCACCTGGTGATGGCAGCCCTAGAGAGCTGATACAGGGAGCAGTGCAGGGATAGGCACAGTGCTTGACAAGTGCTTTTGAATTTCAAACAGTAGCTGCAGGTCCAAAGAAGAGATCTCAAACCTGTGTTAGGATTATACAAGTGGTACAGGGTGCAGTGGCTCACACCTGTAATTCCAGCACTTTGGGAGGCTGAGGCAGGTGGATTGCCTGAGCTTATGAGTTCAAGACCAGCCTGGCCAACATGGCAAAACCCCATCTCTACTAAAAATACAAAAAAAAAAAATTAGCAGTGCGTGGTCGCGTGTGCCTGTAATCCCAGCTACTTGGGAGGCTGAGGCAGGAGAATCACTTGACCCCGGGAGGTGGAGGTTGCAGTGAGTCAAGATCATACCAGTGCACTCCAGCCTGGACAACAGAGTGAGACTGCCTCCAAAACAAAACAAAACAAAAAAACAAAAAGAAAAACAAGTGGTATGAATTGTCTAGCACACACCCACAGAAATAGTTTCTTTCCCTTTCAAACGTACTGCATGTCAAATGGAAACTACCGACCAAAATCCCTTGAGATCTCTTGAGGGTATTCATCTGCACAAGTAAGGTAACACGTACAAAGGGCTTTAGAGCCAGAGAACTCATCACAAACTGGGAGGTGATTATTTTTCCTTCAGTGCAAAGAATCTTCTACATTCTGAAACATCAGGATAGCTGCTTAGGGGCATAAAGTCAGCTAGCTTTTGAGAAATTTTTCCATTTTTGAGAAAAAAATAATCATTTAGCAACAGGAACAGGAAGAGAAGTATTGGAATCATAATGTTTCCTTAAATTTCTCAGACATCAACTTGAAGTATGATGCCCATGTTTAGTGTATGGTAGGCTTGTCTTTTCTGCCAAAAGGGATTGTATGAAGATTGACAATGTAGATATTTGAAGCTGATTTTATTTGTTTGTTTGTTTTGAGGCAGGGTCTCCCTCTGTTGCCTAGGCTGGAATGCAGTGGCGCTATCATAGGTGGCTATAGTCTTGAATTCCTGGGTTTAAGTGAGCCTCCCGCCTCAGCCTCCCAAAGTACTGGGATTACAGGCATGAGCCACTTCACCTGGTCTGAAGCTGATTTTGAATGGAATAGCACTGTTCCTAGGTAGGGAGTTACACGAGAGGCTGGGTGGTGCAGTGGAAATCATGCTGGGTTAGAGATTCTGAGGTTGGTTTCTATGAGGCCTGGTGTCAGAAATTTGCTGCCTGACTGTGGGCAAGTTGCTGCAACTTGCGAAGTCTTCGTTAGGCTGGGTAGGTGACTGCTGGATTCTCTATACTTCCCCCACTGAGTGGGAGGGGAGGGTATTAGCCCCTGTAATGAGTGTCCTCCCAAAAGATATGTCCAAGTCCTAATTCTCAGTACTTATGAATGTGACCTTATTTGGAAGTAGAGTTTTTGAAGATGCAATTAATATAAGGATCTTGGGATAAGATCACCCTGGATTAGGATGGGCTCTAAATCCAATGACCAGTGTCCTTTCAAGAGACAGAAAAGGGGAAGACACACAGAAACACAGGGAGGCCTAGTGTGGTGGCTCAAGCCTGTAATCTCAACACTGTGGGAGGCAGAGGCAGGAGGATCGCTTGAGGCCAGGAGTTCAAGACCAGCCTGGGCAACATAGCAAGACCCTGTCTGTATGGAAAAAAAAGAGAAAGAAAAGTATATGTTAGGCTGGGCATGGTACCTAATGCCTGTAATCCCAGCACTTTGGGAGGCTGAGGTGGGTGGATTGCTTGAGCCCAGGAGTTTGGGACCAGCCTGGGCAATATGGCAAGATCCAGTCTCTACAAAATATACAAAAATTAGGCATGGTGGTGCATGCCTGTAGTCCCAGCTACTTGGGAGGCTGAGGTGAGAGGATCACCTGAGCCCAGAAGGTTGAGGCTGCAGTGAGCCATGATCATGCTACTGCACTCCAGCCTGAGCAACAGAGTGAGACCCTGTCTCAAAAAAAAAAAAAAAAAAAAGAAAGAAAGAAAAAAGAGAAAATTACACACACGCACACACACACACATATATGAAAATAAATAGAAACCCATGGAAGAAGGCCAGGTAAAGATTCATGTGAGGGTGGAGTCAGAGATGGAGTTATTCGCTCTAAGCCAAGACACACCAAGGGTTGTGGGAGCTGCCAGAAGGTAGGAGAGAGGCACGGAACGAATTCTCTCACAGAGTCTCCACAAGGAATTGACCCTGCCAACTCCTTAATTTTGGACTTGGCCTCCAGAACAGTGAGAGAATCAATTTCTGTTGTTCTAAGCTACCAAGTTTGTGGTCAATTGCATGGCAGCTATAGGAAACTCATATGGACCTCTACAGGTTAGGAGGGGGCACTGCCCCAACAGGCCCTCTGATATGGTTTGGCTGTGTCCTCACCCAAATCTCATTTTGAATTCCCACGTGTTGTGGGAGGTAATTGAATCATGGGGGCAGGTCTTTCCTGTGCAGTTCTCATGATGGTGAGTAAGTCTCAGGAGATCTGATGGTTATTATAAGGGGGAGTTTCCCTGCATAAGCTCTTTCTTTGCCTGCTGCCATCCATGTAAGATGTGACTTTGCTCCTCCTTGCTTTCCACCATGATTGTGAGGCTTCCCCAGCCATGTGGAACTATAGGTCCACTAAACTTCTTTCTTTTGTAAATTGCCCAGCCTCAGGTATGCCTTTATCAGCAGCATGAAAACAGACTAATACACCCTCTCTACTAGGAACCCCTGAGGAATCATCACTGCGTCTGATGATGGGATGCCAGGGCTGCCCATCTTTGTCAGACCAAACGCATGGGATTCTGAATGAGGTTGTATTTGTTGCCTGTGGCTGCCATAACAAATTAGGACAAACTTGGTGGCTTAAAACAACACACTTTTATGCTCTTATAGTTCTGTAGCACAAAAGTCCAAAATCAGTCTTACTGGGCCAAAATCAATGTGTTAGCAGTGCCTTTCTCCCTTCAGAGGCTCTAAGGGAGAATCAGTTTCTCGTCTCTTCCAGCATCCAGTGGGGGCTGGTGTTCCTTGGTTTGCCCATCTTTTTTATTTTGTTATTATTTTTTTTGGAGACAGAGTCTCACTCTGTCACCCAGGCTGGAGTGCAGTGGCGTGATCTCAGCTCACTGCAACCTCTGCCTCCCAGGTTCAAGTGATTCTCCTGCCTCAGCCTCCCGAGTAGCTGGGACTACAGGTGCGTGCCACCGCAACTGGCTAATTTTTTGTATTTTTAGTTGAGACGGGGTTTCACCATATTGGCCAGGCTGGTCTCAAACTCCTGACCTTGTGATATGCCCATCTCGGCCTCCCAAAGTGCTGGGATTACAGGCGTGAGCCACCGCGCCCGGCCCAGTTTGCCCATTTTAAAGAACAGCACCTTCAAATCTCTCTCGGCTCTGTCTTCCTATCACTTTCTCCCCTGTGTGTAAAATCTCCCTCTGCCTCCTTTGTTTTTTTGAGACAGAGTCTTGCTCTTGTTGCCCAGGCTTGAGTGCAGTGGTGTGATCTCGGCTCACTGCTGCAACCTCCGCCTCCTGGGTTCAAGCAATTCTCCTACCTCAGCCTCCCGAGTAGCTGGGATTACAGGCACATACCACCACACCTGGCTAAATTTTTGTACTTTTAGTAGAGATGGGGTTTCACTATGTTGGCCAGGCTGGTCTCGAACTCCTAACCTCAGATGATCCACCTGGCTCAGCCTCCCAGAGTGCAGGGATTACAGGCATGAGCCACTGTGCCCAGCCCTCTGCCTCCTTCTGATTCACATACATGTGATTGCATTTACGGCCTACCTGGATATCCCAGGATAAGATCCCTAATCACATCTGCAAAGACCCTTTTTCCAAACAGGTAACATTTACAGGTTTCTGATATCATTGAGGGCTGTTATTCAGGTGACTGCAGGGGGTTAGACATGATGGAAATGTCAGACAAGCGAGCGAAAGCCACCCAAGGATAGGAAGCTGCACCTTCATCCCACCATACCACTCAGGGTGAAAGTAATGTGGGGCAGGCCTCTCTGTTCAGGCCTTCAGAGACTATTCTGAAGATGTGCTTAGGCAAAGGTCCCAGCTCTCCAAGGTCAGTTTCTCCCTATGTAAAATGGAGATAAAATATAAAATTTTCTCTACAAGGTTGTTAGCGGAACTATACGAAGTTTTTGAAAGGGTGTCTTAAACTATAGTGTTACAGAAATATTTATACTTTAAAAAAATCTATTTTATATGTAAAGTTTTCCCCTCCAAAATCATTATTTGACAAATTCCTAACATATATGTGTGCGTACATATATATATGTACGCACACATATATATACACATATATGTACGCACACATATATATACACATATATATGTACACACATATGTACACATATATACGCACACACATACATACATATAATATTAACATAATTAAATATATTAAGAGAATATTCCGGCCCAGGCACGGTGGCTCACGCCTGTAATCCCAACACTTTGGGAGGCCAAGGTGGACAGATCACAAGGTCAGGAGTTTGAGACCAGCCTGGCCAATATGGTGAAACCCCATTTCTACTAAAAATACAAAAATTAGCCGGGCGTGGTGGGGAGCATCTGTAGTCTCAGCTACTCGGGAGGCTGAGGCAGAAGAATTGCTTGAACCCAGGAAGTGGAGGTTGTAACGAGCTGAGATGGTGCCACTGCACTCCAGCCTGGGCGACACAGCAAGACCCTGTCTCAAAAAACAAAAAACAAAAACAAAAAAACAACAAAAAAGAGAATATGTGTTTCCTCCATTTATTTATTTATTTATTTATGTGAGACAGAGTCTTGCTCTGTTGCCCAGGCTGGAGTACAGTGGTGTGATCTTGGCTCACTGCAACCTCCACCTCCAGGGTTCAAGCGATTCTCGTGTCTCAGCCTCCCAAGTAGCTGGGGTTACAGGCATGTACCACCACACCTGGCTAATTTTTGTATTTCCAGTAGAGACGGGGTTTCACCATGTTGGCCAGGCTGGCCTCCAACTCCTGGCCTCAAGTGATCCACCTACCTCAGCCTCCCAAAGTGCTGGGATTACAGGCATGAGCCACCACACCTGGCTTTCCCCTAATTTTTGATTGTCTCCTGCTCTCCTTTAATCCCCCTCCCAGTATGAAATCTCCTAAACCCTACCTTGGAAATTCCAACCCTTCCCACAGGTTGGAACCTGCCTTCTATCTCCCTAAGTATCCCACAATCCCTACCACTACAGCTCTGATGGCTCTGGAGTTGGGGCGCCGTGAGCTTGGATTCCTATGAATTAGTGGAGGACTGTGATTCCTTGCTGCTTCTGGGCAGTGCCTTAACCAGCAGTGGCTGTGGCCAGGTTGATCCTGAATCCCCCAAGGACAAGCACGCCTTGCCACTGAGTATTACATTTTTTCCTGAAACCACCCAGTCTAGCATCACACGATGAAAACACTCTCCACCTATTAATAGTACTTTTGAATCTACTCCTGGAAAATCTATACCCTGGCATTACTGAATCAAAGATGCTTCCTAGCTCTATTTTCAATATAAGGGCTCCACATGAACTGAGAATAGCTCTGTCTGAGTCATTGGGATGAATGGTGCCATCTTTAAACATAGTTTCCAATCTCTAAATTTATCTCTAAAACAAATGTGTGTATGTGTGTGTGTGTGTGCTCATCCAGCTCCATAACTGTTAGTAGATTAGAGAGCTGGAGGGAGCAGAAAGTGTATCTGAGCTCAGAAGAGGAGGAGCGGCTAAAAGGACACGGGAGAATGATCACAGAGGGGAGACAAGCCAAGAGAAGACAACGAACAGGCACAGATCCTCCTGGGATGTAGAAGCACAGAAGGTTCTTTCCTGCTAGCAATGGGGGCAAGAACTGTGATGCCTGAAGCTTCTTCCAATAAGGAGAGTCCCTTTAGAAAGGAGAATACAAAATAGTGAATACAGAATTAGGGCTTTGGATGAAATCAAGGAATCTTGAAGCTTAAGCTTCTTTTGCCTCAGGACAAATTCTCTGTCTCTGGCTGGGAATCAAGGCCAACATCCAACTTATAGTTACACAGTTAACGTCCACTACTTCTATTTCCTGGTGATGTGATTTGAGCTAAAAACGTGAATCACTTACATATATAAAATTAAAATGTGTTTAGCTTTACATATATATGTTATTATATATATAAAAAATATTTTATATATATGTTAGGAATTTGTCAAATAATGAGCCTAGAGGGGAAAACTTTACACATAAAATACATATTTTTTTTGAGACAGGGTCTTCCTCTGTCAGCCAGGCTGGAGTGCAGTGGCATGATCATGGCTCATTGCAACCTCTGCCTCCTGGGTTCAAGTGATCTTCCCACCTCAGCCTCTTGGGTAACTGGGACTACAGTTGCGCACCACCACGCCCAGCTAACTTTTTCGTATTTTTTGTAGCGATGGGGTCTTGCCATGTTGCCCAGGCTCATATTCAATTCCTGGACTCAAGCGATCCGTCCACATCAGCCTCCCAAAGTGCTGGGATTACAGGCCTGAGCCACTGAGCCCAGCCATAAAATATATGCAAAATATTTGCATAAAATATATGCATATATTTTTAAAATATATGCAAAATAACGGTGCGATAACTCTTTATAGTTTTTTGTTTTGTTCTTTTTTTGAGACAGCGTATCTCTCTGTCTCCCAGGCTGGAGTGCAGTGGCCTGATCTGATCTTGGCTCACTACAACCTCCACCTCCCGGGTTCAAGCGATTCTCCTGCCTCAGCCTCCCGAGCAGCTGGGACTACAGGTGTCTGCCACCACTCCCGGCCAATTTTTGTATTTTTAGTAGAGACAGGATTTCACCATATTGGCCAGGCTGGTCTCGAACTCCTGACCTTGTGATCCACCCGCCTTGGCCTCCCAAAGTGCTGGGATTACAGGCGTGAGCCACCGCGCCCGGCCAACTCTTTGTAGTTTAAGACATCGTTTCAAAGAGTTGACTTCATTTAATTCTGATGACAACCTTGTGAAGAAAATTTTATATCTTATCTCCATTTTGTTTAGGGTGAAACTGATCTTGGAGAGCTGGGAGATTTGCCTTAGCACATCTGGCTGGTGAATAGGTGAGGTGGGGTGGGACCCCAGTGACACTTGCCGGTGTTGACTGGGGGGTAAATACAATTTGCAGGCTGTTCTGCTTCCTAGGGCTGGGGATGGGTAGAGGAGAACAAGACAGCAGAGGCCACCGCAACTGCCCGCCCCTTGGCACTTGTCTCTTTCCATCTCCCTTGGATTTCCCAGCTCCAGGCTCCACAGGCAGAAGAGTCAGTAATTCGCTCCAAATAGGAGCAAATGGGGGGGCTTTGGGGAATCACTTCAGACCCAGTGCTTGTCCCTCTCTGCAGGCAGGCAGCAGCCCCGGAAACTTGCTGTCCTCCTCTGAACCAGACTGCCTAGTTCCAATTAGGAAATCACAAGGGAAGAAAAGTCCAGAGACCAGCCGGCAGACTTTGAATGTACGGACCCTGCATCAAATTGTTTACAGGCCACATTTTGTTCCCATTCAAAATGAAAATACTTGTTACTGAATCCCAAAGGGGAAATATGTTTATGCTGAAGTGATGGGCTAGACTTGTTAATGTTTGAGTGTTTCTAGCCTTTCCTCTTCCCCCCCAACCCCAGCCGCAGCTAGAGAGTTTTCTGGCTTAGCTTTGTGCTTTTTCTTCCCCTGTCTCACCCTCTAGAGAAGGCCAGGCCTTGCCAGGGAAATAGCCCTAAGTGGTTTGGTCAGATTTCACAACAAAGAACTGAAAAAGATGCTGGAGGGAGAAAGCTTTCTGGAGTTTTGAGAGGAGAGATATGGGAATATTTGTGCTATATGAGGACAATGGTGAGAAGAAAAAAAAGATTTAAAAGAAATTATAGAGGGCTTTAGAATATTTGAGAAATACACACAAAGGATTTGAGTTTTCTCAAATTGTTTTTAATTGTATAGAATGGATTTTTTTTTTTTAACCTCAATGCTGCCTGGACTGAATCCCTTGGATTGTAGCTTTATAAGCATCATAGCTACAAGTTAGAATCCCCACTCAATTAACTCAGAGAATAGCAATGAGAAAAGCTGTGAGAAATGATGTGCTGCTTGGGAGTAACTGAAATGTGAATATCTTGCAGGGTTTCAGAAGCAGCAACAGCACTCTAATCCTGAAATTAGAGTGAGGGCCAAATTTTCAAAATATATTTGCCACATTTTTGCAGCTGGTCTCTGGTTACCCATCATAGTTAAAATCACCATCTTGGAAACTTGCAAATCACATTTCGTGCTTTGTTCACCGTCCCCCTGCCCCCCGCCTCTATACCCCCATGCCTTTGCTTCTGTAGTCAGAAGCTGTCCAAACACCCCATCTGCAACACACATCCCCTCACTGTACTTCTCAGTCTCGTTGAAGGATTGCTGTAAAATGGAAGGGAAAGAACAGCACTATTAGGGAAACCAAAACCCCATGTTTCCTTGTCACTAAGTGCAACTCTTATGAAATGGTGAAACATTGTAGGATATTATTTTCTTTAACCAGGAGAAGTAACAATAGGTTCAAAATCCACTGGGCAGCTTTTAGGACGTACCAACTTTCTACCAGAGTAACATCCCCCTGTTGTTTTTCTGTGCAGTCCAAAGCATTATTTGAAAAATCTCTAACATGATTATCTAACAATGCATTTTTTTTTTTTGAGACAGAGTTTCTCTCTTGTCGCTTAGGCTGGAGTGCAATGGCATGATGTTGGCTCACTGCGACCTCTGCCTCCTGGGTTCAAGCAATTCTCCTGCCTCAGCCTCCTGAATAGCCGGGTTACAGGTGCGCTCCACCACGCTCAGCCAATTTTTTTATTTTTAGTAGAGATGGGGTTTCTCCATGTTGGCCAGGCTGGTCTCAAACTCCTCACCTCAGGTGATCCACCTGCCTCGATCTCCCAAAGTGCTGGGATTACAGGCGTGAGCCACTTTGCCCGGTCAGAGGCAAAAGACTTTAGATCCTTAGGTAATACATTGCCTAAAAATATGTTTTTATGTGTGGTAGAGGAATGATTTGTGTGTATATATATATATATACACACACACACACACACACACACACGCATATATATATACACACATGCATATATATATATACACACACTTAATTAGCTTTTTAAGATTTAAAACATTAAAAGCACATGGTTTTTTAAAAAATCAAGAGCATACAGCTGTATCAAGATATCTCATGTATCCCGTAAATATATACATCTACTATATATCCACAAAAATTTAAAAAAAAAAGTACACAGGTATATAAAGTGAAAAACGTCTCCACCCTCCTTCCTACATTCCTCATTCCCTTTCACAGCCCCTCCACTCACCAGCCCCATTTCCATCCCTCAAAGGGAACTAGATTTTGTGTTTTGTTTCAGAAATGTTCTGGACTTATAAAAATATAATCTCTCTTCCATTCCCTCACTTTAAAAACTCAAATGGGATACTAGAAAATACTGTTCTGCAATTTGGACTTTTTCTTTTTCTTTTTTTTTTTTTTTTTGAGACAGGGTCTCACTCTGTCACCCAGGCTGGAGTGCAATGGTGCAATCTCAGCTCACTGCAACCTCTGCCTCCCATGTTCAAGCGATTCTCCCGCCTCAACCTCCTGAGTAGCTGGGAGTACAGGTGCATGCCACCATGCCCAGCTAATTTTTGTATTTTTAGTAGAAACGGGGTTTCACCATGTTGGCCAGGCTGGTCTCAAACTCCTGGCCTCAAGTGATCCACCCACCTCAGCCTCCCAAAGTGCTGGGATTACAGGCGTGAGCCACCGTGCCCGGCCTAACTCGGACTTTTTCTGTTTAACAGTGTATCCTGGACGTTTTTTCCAAAGTAGCTTATTTAGAGCAAACTAATTTTTTAAAGTTACCTTTTTTTTGTTTTGTTTTTTAATTGAAGAGTAAATGCATAACAGAAAGGAAGTGAGAGACAGCTGGTTTTAGACAACTATGAAATTATCACTGAACAAGGCTAATTATCTTCTCTGCAAGGAGAGAAGAGAAAAATTAGCTGCAGAAAAGACATTCTCGCTCTCTCTCGCACATGCACACACACACACAAATAATTATGGCTGGTTTAATAAAAAAAAATTTTTTTTTTTTGAGATGGTGTTTCGCTTTTGTCACCCAGGCTGGAGTGCAATGGTGCCATCTTGGCTCACTGCAACCTCTGTCTCCTGGGTTCAAGTGGTTCTCCTGCCTCAGCCTCCCGAGTAGCTGGGATTACAGGCGTCCACCACCATGCCCAGCTAATTTTTGTATTTTTTTTGTAGAGATGGGGTTTTACCATGTTGGCCAGGCTGGTCTCAAACTTCTGACCTCAGGTGATCCACCCACCTCGGCCTCCCAAAGTGCTGGGATTACAGGTGTAAGCTACCGCACCTGGCCTAAATTTTCTTTTCTTTCCTTTTTTTTCTTTTGAGACGGAGTTTCGCTTTTGTTGCCCAGGCTGGAGTACAATGGTGCGATCTTGGCTCACTGCAACCTCCGCCTCCCGGGTTCAAGCGATTCTCCTGTCTCAGCCTCCTGAGTAGCTGGGATTATAGGCACCTGCCACTACGCACTGCTAATTTTTGGTATTTTTAGTGGAGATGGGGTTTCACCATGTTGGCCAGGCTGGTCTTGAACTCATGACCTCAGGTGAGCTGCCCGCCTCAGCCTCCCAAAGTGCTGGGATTACAGGCATGAGCCACCACGCCCGGCCACCCCATTTTTTTTTTTTTTTTTTTTTTCGAGACTGGGTCTCACTCCTCGCTCTCCTGCCCAGGCTAGAGTGCAGTGGCTCAATCATAGCTCATGGTAGCCTTGAACTCTTGGGTTCAAGTGATCCTCCCATCTCAGCCTCCTGAGTAGGTCCTTGACAATTTTATCAGGCCGTACAATTAAAAAGCCAGTAATTATTAACCCCCAAAGTAAAGAAGTGAAAAAAGGGTGGTCTTCTACATTAAATAAAAGGGCCTCTTTTAGGCCAACATGACAGTCTCCTCATGAGGGACTTTCCTTTTTCTTGGTCTGTGGTGCTTCTCAACTATTTTATCTTATTTTATTTTATTTTATTTTATAGACAGTCTCGCTATGTCACCCAGGCTGGAATACAGTGGCGCCACCTCGGCTCACTGCCACCTCCGCCTCCCAGGTTCAAGTGATTCTCCTGCCTCAGCCTCCCGAGTAGCTGGGATTACAGGCGCCCACCACCACGCATGTCTAATTTTTGTATTTTTAGTAGAGACAGGGTTTCACCATGTTGGCCAGGCTGGTCCTTGAACTCTGGCATCAAGTGATCCGCCTGCCTTGGCCTCCCAAAGTGCTGGAATTACAGGTGTGAGCCACTTTGCCCAGCCTGAAGAACTTTATATATGTCAAAGTGCTCCAACAGTACAATTTCCAGCCATCCTTGATGAAGTTATGTGAGGAGGTAGCATTAAGTTTGCTGGGTGATAAATCCATAAGAAATTGGCTGTTGATTGGCCAAACGTAAAAATTTGGCTTGTGTTTTAAGTCTGTTTGGGCTAACAAAAAAATACTATAGGCTGGGTGACTTATAAACAACAGAATTTTTTTTTTTTTTTCCCAACAGTTCTGAAGGCTGGGAAGTTCAAGATCAAGGCACTGGTAGATTCAGTGTCTGGTGAGGGCCTGCTCTCTGGTTCTTAGACGAACATCTGTTTCCTCGAGATGCCCTCATGTGGTGGAAGGGGCAAGGGACCTTGCTGGGGTCTCTTATAAGTGCTCTAATGAGCTAATTACTTTCCAAAGGCCCTCTCTCCTAATACTATCACCTTACAGGTTAGGATTTCAACATACAAATTTTGGGAAAGCAGTCAATTGCATTCTGCCCTCATGTTTCTCCAGAGAAACAGAAACAATATATATGCATATACAGAAGAAAATTTATGATGAGGGATTGGCTCATGAGATTATGGAGGTTGAGAAGTCCCAGTCTACCTTCTGCAAGCTGGAGAACCAGGAAAGCCTGTGGTATAGTTCCAGTCCAAACCTAAAGGCCTAAGAACCAGGGAGGTCAATCTGGGTCTGAGAGCCCAGAACTATATCTGCTCAGATATCTGCAGGCAGGAGGGATGAATAACCGGGTTCAATGGGGAACACATTTGTTCTTCCACCTTTTTGTTCTATTCTTGTCCTTAAGGATTGGATGACCACCATATAGATGAGGGCAGTCTTCTTTACTTAGTCTACCAATTCAAATGCTAATCTCTTCCGGAAACACCCTCACACACACATATCCAGGAATAGTGTTTTACCAGCTTTCTGAGTAGCTCTTAGCCTAGTCATGTTGACACATAAAATTCACCATCACAGCTTGTGAGTGTTTTGGGCCCTTAACCCTAAAGTTAAGCCACCTGTCAGACCTGCAATCCCGGCACTTTGGGAGGCCGAGGCGGGTGGATCATGAGGTCAGGAGTTCAAGACCAGCTTGGCTAACATGGTGAAACTCCATTTCTACTAAAAATACAAAAAATTAGCTGGGCGTGGTGGCACATGCCTGTAATTCCAGTTACTCGGGAGGCTGAGGCAGGAGAATCGCTTGAACCTGGGAGGTGGAGGTTGCAGTGAGCCGAGATCGCGCCAGTGCACTCCAGCTTGGGTAACAAGAGTGAAACTCCATCTCAAAAAAAAAACAAAAAACAAAAAACAAAAAACAGAGCCTGGGCAAGAGAAGGAGACTGTGTCTCAAAAATAAAAAGTACCGCTCCCTCTCCCTCTCCCTCTCCCCACGGTCTCCCTCTCATGTGGAGCCGAAGCTGGACTGTACTGCTGCCATCTCGGCTCACTGCAACCTCCCTGCCTGATTCTCCTGCCTCAGCCTGCCGAGTGCCTGCGATTGCAGGCACGCGCCGCCACGCCTGACTGGTTTTGGTGGAGACGGGGTTTCGCTGTGTTGGCCGGGCCGGTCTCCAGCCCCTAACCGCGAGTGATCCACCAGCCTCGGCCTCCCGAGGTGCCGGGATTGCAGACGGAGTCTCGTTCACTCAGTGCTCAATGGTGCCCAGGCTGGAGTGCAGTGGCATGATCTCGGCTCGCTACAACCTCCACCTCCCAGCCGCCTGCCTTGGCCTCCCAAAGTGCTGAGATTGCAGCCTCTGCCCGGCCGCCACCCCGTCTGGGAAGCGAGGAGTGTCTCTGCCTGGCCGCCCATCGTCTGGGATGTGAGGAGCCCCTCTGCCTGGCTGCCCAGTCTGGAAAGTGAGGGGCGTCTCCGCCCGGCCGCCATCCCATCTAGGAAGTGAGGAGCGCCTCTTCCCAGCCGCCATCACATCTGGGAAGTGAGGAGCGTCTCTGCCCGGCCGCCCATCGTCTGAGATGTGGGGAGCGCCTCTGCCCCGCCGCCCCATCTGGGATGTGAGGAGCGCCTCTGCCCAGCCGCGACCCTGTCTGGGAGGTGAGGAGCGTCTCTGCCCGGCCGCCCCGTCTGAGAAGTGAGGAGACCCTCTGCCTGGCAACCACCCCATCTGAGAAGTGAGGAGCCCCTCCACCGGGCAGCTGCCCCGTCTGAGAAGTGAGGAGCCTCTCCGCCCGGCAGCCACCCCATCTGGGAAGTGAGGAGCGTCTCCGCCCGGCAGCCACCCCGTCCGGGAGGGAGGTGGGGGGGGTCAGCCCCCCGCCCGGCCAGCCGCCCCTTCCGGGAGGGAGGTGGGGGGTCAGCCCCCCGCCCGGCCAGCCGCCCCGTCCGGGAGGGAGGTGGGGGGGTCAGCCCCCCGCCCGGCCAGCCGCCCCGTCGGGGAGGGAGGTGGGGGGATCAGGCCCCTGCCCGGCCAGCCGCCCCGTCCGGGAGGGAGGTGGGGGGGTCAGCCCCCTGCCCGGCCAGCCGCCCCGTCTGGGAGGTGAGGAGCGCCTCTGCCCGGCCGCCCCTACTGGGAAGTGAGGAGCCCCTCTGCCCGGCCACCACCCCGTCTGGGAGGTGTGCCCAACAGCTCATTGAGAACGGGCCAGGATGACAATGGCGGCTTTGTGGAATAGAAGGCGGGAAAGGTGGGGAAAAGATTGAGAAATCGGATGGTTGCCGTGTCTGTGTAGAAAGAAGTAGACATGGGAGACTTTTCATTTTGTTCTGCACTAAGAAAAATTCTTCTGCCTTGGGATCCTGTTGATCTGTGACCTTACCCCCAACCCTGTGCTCTCTGAAACATGTGCTGTGTCCACTCAGGGTTAAATGGATTAAGGGCGGTGCAAGATGTGCTTTGTTAAACAGATGCTTGAAGGCAGCATGCTCGTTAAGAGTCATCACCACTCCCTAATCTCAAGTAATCAGGGACACAAACACTGCGGAAGGCCGCAGGGTCCTCTGCCTAGGAAAACCAGAGACCTTTGTTCACTTGTTTATCTGCTGACCTTCCCTCCACTATTGTCCCATGACCCTGCCAAATCCCCCTCTGTGAGAAACACCCAAGAATTATCAATAAAAAAAAAATTAAAAAACAAAAAACAAAAAACAAAGTTAAGCCACCTGGACTGCTGACCTGCAACATTAGCAGCCTCCAGGCAGGCTGGGGGAGGGGGGAATATATTTATATAAATATAAATCTCTTCTTTTGGGAGATTTCTCATAGACAAGACTGAAGAAAGTTATCACAGACAACAAACAAGACTATGGACAAGTAGACAGAAGACAGGAGATGATGTTAAAGTCAAATCTCACCAGAGGATACCAAAATCTAATCCAAAGATCTCAGAGATATTGAAGGGCTAAATCGATAATCACAGTTGGCTTATTTACCATCATTTGTGTAGGTTTAACTACGTGGACACATTTCCTCACATTGATTTCAGCACTGGAAGGGAACACTTAGTGATCATCTCTTTTCATAAATAAGGACCCTGAGATCAAAAGAGATTGAGTGAACTGACCAAAATCACACAGAACTGGCTAGAACCAAACTCCTTAGTGATTATACTTAAATTAGCATATATATGCCATACACGTAAAAGAAGATATATAATATGTATGATGGTCATCTGTGTTTAAAAAGGAGAGCAGCATCACGTGAACTTTCCATTAAAACCTGGGTGGCATCGGGGCAGGAGGACCTTGAATTAGGAAGCTGGAAGAGGGTGATGAGGCTGGCAAGTTAGCCACAGGCCGAGGATAGGCTAGCCAGGGAGTGGAGAGGCTGCAGTGGCCAAGGTTCAGGAAGTTCATAGCAGAAACAAGGCAAGGCAACTGTGGCAGTAGATTGGGGATGTGACATCTACCAGGGACAGAAAATATGTGCTCTTTTCACTCTGCTCAGCCAGGCTAGAGCTGTGCCTACCCCACAGCATGTGTTTGGAGCCTGAGGGAGACAGCAGTGTGCATTGGGGTCAGATAATTACAGAAGCATCTCCCCTCCATGTTTTCCTCTCTCCTAAAGACTTTGCTTGTTAACTCTGCATTTACAGGTAACCAAGCCCATATGATGGCATTAGTTAATGACTGACTGCTGTTTTTTTCCAAGCTGCTGTCAGGCAGATTTTACTAATTAATTTCACTTAAAATAGTGGTGTTCAAGCCTGACTGCATAGTAAAGTCATCTGGGGAGCTTAGAAAAAATAAACAAACTGATGCCAGAGCCCCACCCCAATTAAATTCTGATTTAATTGGTCTAAGGTCCAAGCATTGATATGTTTGAAAAATTCCCCAGGTGATTCTAATAGGCAGCCAGGGTTGGAACCATGGATCTAAAACATCAGGAAAAGTTTCAATGAACTAATTAATTGTTTTAAAACAGTTACAACAGCATTGTTTTCTTCACATCTGGCAATGTAATTCATAAAACAATAATGAAATAATTTGCAGGATACAATGTCTTCATAGGATTTTCTCATTCTCATTTTTGCTAAGTCAACACATGGCTGAATTAAACAATCAATCTGAAACCGATGGTTCCACTGAAGCTTCTTATAGCTTCATTACCTTCTTTCTCCAAATCACATCACAAAGATTTGATAGAGTAACCACCTCCCTCGACCTTTATGTTGAGGTGTCTGGACAGCACAGAGGCATGGTACTTAGAAAAGATTCCAGGACGCTTTGTTATCATTGGACTTTCTGTGCTATGGAAATTCAACACTGTGGGCTGGAATAACTAGTCATGTGGAACTCCTTCCTGCTTTTGTACCCTCTCACTTTTACTTGAGCAGAAGGTTAAAAGTATTGCTTTCTGAGAAGTCCCATTCGGTCACTCCTCTCTCTCGCAAGAGAGACAGCTGTTCTCCCTTTTCTTTTGCCTATAAACTTCCGCTCCTAAACTAAAAAAAAAAAAAAAAAAAGTATTGCCTTATTTTTCTCATCTCCTACTTCTTGTCTTTTTCTCTTGTTTCCGATTCAGGCATTAGAGAAGGCAAGGAGTTAGGAGTAGGAAGACTCAATGATTTATAGAACTGGGGGTGTCATAAAAGGTCATTAGTTCAACCACCATCTGAGACCAAGAGACTTCCCCAAGATCACACAGCTAGATAGTCCTCGAACTGGCCCCGGAAGTGGGGGCCTCATTCTCCAGACCCATTCTGTTCAGGATATCAACTGGTTTTTCAAGACAGACTGAGCTCAAGGATGTTTGGGGGAGACTCCTCCTTCCCCGAGAGGGTCTCCATTCATCTTATCCTCGCCAAACGATATTCCTTCCGCTTGCTTCATTAACTGGCTCCATTTGTGAAGTCTTCTCCAAACCGCCCTGCTTAATTCGGGACACAGCAGCACCTGTACATTCCTCCCTTCCTCCTCGCTCTTTAGCCGCGTGCTGCTAATGCTTGTGTGTTTTCTATTGTTACATGCTTTCCCTCGTTGATGTGCATTTATTGAATGCCTCCTGTTGTCAAACTTCTAATAGGGAATACGAAAACAGAAGACGCCTCCGCTTGGCTGTGGGCCTGGCTGGGGATGAACCCCTGTAGCCAGGCCCCGGGGTCTCGCCTGGTTTCGGTACGGGCAGGCAGCGCAGGCCCGCGGGGAACGTACCCCGCACCGCTCCGGGAGAGCGGGTGTGGGGTTGGATTCAGGTCTCGGCCTGGCGAAGCGTGAGCGCCTCCCTGCACGGAGGGGAGGCCCCAGCGGTGGGCGCCTGTCCCCAAGGCCGCGCGGAGGGAGGCGGTCAGTCCAGACCGACTCGGCCGAGCTCCCGAGCTGCCACCGGTGACCACGACAGGAAGGCTGGCGCGCCGGGGGAGGGGCCTGGGCAAGAGCGGGAGGGGCGGGCGGAAGGACGAGAGGGAGGAGGAAAGACCCGCGGGGAGGAGCTGGGAGGAGACACCCGGGAGAAGGCGGAGGAAAGGGCAGGAAGCGGGAGGGAGCTGAAAGGAGGAGGAGGCTGAGGGGCGGAGCCGGGCGCTCGGGGAGAGTAGCCAGCAGAGGGGGTGGAGCCGGGCCTGGGGCGGAGCCAGGGAAGGGGAGGAGCGGGGGGGAGAGGCCTCTACGGCCGCCGCTGCCGCCGCCGCTGCCGGGGCGCGTTCTCCTCCTACCGGTCGGGTGCCCCGGGGCGTTCCCTCTGCCGCTGCTTCTCGGCGCGGTTCCTACCCGGCCGCTCCCCGAGGCGCGGGCTCTGGCGGCCTCGACCGACTAGGACGCCCCGTGCGCCGCCCGCGGGCCGCCGCCTCCCTGGGCGCGCGGGGCCAGCATGGAGCTCTTCCAAGCCAAGGACCACTACATCCTGCAGCAGGGCGAGCGCGCGCTGTGGTGCAGCCGCCGCGACGGCGGCCTCCAGCTCCGACCCGGTGAGGCTGGCGGTGCGGGCGGGGGGCACCCCGGGCCAGGGCGGGGAGAGGAGGGGGCGCGGCCGGACCCCTCAGCCGGGCGGGAGGAGCCGCCTGCGGGCCTGGTGAGGCGGGGCGGGGCGGGCTGCGAGCGCGCGAGCTGTCATTATTCCCTGACTGGAAGGAGCCTGGCCTTTCTCCGAGACAGCGCCGAGCCCCTACCCCAGTGCGGAGCAGAAGGGGCTGGCGACCCTCGTCCTTCCCACCGCGTCACGCGGCCGCCCTTGGGGCTTGGGGCCCAGGCCGAGGGGAGGGGGTCCCCTCCGGCAGAAAGTTCCAGCAAGGTGCACCTGGCCGTAAAGGCCTCTTCCTCCTTGGAGTAGTTCTTACATGGCCTTCGCCAGAAGTTCTGGGTTCGAATTCCGATCTGGAGCGGTTGCGCCAGTTCCGTCTAGGGCTCTGCTGGACACTCACTCCCTGTTGCCATCCCGTGTGTTCTTGGTCCCTTATTATTAAAGGTGTGACTTTACTGTGGTTACCTCATAGGCACTCGGTTTAAAGCCTTTGTCTTTGACTTTAATACCACAGCACAATTAAATTGTATTGTAATGTATAATTTTGAGATTTTTGTGTGACTTGATGTTGTGCGACACAAAATGTATTGTGGGTCCATGTTTGGGTGTCATGTAAGCTGTTCGGAGAGGCTTAAGTCTGCAATTAGCTTGCTTTAGGAAAATGTGTGTGCAGTCGTGGTTTAAACAGAGCAGTCCCTGCCCTCAGAGCGCTGACAGTCCAGTTTCTTGTAAGATGGGGCTGGGTGGCACCTGCCCCTTTTGGCTTGCTAATCCTTTCCTCATATCACTCAGAGATTCTTCCACTTTAGGGAAAGCGAGAGGATAGAGTTCTTTAAGGAAGGAGCCAGAGCTTTTCAGACTTACTTGTAATTCTTATGTGCAGTCTAGACAGAAGGATTACATGATATGAATTGAAAAGGATAAAAGGTTCAGATGAGCTTTTCAGATCACAGCGTGGTATCACTTATAGGATGGTTTTTAAGGACAGGCCCTTTAACATATTATTTCCAATCCCCACAGCAACCTTACAGGACACGTGTGGGATCCTCTTTTTCAGGTGAGGAGAAAGGAGTGAGAGGTTATTAGTAACTCGTTCGGGGTCACAGCCTAGAGTTGAGACACTGACACAGGGCAGTTCTGTGACCTCCAGAACACTTTTGGGCAGGCCCCACTGCTTTCTTAGGAAGGCCTACTAGTTGCTTTGCCAGAGCAGTGAAGGATAACTTATTTTTTTCCTCAGGCTCTGTCTATATTTTCTTGCTATTACGTTGTATTTCCTCTTTTCAGAATGGAGGATAAACTCCTTGGCCCAGATAAAGTTCTTGATGATCTCGGGATAGAGTTATTATGGATAGGCTAATTTTGGCCAGTCTTCTGTCATTCTCTTCTCTGATTTGACCATTTGTCTGGCTTTCTCCCCTTCCCTCCTTTCACTCCCCCAAATTTGGGTAAGGCTTCAGTACAGCTTGAAGTAAAGCAGATTTCAAAATTCCTAGGTTGTCAAAAGAGTCAACTCCTTGGATTCTAAAAGCTTAGACTATTAGAACTGGATGGGACTTAAGATCGTCTCCAACTCATCTGACAACAAACTTTTCTACACCCCAGTTTCTTGAACTATAAAGGCTAACCTGCGCCTAGATTCTTGGATGAAGCCATGCAGTTTGGATTACTGTTTGTTCAAAGTCCATGTCAGAAGGCAAATTTAAAACTTTTTTGGGGGAGGAAAGTAGCTATAGCCTTTGCACTTGAGATTGGCATACTTTTTAGAATATAGCGGGCCACAGACCAAGTAGACCAAATGTCTGGAGGAAGGAAGAGGCCATGTTTCAGAAGTAACAGCCAGTTTTGATCTTAAGGTGTTCAGGATAGCCAGGGAATAAAGAATCCCATGCACTTGATTTTCCTATAGTTTATCCTGTCCAGGACTGAAGATCCTTTCTAACTAATGGCTATTTAAGAATGGCATTTTAATTGAATAAGTGCTTTTCAGATCTTTTTCTGTATATGGAATCATTTAAAATTCTCTTTATTTTATTGGACTTTTCCCCTGTGCTTTTATGGCAAGTTTTGCTGCTGTTTGTAGTGACAGCATTTAAAATCTTTCATTGTTTCCTACTGGTTATTTAGCTGAATAGATTACTAAGTCCTTTTCTTTTTTGAAAGGGCAGTATTATAAGCTCAAAAAAGCTTGTGGGCATCGTGGTTTTTACATTCGTGACTATTGAACAACCTGAAACAAGAGTTTTCCTTTTTCTAGAGACATCAGAAGGATAAGTAATGATGATATTTAAGATTAAAATACTCATTTATTTAGCCTGGAATGTTTGTTACTGTCAACCCCTTTTCCTACCTAGTCCATTCCATAAGACCCAGCTCAGATGCTACCCCTCATCCTTGGGGCAGAATTATTGGCCACCTTTATTGTGTTTCCAGGCATTTTCTACACTTAGTGGACACTTCAATTCTAACCCTTATGCATCATCATAATAAAAGTTTGCCTACTTCTTCCCCGGTGGGAAGTCCCAGTGTGTTCCCCAAGGCAAGGGCTGTATTTACTCCTCATCTTGGTGTCTCTAGGCTTTAGAGTACTTAGGACAGAGAAGGCGTTTTTGTTTGAGTTGAGCTGAATTAAAGTTAAGTCTAAGTTCTCTCTCAGTAATATCATTGCCTTAAAAATAAGATGTTGTATTATGTTTGTTGCTCTTTTTAGGCCTGTTTTTTTGGGGGAGGGGGAAAGGGCGGGGCGGGCAGTGGACAGAGTCTTGCTCTGTTGCCCAGGCTGGAGTGCGGTGGCGTGTTCTCGGCTCACTGCAACCTCTGCCTCCTAGGTTCAAGCGATTCTCCTGTTTCAGACTTCTGAGTAGCTGGGACTACAGGTGTGTGCCACCTCACCCAGCTAATTTTTGTATTTTTTGTTAGAGATAGGGTTTCGCCATGTCGGCCAGGCTGGTCTCAAACCCCTGACCTCAGGTGATCTGCCCACCTCGGCCCCCCAAAGTACTGGGATTATAGGCTTGACCCACTGCGCCTGGCCTCTTTTTAGGGCTGTTTTGAATATATTTTAATTGGAGTGGAAAATCTCTGTCCATTTGGATGAGGAAATATGAGGAAAGGTACACCTGCACTTGTGTTATATTTCTATCTGATGTAGCATTATCTCATTATCTTTTTTTTTTTTTTCTGAGACAGGGTCTTGCTCTGTCACCCAGGCTGGAGTGCAGTGGCGTGATCATGGCTTGCTGTAGCCCCTACCTCCCGGCACCAAGCTATTCCTCCCACCTCAGTCCCCCAGGTAGCTGGGACTACATGTGTGTGCTACCACACCTGGCTAATTTTTTTTTTTTTTTTTTTTGGTAGAGATGGAGTCTCACTATATGGCTCAGGCTGATCTTGGCCTCCTGGGCTCAAGCGATCCTCCCACCTTGGCCTCACAAAGTGCTGGAATTATGGGCATGAGCCACCACACTGGGCTTTTAAAATATCTTTTTGGTAGTATTCCTTACTTTCCTCTTTAACATTATTTAAACTTTTTCAGGTTTTTTTTCTCCTAGTTAAAAAACGAAGTATTGTTTTTTTTCTGGTGTTTCTAATTTTTTTAAGGGTAATGAGTAATCTGTATTCATATATAGCAGTTTTTTGATAGATGCTTAGATGCTTATGTCTGTTGTAAGATAATGACTACTACTTCTCTTTTCTTTTTTTTCTTTCTTTTTTGAGACAGAGTTTTGCTCTTGTTGCCCAGGCTGGAGTGCAATGGTGCGATCTCGGCTCACTGCAACCTCCACCTCCCGGGTTCAAGCGATTCTCCTGCCTCAGCCTCCTGAGTAGCTGGGATTATAGGAACCTGTCACCACGCCTGGCAAGTTTTTGTATTTTTACTAGAGACAGGGTTTTGCCATGTTGGCCAGGCTGGTCTCGAACTCCTGACCTCAGGTGATCCACCCTCCCCGGCCTCCCGAAGTGCTGGGATTACAGGCATGAGCCACCGCGCCCGGCCTGGTTATTTTATTTTCTACAGGGAAAGTGATAAAGCACCGTGTAAACATTCAGTAATCTTCTGAGAGTAGAGTCTAATATCTCAGGATAAGAATTGTAATTTGAAGATTCAAAAAGAAATATAATACAATCCACTTTGGGGGAATGCTGATATGGTCTTATCTCTTTGGTCTTAAAATTGCTTCCTCTAGTCCTTGTGGCTTTGTCTGATATGACAGTATTATATAATTTATAGCTGTGTGTAAATTATATAATAATTCACATTCTGTTCTGAGACTGAGCGACCAAGAAGAGATCTCAAAGCATCTGTCATACACATAACATTCATAAACATAGAAACTGTATATGGAAAGGTGATACTCTAAGTGATGAATCCCAGTGAACTTTTTTTTTTTTTTGAGATTGAGTCTCGCTCTGTTGCCAGGCTGGAGTGCAGTGGCGTGATCTTGGCGCACTGCAACCTCTGCCTCCCAGGTTCAAGCAATTCTCCTGCCTCAGCCTCCCGAGTAGCTGGGACTACAGGCACGCGCCACCACGCCCAGCTAATTTTTTGTATTTTTAGTAGAGATGGGGTTTTACCATGTTGGCCAGGATGCTCTCGATCTCTTGACCTCGTGATCCGCCCGCCTCTGCCTCCCAAAGTGCTGGGATTACAGGCATGAGCCACCGCGCCTGGCCTGAACAATTTTTTGAGGGATACTAGGTATTAGTTAGAATTCACAGAAATGTTAAAAATTTTTTCTGTTCTTCTTAGAGTTAATTTTTGATAATGAAATTATTTTTACTATGTCATATGAGGTTAACTTTTTTGAATGAGAAATCATAATTATGGAATTGAAATCCACCTGGAATTTTTTTTTGAGGTATCATTTTTGTGAAATGATTCTGTTTATTTGGAGTTTTGTGGCATTTGGTATTTACTTAAAAAAAAAAAAGGATTTTGAACTTTATCTTTTTAAAAAATTCTGTTTGTAGCTAGGCATGGTGGCTCGCGCCTGTAATCCCAGCACTTTGGAAGGCCGAGGTGGATGGATCACTTGAGGTCAGGAGTTCAAGACCAGCCTAGCCAACATGGTAAAACCCCGTCTCTACTGAAAATACAAAAATTAGCTGGGTGTGGTGGCGGGTGCCTATAATCCCAACTACTCGGGAGGCTAAGCCACAAGAATCGATTGAACCTGGGAGGCAGAGGTTGCAGTGAGCTGAGATGGTGCCACTGTACTCCAGCCTGGGCAACAGAGTGAGACTGTCTCAGAAAAAAATATTGTGTTTACTAAAAATTTGCAAATTACCATGACAGAATTTAATAGGGCACTTTAAATTACATATTAAATGGCTTACAAAATCTTTCTGATCATTTTTGTTGTTGAATAACCAGGTTTTTTCTTAGTGTATTTAGTCTTCAGTTTTTATAATGGGTTACTAGTTTTATATCTTATACTACTTTTTACTCCATATTTTATATTGCTGACAGGCTAACAGTTGGGTTGAATAGATCTGTATGTTTATTTTTATGCATGTACATATTTGTATGACTACGTTTATTTCCCATTTAAAGGTAGAAAAGACTTATCTTTACAAAGTTTTCACCCCACCCATTTTTGGCTTAAATAAAAGAAGACAAGTGGTTTTTTTTTTTTTTTTTTTTTTAGTGTAGACAGCCCAGGCTGGAGTGTGGTGGCATGATCTTGGCCCACTGCAACTGCAACCTCGGCCTCCAGGGTTCAAGCGATTCTTGTGCCGCAGCCTCCTGAGTAGCTGGGACTACAGGCGCCTGCCATCATGCCTGGCTAATTTTTTGTATTTTTAGTAGAGACAGGGTTTCGCCACGTTGGCCACGCTGGTCTTGAACTTCTGAGCTCAGGTATTCTGCCTGCCTCAGCCTCCCAAAGTGCTAGGATTGCAGGCGTGAGCCACCACGCCTGGTAGGAGTACAAAGTCTTTCTAAGGTGACTGACAATTTTTGGAATCAGGTTTTACAGATTGAGGGAGGTTTTTGTGTATATTTTGTTGTCTACATCATCACCTGAGATTAACAGTAGCTAATAATAACAGCTTTTATTTCTTGAGCACTTTTCTTTTTTCTTTTTTCTTTTTTTTTTTTTTTTTGAGACGGAGTTTTATTCTGTTGCCCAGGCTGGAGTACAATGGCATGATCTCGGCTCATTGCAACCTCTGCCTCCCGGGTTCAAGCAGTTCTCTCTGCCTCAGCCTCCTGAGTAGCTGGGACTACAGGCTACTGCCACCATGCCTGGCTAATTTTTCTATTTTTAGTAGAGACGGGGTTTCGCCGTATTGGCCAGGTTGGTCTTGAACTCCTGACCTCAGATGATCTGCCTGCCTCAGCCTCCCAAAAGTGCTGGCATTACAGGCGTGAGCCACCGCAACTGGCCTGTAATCTCAGCTGCAACTGAGCACTTTTCTGAGCCAGACACTGTTCCATGACCTTTACATGTATTATTTCATTTCATCTCCACAGTAAACCTTGGGAGGATGGTTTCATTATTATCCTCATTTTACAGATGAGGAAACTGAGGCACAGAGAAGTAATTTGCCCAGGTTCACAGAGGGAGAGCCAGGCTCTAACCCAGTGTTTGACTCTAAAACCAGGTTTTCCTCAGTATTGACAAAAATGTTTTGTGAACCTTTCTACCTTCTTGACTACAAAGTGATAGGATTTATATTTTCATGGGTAATAGCTGAAATGTATCTTTAGCTATCCTAATCATTATAGTGTAGCCTATATGGAGAATTAAATAGCCTCTCAAATGTCAAAGCAAGCACATTAAGGAAGGATCTATGTAGAAAGAAAATGCTAATAGTGTGATAACTAGTTTGTTTGTTGATCCTGTGCCTGCATTGACTTTCTTGCAAAATTCATATAGTTACAGGGAATGTTGTTATGTAATGAATTGACTAGTAGTAGTTTTTCCAGCTACGGTCAGTTGATCAGGTTTCTCTTCTTAAGTGTTTGGAAGATCTGCAGTTTGGGAAGGGAATAGATACAGGGGAGATCTTTGAGCAGATGCATTGACATGTGTACTCATTGGGAACTATTTCCTCCAGTGGTGAGCAACCTGAAGCCTTTCTCAGTGTAGCTTTTCAAGAGTCCTAGATCCAATTTCATAGACATCCTTTCAGAGCATGCACAGCAGAGGTGAAATGGAGGAGAAGCGTGTAGGGCAAAACTACCTTCTTCAAAGAAGGGAGAAACTTTGTAGAATCACTGGTTCCTAGACGCTTGTGTTTTGGCCAGGCCCTGGCCAGCAAAGGCTAGCCAAAGGCATGCTTTGGAGGAGAGGTAGTATCAAGTTTTTTTAGAGTAGACCGTGAAGGTGCCAGAAACTAAGGTGCACTGACAGCTTGGTCTATGGGGAACCTGGCTGCATTGGTTCAGGTCCCCACTTGTCCCACTTGCCTGGCCTAAACACACCCCTGGCACGGAGAAAGAGGATGAGACTCACTGCTGGATCCCTAGCACCTGGCCCATAACAGGTTTTTTGTGAAAGTTGTACTGAATGAATTGAAATAATTCTAGTCCCTGGTCTACCTTCTATAGTTTAAGCAGCAAAGGGGTTGTAGGGACGTTTAAAGGGAGAATATAAGAACAAAAGACTAGAACACACTGCCTCTCTTGCCACCTAAAAAAGTCATGCAAATTTCTCACTGTCATTTTATTCAGTGAAGCAGGAATCTCACTCTTAAGCCTGTGGAATTCATTAAATTTGTTTTCTTTCTGAATAAAAATAAATGGGACCCATAGACATCTTTGTTTTTTTCCAAACCGGCCCTTGTGCAGAGAAGGTTGTTGTTGCTAATTTTAGTCCTTGTGATGTATGGTGGAATTTATTCATGTATTTGCAGATAATACTGGACTACTGGAAAATCAAACTAGTTTGATCAAACTAGTTTGGGGTATATCCCAACACATTGCCAACACATGTTTCTTGGGTGATGCATTATGAATGCATTATCCAAGGATTTATCTAATCTTTGTTTGAGGTGGTTGTTACTTTCAGGTTCTTAGGGTAATGAGTTTGGAAAGTTGTAATTTAAGCTGTACTTCCTTTTTCATTCCCAAACCATGACTTTTCTTTTTTTTAAATAATAGAGACAGGGTCTCACTATGTTGGCCAGGTTAATCTTGAACTCCTGGCCTCAAGCAGTCCTCCTGCTCAGCCTCCCAAAGTTCTCAGATTACAGGCATGAGCCACTGCACCTAATAGCAGAATCAATCTGCTATTGATTCAATACATTCTCAGAATCATAGTCCAACCTTGTTTTGGCATGGTTTTATGGGGAATTAAATGCATGAGATCTTTACAAGCTGTGTTACTATGTCTCTGTGTGTCTTTTTGTAAACGGTTCTTTTCCTGTTCAAATATATTTTAAAACATAACCTTTAGAAATCTACATTTGCAAACAGAAGTTTGAGAAGTAGCAGCAATGTCACAGAGCCTTTAGTCAATCTAAGTCCTTAGCTGATGTAAGTCATAATCATTATGTGTCAGCTGCCCATAATTGAGCTGAGGAGAACATTTGAATCAGTATGTTTAACAACATAGGGAACTAATAATTGTTAAAGGTTATCAGTAGCTATTGATAATACATTAAGTGATAATGTATAAATAGTATTTTTAAAGTGAGGATAAACACTGAACATTCAGCATTACAGTACCTTCACAAGACATACTGGTAGTACCTTAATTAAATCACATGTTTTTAGGATGACTCATTTTCTGGTTGTTGGAGACTCTTAAGGGATCTGCTTTCATTCACAAAATAGCATCCACACATTCTTTCTTTGGTAAGTCTGAAATACAGGTTGATTTTAGGTCAGTGTTCCCTGATATTTTTTTCTTTTAAGTTATTTTATTTTAATTTCAGTTTCCTTCAAGTTTACCCTTGCATTTTTTTAACTTGATAGTGGGATACTTTAAAATACTAAGCCAATTTTCTTTATGAATCTCATTCTTTGAAACAGCTTTTCACTTTGAAGTTAACACTGAATTTCAAATTTTACAATTTCTGCAATGTCAATATGTACGATTTGAAGCAGTTATCTAACTGAAATGTTAGGAAATTTAAAACATGCCATCATGCTCTCAATTTTAGTAATTTGCAGGTATAATATTGATGTTTCACAGTATCATTATATATTGTTTTTATGCCAGATATAAACATTCTCTTATTTCCAGCTTAAAGAATGTCCCTTCCCCCAGGGAGCAACTGTGGTGGGTGGACCCGGGAGTTGAGCAGAGTAACAGTCTCTTTTCTAGGCAGGGACTTCCAGAATTCATCTGTGTAGCTGTGTCATTTACTCCCATTTGCACCTTTCAAATACTTTTCTTGAAGAAGCAGCCCTCATCCCCCAACATCTAACTAATTTAGTATTATATTTATTTCTCCTAACAAATTACATCGCCTAAAATTCTGTGGGCCAGGCGCAGTGGCTCATGCCTGTAATCCCAGCCACTTTGGGAGGCTGAAGTGGGCAGATCACCTGAGGTCAGGAGTTTGAGACCTGCCTGGCCAACATGGTGAAACACTGTCTCTACTGAAAATACAAAAATTAGGCGGGTGTGGTGGCGAGCGCCGGTAATCCCAGCTTCTCTGTTAATAACTCTAAAATGAGGAAAGGAAAATACCAATTCTTAGCTCATCTGTGCTTTGATTTAGCTCTCAAAATCTTGTTTTTGAAAGTGATATCAAAAGACAGTTTTGGGGACAGCAAAAGGTGAGGGATATATCCCAACACATTGCCATATTTCTTGGGTGATGCATTATGAATGCATTATGAATGCATCACCCAAGGATTTATCTAATCTTTGTTTGAGGTGGTTGTTACTTTCAGGTTCTTAAGGTAATGAGTTTGGAAAGTTGTAATTTAAGCTGTACTTTTTCATTCCCAAACCATGACTTTTCTATTTTTTAAATAATAGAGATGGGTTCTCACTATGTTGGCCAGGTTAGTCTTGAACTTCTGGCCTCAAGCAGTCCTCCTGCCTCAACCTCCCAAAGTTCTCGGATTACAGGCATGAGCCACTGCACCCAGCCCAAACCATGACTTTTAAATGTGTAGGTTTCCTGTACTGGTATTAAGTGGTATACAGTTAAGTCTATACCTTTCATAGTTGTATTCATTTCCATCAGGTCCTCCTAGGCTGAAATGTCCTAATTACACTGTGGGACCTTTCATGAAAGTCCTTTTGTTTAGTTGTCCTCTGTTCCTTTTTGAGTTGCTTTGGGTCTTTTCTTGAGATGTGACAGTTAGGACTTTATGCTTCATATAGAGAATCAACAATTTTGTGTTTGGATATTGTAGAGTTTAAGAACCAATTTCTAATTTCCTTCATGATGATCAAAACTTTGTGGCCGTCTTGCTGTGCTGGAATTAGATCCCTTTTTAAATAAAAATGTCTAGAAATTTTTAATTTTTTTAGAGACAGGGTCTTGCTCTGCCACCCAGGCTGGAATGTGGGATAGCTCACTGCAGCCTCGAACTCCTGGGCTCGGGTGATCCTCCCGCCTCAGCCTCCTGAGTAGCTAGGATTACATGTGGGCACCACCACACCTGGCTAATTTTTTTACAACATTTTTTATAGAGACAGAGTCTTGCTATGTTGTCCAGGCTGGTCTCAAACCCCTGGGCTCAAGTGATCCTCCTCTCTGGGCCCCCCAAAGTGCTGGGATTACAGACATGAGCCACTGTGCCTGGCCTGGAAATTAAGTTTCTTTTCTAGGTGGTATCTTTAATCTTTTAAATATTCTTGTGGTTACTTTTTGAAGTGTATTTCCTTCTGCTAGTTTAGACCAGCTTTTATGCCGCCTCCCTATATTATGAGATCTTTATGCAGTTTGTATTACTTTATTATGTGAGAGTTTAAAGTTGTATGTGCTACAGGCATCATCTTTCAGTCAGACTAAGACCAAGTTACTAATACAGGTCCTTCCCAGTGACCTATATATAATCATTTAGACCAGTGATTCTCAAGCTGGCTGTACAGTAGAATCACCAGGGGGAGATTTAAAGAATACCTATTCCAGGGCCCCGCCCTAACCAATTGAGACCATCTCTGATGCTCAGGGATTAGTATTATAAAGCTCCTAGATGATGATAATGAGCAGCCAGCACTGATAACCCTGAATTAGATTTAAGACTGGGAAATCACCAGCTGCTAGAACTTCTAAATTGGATTAGCTCTTTAGCTTGTGGAATGCTGGAGAATAATTACCATTAGACAGTTCAAGGAAATGTGTATCAAACTTTGCATTTATAAGATAGCACCTGAATCAAATTATTCCTTACCCAATTCTGAGAATTAAAGCATAAATGAGCTAACAATTGGAACTTTTAGTTTCTCATTCTAAAACCCTTTTCCTTATCTGTTTGATTTTGTGTTGGTGATTGTCTTTTTAGAGCCGTAATATCCTTTGTCTTTAGCAGGAAATGAAATATGGGTCTGATTATTTATGCATACTCTGATACCTTTTTTTTTTCTTTTAAGACACAGTGAAAGTGCCTATAGGCTTCAGCAGCTGTGCTTTAAAACCCAGGCTTGTTCTTGGGCTGAGGGAGTGCCTTCATTCTTCCATCTTGGAATGAGTGACTCATGCTCTGTGCAGGCACACAGTACTTAATCACTTGTTTTCTGTGTACCAGGAAGAGGAGGGCATATGAAAATAGAAGCCATGTACTGCCAAATGGATCTGAAATAAGAGTGAAAATGTTGACCTGATGGGTCAAACAATTGAGCTTATTGCAAATACTTATGACTTAGGGTGTATGTTGCATTATTATTTCACTAAAATTTGGCATTATTTCAAAAAGGCTATACTTTTGTAATTTGTAAGCAACTCTTTTCCTTATAGATAACGTTGATGATCTTAAATTTTACAATTTATTTGTGAATTTTAAATTTTTCTTTTTTTGAATTTGTATGCCACATTAGAGTATACCTTCTGAAGGAAAGATTAGAAAACAATACATTTGTTGGATTAGATCAGTTACATGGTTATTCTTTGCAGAAGGATAGTATGAGCCCGCTGGCCATTTTCTCTGCCATTCCAGTGCCTTCTGCCCCCAGAGTAGCCATTAATATGATCAGTAGGATATCTACTACTAAGGGCATTTGCTGCATATGCCTGGAATAATACTGTCTACACATGTCCTCTGTACAGACAGACTCTTTAATGCCAACTTGTTTTATTTCTTTAGTGAAGAGCCACAGATTTTAAATACACACACACACACACACACACACACACATTTTGAAGTGTCAGCTGTATGCCAGGCGCTATACCAGGCAGCGAAGTCAGAGCAGCTCGACACAACACACACAGTCTCCCTTCTTGTGTCAGTTACAGTACCTGCTTCAGGCCTTCCTCTATTGTTTTGTGTTTCTTATCTCTATATTAGTATGAGAAGTTTTGTGTACCTGCTAGAGTTTTCAAGATAATATAAAAATTTCAGGATAATTTAAATTGCCCAGGCCAGGCATGGTGGCTCATGCCTGTAATCCCAGCATTTTGGGAGGCTGACGTGGGAGGATCACTTGAGTCCAGGAGTTTGAGACCAGGCTGGGCAATATAGATAGACCTTATCTCTACTAAGAAAAAAAAAAAAATGAGGTGGGCATCATGGCGTGTGCCTGTATTCCCAGCTACTTGGGAAGCTGAGGTGAGAGGATTGATTGAGTCCAGTTGGAGGCTGCAGTGAGTTATGATCAAGCTGCTGCACTTCAGTCTGGGTAGCAGAGTGAGACCTTGTCTCAAGGGGAAAAAAAAAATTGCCCAGAAGTTTTAGGTGAGTCTTTCATTTTGAGCAACCATATTCTAATCATGTGTAATATTTATTGAAAGATAAATGCTTTTATTATTAAAAGCACCTGAAATTAAAAATCCAAGCTCATTCCTGGTTTGTATAAAAGAAGAAAATAAATACATAAATAAAAGTGCCTGCATAGCAAAGACTGATATTTTGGGGCTAACTTCAAAAACAATAAAAACTTTAGATGGTATTCTTATTACACGTCAATGAAAACAAGCAATTGGTAGGAAAAACATTTTTATTATTTGATGCTTATTTTTTAAATTTTGTTCAATAACTATTGAATGAGTGCCTGTTATGCTGGACTGCAGGTATGTAGTGGTAAACTGTAAATAGCCATAGAATTAAATAAACTGATGGAGGGATTCAGACTTAATAGTCTGTCTGTATTTATTTCTTTATTTTTTTTGAGATAGGGTCTTCATTTGCCACCCAGGCTGGAGTGCAGTGGCGTGATCATGGGTCACTGCATCCTTGACCTCCTGGGCTCAGGTGATCCTCCCACTTTAGCCTTCTAGGTGGCTGGAACTACAGGTGCCTGGCTAATTTTTTGTATTTTTTTGTAGAGACGGTGTTTTGCCATGTTGCCCAGACTGGTCTTGAACTCCTGGGCTCAAGCAATCTGCCTGTCTCAGCCTCCCAAAGTGTTGGTTTACAGGTGTAAGCTACCACACCCAGTCAGTAGTCTGTCTTTTCATTGGTTAGTTGAAACTGTTTACATTTATTGTAACTACACATGTATTAGAAGTTATTTCTACCTTTTATTTATGTTTTCCATTTATTATGCTTTTCTTAATTTTTTTCCCCCTATTTTCTATTGGATAACTGAAATTTTGTCAGGTATTGTTGCCATTAAAATTTACACTTTCTATTTATATTCTTCTGTAGTTTCCCCAGCCTTAGGACCTTGTACTTACTCACATATGGAACTGGAGTTTACCAGTATCCATGTCTTTCCCAAGCATGTTTTTACCTCCCTTGAGATTCTGCCTTTTCTAGATTCTCCCTCTCTCCTGTGTATGTAGCGGGTGTGGGGGCAGGGCAGGAAGTTGGCAGTCATGCTCGATTTACCATTTGGACCAGAATTTGGTTGTTGGGACTGAATGCTGGATGCCCAGTTTTATGCTGTATCAGAGCTGCAGGTCAATGTTTCCCATTCTGAGAAAATAGAATTCTGGGGCATATCTAGGCATTAAGATATTTGCGTGAAGCATTTATTACTCTGAGAAGGCTTTCAGGAATTATGGTCCTACCATGAGGTTTAATAATTGAAAAATGTATTGAAGTTGGGTTTTTTCTTTCATACTTTTTTCTTTTTTTTTGAGACGGAGTTTCACTCTTTCGCCCAGGCTGGAGTGCAGTGGTGCCATCTTGGCTCACTGCAACCTCCGCCTTCTGGTTTCAAGTGATTCTCCTGCCTCAGCCTTCCGAGTAGCTGGGATTACAGGCACCTGCCACCACACCCAGCTAATTTTTGTGTTTTTAGTAGAGACAGGGTTTCACCATGTTGGCCAGGCTGGTCTCAAACTCCTGACCTCATCATCCTCCTGCCTCGGCCTCCCAAAGTGCTGGGATTACAGGCGCGAGCCACTGTGCCCGGCCCCATACTTTTTTCTTTGAAGCCATATGAAGACCCTTAAATTATGGAGAGGTTACTGAATGGTAGGAGCCTGGAGTTTTAAATACATACACATTTCTCAACTTGATGTGAAAGTTACTAACATTTATTATGTGACGGATGCTGGGCACTTTTCACATAATCCTCATGAAAACCTGGGACTACAGGTGTCCGGCTAAGTTAGATGGAATTCTGTTTACGAAGGAGGAAACTGAAGCTGAGAGGGGTTCAGAGACTGTAGTAGAGCTAGGATTCTTCACCCAGGACACCAAATGCAGACTACATCTATAGCACATCCAAGTAGCTGAATTCTGTCCAGCTTTCCAGTTCTACAGTCAGCCCCAGGTCACCCTTGCACATTCTTTCCTGTCACCTGGCTCTCTGGCTTCAGGCCCCTTCATGTTCATCCTCTACAGATTTGTCCTGTGTTCTATCTCAAATCCAAATCTGCCCTGCTGGAGGAAGCGGCTCCTGAATTTACTACCTGTTGTCCCGCTGAGTGGGTTCCTGTTTAGTTCTTCAGCCTCATTCTTCCTGCTCCCTGTCTTATTCTGCATGGCCAGCAGTACCAAACTATTTGGAGTCTTCTTTGCCTTCAGTGGACATCTGAGTGTCTGCTATGTGTTAAGCAGCCTGCTAGAGGCCAACAACAGCTTTTTATTTTTATTTATTAATTTTAATTTTTATTTTTTCTTGAGGTGGAGTTTTGCTCTTGTCACCCAGGCTGGAGTGCAGTGGCGTGATCTTGGCTCATTGCAACCTACGCCTCCTGGGTTCAAGCCGTTCTCTTGCCTCAGCCTCCCAAGTAGCTGGGATTACAGGTGCTCATCAGCATGCCTGGCTAATTTTTGTATTTTTAGTAGAGACAGGGTTTCACCATGTTGGCCAGGTTGGTCTCAAATTCCTGACCTCAGGTGATGCACCCACCTCAGCCTTCCAAAGTGTTGGGATTACAGGCGTGAGCCACCGTGCCTGGCCATTATTTATTTTTTTTGAGATGGAGTCTCACTCTGTTGCCGATTAGTCAGATCTCAGCTCACTGCAACCTCCGCCTCCCAGGTTCAAGTGATTCTCCCACCTGGTGCTCCCAAGTAGCTGGGATTACAGGTGCTTGCCACCACGCCTGGCTAATTTTTGCATTTTTAGTAGAGATGGGGTTTCCTCATGTTGGCCAGACTGGTCTCGAACTCCTGGCCTCAAGTTCTTCAGCCTCATTCTGGTCTCCCAAAATGCTGGGTTTACAGGCATAGAGCCACTGCGCCCGGCCCGACGACAGCTTTTTATTTGTTATTTTACTTATTTATTTATTTATTTTTTGAGACAGAGTCTCGCTCTGTTGTCCAGGCTGGAGTGCAGTGGCGCGATCTCAGCTCACTGCAACCTCTGCCTCCCGGGTTCAAGCAATTCTCTACTTTAGTTTCCCGAGTAGCTGGGATTACAGGCACTCGCCACCATGCCTGGTTAATTTTTTTTGTATTTTTAGTAGAGACAGGGTTTCACCATCTTGGCCAGGCTGGTCTTGAACTCCTGACCTCGTGATCCACCTGCCTTGGCCTCCCAAAGTGCTGGCATTACAGGCATGAGGCACTGCGCCTGGCCAGACAACAGCTTTTTAAATGATCAAGATGGTGAAGGTCTTGGCCCTGGGCAAGGATAGTAGCAGTAGGGGTCAAGAGAAGTGAAAGATTCATCAGTTATTGAGGAGATACCTCCAATAGGACTTGGCAAGAAAAAAAGGCATTTTGGAGTACCTGGGATGATGGTGGTGAGCTGAAAGCCCCATACAAACATGAGAGAATTGCACCAGAAAGAATCTGGTAGAGAAACTTATGGTGTTAGAAAGAGCCCTGGTCTGGCTTGGTGCGGTAGCTCACGCCTGTAATCCCAGCACTTTGGGAGGCTGAGGTGGGTGGATTACCTGAGGTCGCAAGTTTGAGACCAGTCTGACCAACATGGTGAAACCTCGTCTCTACTAAAAATACAAAATTAGCCCGGCGTGGTGGCACAGGCCTGTTATCCCAGCTACTTGGGAGGCTAAGGCAAGAGAATTGCTTGAACCCGGGAGGTGGAGGTTGCCATGAGCCGAGATCGCGCCATTGCACTCCAGCCTGGGCGACAAGAGTGAAACTCCATCTGGCTAAGAAAAAAAGAAAGAAAGAAAGAGCCCTAGTCTGAGAGTGGGAAAGTGTTTTGATGTTAACAAGCTGTGCAGTGTTGGGCAGTTACTTTACCTATGCCAGCTTTAATGTCTTTGTCTCAAATAGACCAGATGAGATGACTTGACTTTTGCCACCTTAAGTAGTAAATCCTTCCAACTTGATTCTGTGATGACTTTAGCTTTTGCCACTTTAAGTAGTAAATCCTTCCAGCGTGATTCTGTGCAAATGATCTGATTTCAACTTGCCTCCCCCCTTTCTACATCATATGTTTACCTATCCATTTGGGAGCCTTCTGTGTACCATGCACTGGGAACAGAAGCTCGAGGAGACAAGGTCTAAGTGAGCTTCCTCTTCCTCATGAGTTCCTGTTCAGTCAAGGAGACAGGCAAGTCAGTAATGACATGCACTAAACCAAAGTAAGATGCCGTGATGGGAATATGCACAGGGTTTAGGGGATCCACACGAGAGAGTCTGGTCAGCTCTGCTGGGTGTGGGTGGAGTGGGGAATGTGTCCGGGAAGAGGACTGACCCTTGTTCTAAGTCTAGAATGAAGGGCAGGCAGAAGTGGGTGGGGAGTCGGATTCCAGGCCCAGGCTGCACATAGTTCAGGATGACTGAAGGCTAGGTTGCTGGGGGCGGGGGGCGGGGGGGGGGATGGAAAGGACTAGCCTATGCAGGGTCTCACAAGCCTTTCCAAGGAATTTGGACTTTATTCCCAAGGCTGTGGGAGGTGGACAGGTAGTTAGCAATATTCATATTTATCCCTTTTTAATGCCTAATGTGTTTCTTTCACAATATTAATGTTATACCAACTAGACTTTAGGGCAAAAAGTATTATTTGAAATAAAACCAGTTATTACGTCCTGATAAGCAGAGCAGTTCACCAGGAAAATATAATAATCTTGAGAGATATAAAAATAAGGAAGAAAATAAAGCATGAGATTTTAAAAAGTAAGACCTCTCTCAAAAACTAACAGGTGAAGCAGTCAGAAAAATTAGCAAGTACGTAGAGGGGTTGAACAAAATAATTCACAAGGCTGTACCAGAAACAAAAGTTTCATTAAATATTTCTCCATACACTGTGGTTTTTGTTTTCTCTTCTATTCTGTTTTAGTGCTATTAATGCTGATCTCTTTATAAGAAATTGATTTGATGACCCACTGATGGATTGACTCCCCCCCTTTTTCTTGACAACACTGAGTTAAAAAATATACATGCATTTCAAGCACACATAGAACACTTGCAAATTGACTTGTCAAATTCCTTTCCCACACCTAGCCTCCAGTGCCCCATTATCCTCCATCCTTCCCCTTGCTAAAACAAAGACGACTTTGACTCCTGTTTTTACTGAGTCAAGGGCATAGGATACACGCATCTGCTTCTCTTCTCCATTTCTGTGTTTAGCCTTTCATCTTTTTTTCCAGACTTAGAAGAAAAAAATAGTATCTTCTTTCCTTTCCAAGGTTAGCTTTTATACCTGTAGCATTTTTTTTTGTCATCTGTCTTCTTTTCCTTCTTCATCATCTTATCTCTTTCTTGTTTTTGTTTTATTTTGAGATGGAGTCTCGCTCTGTCCCCCAGGCTGGAGTGCAGTGGCACCATCAGAGCTCACTGCAGCCTCAAATTCCTGGGCTCAAGTGATCCTCCTGCCTCAGCCTCCTGAGTAGCTGGGACTACAGGTGCGTGCCGCCACACCTGGTTAATATTTTGTAGAGGCAGGGGATCTTGCTGTCTTGCCCAAGCTGGTCTCACACCCCTGACCTCAAGTAATCATCCTGCTTCAGCCTCGTAAAATGCTGGGATTACAGGCATGAGCCACTGAGCCTAGTCCCTCCTCTCGTTCTTAAATCCAGTTATTTCTTCTTGATCATCTCATCATGAACTCAGTCTTATGGGTTTAACTGGTTTTCATTCTCGACTACTAATGACTATTGTTTTTAGTCATTAGACCACAACACAGACATTTTTATAGTTTTTTTTCTTTTTTTTTTTTAAGTCGAAATCTTATTTTCTTGACTGGATGATGCATTTACATGGTTCACAATGCCAAAGATGGAAAAGGGTATTGAATGAGGAGGTTCTCATCGGCCCTTCCTTTCAGCTGCTGTATACGCTATCCTTTCTGCCATGCTCCCTCTTGTTCTTTCCCATTCAGGAGAGAATAGGTGTCTCAGTGAGTGTCATCTTTGATTTCCCCTCTCCCTATCCTCCACATAGCTTCTTTTGAGGACTTTCATGTTCATCTCCTCCTGTGGATTCTTCACCCACTACCAGCTCACTCCCTAAGCTCTTTTTCTTTTTTTGTTTTTTGTTTTTAAATCTTTTTTTGTTATTTTTTCTTTTTTTTTTCTCGATCTCTTTTTTTCCATGACCTTTCATGTCATTTCAAGCCAAGACTTTTGCAGTAACCCAAGTGGGTTTCTTACTCCCAATCTCCACCTCTTTTCAAATACTATTTCATGAAACTTTTGTTTCTGGTACTTACATACATCTATGAGTTCACTAGGTGTTGATGTAGAAGTATCTCTTACAATGGACCTTCTGAACGACTGAAAACACGATTTAACTTTTGGGTAAGGTTTCCTTAGTTACATCAACCTTG